>NC_000012.12:91210128-91835128 GCF_000001405.40 Homo sapiens | reverse complement strand
TCTGAGATCTCCAGTTTTCTCTTTCACTCTCTAAATCTCCTTGGATTATCACACCCATTTCTTCATTTAGAGCTATCCACTGCCTTCTCAGTTCTGTCAGAGCACTCTGCACCAACTTTTATGCCAGCATATATCATATCATTCCAGGCTGCTAAACACCACCCTAATCTTACTAGCTAAGCAATCACCATTTTATTATACTCATGTATTCTGTGGGACAAAAATTTGGTCAGGGTACGGACAGATGGCTTGGTCTGTTCCACAGTGCCTGGGGCCATCCTGAGACAACCAAAATGTCTAAGGGACTGGAATCTTATGAAGACTTCTTCAGTTACATAACTGGTATTTGGACTCTAATGACTAAGAAGTTGAACTTACCTTCAATGGTGGACCACAACCACTCTACATGTAATTTCTTAACTTTCTCTTGGCCAGGTTCCAACAGAAAGCATTCTGAAGGAAAATGTCAGGAGGGAGAGAATTCCAAGCCACATAAAAACATTTCCATCATAATCTACTGCTCAAAGTGATCTAAAGTCCACCCAGATTCTAGGAGAGGGTCCATAGACTCAACTCCTTAATGGGATGTAGCAGGGTCTTACTACAGAAGGGCCTGTGAAGACATAGATATTGTGCGATAATCTAGTGAAAAATACAAGAGTCCACATTCATTCGAATATGGTTGCTTTTTCACCTGTTACCTGGCCTAACCTAAAACTCAAGCTCAAGGAAGTCCACTTGGTTTCTTTATATCCCCAATGCCAAACACTCAAAAAATGCTTGAATTGAGAAAATAGAGGTTGCAAAGAAGAAAATAAGGAATGTGAGAAGAAAGGAACTGGAAATTAATCGTGTTGGCTTTATAATGAGTGAAGATTTCTTCTGCAGTAAAAACTGTGTGGTGTGAGGCTCCATGTTAACCTACAATTCCCTTCTACTTTCACTTCCTTTTCTATTCAGCCAAGACCAAAACATTCATCATTATCAATGGCTCTTTGCCATGGCCCTCAATTTCCATTTTTCTTTCAGCTTTGCCCTGGAAAAACTCTGTCCCTGGATCAACTTAACTATTCGCCTCTCTGCTTGTCCTCTACTGAATTACTGATCACTGCCAGACAAAATTCACACAGGCTTCTGGGCCGTTACTGCAAGTTCACAATGGATACTTGTACTGGTCAGTTTGGAAAGGTCTGTGGGTTGCTGGCTGACTTGGCTCTAGGCTTTGGTTCATTTTCTATTTTTTCTTCTAAGGCCCAGGCTGAAGAAGCAGGAACTACCTGAGGCAAGTTCTTCTTCCAGTGGGGTCAGAAACTCCCAGAGACATGAAATAGAAATATATCATAACTTTAAGACCTACAAAGAAAACTGACACACTGTCCCTTCTGCCTATATTCCATTGTCCAAAGCATGTCACCGGGCCAAGCCAAACATTATAAAGCAAAGACAAATGCTTCCCACATAGAAGCTAAGCAATAATATATAATATTTCCCAATATTTTACTAGACTCTCTTAGCTGTCTTTTATTCAATGTGTCTCCAGTTAATGTTTTCTGTAATTTTCCCAAAAAGCCATTTATAATTTTTTTCAAGATCCCAATCTTTTCATTAACCCACCTTAAATTGGCCAGAGTAGTCTCCAACTTCAAAGAAAAATTAGAGATCTTTTAGCAAGTATCCTCTTATCCTTGCTATGGGTCCTTCACAAAATTCATTTATCTGCTCTTTTCTCTACCATTTTGGTGGAAATCATATTCAACATTCAGTTTAATGCTAATTTTTTCACCTCTTCTCTGGATCCTATCCACTATGATCTTCTTTGAGTTTGACGCCATTAGTTATTTCTTCCTATTTTATAGCTTTAAATTAGCCCTCTTCTTAGCAGAATGACCCAAAGTAGTATAAACTATAAAAATATTCATGATCCAATATTCAGCCAGACATGATGATGTAAAATTAGGCAATATTACTTTAATATAAGAAAAAAGTTAGAGAGGTGAGGAGAGTGGATCACACTTGAGGCTAGGAGTTCAAGACCAGCCTGGCCAACATGGTGAAACCCTGTCTCTACTAAAAATACAAAAATTAGCCCGGTGTGGTGGCAAATGCCTGTAATCACAGCTGCTCGGGAGGCTAAGGCAGGAGAATTGCTTGAGCCCAGGAGGCAGAGGTTGCAGTGAGCCGAGATCACACCACTGTACTCCAGCCTGGGCAACAGAGCAAGACTCTGTCTCAAAAAAAAAAAAAAAAGAAAAGGAATTCAGAAAGGATGGAACCAAGCAGTAGATTAATTGAATGAAACAAGAGGTGTGGATATGTATGTGGAGTGACTCAAACTTATAGAGGACAGGAATTCTTTAAATTTTATTTCCTGCAATATAGAAATTATAGGAGACTCAAGATTGTGGTTCTAGTAGTAAGAGGATTTGTCTCGAATACCTTCACTCCTAGATCTTAAGGAAGTGAAATCTCTGGTTGCTAAGCCAATTCAATCAGCTGAGATGATGAATTCGTTTTCTGTTGGCTCAATTAACAGATCATCCTAAACTTAGGGGCTTAAAATGATGTGTATTTATTACCTCAGCATTTCTGTGAGTCTGGAGTCTAGTTATGGCTTTACTGAGTTGTCTGCTTAGGGTCTGAACAGATTATGGGTTGGAACTACAATCTCATTTGAAGCTTGGGATCATCTTTTTAGTTTATTGGTTGTTGGCAGAGTTCAATTCCTTGTAGTTGTAGGCCTGAAGTCCCTGTTTTATTTCTGGCTGTGGGTTGGAGACTGCCCTCAGGTGCTGGAGGCTGACTTCAGAGCCTTGCTATGTGCTTCGTTTGAAAGGTAGTTCGCAATATGGTTGTTTGTTTCTTTATTATTATTATTATTATTATTATTATTATTATACTTTAAGTTCTAGGGTACATGTGCACAATGTGTAGGTTTGTTACATATGTATACATGTGCCATGTTGGTGTGCTGCACCCATTAACTCGCCATTTACATTAGGTATATCTCCTAATGCTATCCCTCCCTCAGTCCCCCACCCCACAACAGGCCCCAGTGTGTGATGTTCCCCACCCTGTGTCCAAGTGACTCCAGGAGAATCTGTGTTTCTTTGAATCTCTTTCTTAAGGGAGTGCCTGGACTGTATTTTAAATGGCCCTCCTGATTAGATTTGAGCCACCTAGGCAAATGTCTTTTCTGATTGATTAACTCCAAGTTAGTTACTTTATTTACACTTGTAAAATTCGTTCATCTTTGCTATATAATGTAATCGCAAGAGTGAAATCTCATTTTGTTCACAAGTCTTTCCTACACTCATGGGGAAAGGATTATAGAAGGTATGTACACCATGGAGAGATCTTGGGGGCCAATTTAGAATTGTTCCTACCGTACATCAGAACCCCAAAAGTACCTTGAAATTGCCATCCAAAATTTTTAAGGATAACATAATTGTTTTCTTAGTGGGCATTTATTTTTAATTCTGGTGAGAGTACAAATGAGTGTTAGAGGTAATATCAATACAAGCTTTAAAGTTTTTATTTTTGTGCTTAATAATTTGTAATTTTTAAATTTAAAAAATCTGGTTTTCTCTTTATCTATCATTCTGGGAAATTCCCATGCCTCTCCTGTGTAGGATTTTTTTTTCTTGCACTATATCTCCCTTCTTTATTTTTTAATTCCTTAATTTTGACATTGTATATTTTCTTATAGCCTCCTAAAAGTAAGTTCAAGGAAGATAAACATTTTGAATTCATGTTTATTTGAAAATATCTTTATCCTATATTTATACTTCACATAGTTTGGCTGGATTTAAAATTCCAGGCTGAGAATACCTTTTCCTTGGAATTTTGAAGACATTGTTCATTTTCCTTTCTTCTTTATTTTTATTTTATTTTTTTTCTTTTTCAGAGACAGGGTCCCACACTGTTGCCCAGGCTGGAGTGCAGTGGTACAATTACAGTTCACTGAAGCCTTGAATTCCTGGGCTCTGCCTCAGTCTCCTCAGTAGCTAGGACTCTATGTGCATACCACCACACTGATCTAAATTTTTTTTTTTAAGATGGTGTCTTGCTATATTGCTCAGGTTGGTCATGAACTCCTGGTCTCAAGCTACCCTCCCACCTTGGACTCCCAAAGCATTGGGATTACAAGCATGAGCCACTGTAGCCAGACACACTCTTTTCCAGATTTCAGTGTTGCTACTTAGAAGCCCAACGTCATTTCAGATTTCAGTGTTGCTATTTAGAAGCCCATGACAAAAACATGTTAGTTTGTAACATGTTTTTGTCTCTCTGGATGCTTTCATAATCTCATCTTTGTCCTTGGTATTCTAAATTTTTATGATGACCTGCCTTGGTGGAGATCTTTTTAATTTGATTTTTCTTCTAATGGGTGGGTACTTTTAGCCTTGATACTATAAACTTCTAATCTAGAAAGTTTTCTGGTGTTATTTCTTCATAACTTCTTTTCTTCCATTTTTCACCATTGTCTTCTTATAGAATTATATTAATCAATTTTTAGACTTCCTAAATTAATCCTGATTATTTTTCTCCTATTTTTATATTTTTCTCTTTTCATTTGTTCCCTGACTTTATCTTCAATTATTTTATAACAGTTTTAATTTTATCTATGTAATTTAATTTCTAAAAAGTTTTTCTTATTCTCCAAATTTTTCTTTTTATGGTTCAGTACTTTTTTTTAATGGTATGTTTTAAGAATGTGGTGTTTTAAGAATGCAGTTATCTTTTTTTATCACCTTGAGCATGTCAGTCATAGTTTTTTAACAATATTTTTTACCCCTTTTATAATTGATTTTTTCATGTTGTATACTCTCTTACGTTTGTTGTTCCTTAGGTATCTAACAATATTGGAATAATGAACACTTTCTATATTGGGGCATGGCTTGTTGAACACTGGGCTTCACTCTGTGCTGATCAATTGAGGACGATACCATTTCATCATATAGTCCTCAAAACTCAGTACCTACAAGTCTTTTCAGATACGTAAATCTGGTTGTATTTGGGTGTTGAGCCGAAAAAGGCAGCTGGTGGTCTCTAGTTAAACCTATAGACTTATTAGTTTCCCTTTGGTTCAGGTTGCATACTTACACTTGCTTTCTGCCATACCTTTTGTCCCATGACCCATAATGTCTCTGGCTCAGTCGTTTTAAAGACTAAAAACTGCTCTTGTCCAGGCACGGTGGCTCACACCTGTAATGCCAGAACTTTGGGAGGCCAAAGTGGGCAAATCACTTGACTTGAGGTCAGGAGTTCAAGACCAGCCTGGCCAACATGAGGAAACCCCGTCTCTACTAAAAACCACAAAAATTAGCTAGACATGGTGGCGCACACCTGTAATCCCAGCTACCTGGGTGGCTGAGGCTGGAGAATTGCTTGAACTCGAGAGGGGGAAGTTGCAGTGAGCTGAGACTGTACCACTGCATCCCAGCCTGGGCAGCAGAGTGAGACTGTCTCAAAAATAAATAAATAAATCAATAAATACTGTTCTCTTACCTAGGCCAAAGAGAAGTATTTATCTGGTTATGAGTCTGAGAACCTTAAAATTTTAGCTAACAATCTGGTTTCCAGCCCTACCCTTTATCTTTGACTTCTGCATAAATTTTTTAAAACTTTTGGAGGTTCAATTGATTTTTATCTCATTGGCAAATTTGACTTTCCTACTTAAAATTATTTATTATGCCTCAATACATCTGTAAATTGTGTTGGCATCTTTTGTCACTGTTGTATTCCTCTTATTTTTGTCTGAGTATGTTTACTTTTTAAAAAGCTTACAACTTCATAGGTTTCTAGAAGGTATTCCTAGATAATATTATAATTTTCTTTACTGCTCTTAAACACTGTTCTCTTTCCCTAAGAAATATTTCATTCTCTCTCATTGCTCCCAGTGGCACTCATACTTAGAAAACTTCCAGTCCATCCTGATGTGTATCTAAATGCCAACCAGACATCTTTGCTTGTATGTATCACAGGGACTTCAACTCAACACATCTGAAACCATCCCCATCCACTTCTCTCAAAATTCTCTTCTTTTTGTATGCCATTGACCTTATTAATAGCATCATAGTTCTCTGTTGTTCACACCATAAATCTGGAAGTCATTCTGGCTCCTTTCTCTCATTATAAAACCACATTAAGTTGCTCATCAAGCCCTGTTCACAATATCTCCTAACCATCTTTAAAAATCTGTCATTTCTTTCCCATTTCTGTGGGCATTTTTCTGGCTCAACTTCTCTTTATATCTTGCTCAGATGGCTACAATAGCTTCTTAAAATCCTCCCCTTACTAGGAGGGTTGCCCTTTTCTATTGCATTCTCCTCAATGTCACTACCTGGATCCCTTGAAATTTAAGTCTTACCATGGCAGTTAGCTTAACACCTCTGAATGTCTATCTCATATGTATTGGTAATTACTGTATGTTAAATCCTGTGCTATGCTGAGGGTAGGATATAAACAAATGAGATATTTGGTTCTCTGGTCTCATGAGGCACATAGTATGATGAGAGAAAGACCTATTAAACAACCACAGAAATTAATGTTTAGCAATAAGCTGCAATAAGGAGCACAAAGAAAAAGCAATGAGTGTGTTGAGAGATTATAATTAGGCCCTTACATAGATAGCAAGGGGAGTCAAGACAAAAAACCCTGCAGACATGGTAACATTTAAACTGTGTCCTGAAGCAGGAAGAGAGGTTAATAATGCAAAACATGAGGAGAAGGTTGGAGGGGCAGTATGAAGATAGGAGAGGCAGGTGGAGCTTTTCAGACAGGAGTAGCCTCCACATGAAGATCCTAAAAGTGGTAAAGAACTTGGTGTGTTTAAGGAGCAGAGAAAAAAACCTGTGCAACTGTTGTATAGCAAGTGACGGGAAAAAATGGAATGCAATGAGACTGGAGAGGGAGATGTAGTCTAGATGATACAGGGTAATAGGCCATATAAAAGATGTTGGATTTCATCTCCAGTGCCATGGGAAGCTGTCTTAGAATTTTAAGTAGGAATGTGACAGAATCCAATTGTAGCTTATGGGAATCATTCTGGCTGCATTTTAAAATAGTAGATCTGGATAGGAAGTGGGGGAATTTTATGGCTCAGTATTCCAGCCAAGACAAGATGTTAGCTTAGACTGTAAGGTGACTGTGGTATCACAGGGAAGTGGATATATTTAAGACACATTTAGGTATTAAAATAGACATCAACTGGTAAATAAAGTGGCGTTGGGGCTTTTAAAATATCCTGGCTTTTGCATCATGAAGCAAAGTGGGTAAAGAAGCATGCTGAAAAGATGAGCAAGAAGAGTTAGGTTTGAGATTGCAGTTATATATATAAGTCTGAATTTACAATAAAGAATGAGAAGAAAGAGTGTCCAGGGTGGAGCTATCGGGAATTCTAACAAATAGAGGTTAAGTAGGGAAGGATGAACCAAAAGAGCTTCTTGACAAGGAGAGACTAAAGAAGTAAGAGGAAAACTAGCAAAAGGTGGAATCATATATGCCAAAAATAAAGAGTTTCTTTCAAAGAGAGAATCATGGTAAGTTATGTTGAATACTTCTGAGATGTCCAAACTGTCTAAGAAGTATCTGCTATGCTTAGTCATAGATTGGTCATTGTGAGCTTAGCAAGAGAAGTTGTAGTAGCAAAATAAGAGAAGTCAGAATGGAAGTAGTAAGAGAGTTAATAGGAGACAGGAAGTAGGCATCTTTTCCAGGCATTTGGCTGGGAAAGATAGGCAAGAGAAAGGATGGTAACTGAAGAGAGTTATCAGGTCATGGAACTTTTGTTTGTTTTTAAAGGTTACTAGGGTTGCTAGGCCTTTGAATGCCGATAAGAAAGATCTAATAGAAAAATGAGAGATAATTTGAAGAACCATGCATAAGAAGTTATTACCAAAGAAAAGAGGTCTCTGAAGGAGGGAGAAGGAATGGCATGCACACACAGGCAGAGGGATGAGTCTTAGGAAAGGGACACTGATTCTATAGCTACATGAGGGGAAATAGAAAAGGATGGATCCAGGTAAGATAGGTTGTAAATCCAGTTGAAGGGAAATGAAAGAGTCTCTATTTGATGGTGGCAACCTGTAGAGAGTGGAGATAGAAACTATGTGGAAAGAAGCGGCCACGTTGCATCATGAGTTTTTAATTATGTCAATTATCTAGTTATATAATTTCCCCTCGAATCCAAACTTCTTAGCATAATGATTCTCAAATGGTGATTTTCTTTAGAAGCATGGGAAAGCTTTTCTCTGAACTGAATCTCAGAACTAATGATTTAAAACCTCTGAGTATGACATATACCATATGTCTTTTTACAACTTCCATAGTTTTTCTTTGCCTTTAATGAATAGAACACACTGTCATAACATACAAGGCTCTTCACGGTTAGACTTTCTACCTGTCCATCTTCACCTCTCACTATGCCTTGCTTTGAAACCTGTATACCAACAATAACAAACCACGTGTTATTAGCCACTCTCCTCCCCACCCAATGCACCAAATTAATCATCATTTTCCCACTACTGACTTTGAATGGAGAACCAAACAAGTAGCACATCTAAATTACTTATAGAGAATACTTAATTCCACATCACCATTTGCAGAACACAGAGAAATTCTCATGTTCTTTTTTATATCTCTCCCTAGCAAAGTGTCTGGCCTGCATTGTTTATATGCCTTTGGTAAAAGGAGTTCAGATCATAATAATTGGGGTTGAAGAACACTGAATAGATTGACAGCTCTGGGTGGAAGCACAAAACAGAATTAACGAGTTGTTGAATCCAGTCTAGAGTCAGTGTACTAGTCTAACTAAGGCAGGGAGAAGAAAATCAAGCCAAATTCAACCCAAGAGGGCCTGACCTCTATGAAGTTACACAGCACCAAGAGGTGTGATGTTTCATAGATACAAAGAGGGCAGATGTTTTCAGAATGGAGAGAGAATAATCAGATGGGCAACTGCTGCAGTCATGTCAGATAAGAACTGAGATTTATCCATTGTCTTTGGAAATACAAAAGTCCTTAGTGACCTTTGCAAGAACAGTTGCAGTGGAACTAGAGAACAAAAGGCAGATCACAGCACGGTGAGGAGTAAATTGCTTATTATGAAGTACAGATAGCACGTAGCAGGAAATTTTTTAAGAAGCTCGACAGTAAAAAAGTAGAGGTAGAGGGGAATATGGTGTCCTTGAAAGGCATTTCTTTATTGAACTATGCATATATACTCAAACATGTACATAAATTTTAAGAAAAGATCCAGAAGAGAGAAAGAAAAGAAAAGAAGAGTGTGTGTGAGAGACAGAATCCTAAGGAGAGAGAGAGGAAGCAAAAGAAAAAAAGAAGAAGAGGACTGGGGGAGAAAAGACAGAGTACCTGACGAAATAAAGTCTCAAAAGAGAAATTGGAATTCACAGGTGAAAGAACTTGGAGTAGAAAGAGAAAATCCCCTTTCACAAAGACAGGAGGAGATTCTGGGAGAATGTGGTGATTAAAATGTACTCAAAGCACTAGGAGATAAAGGTGGAAGGAACTTTTGTTCTATGGTCTCATTTTAATCAAATAGAATATAACATCCATAACTAAGGGTGAGGGAGGAGGAGTCAAGAGAAATGTAGCCTGGCAACAACTGAGATTGGAGACCATGAATCTGAAATGTCCCTGGTTATGTGATTTTATGCTAACAGCTCTCAGCATCAAGAATTCTGCCTGTATATTGTGGATATTTATGTGCAGTATTGTTCTTTTAATTTCAGTGATATACAGCAATATCTCTTATTGGATGGGGTCCTTTTTAAAGCCATAATAAATGCCAATTTTGATTCCTCCAAGGACACTACTAGAAGGATTTAACATGAGCTCCACATATGAAATGATCATGAAATATGTCATCTAAGAAATCTTGCAAATTGCACTGCATAAACAGATGGCACAGCTTTGCAATATAAGCAGCAATGCCCTCACCAGCTGTTGATTTTCTTTGCAAAATTTAAATCACTGCACAATGGCTGCTGGTGCTGATGAGAAGTGTATCTAAAATAATCCCACAAGTTCCACAAATGATTAAATGTCCTAGGTTTAGAAGAGATTGGGGTAAAAAGATACTTTATTATTGTACATGTTTGAGCTGCAGAGATTTTCAGAAAATATCAAACTTATGTTTGGATATACTTCAAAGTAGGGAGGAAAAAGCTCATTCCTTTATATGTAGGAAGCCATCTGACTGTATAAATGCCTCCATTCTGCCCTAACCCTCTGCCTTCACTCTGGCATCTGTGATATTTTACTATCCCTGAACGCCTTTGCTCTGTTTTCTTCTTTGATTTTTCTGTCTTCTATTATCCTTGACATTTAGGGAATTTTCAAGCATCCTGGGTCTTCTCTTTGTATGTGCTGTTAATTGCCTAATCCCTCTCTTGCCTCCCCTTAAACTATAGCCTGCATGCTGTCATCCAAGGAGAGAGTCCATAAAAAGCTGAGAATGTAGATCTGAAGTTTAGGAGAAAGGAGGAGGCTGTAAACACACAGAGTTAAGGAGGTTAATGTATATGTAGAAGAAGTCATACCCTTCTTTCTCTTCTCCATTTGACAAATCCCTACACATCTGTGCAGACTCAGCTATAATACTAACAAGATAATAATAATAAATAATTCATGAATTTTTCTATGTGTCAAACACTAAGCATTTTAAATGTATCAGCACACTTTATCTAACCCCAAATTCAGTGCTATCATCGTGGTTACCTGTATGACTATATTTACCTTCCCTAGTAGACATTAAACTTTTTTAAGGAGAGAGAAATTATATCACTTATATTTTTGTCCCCTATGGGACTTCTTGTATTTTCTGTATTGAATATGTAAAAAGCATGTTTGTTGAATGACAAGATAAGAAAAAAGAAAAGGAATGCACAAAATTGTTTTAAAAGTTAAAATGATTAACTATATACTTAAAATCATGCTTTTTCATATAAATTGTGAGTTCTTTGAGAATAAGATGTGTTTGTCTGTTTCCCTCAAAATACCAGGTACATTGTAGATACTCAATACACATTTGTTGGTTGATTGGTTAAAACCTGCCAGAGTGCTATTTTACCCTAGAAAGTGGAAAGCTAAGGGATATATAATCTAACTCAAAGTCAGAATTCACTGAGTACCTGCTGCATCCCTTCCCACAGACCATTTGTCAGGCATGTTGTTTGATTCTTTGGATGTGATTTTACTGAAAGTGGTTTGGATAGTGACCACTGGGCACCACCCCATTGCTGAATCTCCACTAGTCACTGTGACTAGCAACTTACATTCCATTCTGTTTCTCTTCATTCCTGTTCAAATCATCTACCACTGTGGCACTATTGTGGATATCTTTTGCATCTATTGAAGAAAGCTTACAGTTTACATTAAAGATGACTTAAAGCAAGTTGCACATTAATAGTGGACACTTTAAATAAAAGTGTATACTATAACTATTTTGTGAGAATTAATTTACAAAACAGTTAATTTCTATCTATGGATGACAATGTGTACTTACACTAGAAATAATCACAAAAGCCTACACTGGTGAAAATGAAGAAACAAGATATTCAACTAAATAACACAGGTCGACTTATTTTTGTGCAGCTATTAGAAATCATAAAATGAAAGGTGTAATAAATCAAAAGATTATTTATTGTTCAAACTGACTTTAAGTTCATCTGTGAGGAGATGGTATTTGCAACTGGAATATGAACTATGTTTTCTTCTGAAAAGCAACCATACAATTCGGTGCTGATTGGTACATAGCGAATGACATTTGAGTTCCAAAAACAAATCTATCTCTAATTTTTTGCCAAAAATAAGAACAAATTCTAATTATGAAAAGAAAGTCTCTTTGTTTTGAGAGGCTAGTAACTGAGTTTTCACTACATAATTTCTACCTTTTCTCCCAGTGGGGCTATATCATCATGCAAGATATGAATGCATCATCATCATTTTACCTGGAGAAGTGCCATGGGTTTTCTAGAAAATTTGCATCTCTAGAATTTAGACTGGAGACACCTTGTATGTCATAATTCTGTGATCCTGGCTTTTAAATTTGTATTCTTATGATTTTGGCTTTCTGGGATAACTTTCTGTTCTCCCTTTTCTAATACCTAGCAAAGATTGGATATTTTGTTAGTATTTGGATACCCAAAGGAAGACCTGGTTGTCTTCCTTGTCAGACCATCCCTCACAATCCCTTCAGACAGACTGAAGAAAAATTGGTATTTTCAAATGGAGTCTATGAGATGAATTGCAGATGGTGCCTGTTACCCCTACGTATGACAATCTCAGTAGAACAGTGATTTATAGCTTCCCAAGGAGTTTGTATACAACTTGCATTTTTTAAAAAATAAAATGAAATGAATCCCTATATAACAGAAAAAAAAAAGAAAATTATCTTTCTTACAGTCTTTAACTTTGATCTGTGTATTTTAGTCCCCAAAGAAACATCGAGGCATTTTAAAGCATAAAATAATCTATACCTACCCAAAGAACAGATCCTAGGTCTAATACAATTCAAGTCCAAATGAAGAGTTTCATTTTCCCAGGAGGTTAAACCTCCAACAAGTTGAAATTAATATATGTATATAAATTAAAGAATCTGCAACATTCAGAAAACATCCCTTGCCTTTGAGATTCACCAACTTTTGCTCTGAAATTTCTGGAGTTATTAGGTGGTAAAACTGTAGGTCCACAGCTAAGGCAAAAACAGATTAGCCATATAGGTCAAACAATATGAATAGAATATCTATAAATGTATTATTTATGAAAAAGCTAGCATTCTGAAACTAAATTAATTTAGAGAGTGTTTGTCTAGAAACACTTTCCTATCCAGAATCAATTACCATTAGACTGCTTAGTACAATTGTCTAACAAACCTACCGGAAAGCCATTAGACAACAAGTATATGAAGATAGTTAACTTAATTAGTAATCAGGTCACTATAAATCATGACAACAAGAAAATGCCATTTTACATCCATTCAATCAAAATAATTAAAAGTTTGATAACAATTGCTGGAGCAATGCTAATCAATAAATCTTTTACATCGTTGTGGGGATAAAATGGTACAATTGCTTTGAAAAGCAATCTAGCATTATCTTGTAAAAGTGAATATTCATATGTCCTGCGACCTATTGGTTCCTCTCCTAGATATAAATTCATGTGACATGTTTGTTTATGTGCACTGAGAGACATATATAAGGATGTTTAGAGCAGCACTGTTTATAATTGCAAAAAGAAACAAAAGTTTAAAAATCTGTATTAAATGCAAATAACCACAAAGAGGGCCAGGCACGGTTGCTCATGCCTGTAATCCCACCCCTTTGAGAGGGTGAGGTGGGCAGATCACTTGAGGCCAGGAGTTTGAGACCAGTCTAGCCAACATGACAAAACCCAATGCTATGAAATTTGTTGTATTTTTCTACTTAAAAATATAAAAAAATTAGCCAGGCATAGTGGCACACACCTGTAATCCCAGCTACTTGGGAGGCTGAAGCATGAAAGTCATTTGAACCTGAAAGGCAGAGGTTGCCATAAGCCGAGATCTTGCCACTGCACTCCAGCCTGTCCAGAGTGAGACTCTGTCTGGAAAAAAACAAAACAAACAACAACAACAAAACACACAAGAGGAGAATGGATAAAGTGGATTAAAAAGATCATAAATGTGCCATTACACAGTAGTGAAAACGAATAAATCACAACTTGTATAACATGGATGAATCACAGCTACTACTGAGTGACAAAAAAAAAAAAAAATCCCAGAATCTGTATATAACATAATAGCCTTTTTTTAGAAAAATGAAAATAAAAGCTCAGTATAAAAAATATTACTAAATATATGCTATGTGTAATACAACTATTATCAAAAAACAAGGTGTCGCTTGGACGGTGGCTCACACCTGTAATCCCAGCACTTTGGGAGGCTGAGGTGGACGGATCTTCTGAGGTGAGGAGTTCGAGACCAGTCTGGCAAACATGGTGAAACCCTGTCTCCATTAAAAATACAAAATTTAGCTGGGTGTGGTGGTGTGCACCTGTGGTCCCAGCTACTTGGGAGGCTGAGGCAGGAGAATTGCTTGAACCTAGGAGATGGAGGTTGCAGTGAGCCGAGATCGTGCCACTCCACTCCAGCTTGGGTGACAGAGCAGAGACTCTGTCTCAAAAAAAAAAAAAAAAAAAAAAAAAGCAAGGTGTCCTCATCAGCTTGTACTATTGTAACAAAAATACCATGGACCAAGTGGCTTACAAACAATAGACATTTATTTCTCACAGTTCTGGAGGCTGAAAGTCCAAGATCAGATTGCCAGCATGGTCCGGTTCTGGTGAAGGCCCTCTTCCAGATCACAGGCAGCCAACTTTGAATTGTATCCTTACACAGTGTAGAGCAGAGCGGGGAAGCAAGCTCTCTTGTGACTCTTAGAAGGGCACTAATCCCTTCTAAGAGGCTCCACCCTCATGACCTCATTTAATCCTAATTATTAGTACCTTCTAAAGGCTTCCCACTACATATCGTCACATCAGGGGATAGGGTTTCATCATATGAACCTTGGGGAGACACAAACATTCAGTCCATAACACACAAAAAATAAAAATACAAAAGGCAGAATGATGGATAGCTTGTATTGGAAACTTCCGCCCAAAAACAGGATGGGAAGGAACCCAGATACCTGCAACCAGTTGCCAGTATTCTAGCTCTTGGCCTGGGTATAGTGTTCACAGATGTTTATTATTTGTTGAAATAAATGAATGAATAACTAAATAAGAGAGCTGAAGGAATTAAAGGCACAATGAACCTGACTGTATATACTTGTGATACATAAAAATAAGACTTTGAATGGATGTCTGCGTTTGAAATATTTACAATCTGATTGATAAATACGCATAAACAATTACAGAATGTGTACCACAGAGCTAGGCACCCAACTCTTCAAAATCTAAATTTTATTAGGCTTTTGTTCTGGGTGAGAGGATGGGCAGAAATGTTTCCTCTGAAAAATGCCATTTCGGTAACATAATACGTGGGTCATTAGGTCAGGAGAGATTAATTCTGCCATGTGGTACTGTTAAGTCTATCTTTTAATGATAATTTTGTTGTTTTTAGCTTCTTGGCAGCTGCTCTACAATTCTTCCCCTATATGATTTTTTTTTTTCTTTTAGACTGTTAACAGAGTTACTGCATTTTGTGTGAAGGTGACATTATAATTACTACATATTAAACAAGCAGGATCCATAGGTATCTAGACTAAATGAAATGGAAAAACGGGTCTGTCATTTATTTTATGTAATTTATATGATCTTGATCTGGGCAATTTAAACTTCTAAACTCTAAGCTTAGAGTCATATTTCCATAAGCAATTGCGTCCTTTATGAATATAATTCAGGCCTTCTAGTCTTTCATGTTGACTGATGGGAAAGTGCAGAGCAATCAAAATTCATGGCTGGGACAGATCTGAATTGAGGCATCACAAGAATTAGGGTTTGGGGTGTGTGTGTGTGTGTGTGTGTGTGTGTGTGTGTGTGCCTAGATCATTGTTTTGGGGAGAGACTTTCTACAAATATAGGTCAGAATAGAAATATCCTTGCGTATTTTGCCCAAGTGGCTGAAAGAACAGCACGCCAGCACTCCCTTCACCCTTTTCAGGACCTTATTCCAAATTGCAGGGTTTAAAAAAAGTCTTTGTATTTGTTTTTTATTAGTCTCTTATATAAAAATATTAAAACTACAAGGCAGGGGTTATTGCTTACCAATGCACTGCAGTGCCAGCTCCAGGGCCAGGCAGTAAATATTTGTTGAATGAAAGACTAGGCCCCCATTAGGCAATGAGGCTGCTTTGGCAATCAGTCTCCTTAAATGACATTATTTACTGCTGAAAATGTGTTTTCCACATTGGCTTAGATCTTTAATTTACACAGGCCCATTGCCACACTTCAGTGACACAGATCACTTTCTGAACACTCCCATAGCTTTTCTGACCTCCTTCTCACATTGAGACATGTTGAAAAAACAAAACACATTGCATTCATTTTTATTCAACAGCACAGGCTTGCCCTACCCCTACCTCTAAATTGCAATTCTTTGATTTTTCACTATAGAGCTAACATGCCCCAGCCTGTTGATTCCATAAACTTTCCTTAGCTTTAGGTTATACACAGGGTTACATCTCAAGTGGAGTCTTGTCTGCCTGTTTACTAGACCACTTTAGAGATTGTTCAAACCCAAATAGCCAGGAGAGAGATGGGAACTTAATTTGTTTCAAGCTTCAATGGCTGGAGGCTAGACAGACTCTCAGTTTCCCATGGGTGGACTACTAAATGTTTTCAACCTTGGTGAGCAGCAAAGACGTTGTACATACACCATACAGCAATTTCCCAACAAGTACAGATCACACTGAAATGACAGGGTTGCCTGTTCAATACTGACTGAGACCCACCTACCTAGGGAGTTGAGCAATTCTTTGCTTGTTCAGTACTTCAGTCCTCAAGTCAGTTAAACAGAGCTCCTCACACACACGACAGAAAGTACAGCAAACATGCCATGTACCAAACATGATTGGGCTATTGCCTGTTCTCCTCTCCCTTCACCTTCACCAATCCTTACTGGAATAGCTTTTAAAGTCCTTTCTGTTGACCTGGAAGCCATTATTGTAACAAGAGGTTAAAATCAGGGTAAATTGAATTGCTATGCATGACTGAACCCAGTCATCTGGAAGAATGACTCAGGCAAGAATTAAGTTTGAAATTTGAATGTGTTAAGTGGCATAATATGGAAAAATTACTGTTTTGTTAACTATGTCTAAGAAAAGATGGTAAACTGAGTATATCTCAAACAATTTGATTTAATTTAGTTCAGTGTTTATGAACACTAATTATATGGCCTTGAATTGGGCTACAATGAAGGAAAGACATTGAAGGAAAAGAGAATAGATTTCCCCCCTTAAGAAGTCCAGAGTTTGGGAGCTGACTGATTCACATATGCCAGTGAAATACCTGTGATTAACACAGACCAGCATGTAATAAACATTTACAAATCTTATTAGGTGGTGCAAAAGTAATTGCAGTTTTGCCATTGAGAGTAATGGTACTATGACTGCTATGTGTCAAGTATTATAAGAATGCATGAATACTTTTATTGTGCCTAGGGGAGATGTATTAGAGAAGGCAATACATTAGCAGATTCTTGAATGGTAATCCTGCCAGTAGGGAGCAAGGGAGGACATTTAGACAGAGACTGCATATATAAAGCATCCATGGCATAACAAACAGCCATTTCAGTGGTGAAAAGTCCAAGTCTTTCTTGGCAGGCCAGGGCATATTTGGCAAGAGAACTGTCCACAGTAGTCCAGTCCAGACCTCATTGTCCTAGTCCTGGTGTAGACTGGACCAAGATAGCTTAAGGCAGTGTTGCCAGAGGGAGGATTTAAAATACAGTTCGAAAAATGCAGCCAAAGTAAGCAAAAGGTGGTGCCAGTGGTCAAGTTCGAAGAGTCAGCTGAAGCTGTAGGTGGAGTAATGAGTAATACAGTAAAAAGTAAATAGGGATAGGAAGCAGTTCCAAATGCAGGTTTAGAAATAGGGCAGGAGGTCCATTTCATTTGGATCATGCTTACTGACACCACTGAAAATGGATGAAAGAGAAAAAGCAAAAGGATCAGTTAGAAAACAATTGCAAAAGTCAAGCAGGAGATGAAAAGGACTTGAAACAAAGCAGTATTAGTGGAGTCAAGTGTGAGAAAAGTTTTGGAGACAGCATGCATCACACTTGATAAATAATGAATATGAGGTTGAAGAGACAGACCTAGAAAATGCTCCAATCGTGCTCAGGGACAATGTCTTGCAGAATGTGAAGTGCACATTGAACCTGTGGCTAATAAGTATTTACTCAAGGGCTAGAACACATGAGTTTTGGAACCAATGAATGAAAATTATCATTAGCCTCTCAGTATAATTCTTACTGACCAACCCACTTGTAGATTTACATTTTCCATTACCTTGAACTTAGGTTCTGCCAAAGTACAGGTCTTAATTCTCAATGGGGGAATGTTTTCATCAGTGGACAGTTATAGTTTTGATAAACTTGGAGCTATGACTTACTACCATATTACTTTGCAGTCCTATGCTAATGGCCCTAAAGGCAAAGATTTAGGGTAAAATGACCCTGATAATAAATAAAGATGGAATGTAATTAGTTCCAAAAGAGAACAATGAAAAAGAATACCATGAAAATCCAGAGGATAGAGAAATTTGGTAACATTCAGAAATGCAAAAATGGAAAGCCAAAAGATGGGCTTTCATTCACAAGCAATCATAAAAATTAATAAGGACAGGCCTGGTGTGGTGGCTCACACCTGTAATCCCAGCACTTTGGGAGGCTGAGGCAGGCAGATCACAAGGTCAGGAGATCAAGACAATCCTGGCTAACAGGGTGAAACCCCGTCTCTACTAAAAATACAAAAAATTAGCCATGTGTGGTGGTGGGCACCTGTAATCCCAGTTACTCAGGAGGCTGAGGCAGGAGAATGGCATGAACCTGGGAGGCGGAGCTTGCAGTGAGCAGAGATCGCGCCACTGCACTCCAGCCTGGGTGACAGAGTGAGACTCTGTATCAAAATAATAATAATAATAATAATAATAAGGACAAATAAATAATAATGTCAGAAATTTACATCTCTTTTTTTGTATGAAAATGTTTACAAATAACGTTTTGAAAGTGTCTGTTGGATAAATAAAGATGTGATCTGTGTACAATTTGGTTATATTTTATTGAACTTGGTGATATGGTTCAACTATGTTTTTTAAGAATAATGAAGGAAATTAGGAAATAACCCTTGATAGCAAACATTTTAACACATTTTTCTATTGACATTAAGATAATATTTTTTCTTGTATTATTGCACCATATTATTTAGGTTGTAATAGTATAAGAATTTAAAATATCTTTAATATCATAATTGAAACATAATAAACTCAGGGAGAGCTAAATAGATTCAACTTCATTCTCTTGGCCTTGTGATGATCCCTCCTTCCTGTCCAGATTCAGATTCATATTTCAGAATAGGTATGAATGCAGTCATATAATAAATGTTTCCAAATATCAGTTTTACTTGAGTGGTCTTTTTTCTAAATAGTACTTCTGCTCCTATTCTCCAGCAGACAGAATAACTTGGTTTAAAATGGTGTTGTGTTGACAGTCAATACAGTGTTATGAGTAACAGCGTGAGTTCTGGAGTCAGATGAAACTGGGCATCAAGGTCTAGGTCTGACAACAGTTGTGTTACCATGTGCAATTTTGTTAACCTCCCTGGGCCTCAGACACCTTATTTGTGAAAGGGAAATCATAATAGGATTTACCTACCTCATAGGATTTTTGTGGAAGTCAGATGAGCTAGTACAAGTAAATAGGAGTAGTAGTTGCTGGTTGTTTTTCTTAGTTTAACAATGTGGTTTCAAGAAGTAGTAGTTGTCGTTAAAAGATAATTTCAATAAACAGGGAAACCATGACATTCATACAGCTGAAAATGAACACGTTAAAAACTTTATTTAACATATTAATCAGTAAAATAACCAAACAGATATTATAACCTGTTCGAAAGAGAATCCTAAGAATAGACACATTTATAGATTTGGAATATTAACATGGATGTAAAAATGGAGGCAAAACTGATTTCTTCCATAGTGGAGATGGGGAAACAATTGAACGGCCACTGTAGAGAACTTAAATGTCTAGAGACAAGACTTATTTTTGCACTGCTATCAGTTATCTACAACTTATAGAATTGCAAAATAAATTCCATAGAATCAAAGCTTTAAAATGGGAGAGAGCTGTGCTAGAGACTGTGTATTTTTACACTGAAGCACAAACACAAGGTTTCTCTACATAGTAGTGGTGGTGGTAGTTATTTCTGGATCACAAGTAACACGTGTGGTAAACTTCCTAGAAACAGGTTAAATTCTATAAGACTTGAAAAATAATAAAGTATATATATTATTCAAATGATCAAATGGTGCTGATGGAAAAAATGCTGTCCTGGCATTAAACAAACCTGGGTTCTAGTTCCATCATTTTACCATTTATCAGGTGATTGACGTTGGGCAAGTCATTTAACCTCTCCAAGTTTTGCTGTCCTCATCTGTGAAATTAGGCACCGGAACAAATGTTTTCTAAAGTGTCCTTCTGGACTCACATCTGTAGACCAAAAGGATGACTGTTAATGTGAATTTTGATGTAATGTCTCCTATGGATAATCTACCCATGGATAGTCGAGACTGGGCTACAAATGAGCAAAGCGATCAGGGTTGCTGGCTTCAACAATTTCAGCAAACGACAAGTCATTAGGGCTTTTGAAATGTCACCCATTTTACTCTGTATATTTAATGAAATGCTAATGTAATTTTGCTAAACATGCGTACTTATCATTATACATGATGGATTAGAGATATGAGTTTTCAATAGTAGTAAACTGTTGTAGAAATAGTAATTAAGCACTACAATTATGGGAACACCTACTACCTTTTATATTAGAAAGTCATTTTTTTTCCCAGCTGGTGTCAGTTAAAGTACTAAGAGACTGCAAATATGAGGAAAAAGTTTGTGTTAAAAGTATGGTTTAAGAACATTTAACTCAAACTCTGCTTATATCATGCCAATATTGGTGGGCAATGCCCACTCTGTGGCACTGCGGGCACTGTGTAGAACTTTTGTATGTGATTCCCTCAAGTCTGTGAGATCACCTGGGATATGTGAGTAAATGTTAGACCAGAAGTCATTTGCTTTTGTAAAACAGTTATTTATAATAAAATATAATTTTAATAAAATATTTATTGTAAAATTTAGAGTATCATTTATTATAAAATATACAGGAAACTGCAAAAAAAGTGTGAGCTTAGTGAATTATTAAACATCTATATCTCTCTGATGAAGAGAGAGACTTTTGATTGTGAACCAAGCGATCCTTCAGGTATCCTATCTCAATCAAGGCACTCTTTTTCCTTCATAAAAGACATTATTATTTTGTACTTTAATCATTTTCTTTCATTTCTTTACAGTTTTATCACCCAAATGTGCACCTTTAAACATTAAAGATTAGTTTTGCCTGCTTTCATTTATTTATTTTAGAGTATGTGGGGGGCGGTTCTTGCTATGTTGCCCAAGCTGGTCTCCAACTCATGGCCTCAAGTGATCCTCCCACCTCAGCCTTCTGAGTCACTGGGATTACAAGCTTGAGCTACATGCCTGGCTCTGCTTTTGATTAATGTGTCATTTAAGTCTCTTTCATCTAAACATCCTTCCTCATCTTCATTTCTTTGCAAACTTTTTTGCAATTTGTTAGTTGTAGAACATAGGTCATTTGATCCACAGAACGTCCTGTAGTCTGGGTTTCTTGTAAATCGGTAGTTACATAGCTTGATAATGTTCCAGTTCTTTTTGGGGAGATGGGGAGAAATACAAAGGAAGTGATGTGTTCCTCCAACAAGGGGCATGTAATGGCCGGTCACCTCTGTTTTTGTGATGTGGATAGTTGTTAGAACTTCTATGCTCAGATCCATACATCTACTGGGGATGTTTTGGGCTTGATTTTCTATTTCAAGACCATTTGAAGTGCCTATATAAATCACTAATATATTGAAATTATATGTCCTTGTTATGTTATCATGTTGGTATGTTTAGATATGTTTATTTCTTTAACATTACCTAATGTAGGTTAGCCTTGCTATCTCCATCCCACTCTATAACTCTATGGAGACTCCATGTGATTTGAATGATACTGGGAGAAGACAACTTAAAAGTGCTGAAAATGGATCTTTAAATTGATTTCCCATGTTTAAAGATGACCATGAACATTCATAAATCTTCCCCCCAAAACAATCTCTTTCAACATATCAAATTCGGACAATGAATTTTGATCCAAATTGTTGGAGGAAAAAAATCAAGTTTCTTATTGTAGTGAGTACTACCTGGATTTGATTCAACAACTTTCCTGAGCACTTACTTTGTACAAGGGAGAGGCCAAAATTAACCACACTGGTATCTTTGAGTTTGGAATCTTCTCAGTTGAGAGCACTATATACCACAAAATATAAATCTGACGAAAACACATTTACCTTGAGCTATTTTTAACAGGATTTTCAGGGACTCAGGCCTAATTCAGTATCAGAAATGTTGGACTCTATACTTATTGAGAAAAAAAAAAAAGAAACCTTTCTTGCCTTCTGATCTCAAGTATGAAGGTATTGTATGGAACTAAGGCTCCTTCCAGATCTAAGATAATGTGACTCTAAGACAGGCTTCCTCAACCTTGGTACTACTGATAATTTGAGCAGGATAATTCTGTGTTTGGAGGTTGTGCTGCACATTGTTTAGCAGTACCCCTGGCCTCTACCCACTAGATGCCAACAGCACCCTCCTTCCAAGTTGTAGCAACCAAATATGTTGCCAAACATTGCCAGATATCCCCTGAGGCAGGATACTGTTTGACAGTCACTACTCGAAGTCCTTAAGGCACAGATGCACTTGGAGGAAAGAAGGAATCTGCCTGTAGTTTGCATGTAAAGCACTTATTTCAGCAGTGGTCCAACACGACAATATTCTACCTTGGGGGAAATAAGTGTAGCTATGTGTACATACATTCATTTCTATATAATTTTTAATGTCCCCAAATTCTTATAATGCAGTCATAAGGTGATATGTTAATGACAAGGATATGTTCCGAGAAATGTGTTGTTAGGTGATTTCATCATTGGGTGAACAACACAGATTGTACTTACACAAACCTACATGGTCTATCTACTACACACCTAGACTATATGGTATAGCTTATTGCTCCTAGGCCACAAACCTATGAATAAATAAATAGTTAAAATATATTTCTAAAAGCTAAGAACTTTAAAAAAACTATCCCCAGTACAATTTATCTAATAAAAATGAATAGTAATTTCTTAAAATTGTAGAATATCCAGTTACTGTTGAAAGAAAATGACGATTTGAATTCAGTTAGTGAATGAAAATGTATTGAATCTAAATTCGTGGGCTACACTATATTTTACCGGCAGAATGACATTAAGCAGCTATAGTGCTGTCATTTAAACAAAGATTCCAGTTTCTGGAAGACAATATTTTTTATATTCTAGTAATCCACACAATTGTTTTCTTGACAAAATAAGGGGGATCTCTTAGGCAGGAGTTTGTTCTGGTTTTTCATTCTCTTGGTGGCCCCCTGGTGGCCAGATGGATTTTACAAGCGGCTCTTAGCTGAGCGTGTAAAAAGTGTGTGTGTGTGTGTGTGTGTACTTTTGAAAGGAGGGGAAGAGATTTTGAGAGGGTATGATGGAGTGAATGCTAATGTACTTCTTTCTCAATAAACACAAATACTCTTAAATCCATTAGAAGCTGTTAGATTAACCATGATCTTGGCTGTAGCTCTGTAGCTAGCAAGAGATTTTGATTAAATGCAGCCTGGTACAGAAACCTGATGAACATGACTTGAGTCTTTGGTAAGCCAACTCTCTAGGTCAATTTGGATTTTAGTTTCCTATTTTAAAAAATAGGAAATCATAATAAGTGAGCTGTCAGTCCTTCAGCATCCTCCTGACTGTTAAACAATTTTATGAAATAGAAACTCTCTCATCAATTGCTCCCTAAGAAGGAAAATGTGACATAGATATTTCAGTTAAGGTATGCTCAACTTAAAATATTTGGAGACAAATGAACACATTTTATCTTTTGATAAAAAATTTTCATTACATTTTTTTCAAAATTTAAATTTGTAGCTATTTATTCATTTGAAAATATTTTACAGAAAGCCTACAATAGACAATCTATTCTACTACACATTGGAGTGCAGATGACAAGAGGAGCTAAGAATAGAAAAAAACATGTGTAATCTGTCTTAAAAGCACCCATAATTTGTAGATGACAAGCTTAGAGAAAAGTGGTCCACTTTGAAAAAAATTAAAGTTGACAAAATAAATGAATTATGAAGTAGTTATTTGGACCATAGCAGAAAAGTAACAGTCATGCTGCCATAGGGATAATGTGTCTAAAATAAATCAATTATATATGAGTGCACACACACATATTTGCAACCTGGGTTCTTTACTGATTTTGAGTACAAATTAACAGTGGGAGTTATATTGGCTGAGTTAGGTGCTTTGTGTTTATGATCTCATTTAATTGTTACAATAGTGCTATGAGAGAAGCATTGTTATTATTTTCATTTTTCACCCAAAGCCCAGGAAATTTGCTCAAAGGAAAACAGCCATTACGAGATAAAATTGGGGTTTGCCTTCTTAGCTTGGGCTCTCCCCTACTCAGCTGTATGGTTTTACTTTCTGCACATCTCCAAGTTGGACTGTTATGGTGCTCAGGTCAAGAACCACTGTCCTAGAGGCAAGTCGGATCACAGAAGCCTACAGTTTCACTTTCTTTAGTCCCAGGGTAGTGAAACAGCAAGGCACAAAAGAGTTTCTACTTTTTTAAGATTTTTTTTCAACTTTTAAGTTCAGGGGTACGTGTGCAGGATGTGCAGGTTTGTTACAAGGTAAACATGTGCCATGGTAGTTTGCTGCATAGATTATCCCATCACCAAGGTATTAAGCCCAGCATCCATTTGCTATTCTTCTGGATGCTCTCCATCCTCCCACCCACTACCCTCTGACAGGCCCCAGAGTGTGTTACCCTCCATGTGTCCATGTGTTTTCATCATTCAGCTCCCACTTACAAGTGAGAACATGCAGTATTTTATTTTTTGTTCCTGCTTTAGTTTGTTAAGGATAATGGCATCCAGCTCCAACTATGTCCCTGAAAACGACATGATCTTGTTCCTGTTTATGGCTGCATAGTGTTCCATGGTGTATACATACCACATTTTTTTAAATCCAGTCTATCATTTATGGGCATTTAGGTTGATTCCATGTCTTTGCTATTGTGAATAGTGCTGCAATGAATATCTGTGTGCATGTGTCTTTATAATAGATTTATATTCCTTTGGGTATATAACCAGTAATGGGATTGCTGGGTCAAATGGTATTTCTGCCCATATGTCTTGAGGAATAGTCACATTGTCTTCCACAATGGTTGAACTAATTTACACTCCCACCAACAGTGTCAAAGTGTTCCTTTCTCTCCACAACCTCGCTACCATCTGTTGTTTTTGACTTTTAAATAATAGTCATCTGACTGGTGTGAGATGGTATCTCACTGTGGTTTTGATTTGCATTTCTTTAATAATTAGTAATGTTGAGCTTTTTTCATGTTTGTTGACTGCATGTATGTTTTCTTTTGAGAAATGTCTGTTCATGTCCTTTGCCCACTTTTTAATGGGGTTGTTTGTTTACTGCTTGTTAATTTAAGTGTTCCTTATAGACACTGGATATTAGACCTTTCTCAGATGGACAGATTGCAAAAATTTTTGCCCATTCTGTAGGTTTTCTGTTTACTCTGATGATGATTTTTTTTATTACTGTGCAGAAGCTCTTTAGTTTGATTAGATTCCATTTTCCAATTTTTGCTTTTGTTGCAATTGCTTTTGGCATCTTCATCATAAAATCTTTGCCCATGCCTGTGTCCTGAATGGTATTGCACAGGTTTTCTTCTAGGGTTTTTATAGTTTTGGGTTTTACATTTAAGCCTTTAATACATCCCAAGTTGATTTTTGTACATGGTATAAGGAGGGGGTCCAGTTTCAATTTTCTGCATATGGTTAGCCAGTTATCCCAGCACCATGTATTAAATAGGGAATCCTTTCCTCATTGCTTGTTTTTGTCAGGTTTGTTGAAGATAAGATGCTTGTAGGTGTGCAGTCTTATTTCTGAGTTCTCTATTCTGTTCCATTTGTCTATGTGTCTGTTTTTGTACCAGTACCATGCTGTTTTGGTTACTGTAACCCTGTAGCATAGTTTGAAGTCAAGTAGTGTGATGCCTGCAGCTGTGTTCTTTTTGCTTAGGATTGTTTTGGCTATACAGGCTCTTTTTTGGTTCCATATAAATTTTAAAAGAGTTTTTTTTTTCTAATTCTGTAAAGAATGTCAATGGTGGTTTAATGGGATTAGCATTGAATCTATAAATTGCTTTGGGCACTATGGCCATTTTCATGATATTAATTCTTCCTATCCATGAGCATGGAATGTTTTGTCATTTGTTTTTGTCATCTCTGATTTCTTTGAGCAGTGGTTTGTAGTTCACCTTGAAGGGGTCCTTCACTTCCCTTGTTAGCTCTATTCCTAGGTATTTTATTCTTTTTGTGGCAATTGTGAATGGGAGTTCATTCATGATGTGGCTCTCGGCTTGCCTGTTATTAGTATGTAGGAATGCTGGTGATTTTTGCACATTGATTTAGTATCCTGAGACTTTGCTGAAGTTGTTTATTAGCTTAAGAAGCTTTTGGGCTGAAATTATGGGGTTCTCTAGATATAGGATCATGTCACCTGCAAACAAAGATTGTTTGACTTCCTCTCTTCCTATTTGAATACACTTTATTTCTTTCTTCTCCCTGATTGCCCTGACCAGAACTTCCAATACTATGTTGAATAGCAGTGGTGAGAGAAGGCTTCCTTGTCTTATGCTGGTTTTCAAGGGAAATGCTTCCAGCTTTTGCCTATTCAATATGATGTTGGCTGTGGGTTTGCCATATACAGTTCTTATTATTTTGAAGTATATTCCTTCAATACCTGGTTTACTGAGAGTTTTTAACATGAAGGGATGTTGGATTTCATTGAAGGTCTTTTCTGAATCTATGGAGATAATCATGTGGTTTTTGTCTTTAGTTCAGTTTACGTGATGAATCACATTTACTGATTTGTGTATGTTGAACCAAATTTGCATCTTGGGGATGAAGCCTACTTGATCCTGGTGAATAAGCTTTTTGATGTGCTGCTGGATTTAGTTTGCCAGTATTTTGTTGAGGATTTTTGCATTGATCTTCATCAAGGATATTGGCCTGAAGTTTTATTTTTCTGTTGTATGTCTGCCAGGTTTTGGTATCAGGGTGATGCTGGCCTCATAGAATGAGTTAGGAAGGATTCCCTCCTTTTCAATTTTTTGGAATAATTTCAGTAGGAAATGACATCGACTCTTCTTTGTACCTCTGGTAGAATTCAGTTGTGAATCTGCCTTGTCTGTCCTGGGCTTTTTTTTTTTTTTGGTTGGTAGGCTATTTATTAACTGCCTCAATTTCAGAACTTGTTATTACTGGCCTATTCAGGGATTCAACTTCCTCTAGTTCAGTCTTGGGAGAGTGTATGTGTCCATTTCTTCTAGATTTTCTGGTTTATGTGCATAGAGGTATCTTTAGTGTTCTCTGACAGTTGTATGTATTTCTGTGCGGTCAGTGGTGATATCCTTGTTATCATTTCTGATTGTGTTTACTTGAATCTTCTCTCTTTTCTTACTTATTTGTCTAGCTAGTGGTGTATCTATTTTATTAATTTTTTTCAAAAAGCCAGCTTCTGGATTTGTTGACCTTTTGAATTTTTTTTTTTTTTTATGTCTACATTTCCTTTGGTTCAGCTCTGATTTGGGTTAGTTCTTGTCTTCTAGCTTTGGGATTTGTTTGCTCTTGGTTCTCTAGTTCTTTTAGTTGTAATCTTATGTTGTTAACTTGAGATCATTCTAGCTTTTCGATGTGGGCATTTAGTGCTATAAATTTTTCTCTTAGCACTGCTTTAGCTGTATTCTGGAGATTCTGCTACATTGTCTCTTTGTTCTCATTAGTTTCAAATAACTTCTTGATTTCTGCCTTAATTTCGTTATTTACTCAAGAGTGATTCAGGAGCAGGTTGTTCAATTTCCATGTACTCGTGTGGTTTTGAGTGAATTTCTTAATCTTGAGTTCTAGTTTGGTTGCACTGTGGTCTGAGAGACTGTTATGATTTCAGTTCTTTTGCATTTGTGAGAAGTGTTTTACTTTATTTCTGATTATGTGATCAATTTTAGAGTAACTGCCATGTGGCAAGGAGAAGAATGTATATTCTGTTGTTTTAGGGTGTAGAGTTTTGCCAATATCTATCAGGTCCACTTGATCCAGAGCAGAGTTCAGATCCTGAATATCTTCATTAATTTTCTGTCTCCTTGATCTAATATTGTCAGTGAGGTGTTAAAGTCTCCTACTATCATTGTATGGGACTCTAAGTCTCTCTGAAGTTCTCTAAGCACTTGCTTTATGAATCTGGATGCTTCTATATTGGGTGAATATATATTTAGGATAGTTAGCTCTTCTTGTTGAATTGAACCCTTTACCATTTTGTAATGGCCTTCTTTGCCTTTTCTGATCTTTGTGGGTTCAAAGTCTGTTTTGTCAGAAACTAGAATTGCAACTCCTGCTTTTTTCTGTTTTCCATTTGCTTGGTAATTTTCCCTCCATCTGTTTATTTTTAGTCTACGTGTGTCTTTGCATGTGAGATGGGTCTCTTCAAGACAGCATACCAATGGGTCTTGACTCTTTATCCAGCTTACCATTCTGTGTCTTTTAATTGAGGCATTTAGCCCATTTACATTTAAATATAGTACTGTTATATGTGGATTTAATTCTGTCATCGTCATGCTAGCGGGTTATTTTCAGACTTGTTTATGTGGTTGCTTCATAGTGTCTCTGGTCTGTGTATTTCAGTGTGTTTTTGTAGTGGCTGGTTATGGTTTTTCCCTTCCATATTTAGTGCTTCCTTCAGGAACTTTTGCAAGGGAGGTCTGGTGGTAATAAATTCCCTCAGTATTTGCTTGTCTGAAAAGAATCTTATTTCTCCTTCATTTACGAAGCTTAGTTTGGCCAGATATGAAATTCTGGGTTGAAAATTATTTTCTTTAAAAAATTCAATATTGGCCCCCAGTCTCTTCTGACTTGTAGGGTTTCCTCTGAGAGGCCTGCTGTTAGCCTGATGGGCTTCCCTTTGTAGCTGACTTGGCCTTTCTCTCTGACTGCCCTTAAGATTTTTTTTTCATCTTGACCTTGGAGAATCTGATGATTATGTGTCTTGGGGATGATCTTCTTGTGGAGTATCTTACTGGGGTTCTCTGCATTTCCTGAATTTGAATGTTAGTCTATCTTGCTAAGTTGGGGAAGTTCTTCTGGATGATATCCTGAAGTATGTTTTCCAACTTGTTTCCATTCTTCCCCCTCCACTTTCAGGTACCCGAATCACAGATTTGGTCTCTTTATATAATCTCATATTTCTTGGAGGTTTTCTTCATTCCTTTTCATTCTTCTTTCTCTACTCTTGTCTGCCTGTCATAATTCAGAAAGCCAGTCTTCCACCTCTGATATTTGTTCCTCTTGTTGGTCTATTTTGCTATTAATCCTTGTGAATGCATTGGGAAGTTCTTGTAGTGTGTTTTTCAGCTCTTACACAGGTTGGTTATGTCTCTCTCTAAACTGGTTATTTTGGCTGTCACCTTCTGTATTGTTTTATCATGATTCTTAGCTTCTGTGCGTTAGGTTATAACATGCTCCTTTAGCTCAGCGACGTTTGTTATTACCCGCCTTCTGAATTCTATGTCTGTCATTTCAGCCATTTCAACCTCAGCCCAATTCTCAGCCCTTGCTGGAGAGGTGTTGCAGTCATTTGGTGGAAAAGGGGAACTCTGGCTGTTTGAGTTGTCACTGTTTTTGCATTGATTCTTTCTCATCATTGTGGGCTTATCTACCTTCAATCTTTGAGGTTGCTGGCCTTTGGATGAGGTTTTTGTGGTTTTTCTGTGTTGTTGTTGTTTTCTGTTTGTTTTGTTTTCTTTTAACAATCTGGCCGCTCTTCCATGGGGCTGCTGTGGTTTCCTGGGGGTCTGCTCCAGACCCTAGCCACCTCAGTTCTTTCCATACCTGGAGGTATCACCAATGAAGGCTGTAAAACAGCAGGGACGGCAGCCTGCCTTTTCTTCTGGAAGTTCCGTCCCAGGGGATACTGACCTATCGCCAGCTGGAATGCACCTTTAAGAAGTGGTTGGAGACTCCATTTGGGAGGTCTTATTCAGTCAGGAGGAATGTGATCAGGGTCCTACCTAAAGAAGCAGCCTGGCTGCTTTTCGGTAGAGCAGCTGTGTTGTGCTGGGGACCCCTTCAGCCCCTCATTGGTCTGGGCTCTCCAAGGCCCCCAGGCTGGACCAGCTGAGGAGCCAGAACAGCCAAGGTGGTCACCTGCACCACCCCTGAGGCACTCCACCCCAGGGAGAAATTGGAGCTCTGTCCCCTCAAATAACAGTGGCAAGGGTGACTGGAGCCCCTGGCTGGGAGGATCCATCCTCTGAAGAGAAGCAGATTTCTTAAAGAAGCAGTCTGGCCATGCCTTGACAAAAACTATATTGTGGTAGGGAATGGCCTCTGTGCCTGTCAGCTTGGACTTTCCAAAGTCAGCAGGCTGGAATGACTGAGTCATCCAACCAACCCAGGTGGTGGCCTCCACACCCCCCAGCGCTTTGTTCCAAGGAGAGATCAAAGCTCTGTCCATAATAATACCTGCCAGTGGGCCTGGCTGGGAGGAACCACTCAGTGAGAAGGAATGGATCTGGGTCCCACTTAGAGAAGCAGTCAGGCCATGATCTGGCTAAGCCACTGTGTTGAGCTGCTGGGGGACCCTTCCTCATTTGGACCATTTGGACACTCCAAAGCCTGCAGGCTGGAGTGGCTGAGGCAATCAAACAGCAGAGATGGTGCCTACCCATTCTCCTGGGGGTTCCATTCAGTCTCAGGCATGCTCCACCCTATTGCCAGTGGCTGACTGGAATTCCAAGCCAGTGGGTCTCATCTTGTGAGGTGCCCTGGAAGTGGGGCCCACAGAACAAGGCTGATCAGCTCTCTGGATTCTGTCCACTTCCTAGGGGTATGTGCAGACCTCTTGCCTTGTCGAGTTGCAGACACGTTTGTTGCACATCTAGGGGCTGGAGCATGTAAAGCACCTGGGTCTCTGTGTGTGCCTGAGCCGCTGCTCTGCTGAAACTCCACACAGCTCTGTGTGTCCCACCCAATGCCCTGGTGGTGTGGGCTCACAAGGGGATCTCCTGATCCGTGGATTGCAAAAATCTGTGAAAGAAGTGTGGTTTCCCAGGGTCACACAATCACTCACCACTTTCCTTGGCTGGGTGTGGAGGTTCCCTTGGCTCCATGTTGCTCCAGGGTGGGCCATAGCCCCGCCCTGCTTTTCTTCATTTTCCGTGGTTTGAGTTGTTTCCCTGATCAGTTCCAGTGTGACTACCTGGATATTTCAGTTGAAGGTGCTGTATTCACTAGTCTCTTTTGTTCCCCTCCTTGAGTGCAGCAGACCATAATCGCTTCTAATCGGCCATCTTGGCCCCCCTCCGAGGTTTTTTTTTAAGAAAGTAATCAATGTAAAAAGATTTACAAGGAATCATGATTAGAAAAAGATTATTAATGATTATTATTTTCATGGTAGTAAAAACATATAACATGAACTCTACCCTTTTAAGACATTTTTTTCATGTACAGCACACTGTTGTTAACTGTATGAACTATATTGTACGGCAGATCTCTAGAACTCTTTCCTCTTGCATGCTTGAAACTCTATATTCATTGAACAGCAAGTCTCCATTTCCTCTCCCAGCCTCCAACACCATCAATCTCCTTTTTGCTTCTATGAGGTTGACTACTTTAGATACTTCATAGAAATGGAATCATGCAGTACTATTTGTCCTTCTGTGCCTGGCTTAATTTCACTTAACATACTGCTCTCAGGTTTCATCCATGTTATCACGTATTGTGGAATATCCATCTTTTTTAAGGCTGAGTAATATTCCATGTGTGTATACACCACATTTTCTTTATTCACTCATCAATTGATAGACATTAGGTTGTTTACAACTCTCAGCTATCATGAATAATGCTGAAATAAAGATGTGGGTGCAAATACCTTGTTGAGATCTTGTTTTCAATTCAATTGGATACATATCCAGAAGTGGGATTGCTGGATCATATGGTAGTTCTATTTTTAATTTTTCCTGGAACCTCCATACTATTTTACATAGAAGTTACATCACTTCACATTACCACCAACAGTGCACAAAAGTTCCAACTTTTCCATATCTTCACCAACATTGTTATTTTCTTGTTTTTTTTTTTTGTTTAATTATGGGCATCTTAACAGGTGTAAAATAATATCTCATTGTGGTTTTGATTAGTATTTCCCTGATGATAAGTGATGTTGAACATATTTGCATATACCTGTTGGCCATTTGTGTGTCTTGTTTGGAGAAATGTCTACATTAATTATCATTTACTTTGCCTTTTGAAGCAAAGTTCACTCTTTTTCTATAAATAAAAATTAATTTAATTCCTAGCTGTGAGCATGCACTGAACATATGCTGTGGAAGGTACACTGGGCCCACAGGGATATACATATGCCCTTCTTGAAAAGCAGTTTATACCATAGAGGAGGAGACAAGTCATGTATATCAAACCCTACTCTAAGGCAAAGTCCAAGATGTGTTATAGTGTTGGTACTGGTTATGATGGGGACACAATAAGAAGAAACCCAACTTTCATTAACCAGACACCCACCACATACAAGTCTGATTGGCTGAGAATCATCATAGAAGAAATATGAGGCAAAGAGAAATTAAGTAATGTGCCTGAGGTCAGCAGCAAGTAGATCCACATCTGAACTATTTCCCAAATTCATAACTTTTTCTCCTATAACATTTTACAATCTCTTCTTTGTGAACTGAGAACACTTCAGAGAAATTTGACTTCGGAGCTGAATCTTAAAGAATGGATCAGTGTTAGAATTAGAGAGTAAATGGTCTCTCATTGACTTTTCTGAGCCTTTGTGATTTGCCTTAGAAATAAGTGATAAGCTCTGTGATAACCTGGGACCTAAAGAGAAAAAGTGGCAGGTCTCTGAAGTATGAGTTAAAAGCCCCATTCACCCCGGGGGCACTGTTTAGCTCACAAGGACGCCTCATTTTAGAAACAGAGGTTTCTAATTAGTCAGTATAGCATAACTTTTCCTCTGATTGTTTTGACCTGTTCTCATTTCTCCGGGACCTCAGACCCTTAGAGTAATTACCCTAAAGTGAACCTCTTACAACTATTGAAAAATTTTTCTCTGCCTGTCTCCTGAGCTTCAGCTATTTCTTAATTGTGAAATGCAAATGATAATGTATTGATTGTGAGGGCAATTCTTGGGGCTGAGCAGTTATTAGGAAAATCAGGATTATGAATTCTGGTCTAGAGGCAAGATCTTTCACATCACCTAGGACCCAACAACTAAGGATATATTGTAATCAGGATTTGATTTGGGAGTTCTACAGAGAAACTTTCCTTGCCTAAGGAGGCTGGCCATGGGTGGTGGAGGAACTCTGTGGAATCTGAATGTTTATTTCCATCTGGAGTTGTTAGCAGAGGTGTGTTTCTCATTAGAGTCAGCTGTGGAAATTCAGGAGTTTTATAATATCCCCATTCATTCACTTTTAGCCAACAAATATTTAGAGGCTACAGAGCATTACTGGGATCAGCATAAAGTTTTAATTCATCCATTTATATTCAGAAGGGAGAGAATGTCAGAATTTTGTGGGTATCCTGAAAACCCCTGCCAGGCTACTCAATCTTCTAGAGTGGTCTCAGTACTGATCATATCCTGAGGATACCTTGTTTCTTTACCCAAAATGTAAGGAAAAGATGCAGCCAGATAGACGTCCCTGTGAAAATGCCCTATCTTTGGCACTGTTAAAAGAAAAGCCTCAGACAAATATAACAGAGTTTATTTGAGCAAAGAACAAATTATGAATCAAGTAGCATTCAGAACCAGAAGAGGCTCAGAGAGCTTTGCCCAGCAGCATGAACAGTGAGCTTTTATTGGCCCAACATGGAAGTGAAGGAGAGAAATCATCTGACTGCCCACAGGCAGGTGTTTACCTTATTTGGGCATGGTGTGCTTGATTGGCTGTCTGTGATTGGCTGAAGCTTAGCTGTTTATGATTGGCTGAAACTTAGCTGTTTGTTATAAAAATATACTCCTAAGTTAGGTTGTGGTTTCTTACATAGGCACTCAAAATACAGAGTCAGCCTTGGGCCAATGGTCTCCTATTCGCTTAACTTAATGGCCCTAACAGTTTGTTGTCATCTATTCATAAACTGAAGATCAAATGAATGGATTGTCACCGCCTATAATTTGACAAACTGCTCTTAGAAATGCAGTGTTGTATGGTGAAGGTGCAGGAGACAAGCAGATATTGTTCTGAATCCTGACTCTGCCACCAGCAAAGTGATTTTGAGCAGGTAGCTTTACCCCTTGAGTCTTAGTTTTATTATTTATAATATGGACATATTAACACATAAATTTTGCAAACAGTAAATTCCATAAATTTTATAAACATTCCTACTCCATTACTTGTTTGATATGTGCTTAGTGAATAGCATTTCCCTTCTCCATAAGAAACAAGAACAAAGAAAATTTTAGGTAGCATAGGTATCTATTGAAGTATAAATGGAAGAATTTCCCCTGAATGGGGATGAACCAATATACTTAGGCACTGTTGAAAAATGTTAAGGTAAACTTGGGATTAAAAATATCAACAAATAATATTCTACATATTTAGAAAGGAAGTGAGTTTAAAAAATTTCCCAATGCTTTCAGCAAATTTTCTTGAAATTCTTTTTGTCTTTATATAACTAAACTGAACTGGAAAATAGATGGTGATAATGATTAAAGTAATATAGTCAAAAATGTAACATGACCTAAGAGAAATATGCAAATAAAATAGAACTGGGGGTTTCAAAGGAAGAAGAAATGATTATTTCGAGCTGACAGAATCAAGATAGAGTTTATGGAGGATGAAATAGCTTCTAAGCAGGACTTTAAAACATACAAGTTGAGTTTCAAAGGAAAGCTATCAGAGAAAAGGCATCTAGGAGGCCCTGGGCCAAGGTGGGAGAGCGCAGACATGAAAGGGGCCAGTGGATGGTCTGGTTTGATTGGATGCCAGGCCAGGTTTCATGGAAGCATGGCCTATGCTGCTGTACAGAGTTTTGTGCTTGGTTTATTTCTCTGTTGCCACTATATTAAAATTCTAAATAATTTTTTGGCAAGAAGCCCTGCATTTTCATTTTTCACTGGGCCTGGAAAATTACATAGCTGGTCCTGACTGGAAAAAAATGATTAAAATAAAATTGTTGAAATCTTGCAGGATTTTAAGTGGCTGAGTAAAACACCTAAATTTTACTGTGTCTGGGAATGAGGAGAGCTTTGAACCGAGGAATAATATGACTGGCATTTTGTATGAACCAAACAAACTCTTTGTATTCTGGATAAGAACAGAGAGAGGCTAGAAGGAGAGAAGTGAGTGGTTCTTGCTGGAATCACCACATCCCCCCACCCTTTGCTGAGAGTTCCTTTGGCTTACGGCAACTCTCCAGTGTAATTATTAATGCCCTCTTTCACTCTAAGAAATGTCCCATAAATTATTTGGTCATCCAATTTATTTTGATAGTCAAGGCAAATTAAGTCCTGAATTTGGAAGGCAGTAGGAGATGGTGGTGAATAGATTATAGAAAACCAAGAAGAGAGACTTAAATGACACGAATTGTCAAACTTTGAGTCTGAATTTCCCTTTCAACATGAGAAAATTCTACAGGTGACTACATGCTAGTAGTTGAAATTTTAGTACTTGTTGCTTGAAAAAATTCCATGATGATATAAATTTTTTTTAGTGCACTCTTAGGTAATTATATATATTGTTAATCACTAGACACTTGAAGAGCTGTAGTATGTATTTGAATGAGATATTAGTCATCCTGTCTAAAGTCACTGCTTGCTTCCCTTTTTGGATTGGTGGACCTTTTATAGAATTCCAGTCCTCCCTCCATAGGAAAGGATCCATGTCCCAGAAAGATGGAATCATTCAACTACAGGTAAAGCTTACATTCTTTAGCATGACATTCAAGGCATTTACCACTGTGGACAGAATCTGAAGTGGAGCCTGCCTATTATAGTTTGAAAAATTTACTAACAAATGGTTGAGTCCACCACAGGAGTAGATGAGAATGTGTGTATATATAGGGGATGGAGGGTAGAGCAAGTGGATGTGGCTTTGTTTGCTCATTTAACTTCATCTCAATAAAAGAAATACCTGATTTTTAATAATGTATATACTAGGTATCTACAATACATTTTCTTTGAAATATTTTTGAAATATATTAATGTGGTAGAAGAAACACTGTAGAGAATTCCAGGTTTGATTCCTGCCTCTACGATTTGCCATTTTTGTGAAATTAAGCAAGTCCCTGAACTTTTCTGAGCCCCCGTTTCTTCATGTAGGAAATGGGGTTAATGATGCCACTCTGCAGGCAGTCCTGAGGGTGGAAGTAGACTTAACATGTGAAATGCTTTAAAAACTCCAACAGAGTCATTCTTACACTTAAGCATGTATCAGAGACACTTAGAAAGTTTGTTCCTTTTTTGTTTTTGTTTTTTTGGGTTTGTTTTTTTTTTTGAGATGGATTCTCGCTCTGTCACCCAGGCTGGAATGCAGTGGCACGATTTTGGCTCACTGCAACCTCTGCCTCCCGGGTTCAAGTGATTCTCCTGCCTCAGCCTCCCGAGTGGCTGGGACTACAGGTGTGTGCCACCACACCCGGTGATTTTTTTTGTATTTTTAGTAGAGACAGGGTTTCACTGCATTAGCCAGGATGGTCTGGATCTCCTGACCTCGTGATCCACCCACCTCCGCCTCCCAAAGTGCTGGGATAACAGGAGTGAGCCACCACGCCTGGCCAGAAAGCTTTTTAAAACACAGATTGCTGGGCTCCACCCCCAGAGTTTCTAATTTGGTAGAATCTGCATTTTCCAAGACCTCATGTGATTTTGATGCTGCTCCTCTTGGGACTACATTCGGAGAACCACTGCTCTTAGCAAATGGAAGTCTTCTTCATTAAGTTAAAGGAATCACTCCCACCTGCCTAGAAGGTAGGTATTTTTTAGGGGATGTTGCACATTATGAAATAAAAGAGACATAAATATGAAACAAAGAAATGCATGTGACTAAATATTGTGCTACATATTTTACTAAAGAGAAAGGCCTTGGCTTTGTGAAGAAATTAATGAAGACTGCTATGAATCATCTATTGGCCTCATGCAAACTAAAACCAAGGATTATACTTGCAGCTTAATTTCAACTTTATAATGATTTCATTTAATTATGATATAGGACCAAACATGAAGATGCAGTAGTGTGAAATTAATACTGACAACACTGGGTTTGCCTGGGCTCTGCAGATTAACTAGCATTTTACTGCATCAATAACGGAATGAGGAAATAAAATTAAAAACTGATAGTGAATGGAATTACTTATTTGAAGCTAGTGATTATGTCAAGCTGTCACTCCCACAGACGGATTAAGCACAGAAAGACAACCAGATAAATTATAAACCACTCATCAAAGCCCATATCCACCTAGTACACAAGCTTGGTAACAATGGAAATCTGAAATTGACTTGGTCATGGCAGATTTGGGTTGCATGTTTAGCATTTCATAAACTCTTAGCATCTTGAGGAGAAAAGATCAAAAAAACCTTGGAGGTCATGTGAGATTAGATTTCATGTTTTGAGCCATTACACTGCGTTATTCAATCTAAGATGGAAAAAATAAAGATTTTGTTTCCTTTAAAAAAATCACTGCAATACAATTTAGAAAAAATACAGTGTCAAATAGTATACCTAAATTATGTGAAACAAAAAGATTACCTTAAAATATACCAACGTTAGTTCTCTGTACTTTGAATAGGCAGTGTTTATTTTAGTATTCATTTCCTTTTCTTTAATTCTTCTCCTTTTTCTCTCTTCTTTTCTCTTTACCACTATTTCTTTATTATTGAGACTCACAGATCACCTGAAAGTCTTTTTCAATTTGTCTGAAACATTGATTTTTTAAAATTTATCAACTATTTCCAGGCAAACTGTCTGGTTAAACAGAAGGTCCTGGCTTTAGCATAAACAAGACTATTTTTTTTCTATATAGTGGGAGGAATTATAGAATTGTGGAAATATCAGGGTTGAACATGACTTTAGGGAACTTCTTCTTCTACTTATTTATTAAATTGTGGCAGGAAACGATTTTCTCTTGCCTTTGCTCCTTTGAATCCCCACTGTTATAATGGAGAATGTCTTTTACTTTGTCATATTCAAGCACCAGGAATTTGCCAGAAGAGGCACTCAATATTAGCAATAAGACATTTGTTTATTTTGTAGCTGGTCTTTTTTGAAGAGTGGAAAGGTCTAACGTATTCTTTTTAGGATGGAACTTTGATCACAAAATGTTAAAGCAGAATGGACTCTGGACCCTGAAGAAAAGGTAGAAAAGGGAAAAGGAGAAGGTGATTGTGAAATCAGGACTCTAGGTATCCAACTAAAAATTGACTCTCTGTGGCCTGAGAAGTCACCTGCCTGGTCATGTTAAGCTACGATCAAGACCGTTTTCTTTCAGATAACAGACAGAATTTGACCACCTCCAGTCATTAGGAGCATAGTGTCTAGATTTTAACAAACATGGTGGAACTCAAGATCTTACTAAATAAATTTCCAGATCTACTGTGACAGAACCAATCCTTTCTGTTTGGCTAAAATTCCCATTGGAGGAAGGAATTTGAAAAGAGTTGTTCTTACTCTTCTTTGAGAATTTGTTGTCAAGTTATTTTCCCTACTTGTCAGTTTATCTTAGCAGTCTTCTTACTTCCCCCTTCAATAATCTCAAAACTTGGGAAAAATCATCAAATCTCCCAGTTAGAAAAGTTCCCTGATTATCCACTTAGACTTCATTGTAGCCTTTTGGTGATAGAGTTCTTTGTTCTATTTTTTTTAGCACACGTTTATTGTTGGAACATTCTTTCAAATGGAAATAAGTCCCTTCCTTTTACCCCAGAAAAAATGGAATTAATCCGAGTTCCTAATGGATGAAGTCTAACTTTTCTAAATGCTGTCTGCACTTATGGTATATAGTAACTCATAGCTAACACTCCTCAGTGCTTAGCTTACTGTTTAAGAAGTTTGCATTAAACCCTCACCCTAACGGCAGGTATTATTATTATATCCACCTTACATATAGGAAAACCAAGTTGTGGAAAGAGTAAGTAAACTGCCCAAGGTCATATGGGATTTAAATGAACACTGCTATTTGCAACCAGGGAGTCTTATAGCCAAAGCTCATAGTTTTAACCACTATGCAAGCTACCTTTGACCTACTGATGGAAAATGATTTTCTCTGGCCTTGGTATCTTCTGAGTATATCCAGTCTTTTAACAGAAAGGTGCTTCTGGTTCTCCCATTAGACCATGACCTTTGATACATAAACAAAAGTAATCTTCATATTTAGGCATATTTTTAGTGTCATTCAATAAATTAGTTTTAATACAACTAAATATACTTCCTAATGGGGTAAAGAAGAAATGAAAATCAATGTAAGAAATGCTTCATAGAATAGGCAGCTTAGAACCTACAAGTGATACATTAACAGCTTTTTATTCAATGTCATTATAAGAAATTGATCTCAGTTGTTAGAAAATTGAAATGCTTATGGAAATCTCAGACTCTTCCATACAAAGTGTATATATTTTTTTACAGTTCTTTCCAGTTCACCTCCCACTGACTGTCAGAGCAATAAGAAAACATGCAAATTGGGGAGCAATGTTGTAAGCGCTTTAACAAGCATTCAAACTCAAGTGAGAGACATTTTTTTTAAAGCTTTTAACCTGCTTTCTAGGTGATGTGATGGTAAACTACAAAGACAAAAAAAAAAAAAAAAAAAAACTTTGCAAAGGACCTGCTTTCTGTTGAGGTCTTTCTTTATGTCTCTCTCCTTCTCTCTCTCTGTAGGGTGTATACTCATTATGATTACCCAAGCCCGTTTCTAAGATTCTCAAAACTATTTAAAAGAAGCAATTAGTACAATATGCAGTTGACCCTTAACACTGGTGTAAACTGCATGGGTCCACTATATGCAGATTTTCTTCTGCCTCTGTCATCCCTGAGACAACAACACCAATCACTCCTCTTCCTGCTCCTCCTTAGCCCATTTGACGAAGGCAAAGATGAAGACTTTTATAATGATCCATTTCCACCTAAATAAGAGTAAATATATTTTCTCTTCCTTATGACTTTCCTAAGAACATTTTTTCTCCAGCTTACTTTATTGTAAAAATCCAGCATATTATACATATAACATACAAAATATGTGTTAACTGTTTATGCTATTGGTAAGGCTTCTGGTCAACAATACGCTATTAGTAGTTAAGTTTCTGGGGAGTCAAAAGTTTTATGCAGATTCTTGACTGCGCAGGGGATCAGTGCCCCTATCCCCTGCCTTGCTCAAGGGTTAATTCTATTTAAAAAATACAATGAAAATGAGAACAGAGGCAGCAATTAGATGAAACAAACCAGGTGGCAGACACTGAAAAATAATAACAATTTTTATTCAGAGCTAAAAGAATGACAATTATAAGACTAATATCAGAAACCTGAAGGTATTTTTTCAAGCCTAATTAGTTTTATGGATATTTATGGTAAATATATGTGTGTCTTAAACTCGAGAGTTTCTTAAGAAACTAAATAAACACAGGGAAATATAGATGTTCTTTTTTTATATATTCACTGAAAGTCCACTGGATAAGAGTTTAAAATATGAAGTGTGTTGAGTATATTTGGAATTTCCCTTACAACAGATGTCAATTTCCCTTACAAAAGTCGTCAATGGTACACAGGTAGTACAGACAACCTTTTCTGTCTTGGGATGACTGCTGGACATAGCAAAGATATTAGAGAAATACTCTATGTTTTCCATCCTGTGACAGAATATCTCTAAGACAAAAATCTGAGACACAATAAAATTTAAGATAAAATCTCCAAGACTCTAACACAAGATAATGCCTTTAAATACATAGGCCCAGAATTGATCATCTCAAATATTAAAAACAAAGGCATACCCCATAGTTTAACTCTGCATCATCTAGTAGTCTTTGCTATAAAATCTAGTGGAAATAAAATAAGCTGAGTTGGTGCTTGTGCATCGGCTCATTATGATTAACTATTCATTTGAAGTTTGAGATTGATAACTAGTGTCACCATCATATGAAAATCTCCTAGCAGATTCATTAAGGCTGAACTTTTATGTAAAATATTTTCCACAGAAAAGGGGAGAACACTGAGAGCATACAACATGAAATTGAGAAGACATCTGTCACAGTGGCCAAACCTCCAGTAGATGGAATAATGATTATGAATCTATTACTGTTGATATATTACATAAAGCTATGGGAATAGAGAGCTTTTCCAATTACACAGAGAGTAATCAACAGCCAACAGCAGTAGCCCCATGCTCTCACACCTGCTGCTTGTCTCCGATGGGAATATGCCCAAGACAGAAGGAGTTTCCATTCACCTTTAGTTTGGCTTTGAAAGTATAAAATAAACCATTGGTTCTTCAACCTCGCAATAGCAGTGATATGTCACTGAAGCACTGTTAATAGAGACATCCTCTGCCTCCTTTCACCAGCATCTCAAGCCCAATTGCTAAAGTTGTTCTCTTGTGTTCTCTCTTCCTCTCCTTAATCTCTACCACAAAAATCACATATTTTAAGAAAATTCAAAGAATTCCTAAAAACTCACAGGATGTCCAATTTACCTCAAGAAGACAGACAGAGAGAGAGAGAGAAAGAGAGAGAGAAATATAGAGGGTTTCTTTAAATTTTTAAGTAAAGTTCTAAGATGGAAACATTTTTTATCATGAACATAGAAATTTTACCTATTGTGAATCAAATTGTAGCCTCAGAATCCATCTAACTCAAATCCTAAAAGTACCAATTGCTGTTACCACAGCTAGGTGGATAACAAATAACTTGGTGGTCTGAATAGATTTTGGACAAAAATTAAATTTCTGATTTCCTGCCCAGTACTTAGTATATTGATATATGGTCTATCCTTGAAAAATACAGTTGTTAACATTGACCAGATATTAAGGTAACTGTTTCCTTTGTAGCCTTTAATCTCATTTGCATTCCAACTATACAAAAATGATAATTGGTATTACTTTAGCTGGTAGAGCAACTTTATGTGAATTTGAAAAAGGCACCTTTTCCTTAAGATATATCCTTATTATCTGCCATAAATTTATAAGAAATATAGAAATTTATTTTAACTAACATGTGAAATGTTCCTTAGATCTGTGAAGTATACCACTTGTACAACCAAATTCAACTATTTTGGTAGATAGTGTGTGATTGCTTCCTCATAATTCCAATGGATTGGTTCTTGGCAATCTCACATTATGCTGTATTCACATAGGTACATTTTGATCTTCTATTTTCATCCAGCCTGACACTTCCAGACATACTAGTTTGCACATTAGCTGACAACTCTGATACTAGTAGTATTTGTGGCAGACGTCTTGGGCTGTCTTTATTTATTACCACTATACTTCTTCTTTCTTTCATTCTGGTCCCATCCAGTTCTGACTCTTGCCTCCATCTCTTATTTATTTAGGTCTTTGTTTACAGAATGTTCTTGTTAGTAATCAAGCTGTAGTTCATATTTCACACTCACACACACTCACACAAACATACAAGGTCATTTTCTGACGATCAAACTGATAAAAAATCAAAATAAGGAAGATGAAAGGATCCCTCTGAAAAATTATTTATATCAATATTGTTTATGAATATTTTTTTGAGGAAGCCTAGGAAAGACTGCAATAGAATCACAATGGCATCCTCAGGCCTGGAATGTAATTGAAGCAATTGTTACTCAGAAAAGGCCAACTGCGTACAAGAGGGAGAAGAAGAATTTTCAGTGTTTATCCTACACTACTTAGTGACAACTACTCCCCGGTTGTAGAGATCTGCTTTATTTATTTATTTTATTTTTATTTTTATTTTTTCTTGAGATGGAGTCTCGCTGTGTCGCCCAGGCTGGAGTGCAGTGGCGCGATCTCGGCTCACTGCAAGCTCTGCCTCCCGGGTTCATGCCATTCTCCTGCCTCAGCCTCCCACATAGCTGGGACTACAGGCGCCCGCCACCACGCCTGGCTAATTTTTTCTATTTTTCGTAGATACGGGGTTTCACCATGTTAGCCAGGATGGTCTCGATCTCCTGACCTTGTGATCCACCCGCCTCGGCCTCCCAAAGTGCTGGGATTACAGGCGTGAGCCACCGCGCCCAGCTAGATAGATAGATAGATAGATAGATAGATAGATAGATAGATAGATAGATAGATAGATTTTTTTTTTTTTTTTTTGCTTAGGAAAAGAATAATAATTCACCTGGCAATGATTATCTGATGTGATTGTGCCTGCTTTTATCAAGCATATGATGTGTAACTTGGCCTCCTGAGAGGTCTTATGTCTACAGTCATCAGGAATCTTGATTGAGGCTAATTTTTTACTGTATTAAAGTGAGGAAAATATTTTAGTTGTTGGTGTTGTTGTTGTTTTCTCTAGCTGCCTCCTGTGAGTTAGTCTAACGTCAACTCCCTACAATCTGAAATACTATACATTAATAAGCTTATCAAATGTAGTTTCTGACCAGAAAATCTGACAATCTGCCCCAGATTCACTAAAATGATTCCACACACTGTAGACCAGTGGTGAACTTATCTTTGCACTAGGAAGTCTCTCCCTTGAATACTGAATCTCTTATGTGTACCATTCTTGAGGGAGATGCCTAGTAAAGTGTCTGCCGGCAATTCTGGAAACTATTTCACCAATGGTCACAAGAGTGGCTCCCAGCAGCCATGTTGGCTCTGCATGGCTTACTGCCACCCAGCAAGTGGCTGAAGACCCAAGACAGAGAGTCTCTTCCAGTTGCAGGCAGTTGAATTTAACAGACCTGGTCAATTGATCCAATCTGGATAATTAAAGAATCTTCTCCAGGAACTTAAAATTTGAACTGAGAGTATGTTAATTGCACCTTGAGATTGGAATTATAATAAATTGAGTTGAAAGCCATGGGTGGTCACACGAACAAGGGAGCAGAAAGAGAAAGAGGTATGCCACAGACAAGCAGAAAGAGACAGATACCAAAAACAGAACAAATCCTGTGGGGTGCCTGAGAACTCTCTTCTTGATTCTGGTTCTTCCACAAGTCTGTCCATTGTCCTGCTCTTGGGGTTCATAAGATAGTCTGGACACTTCACAGCTTTTTGCTTAAGTTAGCTTGTACTTACTTCAAGAATCTCAACTATTCCTCATCTGTAGTTTTACATTTTCACCAATCCATCTGATCTCACTCTTTAGCACAATCAATAAAGTTTCTATTTTAACACATTCCAAATTCATATGTGACCTAAAGCAAATCACTTAACATATCCTTAGTTAGTAAAATGGCACACTCACTTCATAGAGTATCTGTGAGAATAAAGTGAATTAATATATATAAAATCTGAATAATAGTTTCTAGCACACAAAGAAAACACCAAATACACTTAAATTTTACAATTATTTACATTAATAATATTAACTATGATCTTTCTAAAAAAAGCATACTTAGAATCTTCTTTATGTTTTTAGTTTAATTCATATCTCCAAAATGAAGTTTTAGTTAGTATTTGCAAAGCGCTAGAGATAGTGTTAGTTACTTCACTCATTCATTCAACAAGTTATTGAACATTTCATGTTTATGCATATTTCTGTCTGTAGAAAGATTACTATTAGGCTACTATTTAGAAACAATCTTATGCTGTTCAATTTAGGGTTTTAATTAATGAGATTTCTCTTGAGTTACATCTTATCTGCGTTAATCATCCTTTGGCTTCAGAGAAAATAGAACTGATAGAAAGATGTTCTTTGAAGATAATTCTGTAGTATATAGCTACATGTCAATGTTTGTTTAATAAGTTAAAAAGGCACAAAGGTGAATACATTTTAAGCTTTATAATTATGCTGGTGATTGAATTATTAAGAAGATGGACAGAATCCCACTAGGGATGGTTACATGTGCCTTCATCCTGATCATTCTCTTAAAAAAGGGTTCTTTGATGTGCATGAACATTTGTTCCAACTGGCCCACTGAGTATTTGAAGCTTATTCAAAGGTCATATTTTTGGGCAAGACTTCACTCATACAGCACAGATGGACTAAAATACAAAGGGAGGTAAATACTTCGAAGTTATAGCTGTTAAAGCAAGGATTTCCAGACTGATTTTCTTAGATGTTGCTTTAACTTTAGGGTTTCATTTGGAAATGTCATGACTAAATTTTAAGAGAGATTGAAGAGGACATGAAACCACCACCACTACCAAACAACAAAAACCTGGCACAGATATCAATGAAAAAATTTTCCTTGAGCAATTCTAAACTGTACTCTTAGAAGCTATTGAAAATATCACTGAAATCAACATTCACCTCCCTGGCTCGGTAAGAGAGTTGAGGTTAAGCTATTAAACCAAACCTAGGCACTAAACGTAACACTGGCAACTTTTATGCCTCAGAGGTTGCCATAATAACACTTTTTGAGACACATTCTAGTTTAGGAGTTTTCCAGATTCTGTCTTATGTTAATTTTACCCTACATGCCTTCTTCATTTCTCAACCTATAAATCTCAGGGCTATCAGATTTAAAAACCCTACTTTTTATAAAAAAAAAATTTCTAATATACTCTTTACTTTCTGAAATAAAATTAATCAATGACAAAAATACCAACAATGTAATTTTTAAAAATCAATGTAATTGCTTTAATAATTTTAAGAAATAATGTTTGCAAAAAACATTATTGGATCTTTCATCTTTTCCTTGGTATTACATATTTGTTAAATAAAAATTAAACACCCTCCCTTTTTGAGTGAGCACAGGGAGGACCTGAAATAAGACGACGTTTACTAAGGCAAACAATTGAAAATTATATCTGCACTTTATGGAAATGAAGAAAAAAAAAGAAATAAAAAGGAAAGTAATTTTATTAAAACAATTTGTACAACTAGAGTAGAAGATAAGATTCTACCTAACGACTGCACTTAAGTGTCTGGGAAAATATTTAAAAGTTGTATGGGACAACTTGTGCATTTGCAGAACACTTAGCATTCATAGTGCCTACTCACTAAGGGCATTAGCACCATCATTGATAAAACCGAAAACTTTCTTGCATGGAATTACAAATCTTCCCTAAGTGGCCAGTACTACTCTTGTTGCTAACCATTACTTTCGCCAATTCTAAAAAAAGTAAACCATAATTCCATATGATAACAGTTTAGGTTATAATACAATAATTTTTCATTAATATTTATTATGAATATTGATTACTAGTATGGTATCACCACCTTTTAAAATGTATCAACAATTCCAAGCTCTCCAAAATTCAGACACAATTATTTTTAAAGAGTTGTTCATTTGTTATTTTTATTTGAGAAATTGGCAATGGTTTCAGGCTCAGGAATAACACAATTTAAGTACTGCTTTTTAGGAAATGCAAATATCTATTGCAAGATTTGGTGAAATGATTGAAGTATTGATGTGTCATTACATGTTATAGAAATTTTTAAAGGGCAAGAACTATTAAATGGAGACACTGGTTTTCACCCAGAGTTTCTGTGCATTGATCTAGTTTTATTTCCAGATAACCCTGATGTATCAGGGCAGGATACACACCAAGAAAAAGAATCCCAGTGGATTATAGAGTCAGACTATTAGAGAAGATTTGTTCCAGGGGTCCAAGCAGTTGCTATGCATTACAAAGTTGAGAGATGTACATTTACATTAAAATTGTTTTCAGACTCTGATTTAGTTATGATTGCAGAAAAATTCATCTTCTAAGTGAGACAGGTGATCTCCTGTCTGTATTTATTTCTATATCAATATTTCTAGCTATTTTTAAAGCTGTTTCTCTTTTTTGTGGCAGCACATGGGATATTCTGGGCCTGGAGTAAATAAAAATGACCCAACAATCAGTAGAGATATAGCAACTCCCCTGAATCATGCTGCCTCAATACCCTCTCAACAACATAGCTTTGGAAGTAAAAGCTTACTCAAAATCAACTAAAGTTTTAGAAGGCTCTGGACAACTACTTATATTAGTCAGTTAATAAGATAGCCCAATATAAGAGCAGAAGTAGTATAGAAAGGAAGTAACACTAGTGGTTAAGCATCAGTTCTGGACCTAGACTCTCTACTTTCTAGCTATGCCAACATGGGTAAAATATATATCTTCTTCAAGCCTCAGTTTTCTATAACATGGTACAATAACACTATCTCCTTTATAATAAAATAGGGCAGTAAGAAGGTCCCCGTGTAAAGTGCTAAGATAGTGTCTAACACTGGACAAAAACTCAGGAAACATTAGGAATGTTGTTAGTTGGCTCTTCAATCCCATCAATTTTTATTTCTAGGGAAAATCCTGGGGGAATTCAGGCCAGGTAAGGTCTAAGTAAAATATCCTTTAGGCCAACTCGTGACCGCTCTGGTTGGGGTATCATATGATTGTGTAACCTATTTAGGATTTTGAGTCGACCCAAGCATGTAAGTGTAAAACCAAATCACAGAGATCTGAAGGCTCATCTTCCTGTTGGTGAATCTTCTTTCAGAAACATTCAGTAGTCCATCTACTGACCTGCGATAGGATGAAAGTCTCATGGACGATTTCTGAATTGGTCCTCAGAAAGAAGCACAGACCAAAATCTGTTCCTATAGAACATGCTGATCTCTGATACAATGTGGTGAAAATAGCTCACCAATCCAAAATTTTATTGCTTATAGCCTTGATTTCCTGATCCCTAATTCTATGCTCTATGTAACCACTTGAAATACATATGCTTACAAGTGAGTTATTCGAAAGCAATATAGAAATGGTATACAAGAAGCCACTTAGGGTTACATAATAAAAGATTAACAACTGTAGGTTTCAGCTAAATTAAAGCATGTAGGTTTAAAAAAAATCTCTGCATACCTTAATGTATCAAATTTTATGGATTTTCTTTGGGAAAATTATTTATTTATTGATGGTTATAGAATTACTTGAAATCAATATAAAAATAAGCAGCAAAAATATTTTACTTTTAAATTCCAACCAAATGAGTTTAATTTGCATGCATCCAAAGTACCCAAGACTGCATTGCAGGCAGCAGCTCTGCCCAACATCAAAGACACTCAGGAGATCAAAACAAAATCAAGTTCTGCGGAAGTGATTCTCTTATTCTTTTTCTTAATAGGCATGTTTGTGTTTTCTCTGTTGGTATTGGTCAATTCAAGGCAACATTAAAGTCTGTGAACACCACCAAGATTTGAATGACTCCATCTTAACCTAGGAGGTAATGAAAACATGCGAAGTCTGACATCTGAGAAAGGGTCTGTGATTGAAATCTGAAAACCTGTAGCTGCATTGAGAATGAAGGACCTTTGTACTGTTTCATTTTCCCTCTTGCAGAGGTGTGCAATTGCTGTCACAAGATTGGATTTATGTTGGAACATTTCCCCTGCCCCTTCAATTTTTTTTTTTTTTGCATGAGATCTACATGAAGATCATTAAATGTCCTTATTAAGCCTGCCTGAACCAGAGGACAATGACCTTTTTCATGTTCTGTCATTTGTTAGGTGGGTTTGTCCCAGTCTTCTGGCTTTGTTTTCTCAGGGAGGGAAAAATAAGAGCCAATCAAACTGTAAGATTCTGACTGGGTTAAAACCAGGCCAGGGTTGCTTAAGCAGTGCTAACACTTGCATGGATCATTTTCATGACAAAGATTGAAAGGAGTATAGAAAATAGCACAACGGGATTCAATTCACGTGACAAAAGGAAATTGTGCAAAGTTTAATCCATTCCCATTACAGTCTCAAGATTGTAATCTCCTTGGATGCTGAGCCCAGGAAAGATTATTTTTTTCTACAATATGCATCATCAAGTTGCTTTAGAAGTGGTGCTGTGGGCTGGAGGGAGGCAGCACAAGTTATATAACATGCAATTTAGGATAATGGCCTTTGAAAAGAAGAAATTGATATAAACAGACGAGGCCAACAAAGCTTCAGTCATCTAGAAGGTAGTTTCAATCACTACTGACATTAAACAATATCACCCCCACTGAGTCTACACTATGTTTATTATCATTTAATTTCTTGCTCAAATCGGCACTTTCTTATCATAATGTCACAGGGATTGCAAGCTCTGTTGTGACTACAATTGGTAGAAAACCTCATTCATCTAAATAAGTAACAGGATACAGAAATTGAGCTCTCTATCTTCACCTTCTGTGACTTTAAATATTCTACCAAAAACATTAGCAAAAATGGAAGCTACAGTGTTTTCACAATTATCACAGCACTGTCTTTGCTCTTGTAATGATAGAATCCATACTTTCAATCTGAGGTGCTTAATCATAGCAGCCGTCTAGTCCGCCCAACTGTGGGCTTTTAGGACTCCCATAATTATTCATTTTCACTCACTTGACAGAGGGTGTTTCCTTGAAATAATTCAGGCCACATCAGAAAATAGAATTTTAAAATCTTTTCATGTGTTCTGCTATACATAACAATACTGAATTATGCATTAATAAACCAAATTTAATTGGCTTGGAGGTGCGTATGCCCTAATTAACACTATACCGCAATACTAAAACTGATTGCTACAGACCATCAAATACACAAATGTAGACATAATGATTGTACCATTAGTGAATGAAGTTCCGCTGTCTCTTGGTCCATAAAAACCACACCTTTGCTTTTTCTTCATCTTCTCCCTTGCTTTTTTTCCTCTTCATATTCTGCCTCTGCTTTTCCTTTTCTCTCTTTTCTCATTTTTTTACAATATTTTTGGGGAATAATTTTAGATGTACAGAAGATTTGCATAGATAGTAGAGAGAGTCTGTCTTTCATCCAGTTGTCCTCTTATTTTTAGTAAAATGTATTAATGGGTAGCTACTCAGGCCTACTTTTCGTGTATTAATGGGAAGTTAATACATGATATGAAAAATAGTTAAATAAATTTAGAAAATCTGTGTCAACTCCACAGGTAGAGCCTTTACTATATAAATAGGCACTGCAAATCTGCAATGCTTAGAGCTCCTGAATTAAATGACTGTTTTACTATTCTTTTAAAATTTAATACATTATTTCCTTGCTATTGTCCCTAGGAACTTGGAGCTGTGACCATCTCTCTCTGTCTCTATCTCTTTCGTGAACTTGAAGAAAAAAAATGGTATGAGGAGATATCAAATGGAATTTAGGTGGCTGTATTAGTCCATTTTCACACTGCTATAAAGAACTTCCCTGGGGCTGGGTAATTTATAAAGGAAAGAGCTTTAATTGAGTTACAGTTCAGCATGGCTGGGAAGGACTCAGGAAACTTACAATCATGGTGGAAGGGGAAGCAGGCACCTTCTTCACAAGGCAACAGAAGAGAGAGGAACGAAGGAGGAACTTCCAAACACTTATAAAACCATCAGATCTCGTGAGAACTCACTATCACGAGAGCAGCATGGTGGAAACTGCCCCCATGATCCAACCACCTTTCTCCCTTGACACATGGGGATTACAGGTCCCTCCCTTGACAGGTGAGAATTACAATTCGAGATGAAGTTTGGGTGGGGACAGAGAGCCAAACCACATCAGTGACATTATATAATTTTTTGGTATATTTCCACTGGACTGTGCCTGTAATATGGCTTACCCACCATGGAATCCTTACTAATTCTAAACTCTCGTATTTCAATTGATTTGTTGATATGAATATTTACCCGTGTACAATGTTAACAGCAGGCAGGAACTATCTAGCTCCATCTACTCCCAGAAATAATGCTTTTAATTTTTCATTTCTAAAGGAGTATCTTCTCCTGTATTAGGTACACATTTCAAGGCTTTGATATATATTCTAATGCTTAAGAAACTTATTCAACTTGGTAGCCATGGCTACCCCACCACAAAATAAATGAATGAGTAAATAAATATAAAAATAAATAAGAATACAGGGAGCATGCTCCAAGAGTTGTACATCTTCTTGACAGAAAATCAATATACAGTAGTTGTGGAGATGGAGATCGTTGAGCTAAATTTTTGTTTACCTTCTAGATAATTCCAGTTTCTGCTGTCATTGGGATGGTAAAAAGAGAGCTTTCCCATCTCAGAAAACCTTTTGTGGGTCATGACAAGCTATTTGCAAATTATGTTCATTCAAATTCTAAATTCTGCCCAAATGCAGTTGACAGACTGTAGACAGCTAAGTTATGGGGATGGTACAAATAAATTCTGTGTATGATAATTACTTATTGATCTGCAAAGTGCCTTCTATTTGGATCTGTATTAGAATAAAGGCATGAATGTGTTGAAAGCTCATAACAATCATATTGAGAGCAACAGGGACAAGAACATCTCCTTAGCATGTATCAGGGTTTAAATATTCTTGCTAGAAGAAAAAGACTTTCTTCTCTTTCAATTTCTAAAAATATGTAGCTTTTTAAAAATTAATGGTTTCTAGTTTCCAACTCAAAGCCAGATTAAAGAAGCTTCTTTTATTTTTCTTTAACTTTTACTCTAAGTTCAGGGGTACATGTGCAGGATGTGCAGGTTTGCTGCATAGGTAAAAGTGTGCCATGGTGGTTTGCCACACAAATCATCTCATCACCTAGGTATTAAGCCCAGCATCCATAACCTATTCTGGATGCTCTCCCTCCCCCCGTCCCCAGCAGGCTCCAGTGTGTGTTGTTCCCCATCATGCATCCATATGTTCTCATCATTCAGCTCCCAATTATACGTGAGAACATGCAGTCTTTTGTTTTCTGTTCCTGCATTAGTTTGCTGAGAATAATGGCTTCCAGCTCCATCAATGTCCCTGCAAAGAGCATGGTCTCGTTCCTTTTTATGGCTACATAGTATTCCATGGTGTGTATGTACCACAGTTTCTTTATCCAGCCTGTCACTGATGGGCATTTAGGTGGATTCCATGCCTTTGCTATTGTGAATAGTGCTCAATGAACATATGCATGCATGTATCTTTATAGTATAATGATTTGTATTCCTTTGGGTATATACCCAGTAATGGGATTGCTGGGTCAAACAATATTTCTGCCTCTATGTCTTTGAGGAATCACCACACTGTCTTCCACAATGGTTGAACTAATTTACACTCCCACCAACAGTAGAAAAGTGTTCTTCTCCACAACCTCATGAACATCTGTCTTTTTTTGTCTTTTTAACAATAGCTATTTTAACTGGCATGAGATGGTATCTCACTTATGGTTTTGACTTGAATTTCTCTAATGATCAGTAATGTTGAGCTTTTTTTCATGTTTGTTGGCTGCATGTATATCTTCTTTTGAGAAGCGTTCATGTCATTTGCCCACTCTATAATGGGGTTGTTTTTGTTTTTTTTGCCTGTTGATTTGTTTAAGCTCTTTGTAGACTCTGGATATTAGATCTTTTCAGATGGATAGATTGCAAAATTTTTCTCCTATTCTATAGGTTGTCTATTCATTTTGATGATAGTTTCTTTTGCTGTGCAGAAGCTCTTTAGTTTAATTAGATTCCATTTATCAATTTTTGCTTTTGTTGCAATTGCTTTTGGTACCTTCATCATAAAATATATGCCCATGCCTGTGTCCTGAATGGTATTGTGTAGGTTCTAGGGTTTTTATAGTTTTGGGTTTACATTTAAGTCTTTAATACATCTTAAGTTGATTTTTGTACATGGTATAAGGAGGGGTCCAGTTTCAATTTTCTGCATATCGTTAGCCAGTTATCCCAGCACCATGTATTAAATAGGGAATCCTTTCCCCATTGCTTGTTTTTGTCAGGTTTGTTGAAGATAAGATGCTTGTAGGTGTGCAGTCTTATTTCTAAGTTCTCTATTCTTTTCCATTGGTCTATGTGTCTATTTTTGTACCAGTACCATGCTGTTTTGGTTACTGTATCCCTGTAGTATCGTTTGAAGTCTGGTAGCGTTATACCTCCAGCTGTGTTCTTTTTGCTTAGGATTGTTTTGGCCATATGGGCTCTTTTTTGGTTCCATATGAATTTTAAAATAGTTTTTTTTCTAATTCTGTAAAGAATGTCAATGTAATTCTGTAAAGAATGTAGTTTAATTGAATTAGCATTGAATCTATAAATTGCTTTAGGCACTATGGCCATTTTCATGATACTAATTCTTCCTATCCAGGAGCATGGAATGTTTTGTCATTTGTTTTTATCATCTCTGATTTCTTTGAGCAGTGGTTTGTAGTTCTCCTTGAAGAGGTCCTTCACTTCCCTTGTTAGCTCTATTCCTAGGTATTTTATTCTTTTTGTGGCAATTGTGAATGGGAGTTCATTCATGATTTGGCTCTCGGCTTGCCTGTTATTGGTATGTAGGAATGCTGGTGATTTTTGCACATTGATTTTGTATCCTGAGATTTTGCTGAAGTTGCTTATCAGCTTAAGGAGATTTTGGGCTGAGACGATGGGGTTTTCTAAATATACAATCATGTCATCTGCAAACAGAGACAATTTGACTTCCTCTCCTCCTCTGTGAATACCCTTTATTTCTTTCTCTTGCCTGATTGCCCTGGCCATAACTTCCAATGCTATGTTAAATAGGAGTGGTGAGAGAGGGCATCCTTGTCTTGTGCTGGTTTTCAAAGGGAATGCTTCCAGTTTTTGCCCATTCAATATGAGATTTTTTATCTTTGTATTCCTGGCACCAAACACAGTGCCTAGTATGTATCAGACTCTTAAAAGCTATATTTTAAACAAAATTAAATTAAAAGTAACTGAAATTTCATGAGGCACAGACATGGCTGTTAGTCAGAAGAGGCTGGATTACGCATCAGGAAAAAACAGCACTGAAGTCTCCGTTGCAAACATACCACAGCCCTATTTCTTATGCTTATGATCCATGCCACTCTCCAAGGTGGCTAGTATCCATGAAGCTCCTACACTCAGAGATCTAGGCTAACAAAGGAGCTATTGGACAGCTCCACCTTATAGCTGCATGTTCTGGCTATAGTGTGGCTTTCAGATTCACCAGGAAAGGGAGAAGGGGAGAAGGTGTGATGGAAGGATTTTCTCTGTTCAGGGTTTGGTTCAGAATTAATGCACATCTGTTTACACACAGTCCATTGGCCATCACCAGCATGTGGCCCCATCAAACTACAAAGTGGCTAGAAAGTGTGACACAATTGTATCCCCAGAAGGAGAGGAAAATTAGAAAGCAACGAATGTTAGGGATCTCTCTGTCTAAAGTAACATGCAAGAGTAATTTTTAATGTGCTTTTTAAATGTTTTCTTTAAAAAAGATAATGCTCAAATACCATTCAAGGACTCTTCTATTCCAGCTCCCCTACCTTGGCTCCAAATGTACTCAGCCAAATGCATATATTTTGCTTTCATAGAAGAGTCTATAAACAACAAGATCACAAAATAGGCACGATATCTTTGGAGGCCTTCACACAAAGACTTACATAAGTAAAATATGACATAAATAATACTCAAGTATCAAGGCCTGAGCTTTTGGAGAGTAAAAAAATAATACCAGAAAAGTTCTTCAAGGGCATATAGTTGGTGGTTAGATACTAAATAAAACACTTGCAGATTTAACCCCAATAATTGATTATTCTTTAAGGGTTAAGGTCAGTGTTTTGCACACCAAATGACACTGTGGATTCATAAACTATCTGATATGTCAGCCACATTCTTGAAGACCAGAGGGTTTGTGTGTACAAGAACAGAATAGTGATCTAGTGGACAAAATTATCTTAAATACAAAACGTAATTTAGCCGGTTGTTTAAGATCAGTCAAAAACTCATTAAAAAAAAAAAAAACCCAAAACTTATGTGTTGTTTTTTTACTGTGAAGACTGCAACAACCAGAGCCAACACTCAGTTTAATGTTGTACATTTCCCTACCTCAGCCCAGAGTTTTAATAAATGGTTAAAATAAGCATTGAGGTATTACAAAAGTAATATATTGTATTTAATAAAATCAAACAAAATAGAAGAAAAAACTAAAAATCTCTCCTCATCTCCTTTTCAAGTCTCAGATTTTAAAATCTTACTTCTTGATATATATGCTTCCAGAGTTTTGATAAGTATATGTAAATAAACACCTGCAAGCAATCACTAACCCATATTTTTATTTACATATTATAAATACATATTGATCTCTTGTAGACTTCAAGTATCATAAAAATAAAAAAGGTCAGTATTTGTTTACTTTTATTCCTAGTAGCAAACACAGTGCCTGACATTGTTGATGCTTAATTGATTATCTGATGAACAAATTACTCTTAAGTTAATACATCTTAGACAGTTTCCCAAGTGAGCTTTATTATTTTTAATCTTACTAGAGTTTTCCATAATATAAACATGCCATAATATTTTAAAATATCTTGTTCACCAGGATAAATATTTGTGTAGGATTAATCCCTGGAAACAGGATATTTAGCTCAAAGTCATGAATGTTTTAAATGCTGATAGACACTAGTGAAATGGTTATTCACCTATTTGGAGAATCACAGAACCATTGGACAAAGATGAAAATTAATGTCCCCTCTCCTAGTAAATTACACCAGTGTCCTACATGATTTCAGAGTGTAATAATATAGGCATGATTCCTAGGTAAAGAATCCCTGCTTTAGAGTGTCAACCTCAGTAATCTGAGGTTCACTTCACTATAAATGGTCTCAGCTTCTAATTGCAACACGGTTTGCCAGCTTTCCTTCAGAAAACAGATGTTCTCTGAGAGGAAAATTATGAGATATTGAGATATTACATCTAATTTGCCTCATGAAAATGTTAAGCTCAGTTTACCCATTTTCAAAGGCAAATGCTTCTGTGTCAGTATAGCCGTAAAAACTCTCACTCTGCCACATCGAAATCCCACATTAAGCAATGATTTTCTTATTTTCTGCTTTAGAGTTTCTCTAACTGCTCTAGTCACAGTGATGTTACCAAAATTTTTAAGAAAAAGGAGAATGCGACGTGTTTGTTTCAATTTTTATTGCAGCAGGTTGAATTAAGTAAGAACTTCCGTTTTGCCCAGCCCAAATGTGAGAGCTGCACTGAGTCATGAAAGAGAGCTCTAAGTGAAGACAGTGACTAATAGTTAGGAGAATGCTTGGTCAGCAGAAAGGCAGACCTTGATCTTCCAGTGACCAATGGCAAACTCATATCAGCACATCAGCAGGGCAATGGGTCAAAGCCATTACTGTTTTATCATTCTTGAGTCAAAACAAGAAACTGTGACGTGCCTGGTCATCAGAGCTAGTCACTTTCTTCCACATACACACCCAGATACTCCGTTTCTTTAAGTTTATTTTTCTTAAAGGAACAAAGAAAAATTAATTTAATTAGTCCCCCTGCCCATTTTCAGAGAAAACAAAGCCTCTTCTAAAGAGATGAAACTTTCAGCTGCTTTCAGGAGGAAGCATGCTTTTATTTAAGGGACTGTAACTGATTTATAAGAGAATAAAGCACTCTTCGTTTACTCAGCTAGAAATTATATAGGCCTTTCCTCATTTCACTTCCAAAAGAGGAACATTTGGATATTGCAGAGAACCGACTTTGACATCTTTAGAGAGTGGAATCACTTGGCTGGGCTCATTTCCTGGATCCTGTGTTTTCATAGCACAGTTTCAAAGACAGTGTAAAGCCAACACACACTTAAAATTCTTGGTTTCTATCAAAACAAATCTGCCATTTCCTGCTTTACTTTTTCAGTGAGGTTCATTACAGTGCTAAATTTGAACCTCATTAAAAAATAACATCTACACCTGTCCTTAGATTATTCCTAAAAAGTAACATTCTCCTATTTTATAGTAAATGCTACTGTATGCAAACTTGAAATCTATACTTAATATCATTGAGTAAAAATGTGACCAGACTTAGGTTTTAAACTATGAAACATATGTGTATAAGTTCTTCCCCTTTTGCCCTTTGAGAAATCAAATTGAAATTCAACTGAGGAGGAAATAGGCTAATGCAAATAAGAAATTGTCATCTGGGCTTTTGCTACTCAAAAGGTGTTTTTTGAAACAATAACATCAGCATTAAGTGGGAACTGATTATAAATGCAGTATGTAGGGCTGCACCCCAGTTCTCCCTATTCACAAAGTACATTTTAAAATATTCCCGTGTGATTTGCATATACATTATTCCCCCTGTCCTTAGAAGGTATGTTTCAAGACCTCCAGCGGATGCCTGAAACCTTGAATAGTACCAAATTCTATATATACTACTTTTTTCCTACCTATCTACGATAAAATTGAATTTATAAATTAGGCACAGTGAGAGATCAACAGCATTAACTAGTAATAAAATTGATCTATTGTAATAAAAGTAAAATAAGAGTTACTTGAACATAAGCACTGAGATACTTCAACAGTCAATCTGATCACCAAGACAGTGACTAGTGACTAATAGGCATGTGGTGAGTACAAGATGGATACCTGGACAAGGGATGATTCATGTCCTGAGCAAGTTGGAGTGGGGACGTTGGGAGATTTTATCAGCTCCTTAGAATGGCACGCAATTTAAAACATACGACTTGTTTACTCCTGGATTTTCCATTTAATATTTTTGGACCGTGATTAATTACAGGTAACTGAAGTCTTGGAAAGTAAAATCAAGGCTACTGGATAAGGGGAACTACTGGACATTACTTTGAGAAACCCTGGTGTAGGTCATCGCTGTGAAGCTATGCAGAGACCCTAAATGTTTCATTCTTTAAAATACACCATTGTGTGATGAAGGCCAAATATTATAGGTATTTACAGTCCTCAAGGTTATAGAACTCGGCTGGGCATGGTGACTCACACCTGTAATCCCAGCACTTTGGGAGGCAGAGGTGGGAGGATTGTTTGAACCCAGGAGTTCAAGACCAATCTGGGCAACATGATGAAACCCTATCTCTACAAAAAATACAAAAATTAGCTGGGCATGGTGGCTCCCACAAGCAGTCCCAGCTACTAGAGGGCTGAGGTGGGAGGATCACCTGAGCCCAGGAGTTTGGGACCAGCCTACACAGCAGAGTGAGACCCCTCCATCTCTACAAAAAAAAAAAAAAAAAATTAGCCAGGCATGGCAGCACATGACTGTAGTCCCAGCTACTTGGGAGGCTGAGATGGGAGGATTGCTTGAGCCCAGGAGTTTGAGGCTGCAGTGAGCCAAGATCACGCCACTGCACTCCACCCTGGGGAAAAGAGTAAGACCCTGTCTCAAAAAAAAAAAAAAAAAAGGCTGCAGAACTTCAAGTTTATTCCCTGAGCAGGACATGTATGAAAGACTGTGTTCTTGAGGAAATTTAATTGAAAAAAGATAGTCAAACACACAACCAAGTTCTTCATAGCTATTTGAAGACCTGTGTGCAGAAAACATCACTGCTGAACGACCAAAGGAAAACAGAGCATGATTCAACTAAAACAAGCAGTTTTAGGTAAAAACAAAATCAAGAGCTCAAAACAATGAAAAAGATAGGCTTGCTTTGTTTTAGTTTACTGTATTTAAACTGCTAATTTATCATTAATTAAAATGTCTTCAATAATTTTTATGAATTCAGCCCAAAAATACTATTTTGTGCTGTTTTTTTTCAAAATAGAATCTTTGCAAAACAATACTAAAACTTTATTTCTATATTCAATAAATATTACTCAATACTAGGCACTGTTTTAGGTATTTGAAATACATCAGTGAATAAAAATCTGTATTCTTGTGGAACTTACATGTTTGTGAGGAGAACACAGAAAATAAATACCAAAAGGAAAAGTAAATTGCATATTAGACTGGAAGCGATAAGAGCCAGAGAGCAGGGTTGGTTGCAATTTTAAGATCAGTTTGGAGGGAAATTTGAAGGAAACTAGAAAAGCAGGAAAAGGCAGGGAAGGCTTGATTCTTTTGGCCAGAGGATAATGGATGTCAGTCTCTTCTATGTATTTATTGTTTTTTGACATTAAGGAAGAGCAAGCAGGGGAGGGTAATGCCCTTCTTCTAACTTGTAATGTGGTTGATGATCCACTGCTTTAGCAATAGTGGGGAACCTTGCTCTATGATTAGTGTTTCTAGTGACCCAAGCATTCAGCTACATGTGAACTCAGATTTTATTTTTCTGTGGCATCTGAATCCACATTAAGTACATTCTTATTTTAAATGTATAATAATAACCTCTAGAAACTAAATTCATTACAATAACTTTATTATGTGCTTATTATGTATAAAACTTTATTATTTTTTTCTAATCCTAGAAGGAGGTATTATCATCGTTACTTTAGGGATAAGAAAAGAGAGGATCTGAGATTATAAGAGCCAAGCTCCAAGGTTAGGAAGCTGTTTTTGTGGTTCGGGCAAGAACTGAACTTGCCTCTCTCTGAAGTCAAAGTCACAATCTTTTTACTAAGCCAACACCAGAATTTGTGCTCAATGCATTCTGTTAGACACCTGCAATCTCTAATTTTATTTAAAAATGTTTATAGGGCGGAATCAACTAATTTCTTACTAGCAGACTTTATACACACCAACAAGCATAAAAAAGATGCCACCTGGACAGGTCAATAGTCATTTCATGGCAGCTCGATGCTGATACCAAAATAAAACTTCAAGATCCTAATATAGTCTATACACTATAACTTTTTATTAATCATTTTATCCACAACCTTTATCAAGTTCTACACATATGGTTCTTTTATTTTCTTTTCTTTTTTTTTGAGATGGAGTCTCTCTCTGTCACCAGGCTGGATTGCAGTGGTACGATCTTGGCTCACCGCAACCTTCACCTCCCGGGTTCAAGCGATTGTCCTGCCTCAGCCTTCCAAGTAGCTGGGATTACAGGTGTGCACCACCACACCCGGCTAATTTTTTTGTATTTTTAGTAGAGACGGGATTTCACCATGTTGGCCAGGATGGTCTCAATCTCTTGACTTCATGATCTGCCCGCCTTGGCCTCCCAAAGTGCTGGGATTACAGGCATGAGCCACCGTGCCCGACCAGTTGTTTTCATTTATTGAATTGTTCTCGTGAGTTAGAGATTGCACTATACATTCCACATGTATAATATTTTGTCTTAATAACACTATTTTAGAGAAAACTGAAGTCTATAAATGTTAAATGGAAACTTTACCTTAAGTGTCATAATGAATGTTGAGTCCTAGCCCCTAGTTCAGAACCATAGAAATTTCTGTGTAGGGAATTACTTAAAGAACTCAATTCACAGCAGTTAAGGAGTAGTCCATCAGCATATGGTAAATCTAAGAGGAGCAAGCAGTGGTGGATATCTTAGACTATGAGGGTCAAGAAGCCAGTACAAAATTAAAGCTTTGCTTCTAGAAAAATGATCCAGGAACTAACCACATTGCATCTCAGTACCCATCTGCCATTTCCGGGTGCCAAGCCCCCAGCAAGACACAAGACACCTGGACTATGTAGGTGGCATATCGGTATAAATCTATCCTTGCTAGGTGGTGGAAGGCAAAACTACTCTCATAGGGTCTTAAATGATTCTTTCTGTCCCTGGTCATTACAAGCAGCTGGCACTCTGAGTCCAAAAAAGGAGCCAAAAACGCAACAGCACAGTAAATTGTTGATAACAGAGACCTTGAGTCATCAAGAATGCATTTAAAGAAACAGAGCAGCACGTAGTACATGATAGAAAGCTTTTCATGTAAAACTGTTAAAGCGAAAGTCTCTGCTTTTTATCTGGCAAGTTTTACAAACCCTACCGGAGAATGCACTTTATGCAGAATTCTCATTTCCTGACAACCCTGGATAGATCAGGCATAGCTGTGATAATGTTCATCTCTGTGTATTATAATGAAGCTGCCATGGTAACTCCAGAAGTCACTTTAAAAAATGTGCAATTTTAAAAGTTCATTTCTTGGAAAAAGATTAGCACAGCTATAACACTCATAATAATCTAATGAGACCTGAAAAGAACACTCAGGCAAAAAAATATATACAGAGAGAGAGAGACTCCTCAGAATTCACAATTGCATAAACCTCCTGAGAATGACGTGGTCCACCCGTGACTTCCCTAATCAATGAAACCAGGGGGATGTTAGGTCAGAGATTTAATTAAATTTTGATGTGTGTAACTCAGCAGTAGAACCCATTCAGTGCCTATTTAGCTCAGGATGCTCGAGAAGTAAATCACAGAAGCACTTGCGTAGAAAATTTTATGTACTTTCCATTTTCATAATTTAAAGAACTAGGTATAATAAATGTTTCCAGCATTTGTTACTTAGGATGGGTTGACTGTACCTTTTATGACTGGTCACAGAAATTCAGGCTGGGAAGGAAACAAATGTGGCAACTGGGAATTGAGTACATTTCTAAAGTTAAACTCTCTCTCCTCAGCCCACTCCCACCTTCCCACCCTAGCCTTTTTGAAAGGAAAAAGGCATAAATCAGTGCTCAAGGTCTGTGTACCTTGTTTTGGAAAATATTTTTTTTCCAAAGGGAGATTATAACTTCTAAAAATGTAATTGTTTTTGGAGACTGAATCATATGCAATGATGAAGGCATAGTGCATGCTCAGAAGCCCCTGTTATCTCTGGGACCTCACAAGCCCTAGAAGCAAGTATTCCTGGAGGCACATTGTGACACACTCTTGATGTGGCATGTTTAATTAGAATGTCTTTTCTAGAGCCTTCCTTGCGGGCTTACAATTTAGGATCAGGGCCCTGGCTACAAATTCAAATAAGTCACATTTAATAAACCCTTATTAGCAGAAAGCTTTTGTGGCCATATGCTAATAAAGGAATCTTAATCTCCATGTTGAATTCGACATTACTCAGTAAATTGTAAAGTTTAAGTAGATGTTGACCTTACAATTGCCTTTTAAAGAAACTAAGCTACATGGTGCAGGATGCCTTCCTTCCTCAGGCTTCCTTCCCAAGATACACAACAGTGATTTGATTATTGATTTTACTTATTTAATTAAAGAATATGCCAATGAAACTGTGATGTGGTTTGGATTTGTGTCCCCGCCCAAATCCCATGTTAAATTGTAATCTTCAATATTGGAGGCAAGGCCTGGTGGAAGGTGATTGGATCATGGGGACAGATTTCCCCCTTGCTGTTCTCATGATCATGTGTGAGTTATTACAAGATCTTGTTGTTTAAAGGTGTGTAGTACCTCCCCCTTAACTCTCTTGCTCCTGTTCCAGCCATGTAAGATGTGCCTGCTTCCCCTTCACCTTCCTCCATGATTGTAAATTCCCTGAGGCCTCCCCAGCCATGCTTTCCATACAGCCTGCCGAACTGTGAGCCAATTTAATCTCTTTTCTTTATAAATGACCCATTCTCAGGTATTTCTTTATAACAATGCGAGAACAAAATAATACAAACTGGCTGAGGCCTTCTCCTCACCTCTTCCATCCAGTGTCCCCAATTCCTGCCACAGTCAGATGTATTGGTTGTTTGACATTGGACAATTCTCTTATTTTTCTCAAAAAAAAATACGACAAAAAAAATTTAAGTCATCTGTTCTGACTTCATGTCCAATCAGCCTTGCCATGAAACATTATTTTGGCCCTCTCAACAATTTCTAGACATGCTGGTGGCAGTGAAGTCAGATAAAGGTGGACAAGTTTCCTTGAAAATGATTCTATGACACACAGTGGAAAAGACATAGAATAGCAATTAGGTTAGTCAGCCTGTTGAGTAGGCTTTCAGACATATTAGGTTATCAAGGTACTAAGAAACGCAAGCTTGGCCTTCTGCCTTGAGAACAATATTAGGGCTCTTTCTTCCTCTACACATCTTTAACTTGAGTCTTCTGTAAGCATCACACCTGCTTTTTTGGGGTTCTTCATGACTGCCATAATGTTGACAGAGACATCCTATTTAGCAGTTGAGAGCAAGAACCGGGGAAACAAGTCACTGTGCTCCATTTTATCCGGAAACTCATAACGGTAGGAAAAACTTCACTTCATGCTTATACAATTAATGGTAACTGCCTTGTTCTAGATGGTGATTTGAACATTGAGTCCCAGGGGTGAAAAAGAATTTCTACTTTGAGAGAACTCAAAGTCTGGCAGGGGAATCTACATGGAAGTAAAACAAATCACTGTTTTCAGTGGGAAGAATGGACTCTTTTTACCCCTTTGTAACACAGGTATCCATCCCCAAGCACCTGACTTACCCATTCTACTCAAAGGTTTTCCAAATTCTACCTCTCATTTATCTTCAGGCAAACCACTGCCCTCTACAATTTTATCAAAGGATCTTACAACTGACTTAATCCTCTGAAAAAAATAGACATGCAAAATAATAGATTTCCTCAATTGTGATTCTCTCAATCTCAAAAATTGTGTCTTAGACTAACTTTACTCAGCTCCTTTCTTTTGATGCTATCACTTTTCCTTTCCAAGGCTTATTTCCCCTTCCTTTCCTTCCTTTCCTTCCTTTCTGCAACCTTTGCCTCCTGGGTTCAGGTGATTCTCCAGCCTCAGCCTCCCACGTAGCTGGAATCACAGGCTTGCGCCACTATGCCCAGCTAATATTTGCATTTTTAGTAGAGACAGGGTTTCACCAGTTTGGCCAGGTTGGTCTTGAACTCCTGACCTCAAGGACTCGACCTCCCAAAGTGTTGGGATTACAGGCGTGAGCCACTATGCTCAGCCACCCTTATCTTTCATTTCCTCTCTCATGCTTAGGCTCTGATTCCTCATGATCCAGCCTGATCCACACAGCCAGCCTCTTGCATACTCCATGCCTCTCTGAACTCTGCCACTCAGCCTAGGATGTTCTTTCACATTGGTCCTGGATAAACACCATGACCCACTTACCAAAACCCACCTTATGTCTTTTCTTTCTTGTATTTTCGTTTTCCCTATCTCTGCTGACTCTACATCTTTAGCTTTCAAAAAGATGTCATCCTTAAGAAAAAAGTGAAAAAAAAAATCAATAACTTTTCTTTAATGTTACTCATCAAATCACTATAATTCTCTATTCTCTCCATTTCTTTGAAAGACGTGCATGCAATAGTGCCATAAAAATATATGTGTATTATTTGGATCTTTTATTACAAATAAATATAGAAAATTTGGCAAAATGTTTCAGAGTTATAAAAAGAGAAATGATCACCATTTATAACCCTACCACCTAGAGAAAAATGCTAGAATGACGGAGGCTTAAGTGAGCAGTGTCTGGAATTAGACTCTGATTTCAAATTCTGGCACCATCACATACCAGTTGTGTGACTTTGGACAAGTAACCTCACCTCACTGTGCCTTTGTTTCCCTTTGTGCAAAATGTATGATAGCAGGGAATTGCTGTGAAAATTTAACAGGTTAGTGGAAGTGCATGTAAAGCAGTTATGGTAACAGGCACTTGTAATTAAAACTATAGGTTACTAATTTTTTATTGTTGACATCTTTAGTTATAGTCTTTGCCCATATATATAAATTGTTTTTTTATTTGCAATCTTGCCGTATCAATTATTTTAACAACTTGTTTTCTCACTTAACAGTATTTTGTGTCTCCACTTCTTAAATCTTTACTTAAACTCCATCCACCTGCAACATGGCATGGGCACTAAGCTATAATTCAGCCACTTTGTCCAAGGCAAATCATCTCTAATAACATGCAATGAGATTGTCCCACTTCACATCTTTCCTGAAGTATTTAATTACCAACCTTCCCTTACTGAAACTCCTTTCTTAACTTTACCGACACTGTTCTTTCATTGTTCCTTTCTACGTGTCTTAGTCTCCCATAAGACATATGCTCTTTGCCGTCGAACTGCTAAATATTGTCAATTCTTAGAACACCAAATGCATATTTCCTTTTTTGTGCTCTGCTTCTTCCCTTGCATACACCACATGTCCTTCAAGTGTAAGATTTTCAATACTAACCTTATTTTCTTCCAAAAAAGTCTCTACATTATTCATCCAATCACAGTTAATAGCATTACCACCCACCCAACTACCTAAGTCATTTTTAAGCTTTTTCTTTTTCCTTGAGAACAGCCTCACTCAAAGCACTTTACTTCGTGCACAACTGAACACATCTACACTCTCTACACATCTGAATCCATCTCTCAAATCCATTCTTACTCGTGTCGTTTCTATGTTCATCAGTGCTACTGAAATACAACTGGTTTCTCCAGCTAGAAACACGGATTGTCCTCAATTCCTAATTTCATTTCTTCCTCCACTTCGGCCGATTTTGTTTTACTGTGACCTCCTGCCTACCTCTGCCCTGTTTTACCTCAGATCTTATCTCCTGTTTGTGTTATTGCTATGGCCTCCTGTAGTGGATTGAATAATGTCTCATACAAATGCAAATCCACCCAGAACCTTAGAATTTGACCATATTTGGAAATAGGTCCTTTGTGGATGTTCTTAAGGTAAGGCTTGAGATGAGGTCATACTGGATTAGGGTGGGCCTTAAATCTGGTGAGAGAGTCCTATAAGAAAGACAAAAGGACACACAGACACACACACAGGGAAGCAGGCCATGTGAAGATGGAGACAGAGATTGGAGTGATGCAGCCACAAGCCTAGCAATGCCAGGGGCCACTAGAAGCTGGAAAACGCAAGGAAGATGCTCCCCTAAAGCCTTCAGGGGGAGTATGGCTGTGTTGACACTTTGATTAAACTTTTCTTGTTTTAAATAACCAATTTTATGATGATTTTTTATGGCAGCTCTAGGAAACTCAGACACCTCCCAACTAGTTTCCCCTTCAACACATCTTCTGTGCTTCCACCAGAACTCTCAGACTATACCATGTCTCTGATTAAGGTCTTTCAATCAAACACAAGCAAGGTTCTTCCCACCTGGCCTCTCTTCTTTTCTTTGTTCTCTTCCACATTATTTCCTGCATCATTGACTCCTGAATACAATTTTTGTTCCACATCTAAGTCCTTTCTGACTTTTGCCTCTCTAGTTGGAATGGCCTTATCAGTCTTGTCTTCCTTGTGCAATTAGTCATCTATCATGATCCAGCCCAGGAGTCACCTCATCTGTGTGGTCCTTCTTGACTCTTTTCTGTCATGTTCATGTCTTGAATTTTCTTCTACTATTGTATTTATTAAACATCGTAATTTCTTGTTAATATCTTCTTATTCATTTTTATAGTCCAATATTTTTTGGCACAGGGTCACACACATAATAGGTGTTAAATCCATGTTTGTTGAATGACAGAATCCCTTTTTTCTTACATATTACATATAATTAAATGTTTGTTCATTTTTTAAGAGATGCGGTCTTGCTCTTTTGTCCAGGCTGAAGTGCAGTAGTGCAATCAGTGCAGCTCTCTGTAACCTGAAACTCCTGGGAAGCGATCCTCCAGCCTCAGCCTCCTGAGTAGCTGGCACTACAGACACACACCACCACTATGCCTGGCTAATGCTTTTTAATTTTTTTAGAGACAGGATCTGGGTACATTGTCCAGGCTGGGCTTAAATTCACAGCCTCAAGCAATCCTCTCACCTTGGCCTCCCAAAGCATTGAGATTACAGGAATGAGCCACTGTACCCAACTTATGCCAATTTTAATTTAAAAAGTTACCTTTGAGTTTTTCCACTCAGTCCTACTGTCTTGGTTCTAGTCATCACCTCCCTTGAATAGTGTTCTTGCTTGCATCTCCCTGTCTATCTTGTTTCTCCTTCTGCCATTAATAGGACTTTCTGAAACTCATAAAAAATTATATCATTCTTGCAGCTGAAAACTTCAGTGATTACCCATTGGCTTTAGAACAAAGTCCAAACTTTATAATGTGACTTATAAAGTTGTTCCAATCTTTCTTGCTCCATCAAGAATGTGGTGCTCCAATTTCACTAGATTTCCCACAAATCCTTAAAGCCCTGTCCAAGCTTGTGTCTTCATATCTTTGTTCCTCAGCTTTCTTCTTCTGCTGGAGTCCTGTTCCTTCTCTCTCTCTTTTTTTTTTTTTTTTTTTTGGAGATGGAGCCTTGCTCGCCTAGCCTGGAGTGCAGTGACGTGATCTCAGCTCACTGCAACCTCCACCTCCCGGGCTCAAGCAATTCTGCCTCAGCCTCCCAGGCAGCCAGGACTACAGGCACATGCCACCACACCTGGCTAAATTTTGTATTTTAGTAGAGACAGAGTTTCACAATGTTGGCCAGGCTGGTCTTGAACTCCTGACCGCCCGTCTCGGCCTCCCAAAGTGCTGGGATTACAGGTGTGAGCCACCACACTTGGCCCCTCTTCCTTCTTAATGTGCCAAAGCATCCCCTTTTCTTGAAGATCCCTCTCAGGCCTGCACTAGAAATAAGGAAGTACATTACTCCTTATCTTCCTGAAGAACTCTGTCCCAGCTATGTTTACATCATGTTACGTTGAAGCATGTAACTATGCTACTTACAATCAGCTATGCTACCATGTGCTGACTTAGCATATCAGAGCTGAGTTGAGTGTAAATATGACTATTTCTCCCTCCCTGATATGTCCCTATCTAGACTGTGAGAGCCTTAAAACTTGGGATCCATTTTGTAGTCTGGATATCCAGCATACTCTCTTGAAAGGAGTATATAATTAGAAGTGTCCTTTCAGAGGTGGCTCTTTTTTCCCTGTTAAGGAGTTTGTGAATTTATTTTTAGGCATAGCATCAAATATGTGTTTTTAAAAATTTCTTTATTTGTTATCCACCCATCTGCACACTGATTTTCTATTTTTTAAAAAAATTTACTTACATAGCATAATACATGCAAATAATACATGTAAACCCTTGTGATGGCTACTTTTATGCATCAACTTGCCTGGGCCATAGTACCCAGATATTTGGTCAAACATTATTCTAGACATCTCTGTGAAGGTACTTTTTGATGAGATTAACATTTAAATCAGTAGACTTTGCATAAAACAGATGGCCCTTTATAACATGGGTGGGCCTCATCCAATCAGTTGAAGGCCTTAACAGAGAAAAAGACTGACCTCCCTGGAGGAAGAGCGAATTCTGCTAGCACCCTGATGTTGAATTCAAACTGAAGCTCTTCCCTAGATCTCCAGCCTGCTCTGCTGCCCTGAAGATTTTGTTCTGGCAGACTCCACAGTTGCTGAGCCAATTCCTTGAAATAAATCTTTCTCCATACACATGCACTTTATTCTGTTTCTCTAGAGAACACTGACTACTACAACAGTCGACAAATATCTCTTCTCATCTGAAACATTTCATTGATTCTCTCTCTACACACACATTTCTAAAACACAACAACACAAAACAAGTTATAAATAAAATTTATGAGCTTGAATTTGGAAATGTTTGCTTGCAAAGGTGTGTTTGTGGCCCAGAAGTCCTAGAATCACCCAGCGCCTGAGTTTGAATCTTGGCTCTAGCAACTAGATGACCTTGATGTAGTTACTTGCCCTTTTGTTTTTCTATGACTTTATATGATTGTTGTTGTGAGGATTAAATCAATGGAAACATGTGAAGTGCTTAAGACAGTGCCTGGCACATAGTAAGTGCTCACTGAACGTTAGCTGTCATGTTTATAAAATCTCCTCTGTTTGCCTAATTGCTTCAGTTCATTCATTTCCCCTTGCTAATCTACTACTGAGAAAAATATGGATTCTGATTGCTTGCCTTCAGCTCTTCAGCTCCTGCAGTCTGAAATGTGATACACAACAATGTATTCATTACAATAAAATTCAACTATAAATTTTTTGGATGGTTTATGCTGCTTGATGTAGTAATATTATATGTGTAGTCTCAGGGTGATGTTTCTTGGTTTCTTATTGTTTAAACAAAACTGTCTATTTTGATTCTAGCATATAGGAAATGTAAGAAGTTCAAATATACTAGTAAAAATGAAAGGTATTTTCATTTACTAAAGCTATAATCAAGACAGAAGGCATTAATTAAGTAATTACTTAAGGGAATAGAAATGTTTTTGAGTTTGTTAAAGATTCTTCCCCGCCAAGGGGTGGCTAGAGCTCTGTCTTTACTGTAACATATGCAAATACATACATAAGTAGAGCAAACCCTGGGTTTTTCTTACTTCTGGAAGAAAACAGTAGTTCAAAAAAAATAAATCTCAAAATAAATTTTGTTTGATTTGGTAGTGCAGCAGCAGCACATAATTTGGGGGCAGTTGGTGGATTTATTTTGTGAGCATGTGTGTGTTTTAACACTTAATCTAAAACAAGAGTAACATTAATCTTTATTTCTTAGCACACTACTCATTACTTAAGAAGGTGTTTCAGAATTGTGTTAAAAGAAAAGGTAGTTAATCAGGAAGGGGGGAGTGTGTGTGTGTGTGTCACGTGCAAATCCCACAAGACATTGCTTTTTCCTCATTACTTTCTGTTTTCCACTGGTGATATTGAATTCCTCTTGCCTTTACTTGTTAAAGCATCATGTCCCCAAGGTATATACTAATGTTGAAAGAAAACATTCTTTTTTCCTCCCTTTGAGTATGTGAAAGATTGATGATAGAGACATTTTCCATCTTCTCTCATGTAGTTCTCTCTTTAGATCATTACTAATGATTTGGCAATCAAATGCACTTGAAATATGTAGATGAAACAATCCTCATTCTTTTTATCAGTGGCAAAAGACTTTCTGATTTACAAATGGATCTAGAAATATACATATTTAATTATAAGTATACATAAATATACTTCCCTGAAATATATTAATAATTATCTGAAAGACATATAAATATGAATGATAAATTAAGCATAACGCAATATAAACTAGAAGGGCCCGTATTCCTGAACGCATTTAAGTCATTTTCCGTCTTCCAATCAGGCTTCATCAAGTCAATACAGATTGAGGAGTGTTTATCCCTTTCTTATAAATTCCCAGGAAGAAAGATGTCTCATTTAAAGGATAATTATTACCTACATATGTACATATATACATATGTATAACATATGCTATTTAAGAAAATTCAAATCAAGGTTTAACATGATTTGACTTTGCATTAAATATTTGCTTAAAAACTTTTCATAGGAAATCTTTACTATAAAAATCAATAAAATCAGTATTATTATCCCCATTTTATAGAAAGAAAAAAATGAGATACATACTTGTGTACATTCCACAGAGGGTTAACCATACCCCTTCAACAACAAAAACAATGTTTGCTTTTTGTTCCCTTATTTAATGCTGGGGTTCTGCCCATCAATCCAAGTTACTTTTTAAGAGTGTAAATGATTTCTTGCAAAGCCATTATAAATGGAGGAAAATCCCCAGGTGGCAAAATTTTTCTCTCTCACACTTCATTTTTTTCATCAAAAATGTCTCTAACATTTAATTATAAACTGCTTATAATCACAGTCCATTGATACAACATAGGAACCACAGATTAATTTAGGTGCTCACTGTCAGTTTTCTGTATATAAAAATCAGTTTGGTTTGAAACCTTTGTGCTCGGGTGCTTATTAGGCTTGCTTACTAGTGTAAATGCATCTGGTGAATTTTTGCAACTTCCAGATAACTTAAGAAACAAACCTAGAAATCCTTTGAAGGTTGAGCCCAGTAGATGCTGAGGTAAGTAGCTGTTTGGTGTCCATGATCGGCTTAGTTTGGCTGTGACATAGAGCCCTTCTTATAAATGATCCATGTCTCACCTTTAAATGGATTTTTCATTCTTCATATCCCTCCTTTTTATCCCCACCCAACTTCCATCCTAACTTTTCTCCTCTTTCTTCTGACCTGGTGTTAGCACCTTGGTGTCTGAAGTGGCATAATTTCACCAAAATCCTTTCTCTGGGGCTGGTAAGCAGAACCTTACTTCTGTGACTCCTTAAGCCAATTTTTCATCAGGCCTTCTTTCTAATCTCCCTTATGGGCCAGATTTCTCTTAAGTACTAAAGGAGTTTTCCCTAATATGTTCAACAGATGCTCCTTTCCAATGCCATCTTTTCAGAGCGCCTAAAAGTGCTCCATTGTGGAGCCTAGCATATATGCTTGAATATACAAACACAGCACTACTTCTTTTCTTTATTGACTTGCACTGAAATCTGTGCCTCTTCTAAATAAAACACTTTGCCTTCCCAGTATCAGGCTGCCCATGTGCTGAAACATTTGTGTCTCCTTTAAATGCATCAGAACTTCCCAGGTTTGCCTCCAACAATATTTTAACAGATAGTACACTGCCAAAAACCGATCAAATGCTTTCCAAATCTTCTTGACAGCATTATTGATGACAGATGGTTCGCCTCCACATTTCGCCAACCACAGGACAGTATTAGAAGTAACACTGCCTTGATAAGATTATGCAGTAGGACAACATATGTAATGCCTTTCACCTCTTGACCTCTATAAGAACATAAATATTTAGAAGAGTTCCAAAATATCAGAAGAGCTATAATTGCACATAGTTTTATGCAATCCGTTTATCTACTGATACCCTTAGCTGAAGGCAAATTATTTATTTGTTTTTCTTTTCATAGGAATCCTAAGTGTCATTGTACTATATTTACAATGTCCATTCTCAGAGGTTACTACAGAAAGGCATCTAATTTTCCATGAGTGAAAATGCTCTGAAAATAGATGTACTCAGGGCTTAAACATGCAGTTTCTCAGGAGCCTGTTGTTGTTTCCAGTTAGGATTTTTTTTAACCAGAAATAAAATAATATATTGCTTTTTCCAGTTACTGTCTTATTCTCTGTGAAGGTTAATCGTTGACCTATATGTATCAAAAAGACAATATTGCACAAAATGTATGATTAGTGTAGCTGCTTATGTGAAAACATAAGTGTGGGAGGGTTATAAATTTGAATCTTTTTTTAGGCACAAAAATATGCCATTATGATAAATAGCTTACTTTGAGTGCTTGGGGTAGTTGCCATGTTCTCAATTGTTTAAATACCCCCAAATATTACTTTTCTAGATTATAAACACCATGAAGCCTAGGATTATGTCTGTTCTGTTCACTTCTGATTTCCCAGCATCAAGCACAGAGTCTGCTGCCATAATAGGTGCTCAATAAATATGTGATAACTATCTGGATGAACAGATAGATGGATACATGGATGGAATAATTTATCAAGCACTAAAGCACATTACAGTGTTCATATTTTCCTAAAGAATAATGTAGTGAGAGTTGGTATACATTGTGGATAAAAGCCTGGGTTTATCTTTGGTTATATGTACTGGCTTTATAAAAGTTTAAGTTTTTAACATCTAATGCCTGAATTTGCTCATTTTTAAGATGAGAATAATAATACTTTCTATAACATAAAAATATAGAGGCCTTATAGTGATGATGCTAAGTACACTGACTCTGGGGCTACATTTCCTAAGTTTAAATTCATGTTTTACCACAGAATGGCTATGTAACTTTGGTCTCAGCTCACTGAAACCTCCACCTCCCAAGCTCAAGCCATCTTTCCACCTCAGCCTCCAGAGTAGCTAGGACTAAAGGTGTGTACCACCATACCCGGCTAATGTTTCTAATTTTTGTAGAGAAGAGGTTTCACTATGTTGCCCCAGGTTGATCTCGAACTCCTGGGCTCAAGCTATTTGCCTGCCTCGGCTTTCCAAAGTGCTGGGATGACAGGCATGAGCCACTGTGCCTGGTTCGTGTTAGTTATTTTCATTGTGCAATATGTTCTTTTTTTTCTTTCTTGAACCAAATAAGTTTTTGTTTGTTCCTCACTATGGTTAGTTTGGAAGAAAAAATAAATCACAGTAATTGTAATTTAAGAGGCGTAAAATATGAATTCACCAGTAAAGTAACAAATGAGAAATAATATGGCTTTAGGGCTAGGAGTGGTGACACAAAAATAAACCCTCAATGTAATAGGACTGTCCAGAAAAAGATGTTCCTCTATTCACTTTATTAATTCCTTCAATCATTTACTCAACAATATATATTTACTGTTTCAACAACATATATGCTCCATGGCAGGCACTACTCTAGGTGAAATAAATATAGGCAGTAGTCAGAAAATAAACAGAAATTAACAGTTCTTAGAACTGTGTGTGTGTGTGTGTGTGTGTATAAACACTGATAAGCAAAATAAATAAATATATAATATGTTAAGTCCATGTAGACAATTCATGTTAAGAAGAAAAAAGCTCAGAAAGCGAGAATTTGGAGTTTGGTGTTACAATTTTCCTAAAGTAGATATGAAGTCCTCATTTATATGGTTAATATAGAATAAAAGTCTAATAGAGATGAGCGCATGAATTGTGTTCATGTTTTTAGAAAGGAAAGCCAGTCAGAGTGAGGAGCAATTAGACCCTAAAGAACACTACCTACTATATTCCAATAACATGAAGGAAACCAGTCATTTTAGAAGAAATGTCTGCAAGGAGGAGAGTAGCAAGGCATAAAGTCAGAGAGGTATGAGGGAGTGCACTGGATTGTGAAGGGTCTTACAAGCCAATGGAATGATATTAGCTTTTACTTGTAATGAAATGTGAAGTCATTCGAAGGTTTTAGCAAGAAAACAAGAAAATGTGATCAACCTTTAAACAGAATTATTTTAGTTACTCTCTTGAGAATATACAATAGGGAGGACAAAGGTGTAAACAAAGTCTAGAAGCTTTTTCAATAATGCAAGTAAGAGATTATGTGCTCTTAGACCAAAATGTTACAGGAAAGACTGAAAAGTAGACAAATACAGAGGCTATTTTGAAGCTAAAGGCAAGAGGACTTGTTGATGCATTACATGTGGGAAGGAAAAGGACAGACAGCCATTTTTTAAAATCTGCAGCTACTGGAAGAATAGAATTCTTATTAATTGTTTGGAAAGGCTGAAGGAGGTCAGTGAAAATTAGGAAGGCTGTTTTAGACAAGTGGAGATGTTGAGTAGACAGATATGTGTGTATATCTGAAGTTCGGAATGGAAGCCTAGATAGGAGATTAGAAGTTGAAAGTCATCACCGTATTGCCACTATAAGGCCACAAGATCACCAAAGGAGAGGGGTATAGAAAGAAAAAAGGACATGAATTTTGGAGAGACAAAATTATACCCATAACAGTCCATTCTCTGGTCCCCCAAATACTCATGTCCATCCCACATGCAAAACACATTAATCCCATCCAACATTCATCAAAGTTTCAACTTATAGCATCTACTCTTAGTTAAAAATCTCATCTAAATATTGTCAGTTCAAAAGTCAAAACTTAATTATTTAAATAACCTAAATTAAGTATGGCTAAGATTCTAGGCATAATCTATCCTATGGGAAAATTTCTTCCCACCTATGGATATGTGAAACCTAAAAATAAGCCATCTGCTTTCAAAGTATAACAGTAGAACAGATATATGATAGACACTAACCTCCCAAGAGGGAGAAATTGAAATAAAGGGATCACTGGTTCCAAGAAAGTTGGCATCTAGCAGGCTAAGTTTCATTATGTTTCAAGGTCTGAGGCTTAAGCTCTGTGGCTTAAGGCTCTATCTTCAGGGCTTACTTTACTCCACAGTCTCTGCTCTGCTTCCATGGCAGCTCTATTGGCCTCTGCCTCTGTTTCTGCCCCTCTGACCTCTGAGTTCTTCTTACCATTAAAGTGTAGCACATGTTTGCAGTTGAGTAGCTCTATCAGTCCATTTCCTGACTGTAAAATTTTGGAAGTCTGATAGTCTTCTTTCACTTTGTGAAATCCCTTTTAGTTTAAGTTGGCAGTGTTTCTGCTTATATAATTTTCTCAACAACATTGTCGGTCTCCCACATATACCATAAGGTTTCACACCATTAGACAAGAGGATCCTCTACAGGTCTTTCCTAGATAACTCCATTTCTGTTTCTGGCTTCTGCTGAGATGGTTGAGGGGACCCCAAGAGTCACACACTTAATTTCTTCAGCAAAAATCTTTCAGCCTCGTCTTTTCCTTGTCTTCAGAGCACAGTTTCTCTAACAGTGAATAACATTAGCACGTTTTGGAATCTGAATAGATGTGATTTTTTTGAATCATCAAGTGCTGGTTTCTTTGTGCTTAATGGTCTCTTCTTCAATTTATCTTTTTCTTCTCACATTTTATTCTAAATGGCAACAAGAAATCAGGTCACACCTTCAAAGTTTTGTTTGAAAGTATTTTCAGCTAAATATATAAGCATGTAAGTTGTAAACAATGGCTTACAACTTCTGCTTTCCAAGCAACATTAAGACACAACTTAGACAAGATATGCCACTATATAATAAAGATTACCTTTCCTCCAGTTTTCAACATGTTCATAATTTGTTTCTGAGCACCTGTCTTTAATATTCATGTCTATACCATGAACACTGTGCTCATGGGAATATATGTATTCTCTAAGATAATAACAGTTTTCTCTACTATATTCTTCATTTCCTTTGAGCCTTCTCCAAAATCTAGGCTTTTTCTACCATACCCCTCAAAATTCTTCCAGCCTCTACCCATTGCTCAATTCCAAAGCCACTTCCAGATTGTTAGATACTTGTTTCATTACAGTTGTACTTCCTGGTACCAAAATCATTGCTCTCCTTTTTTTCTGTATATATAAGCTTCTAACTGGGGATTGTTTTTCTTTTGTCTTTTGGTATTTCCTCTAGTGTGGAACTAATGATTAATTATTTTAGCTTTTATTTCTATGAAAGTGTTCTATTTTACCTTTACTTATAAAATATGAATATTTACCAGATACAGAATTCCAGATTGGTGTTTTCCCCCAGTACTTTGAAGATCTCATTCCATTGACTTCTGGTTTTTATTTTATTGATCCTATGGAAGAGTTACATTCCTGGCACTCTCTGCCTGCTTTTAAGATGTTCTCTTTGTCTTTGGTTTTTAGCAGTATGACTATAGTGTGTCTAAATGTGTCATTCCTTATGATTATTTCACTTGAGATTTATATCCCTTCTTGAAATTGTGACTTGATATCTTTTGTTGATTGGGGAAAAATCTTGACCACTACATTTTTCTAAACTTCCTTTGTTCCAATATCTCTCTTTACTCTTTTTTGGGAGTTTAATATGTGTGTTAGATCATTTGACTGTTGCTACAATTTGAATGTTATTGTACCCTCCAAAAATTTATGAAGCTTAGTTTCCAATTTAATAGTATTGAGAGGTATAATCCTTGGAGGTGATTGAGTTTTAAGGCTCTGCCCATGAATGGGATTAGGTGCCCTTATAAAGGAGCTTGATGGAGGGAGTTTGTTCCTTTTGGCCCTTAACCTTCTGCCTTGCAAGGACACAGTGTTCTCCCTTCTGGAGGACACAGTGTTCAAGATGCCATCTTGGAAGCAGATTGGACCCTCACCAGACACCAGATGTTGGCACCTTGATCTTGGACTTACTAGTCTCCAGAACTGTGAGAAATAAATTTCCGGGTAGTTACAAATTACCTAGTCTCTGGTATTTTGTTATAGCAGCTTAAACAGACTAAGAAAATAATATATTCTATATATTTTTTTCTCTTTTCTTCATTTTTAATCTAATCTTTTTGCTTTGGTTTGTGTACTTTTAACACACACATTAAAGTTGTAATTTGGTTACTGTGTTAATCAGTTACAAAATTTCTATTTGCTTTTTAAAAATGGCTTACATTTCTCTGATGAATTTTTTTACCTTGTCTTGTATTTCTTGAACACATATTAACCATAATTATGTAATTCCATGTTTGATAACTACAGTTGTGGATATCTTATGGGTGTGTTTTTACTGCTGGTTTTCTCTCGGTTTGCCACATAAACACACACACAGAAACTAAGTGTGTGGGTGCCCGTGTGTGTGCAGCCAGAAATAATGTTTGAAAAATTATAGTGGCAGATTGAAGTCTTGAATGATGCTATCGTTCTGTAAAAATAATTTGTTTTCTTCATCTGGTAATTTAGCTTGAGAAAGATCAGATTATTCCATTCGAGATTAAGCTGATTCAAATTAGTTTTCAGTATTTGTGAAGACTTGGTCTGTCCAGGTTCACCATTATTCATGGGCATAGTCCTTCAGAGACCCCAACGGAAACCCAGAGTTTTATGCCAGCGTCCTTACTCCTTGGCACATATTAAACTTCAACTGCCATTACCCTAATCTCTTAAGACATTTGAAAGTCCTGCTCAGATTTTTAGATTCTTGTTTATCATATTAGAACTTACAAATTTTTTATGGTGAAAAGCAGAGCTAAATATTATATTTACTTCTTTTTGTTTCCATTCTCTCTGAGTTCTTGATTGCTCAAGTTCTTACTGCCTTGGTAGCTGTCTTATACCTTTAAACTGATTTCTAAAATTATTTTATTTGGATTTTGCCATTTTTATTGGCAGAATACCTTCATAGTAAAATTGAAAACATATATATATATATATATATATAATTTTTTTTTTTTTGAAACAGAGTCTCGCTCTGTCACCCAGGCTGGAGTGCAGTGGCGCAATCTCGGTTCACTGCAAGCTCCGCCTCTGGGGTTCACGACATTCTCCTGCCTCAGCCTCCCGAATACCTGGGACTACAGGCGCCCGCCACCATGCCCGGCTAATTTTTTGTATTTTTAATAGAGACTAGGTTTCACCATGTTAGCCAGGATGGTCTCGATCTCCTGACCTCGAGATCCGCCCGCCTCGGACTCCCAAAGTGCTGGGATTACAGGCGTGAGTGAAAATTTTTTTAAGCAAAATGGCATTTTACTGTAAATTTTTTGTGTTACATAATTATTTTTTAATTTTCAAATCGATTTTGGAAAGTTTACATAGAGTTTGTTAGTTATATAGAGCTCGCTTGTACTTTTAACTGCTGAATGATATTATATCCAATACCCTCTTGATGAAACCTAGATTGTTCTCAATTTTATTGCTATTATTTACAGTTATGCAACCAATATTCTGTGCATGCCTTTTCGTGTATCTATGTGAGTAGTACACTAGAGTCAATATTGATCATTAAAGTTGATGGATATGAACATAAAAAGTTTAGCTAATACTTCACATTTTCCTTTATAAATAGGGTTCCAGTTTATACTTCCACTAATAGAGGAAGAATAAAATTGATGCTTTCATAAAAAATAAATTAAAATAGGCAAGATGAATAGGCAAAAATATTATTCCTACTATTCTTCTTACACAAATAAAACACTAACAGAATATTACTAGTTGATTAATTTGACAATTGTTTATTATTCCAAATACACATTTGGGCAGTGAGGATTAATCAGCGGTGAAGTTGACAAAATTCTTGCTATAATAGATATGATATTTTAGGAAGTATGAATTTTGGGGTTTCAAGCAGCTTGGTTTGTATTTTCTAATATATTGCAGACTAATTTATTTTTCTCAATTTCTCTCACCTTTTCTAATTGCTTTGAGTCTTTCTGAGAACTTGAAAATTTACAACAAATAGTTTGAAAACATTTTACATACAAATAAATAAAACTTGATGAGCAAAATACAATAATTAATGACAAATTGGGAAAATATTTTTAACTAACACATGGTTAAAATCCCTAATATAAAAAGAGTTTCTTTAGAGTGAGGAAAAAATAACAATAATTGACAACTCGATAAAAATAATACAAATGACTCCAAAACATAGGAGCAAGAAGCTTAAATTTGTTCATAATGACAAATTTGCAAATAAAAACCACACTGAGATAAGATTGTTCATTTATTAGACTGCTAAAAATCATGGATTTTGACCATAAACTTTTTGGCAAGGATCTGGGGAAACAAGCACTTTCATTTATTGCTAGTAGGATTGCAAAATGCCTTTCTAAGGAATTAGAAATATCCGGAAAATAAATCTCTTTGTTCTTTTACCTAGTAATTCCTCTCAGGAATCTAACTGAAGATACCCTTGCAAAAATGTAAAATGATCTATGTACAAAGATACTGGTTGTGACATTATTTAAAATAGCAAAAGCCTGGAAACAACCTAAATGTCTATCCATAGTGAACTGGTTCAATAAATTATAATATGTCCTCATAATATAGTACCAATCCTCTGTAAAACATAATGAGGAAGATCTCTATATATTGATATTGGGTGACTCCAAGGTAATTGGAAAGTGAAAAAACCCTACAAAACTGAAAATGCAAAACATCATTTAGTGTATATGATAAAGGATGAGAGAGAAGAAATAATGGAGAAACCAGAATAGAAGAAAGGTTTTACTGGGTATACCTTATGTTATGCTTTTATTTTGAAATCTTTTGATATTTTACAAAATTAAGTCAAATCAAAATCAAAATAATCACTAAAATGGAATGAAAATTAAGCAAATGGATCTAAATTTTATATTGTGTGTAGAATAACCACACAGAAAAACACTGATTATTTCATGTGATTTAAAATACACTATTTGTACTGTATAATCCTAACAAGATGTATTCTAAAGACAATAATCTATTTTAAAATATTTGGCAGAATTCAAATTTTAGCAATTCTGTTATTAATTTGAACACGTGATTAATTTTACAGGAATCAGTATTTTCAGTGTATAAAACATTATAAAATAAAAAAATTTAAAATCTATCATTTGAAATGCAAACTTGTGTGCATATATATATATATGGCATATATATTTCATTATATATATGGCATATATATTTCATTATATATATGTCATATATATATTCACTGTGTCCACTGGAAGAACCAGAAAGCAATGATACCTACTATGAGCACTCTAAATACAGTCACATGTCTCTTAATGTTGGAGAGTGCTGAGAAATGCATCTTTAAGTGATTTCATCATGTGTGAACATCAGAGTGTACTTACACAAACCTAAATGGCATAGCCTACTGTACGTCTAAGCTGTATAGTGTAGCCTATTGCTCCTAGGCTACAAAATTGTACAGAATGCTATTGTACTAAATATAGCAGGTAATTATAACACAATGGAAACCACTGGTGTATCCAAAACCTATCTAAACACAGAAAAGGTACAGTAAAAATATGGTATAAAAGATAAAAAATGACACATCTGTATAGGGGCACTTACCATGAATGAAGCTTGCAGGACTGGAAATTGCTCTGGGTCAGTGAGTGAGTGAGTGGTGAATGAATGTGATGGCCTAGGACAACATGGTATACCACTGTAGACGTTATAAACACGGTACATATATGCTACACTAAATTGATTTCAATGTTTTATTCATTAATAAGTTAATCTTACCTTACTGTACCCTTTTCACTTTATAAGCTTTTTAATTTTTTAAATTTGTTGACTCTTTTGTCATAGCACCGTTTAAAACACAAATTATATAGCTGTACAAAAATATTTTATTTATATCCCTATTGTATAAGCATTTCTCTGTTTTTAATTTTTTCATTTTTAAACTCTTTTGTTAAAAGCTAAAACACAAACATATGCATTGGCCCAGGCCTACACAGGGTCAGGATAATTAATGTCCCTGCCTTCTACCTCCACATCTTGTCCCACTGGAAGGTCTTCAGGGGCAATAACACACATAGAGTTGTCCTTTTGTATGATAACACTGCCTTCTTCTGGAATACCTCTTGAAGGACTCGCCTGAGGTTGTTTAAAAATAATTTTTTTAATAAGTAGGAGTATACTCTAAAATAATAAAATGTATAGGATAGTAAATACACAAACAGTAATATAGTTGTATACTATCATATCAAGCATTATGCACTGTACATAATTGTGTGTGCTGTACTTTTGTATAACTGGCAGCACAATTGGTTTTTTATGTCATCCTTACCACAAACACATGAATAATACATTGCACTATGATGGTACGATGACTACTATGTCACTAGGTCATAGAAATTTTTGAGCTCCATTATAATCTTATGAGACCATCATTGTATGTGTGGTTAATTATCAACAAAAACATTATGTGGCACATGAAGATAGTATTTTCTTTAAAAGCATGTAAAAATGTTTATTTACTAAAGGCTGATTTAGGCTAAGTGTGGGGCCTGAACTGTATAAATGTATAAAGTGAATCGTGGTCATCTTATTCCAGAGAAAAAGGAAGCTCTCAAACACTAATGAGGTCATGTCAAAAGCACAGAGGCTAACTTTAAAGGACTCCCATTAGCCAAAAATAAGACCATTTGACATTGAAAAATATTGTCTTGATCAATCAAGACATATTAAATACATAGACATTCGCGAGTCCATAATGATCCTCAACAAGTCCTTACTGTGGTGGTTGCTTGGCTATAACTCTTTACTGTAAAAGTTGATAAAGATAAAAAGCATTTATTTTAACTTTTCACTATCAATTTTATTTCCTCAGAGCTATTTAAGGATGGAAAGTTCTTTTTAGCAGAATTTTAGTTTATACATGCAGAAGAAAATATGTAATTGAAGAATTAATATTGTTAAAAATGCCCATATTACCAAAAGTGATCTCCAGCTTCAATGGAATCTCTATCAAAGTCTCAATGGTATTTTTTACAGAAATAGAAAAAGCAATCATAAAATTCATATGAAACCCCAAAAGAACCCAAATAGCCAAAGCAATTTTGAGCAAGAACAAAGCGAAGGCATCACACTTCCTGATTTCAAAATATATTGCAAAGCTACAGTAAACAAAACAGTACGGTATAGCGAGCTCAGAATAAACTCATGTATATACAGTCAATTGATTTTTATGTATATTACAGTCAATTGATTGAGGTTGCCTGAAACTTATGTTGTATGAAACTAATTGAAACTTATGTATATACAGTCAATTGATTTTTAACAAAGTTACCAAGAACATGCAATGAGGAAAGAATAGTCTCTTCCATAAATGGTATTGAGACAACTGGATACTCACAGACAACATAATGAAATTGAACTCTTATTTTATGCCATACACAAAAATCAATTCAAACTTTAAATGTAAAATCTGAAACCATAAAACTCTTAGAAGAAAACATAGGAATAAAGCTTCTTCATAATGGCTTTGGCAATGATTTCTTGGATATAACATCAAAAGCACAGGCAACAGAAACAAAAGTAGACAAATAAGATTACATCAGACTAAAAAGCTCCTGCACAGCAAATGAAACAGCCAAGAAAATGAAAATGAAACCTATGGGATGGGAGAAAATATTTGCAAAACATATATCTGGCTAAGGGTCAATATCCAAAATACACAAGAAACTTTAACAATTCAACAGCAAAAAAATGACTAAACTTATTAAAAATGGACAAAGGAACTGAATCAACATTTTTCCAAAGAAGACATATAAATGGTCAATAGGAATATGAAACAGAGCTCAGCATTAAACAAGTCAATAGCAAAAAATTAATAAACTAATTAAAAAATGGGAAAAGGAACTGAATTCACATTTTTCCAAAGAAGACATATAAATGGCCAATAGGAATATGAAAAGGAGCTCAATATCACTAATCAGGGAAATGTAAATCAAAACCACAATGAGATATCACCTCATGCCTGTTAGGATGGCTATTATTAAAGCACACACACACACACACACACACACACATGCACACACACACACACACACACATAAATGATAAAGATAACAAATGCTGGCCAGGATGTGAACGAAAGAGGAATTGGGATGGGTGCAGTGGCTCATGTCTATAATCTTGGCACTTTGGGAGGCTGAGGCAGGAGGATCACCTGCCTCAGAGAGATGCAAGGAGTTTGAAACCAGCCTTGGCAACAGAGAGACCCCATCTTTACAGAGAATACACAAATTAGCTGGGGTGGTGATGCACGCATCTGTAGTCCCAGCTACTCAGGAGACTGAGGTGGGAGGAAGGCTTGAGCCCTGGAGTTTGAGGCTGGGGTGACCTAAAATTGTGACCCTGCACTCCAGCCTGGGAGACAGAGTAAGATCCTATTTTTAAATTAAAAAAAAAAAAAGAAGAAGAAGAAAGAAAAAGCTAGAAAAAACTTTTACACGATTGGTTGAGAATATAAATTGATAGAGCCACTATGTTAAATTGTTTGAAAATTCCTCAAAAAATTAAAAAGAGAACTACCATGATGCAGAATCTTACTTCTAGGTATATATCCAAAGGAATTGAATTCAGGATCTCAGAGATAACTGTACCTCCATCCCAAATGCCACATTATTCACAGTAACCAAGACATAGAAGCAACCTAAATGTACTCTGATTGATGAACAGATAAAGAAAAATGTGATATATACATAAAATTGAATATTATTTAGCCTTAAAAAGGAAGGAAATCCTGCCATCTGCAACAACATGAATGAACTTTGAGAACATTATGCTACGGAAAATAAGCCAGACACAGGACAAATACAACTACATGGTATCACTTATATGATTAATATAGTCAAACTCATAGAAGCTGACAGTAGAATGCTGGTTGCCAAAAGATAGGGAGAGAATAAAATAGAGAAGAATTTTTCAAAGGCTATGAAACTTTAGTAATATAAGACATCTCAGTAGTGCAATGCATGAGTCCTAGAAATCTATTGCACAGCATAGGTGCCTACACTTAGCAGTACTGTATTTGTATACTACTTAAAAATTTGCTAAGAGGGTATATCTCATGATAATAGTGCTTAACATATAATCATAATAATTAATAAAGAGGGGGAGGAAACTTTTAGAGTTAATGAATATGTTTATGACATAGGTTGTCATGTAGGTCCCATGGATGCACATTTACCTCCAAACTTATCAAGCTGTATACATTAAACAAGTAAAGATTTTAGTATGACAATCATGCTTCAATAAAATGCATTTTTTTAACTGTTTGTATTTTTATTAAGTGGGGAAGGTAAAAATCCTTGAATAGACAATGATCATCAATGTCTGCTAAAGCCTATTGATGGGAAACATCATTATGGATGGATGGGGATGACAAAACTGGAAATTCTGACCAATTTTAACATTCATCAGATTGGAACAGCCAAATATTATTTACCTCTGGATAAGACAGATAAAATGGCAGATATGTATTATTATATAATAATAATCCAAAAAATCCCCTTAGGAATCAAATCAAGTCTCTAGCATTTTATAGGAAATATAGAGGATGAAAAATAAGTACTAACATGCCATGTGAAAACAATCAGCTGAATAAAGAAAGATGGCCATACTGCCCAAGGTAATTTATAGATTCAATGCCATCCCCATCAAGCTACCAAAGACTTTCTTCGCAGAATTGGAAAAAACTACTTTAAAGTTCATATGGAACCAAAAAAGAGCCCACATTGCTAAGTCAATCCTAATCCAAAAGAACAAAGCTGGAGTCATCACGCTACCTGACTTCAAACTATACTACAAGGCTACAGTAACCAAAACAGCATGGTACTCGTACCAAAACAGAGATATAGACCAACGGAACAGAACAGAGCCCTCAGAAACAATGCCACATATCTACAACAATCTGATCTTTGACAAATCTGAGAAAAACAAGCAATGGGGAAAGGATTCCCTATTTAATAAATGGTGCTGGGAAAACTGGCTAGCCATATGTAGAAAGCTGAAACTGGATCCCTTCCTTACACCTTATACAAAAATCAATTCAAGATGGATTAAAGATTTAAATTTTAGACCTAAAACCATAAAAACCCTAGAAGAAAACCTAGGCAATACCATTCAGGACATAGGCTTGGGCAAGGACTTCATGACTTAAACACCAAAAGCAATGGCAACAAAAGCCAAAATTGACAAATGGGATCTAATTAAACTAAAGAGCTTCTGCACAGCAACAAAAACTACCATCAGAGTGAACAGGCAACCTACAGAATGGGAGAAAATTTTCGCAATCTACTCATCTGACAAAGGGCTAATAACCAGAATCTACAATGAACCCAAACAAATTTACAAGAAAAAAACAAACAACCCCATCAAAAAGTGGGCGAAGGATATGAACAGACACTTCTCAAAAGAAGACATTTATGCAGCCAAAAGACACATGAAAAAATGCTCATCATCACTGGCCATCAGAGAAATGCAAATCAAAACCACAATGAGATACCATCTCATACCAGTTAGAATGGCGATCATTAAAAAGTCAGGAAACAACAGGTGCTGGAGAGGATATGGAGAAATAGGAACACTTTTACACTGTTGGTGGGACTGTAAACTAGTTCAACCAATTGTGGAAGTCAGTGTGGTGATTCCTCAGGGATCTAGAACTAGAAATACCATTTGACCCAGCCACCCCATTACTGGGTATATACACAAAGGATTATAAACCATGCTGCTATAAAGACACATGCACAAGTATGTTTATTGCAGCACTATTCACAATAGCAAAGACTTGGAACCAACCCAAATGTCCAACAATGATGACTGGATTAAGAAAATGTGGCACATATACACCATGGAATACTATGCAGCCATAAAAAATGATGAGTTCATGTCCTTTGTAGGGACATGGATGAAGCTGGAAACCATCATTCTCAGCAAACTATCACAAGGACAAAAAACCAAACACCGCATGTTCTCACTCATAGGTGGGAATTGAACAATGAGAACACATGGACAGAGGAAGGGGAACATCACACACTGGGGCCTGTTGTGGAGGGGGGGAGGGGGAAGGGATAGCATTAGGAGATATACCTAATGTTAAATGACAAGTTAATGGGTGCAGCACACCAACATGACACATGTATATATATGTAACAAACCTGCACATTGTGCACATGTACCCTAAAACTTAAAGTATAATAATAAAAAAAGAATATGAGACACTATATGATAATGACCCATTCCTTTAACGAATAAATGGCATGGAATATGATGGTGAGGTGTTGGAGAGAGAGAGAGAGAGGGAGGGAGAGAGAGAGAGACTGAAGAGACAGCTGACAAATGTAATGCAATAAGAGGGCGTGAAGTGCATCTTGATTCAAACAAATTAATTATAAAAGACTGTTGTGGATGCAATCAGAGAAGTTTAAATGTGGACTGAATATAAGATGACATTAAGGAATGGTTAACTTTTAAGGTTGATAATCACATTGTGGTTATATAAAGACTATCTTTTCCTGTACCAATATATTTATAGATGGAAAGGTACGATTGGGGCATTTAAGTTAAACTATTTCAACCAAAATAAGAAAATAAACAAAAAAGAGTTGCTTAAACTAAGAATGATGGGCAAAAATATTGATAATGATTAAAATAGGATATTATGATACTGTTCTCTCTTCCCTTCAAATTTTCATAATTTTTTATAAGAAACTGTACTTTTGAGCTTCTGAGCCGTTCTGGTTGATATGTTAGTGAAATACAGTTCTGAATTAATTCTGGTTACTGGCTGGTGTTTAAACAATAAGTATAATCTTTTACTAGATAATACATTCTCATGGCTCAAAACTCAAAATAATATTTTTAAAACGTGTACATTAAGAAGTATCACATTTACTCCTGCTTCCATTCACTCAATTCTTCCTGTCCTCCAAAGGTAGTAGATTTTTTCATTTCTGTTTTCCATTTTTTTAAGCAAATAGAAATAAGCATACATATATTATATATATTTTATCTCTTTTACACAAAAGAAAGCATAAAACATTTAGTCTTCTGCCTCTTTCTTTTTTTAACTTAAATGTATGCTGGAAACATTTCCATAACAATTAATGGAGATATTCCATCTTTTTATGGCTACATAGTATTCCATTGTGAGCATATAATGGAATACATATTTGTTCTTTTCTTTCCATCATCTTTTGCCATCTCAATAATTTCATATGCACGGAAGAATATATACAAGATAAATTCACAGTGTAAAAGCAATTATGATTTCCATAGATATTGCCAATGTCAATCCATGTGGATTATATCGTTCATTTTACATTCACACCTGCAATATATGAGACTGCCTGCTTTTTCACAAACTCATCAACAAAAATGCAGCCAGACTTTTGTATTGTTTACAATATGGTAGGTAAGAAATAAGATCTCTGTATAATTTCAGTTTGCACATTTCTAATTATAATAATGGTTGAATATCCTTTTGTATGTTTAGAAACCATTGTAGTTATTTTTAAATTAATTTTTGCTTCGTACCTTTTACATATTTTTCTTTTAGATTATTGATCTTTCCTCTCTTTTTAGGAACTCTTTGTATATTAAAGATATTAACCTTATGTTAAAAGTTGCAAATTTTTTTCCATTTTGTTATTTATTTTTGTCTTTGCATTGGTATTTTTGTGATGCAGGTTTTCATATCCTTACATATTTAAATTTATTATATTTTCTGTTAAGATTTCTGATTTTTAAATTACAGTTAAATAAATTTTTCTTCCTTATTATAAAGAAGTATATAAAGGAGTCTATATTTTATTCTAGTATTTCTGATTTTACTTCTGATATTTCATTTTTATATGTTTAGACATTATTCTGGTGTTTGATTAAAGGTGTAGATCCAATTTTGTCTTTTCTTCCAGATGGCTTCTCAATTGTCACAGTACCATGTATTTAAAAGTCTACTTTTATTCTTCTACTTAAAAATGCTACTTTTATCACATGCTAAATTTCCATATTTGGATCTATTTCTGAACATTATATTCTGTTCTACTGTTTGAATATAAAAGCTTTTTTTTTTTTTCTTTTTTTGAGACAGAGTCTCGCTCTGTCACCCAGGCTGGAGTGCAATGGCGTGATCTCTGCTCACTGCAACCTCAGCCTCCAGGGTTCTAGTGATTCTCCCACCTCAACCTCCCTAGTAGCTGGGATTACAGGCACCTGCCACCATGCCTGGCAAATTTTTTTTGTATAGTGGAGACATGGTTTCACCATGTTGGCCAGGTTGGTCTTGAACTCCTGACCTCAGCTGATCCACCCACCTTGGCCTCCCAAAGTGCTGGGATTATAGGTGTGAGCCATTACACCCGGCCATAAAATCTTTTAATGTAATTCAGTACCTATTTGGGCTAGTACTAATAATTTTTCTATTAATTTTTCATATTTTTGAAAATATTTTTTACTTTTTATTTTTCCACATGAATTTTAGAATCAGCTTCCTTAGTTCCAAAGCAATACAAATAACAACCCCTTCAGAAAAAAAAAATAGTGTACTACATTGGGCAAGTATAATTTTGTGTCTTTAAGAATTATTTTAAAATTTTTTTCATAAAGGATTTGAATACTATTTATTAGGCATTTGTAACACTTATTAATGCTGCAGAACACACTACCTGAACTTAGAGATATGAAATATGTATTTTATTATGCTCTTGCATTCTGTGGGTCAACAATGTAGAAAGGGAACACTGATGACTGTCTCTTCTAGATGATGTCAGCTGAAAAGACTTGAAGACTGCAGATGAATCAAAGGCAGGAGTGTCTCCATGGCTGGGGAAAGAAATCATCTGAAGTCATCTTCATTCACATGTTTAGCTGTTGATACTGCCTGTTGTCAGGACTCTCAGCTGGGGCTGTCCCATGGAAACTTATGTATGGCCTCTCCATGTAGCCTGGGTTGCCTCACAGCATGACGGCCTTGGACATCTTACCTGGTGCTCAGGGCTCCAAAGGCAAGTAGTCCAAAAGAACCAGGTGAAAGCTGTATCACCTTTTGTAACCTAGCTTCAGAATCAGATAGCATCACTTCTACCATACCCAGCGTCACCCAGCAACAAGAGGAGGAACATAGATATCACTTCTTGACAGGAGGGATGTATGTCACTGAGATTATGTGAGTAAAAGATATTGCTGCAGTCATTTTTAGAAAATTTAATGTGTCACAATATTTTTCTTGGATTTTTTTTTTGTTGTTGCTTTTTACGAATTGGGTCCTTTCTTTCATTTTATATCCTAACTGTTTATGATTTAATGAACACTACTGATTCCTGTATATTACATCTGCTGATGCAAATACATATAACCTTATTGAGTTCTGCCACTTCCCTTTTTTTGTATTTTATTCTTTTGGGTATAGTTCTATTACGAGATAATCAACAAAGAGTTTTACATTTTCCACTCCAACTTTGTTGACTGTTCTACTCTTTCATAATTGTGTGGGCTGTGAGCCTCAGTATAATGTTAAATGTAATGGTGACCGTAGACATCCTCACTTTTTTCCTGACTGTAGCATAAATGCCTGTGCTTTTACATTAATTAAAATAGTGCAACTGAAAAGAAGACATACATCTTATAGCTTTTTAGATATGGTATTTGATCTCTGGAGAATCATTATAATATTTTCATTTTGAATAACAATCTCTGCTTATCAAATATGTTTTTAAAAATAATTTTTGGTCTTATATTTCATCTGCTCTGATATTAAGGTCACCAACCCTGATTCTGTTTTATGGCTTACACTTTCTTTCCTTAAACATCATATTGGTGTTGGCTCCACTTTCTTCTGGTGTTAAAAGGTAGAAAAAGTCTGATACTAAACTCTTTTTCAAAGAGTACTAATGTTCTTGCCAATTCACTTAGTGAATTATTTATTCATCTTTGGAGACTAATAATCTCATCAGATGTTGACTGTGGCTGATTTTACTTGGTAGTAAATATGTAGAGTCAATGTATAGATTCATATCTACATATCGATTCACATCTTCATTTGGTTCCATTTTTAAATGATATTTTGAAACATTTATCCTCTCCCATTGTTTTACCTTTTTAGGACCTTCAATTACCTTTCCTTTACCTATTTTCTAAATCTATTATTTTATTTTTATCTCTATCCCCTTATATGTTTCTTTTTCTTCTTTCTTACTTCATCAAAGCCATTACTATGGTTTTCATGCCATCATTCATCCCTCTCCTCGTAAGCCTTGGAATTTCTTTTTCATTGTTGAATAATTTAGTAATTTTCTTCTCATGAGTTTTGCCAATTCCTTTTCTACCTTTTTCAGTTTTCTGGCCATCACCTCTTACTGTGTGACTATGTTATCTTGAACTCTTGTGTTTTTGCCTTGTGATTTTTCTTCATAGCTGGAAATAATTCACTCTTATTTTTTAAAAAATATTGGAACATTAGATTACAATTTTAGCTGCTGTGTAAGATAATTTTAGTGTGTATTCCTTTCCTGTTGGAAAATTTATCTATAATTTTCCAACATTTTTCACGTTTTATCCTATTTTTGCATTTTTTTAATTTACCTTTTTCTTTGTTTGTCCTCATATTTAGATGAGAGCAGAATATCCCTGGATGTGAGTATAAGGCAGAGGAGGGTGGGTAAGGATGACCTCTCTGCCTCACAGCTCAAGCTGGAATGGTATGGGCAGTGGTATGGTGGGAAACTGACCAATTTACAACAGCCAGCCAGCCATTATATTGTAAAGAAAACATTAAAATATACAGGAGCGAGTCTCTGTTGAAAATCAGCCCTGGGTTCAAAGTGTTTCCTTATGGTTGTGGTATTTCCATGTCGGCACATTTCCTTTGCTTTTCAGAACCTAACTTGGTTCTGGAGGGCTCCATCTTCCAGACTTGTGTCTCCTGCTGACTCTGTTTGCTGCTTCTACCAAGGGACAGAGCGAATGCGAACCATTCACTTTTATTTAGAAAGTGGATTTTTACTGATGCTTGCAAAATATCATCTCTGAGCTTTTCTGGGTAATTTTTAAGTCTTCCTTCTACCCCTAGTGCTTATTCCTATTTATCTCTCCACACGGTTCACAGCAGTTTGCCCTCAGTGTGGAGCCTTCACATATATGAGAGTGGATATTTTGCTTGGTGTCTGGGACCTGCATCTGCAGTGTCAACACTCCCCCGTCTTTCTGCCACTGTATCATGGTTGCATTAGGGACTTCCTGTCTGGCTCTGCTGGTCTTAGTTGCTTTTGGCAGCATGTATACATAATTTAAAATTTGTGGGTTTTCTTTGTTTTCTATTTTAACTAAAAAGGGAGTTTGTGATATTTTTGTTATTTTCCTTTTAATTATCTCACTGGTCTATTTCCAGGGGAAGCAGAAAGATTCAGAATTTAGCTGCCACTGTGCTCTTCCAGAATCGTAATTAAAATAATTGTTTCTGTTGTAGTAAAATATGAAGTATATTCCCACTTAAGTAGAATGGACTTTTCATATGAAAGTGTAAGATTATTTAAAAGATGTCTCCCTGAGCAAAACATATTCTCCACTTGGGAATTTTCAAGACATGTTCTGGACAAAATTGAGAAGGGGAAGTTTGATAAACTAGTTAGATAAGCAAATCTATGCAGAGTCTGTCATTCTCTGAGAAATGAAAACTGGGTAGAGAAAGAGAGTCAGATTTACATGTTACAAAAATGCTGTTCTTTATTTTAATCGACAGAATTGGATTAGACTCCAGCATCAGCATGCATTTCTCATTGTTTTCTTTCTATATTAACTACAGGAGACTCATTAGAATTTCATGGATGTAATTGTTTCTGGGTTACATCCTCAATTAATGACTATAATTGAAAGATGGGATAAAACTGGGATGACGTGACTGTAATTTAAGTGTAAGATGTCTGGGCCTATTTACAATGCATTTGTTAGTATTATTTTTTCCTACTGCGGAGGAGTATTTACGAGAGGCAGAAATAAATGCATTTCAAACAGCAATGTCTCAATCAAAACAATGAACATATTGTGCGCAGGATGTTGTTTTCCTGGGCTGTTTTGTGACTATGCAGCCCTCGGCATGATACATGTGCATATAAAGAGCTTGTGCTCAGATCTTCTGGGAGGGGAGAACATGCTCCAACAAAGGGGAGGTGGAAGAGAGGCTATCTCTGCCCTGTATGTGCTGCGTTATAACAAACATTCAAAATCCAGCAGCTCAGCCTGCACTTGTCAAGGATTCCCTAATCAGTTTTAGATTATGTCATGGGGAAAGAAAAAAGGAACTCCCCCAGTCCCTTAATTATGGCTCTCCTCTGCTTCGCTCTCATTTTATTCCTCCCCCCAACCAAAGTAGATATTAACCTTATTAGCTTTTTGAACAGTGCATCGCTGATTATCCGCACATGAGCCATGAGAGCAGCTGCAAGGGGCAGCTGAATAATTATCTGGAGGTAACTGGGTTTGATTCAGACTCTGGGAACAAAGTCCATAGACTGGAGCTCCTGGGTTGAGGGGTGTCTGTTATTGCTCAATCCAGGGTCAGAAGAGGACTGGGTAGCTCATTGTGTGTCTTTTACAATGGTAACGACTTTTCCTTTTCTCACGAGTCTTCTGAGTTAGAGGGAATGACAAAAACAGCCAAAGGATTAAAGGTTCAATAGCTGAGCTGGAAATACTAGGATATGTGGCTGGACTAAACCACCATGAAAAGCAAAAAGAAAGTGGGAGATGAACTAGGTAGGAATAGAGAGATAGGGAGGGACCACTGATTCAGAGGTGACTTAACAACGATAATAACTTGACAATTATATACCTTTTAAAATAACTCTCATACTGATACTGCCAGCTGAGGAGTACTTCCTAACATGGGACCTGTGCTTAAGAAACATAATGTGGATTATCAGGCCCCACCACTGACTACAGGAATCAAAATTTCCGGGTGTGAGGTCCAGGAAGCTGCATTTTTCCAAGCTCCTAGGTGATTCTGACAGATGTTGGAACTTAAGAATGACCTGAGTAGAGGCCGTGGAGAGTAGAATGAATGGAATGGCAGTGACAAACCAGAGACAAGCTGGGAGTAGGTGGATTGAAGTTGAATTCACCAGGAACATATTCTGTGCTTACCAATAAGGGGGCTGTGAATCAGAGGAGGTAAGTATCTTCCTGTAAGCTAAATATCTAGTAAGTTGAGTCAGTTGGAATAGAAATGTGCTAGAATTTGGATGGCAGGTTACAGGAAGTAGGCAACGTGGTTTGGGATCCAGGCCTTGATTTGGTTATATGTTGAGATAAGGACATCTTTCAGGAAAATGGTGTGGAAGGCAAAATATGTTTCATGTTCTTTAATCCGGTATTCTAAGCTTATCTTTTATTTGCCCCCTTCATGGATTTTTTTTCATACATCTCTGGTGCATATTAGCTGTAAAAATATATATCCAACCTTTTTGTGTTAAATGTATGTGTTTTTAAATGTAGCATGATTCTAACACATATCACAAAATTATAACTTTGATATGTTGAGTTTTTGTAGCACACATTGGCAAATATTCAACTAAAATTTCTTAAAACGTATGTCTGCATACTATTTACAATTATCTTGCCAGTGGTACTACATGTACTGCACTTTAGATATCATACTTTTACACATTTTATCTTTTGCTTGATGCTTCTTTCCATCACTTTCCAGCTCCCCATTGTCTAGGACCTGTCTGCATGATCTAAAACCATCATATTTATTGGCTTAGCCTATTCAGCACAGCTTTCCTAGTGGTGCGGCCTGGGTCACCCTCTCCAGCACCTCCATTTGCCTTCTTTCATTTTTGTTGCTGAACTTCTCTCCCAGGTCATATTTCTAGCTGAATTTTAGCCGCACTGTTTGGATTTCTGCACCTTTAGTCATCCTAACAAGCTCTCTTCATTTACTTCACATAGGCATCTTATAAATTGCCTTCAGTCACATTGCCCCTTATTCATATGGTGTCAGTAAAATGTTTGGTTGATTAATAAATTGATAAATGATTTAAAACTACCAAGTTTATTTTAGGTGGCTTTTAAGGGCTTAGATGAGAAGCAGTAAAATGAACACATAAATACAATCTTCAGATACTGATTCCTGATTTCTTGTATGGAGAAAACAAAACAGGGTAAAGTATTAGAGAGAGAGACAAGAGGGTTGTACTCTCTATTGGGATAGATGGGGAAGATTTCTTTGAGAGGGGAAGACTTGTGTAATGAGAAGGAACCAACAAGAAGATCTGGAGAAAGAGTGTGCAAGATGGAGATGGAGTGTGCAAGATGGAGGTGTACTAAGACTCTGAGATAGGAGTGGACTTGAGGGTCCAGTTGGGGGATGGAGGAGAAAAACACAATCCAAAAAGGAGAAAAGTAAATAGGAAGAGAGGTCAGAGAAGAAGACAAGGGAAAGATCCTATCATCCACAGCAAGAAGGATGAGATATACCCAAGCACAATGAAAGCCACTGGAACAGGTTCCAAAGGGAGGAACATGATCTAACCCCTTGGTCCAGGTTCTGGAGAGACTAAACTAACTGCAGGTTCCCATACTTAATCACTCCTGTCTGCCTTTGTATGTGGTATTCTCCCAACTGGATCCCTCTCCATAATTCTCCCAGTTTTCCCAGCTCATCTTGATCATTTTTGACTCTGGACTTCTACTGTAAAACAAACAAACAAAAATATGATCAACTTTGCTTCATTCCACATTTCTCAAACTTACTTGACCACATACTTTTTATATGAAATGTCTATTACCTTCTTTGGGAATACATTTTAGACTTTTAAGCTACCCCAGTTGCTCTTTCTCAAGATGTAAAATAATGTAGTTATTCTCTGTTGATTACTTTTTATATTAATCAGTGTTCTCCAGAAAAGACCCCCCAAAATATATACATGCATATTTTTTCTCTCTCTCCATATATAATATATAAAATATATATATATTCTATCAATACACAATATAAAAAATATATATATTCTATCTATGAATACACAAAGGACCCTGTTTTCCTTTCTCAGCCTTCCACTGCCTCTGCAGATACATATATATATATATATATATATATTTGAGAGATAGAGAGATCTATTGGCCAAGGAGGTTATGGAGGCTGGCACAACCAAAATCTGTATGGAGGGGCTGTCAAGCTGGAGACTCAGAGAGAGCCAATGTTGCAGTTCAAGTCTAAAGGTCATCAGGCTAAAGATGCAGGAAAGAGCTGATGTTGCAGTTCATGTTCAAAGGCAGTCTGCTGCAGAATTTCCTCCTGCTCAGAGGAAGTCAGTCTTTATTCCACTCAGGCCTTCAACTGTTTGGAAAAAGTCCACCTACATCATGGAGTGCAATCTGCTTTACTCAAAATCTACCAATTTAAATGTTAATCTCAACCAAGAACAGCCTCACAGAAACATCTAGAATGATGCTTGGGCAATGTCTAGGCACTGTTGTCCAGCCAACTTGATACATAAAATTAACAATCAGATCTTTCTTATAGGACAAGACAGAGACAGATAATCAATTTTTCCATTTTAAAAAGTAATGCTTTCTGTGTTTTATTCTAGGTGAATTTGGACATATGCATTTTTGTTGCTGCTAGTAAATCAGCAACCATGTAATCAACAACCTCCTCCCAATAATGATCATGTTAATTAAAGGCTTTCCTGAAATAAATGTTAAAGATAGAGTAGTCAGATAGGAAGAGTGAGATGAGAATAGACCAAAAGTGGGAACACATATGAGGTCAAGATAAAAAGAACAGAAAGAAAAAGATTGATAGACATTCACTGATGAGATACCCTAGTAAAACAGAGTAGAAAGAGATGATAGCAACCTAAACTTTGCTGATGTAGGATGGTAGGGAGCAAGAACACTTAATAATGGTTATTTTTTTTTTGAGAGCAGCTGTAATTGATCAGCATTTCATGCAAATGAATAATGTAGGTGAACCTTATCAGCATGCTGGAAGCTTACAATTATTCAAATTACACAAAGCCATCAAATTTGTGCAAATCAAAACAACAGAAAGAGCCATTAATTCCCATTCTATCCCCTAGCATTCTAGGGTTTTACCCACGTTTGTGATGGTAAGACACTTCAACCTTGAAATTAAACAGAGAACATGGTGTGGTAATTTAGTCACATATTCACCATTTAATTGTTTTAAAGGTGATCTAGGCAAATGTACAACGTTGAAGTATGCACATTTTTAGTGTGCAGTCCAATTCTGTTCGTGTCTTGCATGATGGATTCAGAATTTCAGATCATTCTACCTAATAAAAAATGTGGTAATTAAGATCAGTTTAATGGTAGTGCTTTTGGAGGATTAAAAATGTTTAATTTGAATACCACATTTCCATTCTGAAAAGCTGGGGTTACTAGAAAGTGAATATACTGGCCATGAAATACCTCTGAAACAAATCATCATTCGCAAACTGGATTTCTCTCTTTCCTGAGTATGAATCCATCTGTCAATCCACAAAGGACCCTGTCCTCCTCTGTCAGCCTTCCCCTGCCTCTGCATATATCTGTGACATCAATAGTTTAAGACAGTGGCTGCCCATCCTGGAACATCATTGGAGAGATAGGCCCTGCAGAATGCAGGCTTTTTGCTGAGTTAGACATGAAATTCACAGCACAAGGGTCCATCGACTACTTCCTATTGAACTGAGTCCCACTTACAATATGGTCACTGGGATTATCTCCCATGTGTTACAATTGTGTCTCCTTTAAAGAAGTCAGGAAAATTACCTGATGGTAAATTCTGTCACAAAAGAGATGTTAGGCTAAGGGGATTTGATGATCTAGAAAATCCACTGTCACCAGCAAACTGTAGGATCTAAAGAGAGTTATCAGTTTTTTCTGTGCCCATACTTCTTCATCTGTAAAATAGATACTATGATCATGTATTGAGTTTGTAATATGTGCTGATCATTTTTAATGATTTACCTCTCTTAATCTTCACAATAACATTAGAAAATAGGCATAATAATGTACCCATTCTTTCATTTGTAGAAGACATACCTGATGCTTAGAGATTTCAACTATTGCCCAGGTCCACACAGCCATGGAGGCAGGATTTAAAGCAAGCCCTCCATAATACTTGATCTTAATTATAGCACTAACTCCCACTATGATAATTAGCACTCACCTGGTAAGGTTGTTCTGGGGATGAATTTATATAATGTTTGTAAAATATGTAGCAAAAATACCTGAAAATAGATGCTAGCTTGAATACTTGGATACAGCAGCAATAACACATACTTCCTAGGTAACTTTTTTTGTTTTTCAATTCCCTTCCAAAAGTTCCCTTACTTTCCTTCAGTACTAATAAATCCAAAGTCAGTACCATCTACCAGATGTCTATCCATGTCATCAAAACCTTTTAATTATTCCCTAGTTATTTTTTGAATGAACGTGTTGTCTCTACAGTTTCAGTTGCTTTAGGCAGTATGAGAGAGTCAAAGAGCAACAGGCTCTTAGAAAACCAGCCTGGATTCTTAGCTCTTCCATTGGACTTTCTCATTTCTAAAAAGGAAATAATACCTTTTCTTCCTCTGTCAGCACTAAAATAAAATCCAAATGAAAGCAAAAATATGAAAGGCTTTATAAACACCAATGTGTACAGAAATGTAAAGGTGATATTAACAAGAGTTATGACATCTTCTAATTTCTTTCTATCCATCCAATTTCAGTGTGTCTATCAACATAGCAACCAATAATTTTCAACTTGCAAATTTTACTGTTTAGGCTCTACTGTTAAGTGATACAATGAAAAGAGGATACATTCACGTGTTATTCTTATGTGAATAAATTGTAGACAATTGCCTGTATACTTGCTTTTTTTCTAGGACAAATGGTCTCATCTTATTCATATTTAAACCAAAGTTTCAAATTTCTTTCTGGCAAGTATTTTGGCTCTAAAAGTTCATGTGAGATAAATAAGTTGTATGAAGGTTGGTTGATCGGTTTCAGACGATATTTAGGTTGGGATCTCTCAGAAGAAGACTTTGAAGCAGATATGTGAAGGAGTGCTCTTGGGTTCAACATCTGTAGAAGAAGGGAAAGATGTAGGATTGGGCAGAGGAAAAAGTTGGCCTCAATCAGACTCAGGAAAGGTCTCAGCTGATCCCATGGGGAACTCTACAGTAGGATAGCCCCTATTGACCCTAGCAGGGGAGAAGGGATTGAATCTTTGTAACTATATGAACCAATTTTGGATGCATACTGCCCCAAGAAGAGGGCATGACTTTAGGTGAGTGGCCTCTCTTCAAACAAAGCAATTCCCAGAATGGACTGACAGCCAGAAGCACTCTTAGCAGCTTGGGTATGATGTCCTTCAGCACTAAAAGGGGCCCTGGGGAGCTATTACAGCATTTACTACAGATAGTGATGTACCTACTTTACCAGACTATGAATCTCATCTACATCTCCTGACAAATGGCCATGTAGACTCCAGTTAAGTCACTTCCTCATTAGTCTCTCCATCCAAGTTTATTCAGAAATAACTCCTATTTTATTATTTGGAGGTTTATATTAAGCTGAAATCTAACTCCAGATTCATTAATCCTTGAATAGAGAAGATTCTGAAGAAACTCTGCTAAAGAACTCAACCTGCCATCTGGAACAAAATGAGACAAATACAATGCTTGGAACTCATACATGTTTGCTGGAAGAATAAATGGTTGTGTGAAATATAGAGTTTATGTAGCTAATGGTTACTGCACAAATCTTTACTCTCAGCCACAGTTACTTCACCCCTGCATGAGAATAATAGTCATTTTTTTTACTGAATATTCATTACTTATCGCAATCTGTTCTAAGTGCATTGCATGAGTTTACTATCTTGATATCACAATAACCCTATAGGATGGGCAATATAAATCCCATTTTATAAATGAGGAAACAGGTTTAGGGAGGTTAAAAAGTATGCCAAAGTCACATGAATAGTAAATAATGAAAAGTGAAGCACTCTCTTGCATCTCATAAGGGGAATGACGGTAAAGGCAGTTGGCACTCACAGTTTAATCTGACATTCTCTTACTTTCTTTGTCTCATCTATTAGTTTCCTGGCCTACCTAATAAAGCATCACAAACTGGGTAGCTTAAAACAATTGAAATTTATTATCTTATAGTTCTAGAGACCAGAAGTCTGAAATCAGTGTGTCAGCCAGATTGGTTCCTTCTGGAGAGCTCTGAGAATGGAATGGTATTCCATATCACTCTCTTAAATTCTGGTGTTGCCAGCAGTCTTTGGCATTCCTTGACTTGTAGACACATCAATCTCTGCCTTCTTTATCACATAGTGTTCTCGTTGTGTGTTTGTCTCTATGTCTCTTCTCATTTTCTTATAAGGACACTAGTCATATTGGATTAAGAACCACTGCAATAAAGTATGACCTCATGTTAACTTGTGTACATCTGCAAAGACCCTGTTTCCAAATAAGGTCACATTCACAGGCATCAAGAATTAGGAATTCAACATATCTTTTTAGGAAACACAATTCAACCAACAATGCCACATAATTTTCAAGGAGATAATTATTTGGAAAAACAAATCCAATCAATGAATATTTCTTATCTTGCTGCTGATATGGTTTCCACGTTTGCCCTCTCCAAATCTCACGTTGAACTATGAATTCTAAGGCTGGAAGTGGGTTCTAGTGGAAGGTGATTGGATCATGGGGGTGGATGCCTCAGGAATGGCTTAGCGTCATCCCCTTGGTGATGAGTGAGCTCTCTCTGTTAGTTACCATGAGATCCAGTTGTTTAAGAGTCTGGGAACTCCCTCTTCTCTCTTACTCCTGCTCTTACCATCTATATGCCTGTTCCCTTTTTGCTTTCCCCCATGAATGTAAGTTTTCTCAGGCCCTCACCAGAAGCAGTTGTTGACACCATGTTTCCTGCACAGTCTGTAGAATCATAAGACAAAATAAACCACATTTCTTTATAAACTACTCAGTCTCAGATATTTGTTTATAGCAATGCAAAAGCAGCCTAGCATACTTACAATGTGTCTATTGTTGTGCTAGCTACTGGAGATAGAGTAGGTAATAAGACAGATTATCTGCCAATCAATCGGACAGTCAAAAATATTTATTCAGCATGTAGTATTAATCAGGCACAGGTCCCAGAGCTAAGACTATTGTAACGAACAGGACAAAGTCATATTACCAAATATAATTTTGGAGACTAAAATGTGCTATGAAAAAAAAAATAAGCAAGGAGCTATAAGAAAGAGTGACTAGGGAAGGTTGGGCAATTTTGTCCAAAAAGTCAGGAAAGTCATTCCTGGGAGGGAATTTAAACTGGGAGGGATATTGAAACTGAGAACTGAGTGACTACAACAAGGCAACCGTTCAAAGATCTGGAAGCAGAGAATCCAAGCAGAAGGGTAGCCAAGAGCAACGGCCTTCATGAGGAATAAATGTAGAATGTTCCAGAAAGAGAATGAAAATCAATTTCCCTGAAGTGTATAAACCAAAGGAAAAATAAAAAGAAACATGTTAGAGAAACAAGTGGGTAAGGGGTTTGACCTTTATCATCAAGCTACCTTGAAGATGTATTAAGAAGCATGATTTGAATATAAAAGTTTTAGGAACGTGTGCTCCATAGGGTAGACTGTAGAGGGATAAGAACAGAATCAGAAAGCCCACTTAGGTGGCTATTCTATAAATCCAAACAAAAAATGATGACATTTTGAAGCAGGGGTGGAGTGGTGGAATTGATGAGAAGGAACCAATTGGAAGACAGATATAGAAGTATTTTTGAAATGGAGATGATGGAGCTTTCTCATGAGGGATTGACTTTAAAAAATCAAGAGCTTACAGTATAATGGGAGACATCACTGAAAGGGGTAATTTCAATTCACTGTTATGAATGCTACACTAAGAATAAACCCAAATAGAATTCTCAAAACTGTTTGGGAAAAGTTAAAGAAAGCCTAGAGTTTCCTCAAGACTGTTGGGAATGTATTTTTCACAGCTGATATTTTGTCCTATCTCATTTCAAAAGCTGGTGTGCTTGTGAGAAACACAGGGTACACATGGTTTTCTGCACAGAGAGAACCCACATCACAACACTATATGTTTTGGCAAAGACTCCTGTGTTATTTCTCCTGAAATATAATGACTGTGTTTAGTACTGGGTAGCCATTTGATGAGTGGAGGTAGGGTTGGAAGCAGGACATGACATTGACCACAAGTATCTTTCTCCGATCCCTCAGGAAAAATATGAGGCAATGGAGTACTAGTTTTGAAAGAAGTCCTATATGAGAACATAATATGCAGACATATAGTCCTTCTAAGGCCAGTCTCTCTAGATACTGTGTGCTGAAGAACTCCAGATCTCTACTGTACTAACAAAATTTCTCTCAGAATGCATATTGGGCTTGCAGTGGAACTTGCATGACTTCATAAGCCCCCCAAATCACATTTCAATAGACAGCATCATCTGTATTAGCAAATAACAAAACTGTCAGTAGCACAGACTGTAAAATTATAATTGCTCTGTATTAATCATATTAAGGCAGGAACATATTTATGATTGCCAGATAGCTATACAACTTCCTGTAATAACTGAAAATGTGTTATCTTTTTTTTCATTTTATTTTGTTTAATTATACTTTAAGTTCTGGGATACATGTGCAAAACATGCAGGTTTGTTACATAGGTATCCATGTGCCATCATGGTTGGCTGCACTCATCAATCCATCATCTACGTTAGGTATTTCTCCTAATGCTGCCCCTTCCCTTCCCTTCCTTTCCATCTCCTGACAGGCCTGGGTGTGTGATGTTCCCCTCCCTGTGCTCACATATTCTCATTGTTCAACTCCCACTCATGAATGAGAACATGTGGTGTTTGGTTTTCTGTTCCTGTGTTAGTTTGCTGAGAATGATGGCCAACAAGCATAAGAAAAACAGCTCATCATCACTGGTCATTAGAGGAATGCAAATCAAAACCACATGTGATACCATGTCACAGCAGTTAGAATGGTGATCGTTAAAAAGTCAGGAAACAACAGATACTGGAGAGGATGTGGAGAAATAGGAATGCTTTTCCACTATTGATGGGAGTGTAAATTAGTTCAATCATTGTGGAAGATAGTGTGGCAATTCCTCAAGGATCTATAACTAGAAATACCATTTGACCCAGCAATCCCATTACTGGGTGTATACCCAAAGGATTATAAATCATTCTACTATAAAGACACATGTACAAGTATGTTTATCGCAGCACTATTCACAATAGCAAAGACTTGGAACCAACCCAAATTCCCATCAATGATAGACTGGATAAAGAAAATGTGGCAAATATGCACCGTGGAATACTATGCAGCCATAAAAAAGAATGAGTTCATGTCCTTTGCACGGACATGGATGAAGCTGGAAAATATGTTATCTTTAAAACAAGCCATGACCTCCTGGAACTCTGCCTAAAATTTAATTTGTTGTCACCATTTGGGATAGTGACTTAAATGCTACTATCCATCTGACTAATCATTGATTAGGAAGTAAGATTTAAAAACAATATTTCCATAATCAAGTGTGCTTTCCTATAAACACAAAACTTCTAAATAAAATATTCAGCATAAATATTGGCTAATGTAAGCTCTAAAGAAAAGGTATAGGAAAACAGATAAAATGGTTCAAGATTCAAGGAATTACAATTGTGTAGGCAAAGACTAGTGCATTTACATTACTCTCAACCACGTGTGTGTGTGTGTGTGTGTGTGTGTGTATGAACTTCTGATAGTCTCTCAAAATTTATTTCCATACCCGGATTTCAACTTTTTAAGTTAATAAGCCTTTCAGTGTTGTGCTCAGGAGCTAGTGGTGTTTGAAAGCTTGATGCATATCTCCTTTGAGGCGCTTTTTATATAGTTACTCAACCTTTAATTGAGTAAAAAGTAGTTAACACTTTTGGCATATGAGTTCTTTGCCCATTTTGTTAACTTCTACTTCCACTGTCTGTTTCTGAGAAATGATCATCTATAATGTGGATATTAATTTTAAAGATACTGCCACCTAATTTTAAAGATACTAAACTCTGCTGCCACAAAACTTTTAACACATTCTGAGAAAATCATGTAGCAACCATTTTAAGTGAAATCAGAAAGTAGCTTCCCTCAAAACAGCAACTAATTTTCCTAGTGGAGATCACTCTTTCTTTCTGTACAGTCCAGAATAAAAATTAAGATCATCATAAATAGAAATACATTCTAGGCATCCTATGTCTTGATGAGTGAGAGGGGGTAAAATACTAGAAGAAAAAGTAAAAAGAAATGTTATGTGAAAAGCCCTGAAAGCCTACTCTGAGGTATTGCAGTTTTTAAAAGTGAAAGAAATTCTACAAAATCATGTATAGATTTTTTTTTTTACATTTTTTAAGAATACTCAAGACTTACTTCAGTGAAACATTGATTGAACTGTAGAATCTTGGAAGTGAATATAGCCAATCAGAATAACCAAATTTTCCTAGAATATCAGATTCCAACATTAATGCATAGTTAAAACCAAATGCAGTCATCAGCCTTCATTCCCCACAACTATGCTGAAAAGAGAAGGCTGTGGGTATGAGCTGGGAGGAATGAGGACATGGGAACATAGGGGAGGTCATCTGAATAAATCACGACTCATTAAGCACCACCATTACAAATAAATCATTGTTGTTCTGTCACTATGTACTTTCCTGTTAAATAAGCTCCTAGATATTGTATCATGTCTAATCTCTTTCTGCAGGGGCTGGTGCTGTATGCTTTTGGATAGTAGATGGAGGAAAACAAGAAAAAGTGGTCATGGTGCAATAGTCATCTGGTAAGTTTTTTGAGAGAACACCACTTGGGAAACATTGATTTCCACATTCTTATCCCCTGCTGTACACTGCTGTGTATAACCGGTGAGTCGTGTATTAAATAAAACATCAATGTTCTAAAACGAGTTTCACATTCATGACCAATAATAAGATTAACTGTTGTGCTTTTTAATACATGCTTCAAAAACATGTCTATATAGATCATTAGTGCATAATAGCATCATTCAGAAATTTTTGAGAAAATATAGCAATTTCATATCAATTAAAAGATTTTTCTGAAGGGATGCACTTTCAAGTAATTTAGTGTTCCTGAGTTCTGGGTGCTGTTATCTTTTCAGTAATATTTAGGCAAAAATGCAGTAATTATAATTGTATCATGGATAAATTTATTATAGGTTGCATGTTGAATTGGTGCTTTCTGTTGCAGATTTTACTTTTTGTTTGGAATTACTCATTAGAAATAATTATTGAGGGACATAATTAGAATTGTGCTGCCTACTGGTGTTTAGGGGCATTAACTATCACTTTTTTTAATGTTTTTATAATTTGCATTTATTAAAATGTGTAGGTAGCTAAGCATCTTCTTATATGTTATAGAACACTGATAGGAAAAGTGACTCATTTCATGAGGAAAGTTTAGCTTATTATGATGATACTCATGTGTAAAAAAGAATTAGGTAAAATGTAGAGTAATTAAGGAAAACCATCATGCCAATCACATAAATTTAATGGAAAAAAACAGCTAATTTTTAGCATTGTAAAAGAAAAATTCTAATAGTTATTTTATTTCTTACATTACCTGTACCATGTACAAGTATTTGTGTGCATTCATTGAAGTGTATATGGGCTTTCATTTTGCAAATCAGGAAAAAAAACGTATTTCGTTGAAGTGGAAAGGGATATGAGTGGAGGGAAATGTGCACCTTTGGTTCCCTCAAACCCTCTGATTTTATGTTGTTTTTGATCATTTAGTGTTAGAGAAGCTTTTTGTTTTTTTGATGAATGACCCTGGAAACTTGTGAATAACACATTTTGTTTTAGAGTCCAAATGACAAAAACTAGTAAAGAGTTTGAAGAAGGCAATTCTCACCACCGATGCTTAAAACAATGTTGATAGCATTGAGAGGCAGTCTTCTTGGTACAAATGTTGTTACCATAAGTAGCAGCAAAAAACAGGCTCTTCAAGTGACTTTTTGGGCATATGTTTCAAAAGGGAGAGTCAGAGCAGAAGCAGAACACAATAGGTACTACCGGTGTACCATAGCTGACGGTTTGCGTTGCAAACACACCTGAAACATTCTTTGGGGGAATTTCCTGATAACCATATGGAAATCATCAACAGCCTAGTGGTTTCACACACACAAGTAGCAGCAAGAATAGAGACATTAGTTTATTAATTTTATTGTGGGTTCATTTGTACCCATCAGATGGTATGTTCCATTATTGGGGGTTGTACATTTTAAAGCCTATTATAGTTTTAATCTCATGGCTCTGGACATAGTCAGAACAAAGGTGAAACCCCCAAATATTATCATAGTGTTAGGATACTAGTTGTTAGCTCTTTCACTGACATGTCATATATAGATTTGTTTCTCACTTAGGTAAAGTATGATGCAGGTTGAGTGTCTAACATTTTGAGCTAGATGACCTGGAGCCATGACCTCCACATTTAGTGCAACAGAAGAAGAGAAAGATAGAGGAGACACACCACTCCTGGAATCAAACTTTGTATTAGTCAGGGTTCTCCAGAAAAACAGACTAATAAGATACACACACACACCCCCATGCACACGTGCGCGCACACACACACACACACATATATGACAGAGAGATTATTAGAAATTTGCTCACATAATTATGGAGGTGGGCAAGTCCCAGAATTTGTAGGTGAGTCAACAAGCTGGAGACCCAGAAAAGCCAATGGTGTAGTTTCAGTTCAAAGGCCAGAAAAAAGCCAATGTCCCAGTTCAAAAGTAGGCAGAGAGAGTGCTCTATTACTTGAAGGAGGGTCAACATTTTGGTTCTATTCATGCCTTCAATTTATTGAGTGAGACCCACTCACATTATTCAGTCTATGGATTTAAATGTTAATCTAATTCAAAAATACTCTTACAAAAATACCCATAATAATGTTTGTTCAAATATCTGGGCATTCTGTGGCCCAGTCAAGTTGACAAAAGTTAACCATCATGAGTCCACCTCTTGTCAACTGGGCACCCATATTCATCTCTGTAACTCATACTTAACCTCCAAATAAAGACAATAACCAGGCCATAATTCTGCTTAACATAATACAACTATCCTGCATATTACTGAAAATGTACTAATCCCTTCCCCAGAAGCGGAGGTAAAGTGTTTGTGTGTTGTTCACTTTTCTTTCTGATATCTCATATCCTATAACTTAAGTATTACGACATAAAGCTAAACATACTGAAATAAATGCTTGTAACAATTACAGTCCTTATTTATTTAACTGATCAGTTGAGCATAGCTGGTATTTATAACTATCTTATACCACCATCCATTCTGTATTCCCTTTGCCTTCAGCAAGCACGTCAGCTAGTCATGGTTCTTTACCTGGTGACGCAATTTGAACCTTCATTCCTGAAGGGTATGGTAGATGGTTCTGGGAAATACACAGAAGCACGTGGAATGCTTGGGGACTCCTAAACATCTCAATACAATAGCTAAGCTTTTAAAATGTAAAAGGAGATATATAAAGCTATGAAAATCAATTTCTCCAAAGCTAGAAAACTAACAGACACTTTTACTTTTGAACCATATGAGGGAGTTTTTATTTGCGGATTGATCATCTGTTATTTGCCTAATAAAAACAAACAAAAAACATTGTTCTTATGACAACTCTCTTATTGACCTCCCTTCCTCCCATGGTCTATCCACACTGACCATTTCCTTAGGGATTCTAAGTCATTTTCACATAATACACAATAGAGTATGTATTAATTAACTATAAAGTGAGCCAGGCTATTCATTAAGCAACCTGAAAGTTCACAGTAGATTCTGCTATCATGTAGTCATTTCTGGGGTGTAGAAACCCCTTTACTAAATCTTTATCTTCCAGTAAAAGCACCTTTGCAGATTAAGCATACAAAAAAATTGTACTACATGGAGTTTTTTTCATCATTTACCCACAGAGTATGGTGTTGCTATTTCATCTCCCTAGCCAAAGCATCTATTAGACAGAAATATAATTGTAGGAATTAGGCTGACTTTAACTGTAAAGAGTCTTCCTCCCATGAGCCTTGTGGTCTACTCAAGACTAAGCCAAACACTGGGCATCCTTGAAGATTTCTTCTTTATCTTCTCCCCAAAGCAAATACAATTAAACAATAGTAATAATAATTCCAATACTACTACTACTACTACTACTACTACTACTACTACTACTACTACTACTACTAAGTATATTGAATAGCCACAGTTGAGAAAGAATAGATGGGAACCACAAAAGAAAGTAAGAAAGAAAGGGGAAGAAGTAGGAATCATATTGCCAAAGGAAGAAAAACTAAGGGGAGAATTGTACTACCAATTAGTTAAGTGGTTTCCAATGTCTATGGTTTGAATATGGTTTGTTTTCTCAAAATTCACGTTGAAATTGATTGCCATTTTCAGAGTGTTAGGAGGTACAGCCTTAAAAAGAGGCAATTCAATCATTAAGAAGATTAATGCATTTCTCTCAAGTGGGTTAATTCTTATGGGAATGGGTAAGTTACCTCCAGAGTGGATTCCAGTAAAAGCAAGTCTGGCTTTCTCATGTTCCCTTTCACCTTGTGATTCCTCTGCTTTTCCAACAGACCCTTGCCAACAGAGGCTCTTTTCCAACAGAGACCCTTGCCAGGTGTGGTCACCCAATCTTGAACTTCCCAGCCTTCAGAAACATGAGCTAAATAAACCTCTTTTCTTTATAAATTACTTAGTCTGTGGTATAGTCAGCCCCTCTGTACCAGCGGTTTCACATGTGCAGATTCAACCAACCAACCACAGACTAAATCCTGCAAATATGGAGGGCTGACTGTACTATGCCATTTTATATAGGGGACTTGTGCATACTTGGATTTAGGTATATTTGGGGGGTTCTGGAACTAATCCTCCAAGGATGTGGGGGGCTTACTGTATTTTTTTAATAGCAAAATAAATGGTACTAAGATACTAGGTATTTCTTCTTCTTTTTCTTTTCTTTCTTTTTTTTTTTTTTTTTTTGGATACAGAATCTCACTATGTTGCCTAGTGTGGAGTGCAGTGGCACACTCTTGGCTCACTACAAACTCCACCTCCCAGGTTCAAGCGATTCTCTAGCCTCAGCTTCCTGAGTAGCTAGGATTACAGGCACCCATCACCACACCCAGCTAATTTTTGTATTTTTAGTAGAGGCGGGGTTTCGCCATGTTGGCCAGGATGGTCTCAAACTCCTGGCCTTAGGTGATCTGCCCACCTCGGCCTCCCAAATTGCTGGAATTACAGGCTTGAGCCACTGCGCCTAGCCAGGTATTTCTTTACCTTTCTCTTCTCCAATAGTCTGACTGCAGCATTTATTTTCTAGTCTGCATCTTTTTGCAGATACCAAAAATACTGATTAGCTGTTATCAATTAAATAAGAAAATTAGTCTTACGTTTGCCATTATGTGGCTAAAATAAACAAACTGATCCTCTTACATAACTTTTTTCTGCTAAGTACTCTTAGAATCAAGATCAGATGGCCTTGACCCGATTAACATATAAGAACAACGTAGTGTCCATCACAACTTACTCAAATAATGTGTCTAGTGGCAAGTGTGAAGTGGTTGCCTGGTTCTTATTTACTTCATATTCTGTAGTTAAGCAAACCCGGGGTTATATATCTGTATGTGTATATATTTGTTGATATGTATGTTGTATGTGCAGAGTTCAATGAAAAATAAGATTAAAAGTTAGGGATTGGACACAATCAAATCTCCAATTAAGTTTTCCCACTCAGCTTTCATTTTTGTGTAGCTGTCTTTAGACTTTGCTCTGAAAGAATGTGCTTGATATCACTATTTTGTGACAATAAAAACCATCGGTCGACATGTTTGGGATATGGATGTTTCTCCTTTACTTATCTGCTTTGATGTTTCTGCCTCCTTCCTTAGATAGGATTTCTTGTTATTTTCTTTTTCTTGATCACAGAAATGTCACAAAGCTCAGGGATTTCACATCTTAGTGCACAGAAAATTCAAGGGTATGAAGCTCAGGAAAACTTTAAAGAAACATCTGAATAATGCAACTCTCTGTAGGTTGGTGTTTCTTGCAACTTTACATTATAACATAGAGATAATGTAACTGAAACCAGGTCCAGAAATCACAATATATTTCTTTGGTTTTATATACAGTTAACAAAAATCACTCAAACGTATGAGCTCATGTTGTATTTACAGAAATCCCCTCACCCAAAAAAGTGGAGCAGATATTTTAATTTTAATCAACAATAAAATCACAATTAAGATTTTAAATAATTTTGAAATTTAAAATTTTAGCAATAGATATACGATTATAAATTATCTAATCTAGTGTTATTTCAAACAATGCTAGTCTAAGTTTACGCAGGTGGACCGGAGCAGAACTGGGACTCTAATGTTTCCAGCCAAAGTTTTTGAGTAAGAATGGAAACTCGACACTGGAAAACCAGTCATATACATGGGGTTCAAAGGACTATAGTGAGATAATAAATGTGTAATAGAGGTAGTGATCAGAGTGATCTGGTAATAAGACAAGAGTGGCTCAAACAAGCAGAAGATTCCTGGTTATTGTAGAAAGGTAGTAGAGGCTATGAACTGGGGGTGTGCTAAGTCAGTAGGTCACTTTGGTACAAAGCTTCAGGGTCAGAGCAGACAATGCTGTCTCTCTGTATTGAATTTTATCAGGAAGAGAACTTCATTATCAGATCGACTTCGTTAAATCAATATCTGACCCTGACTGACTCCAAAGAGCTAAAAGATGACATTTGGGAAAGAGGTCATAGTGGTGATTCACAGATGGAATTTGTATTAAAAAAGTCACAGATTACACTGGTTCATAGGGAAGATTTAACACCAAGGTGGCAACAGGCACTGACAAAGTGCTGGAACACTGGTCACTCAGGTGTGACCTTAGGGAATTGACTTACATAGGATGACTATAAGGGAAAACTGTTTCTTCTGTACTTACTCACGGAACACTTCTGAAGCCAAATGTGTATGTAGCATTTTTCCTCACCAACCAATTCACTAGCTCTCAGAGGACACCAACCTAGGTGTGCTACAAATTAACTTAATTCTCAGACTAACTACCCAGAGTTAGTGTAGACCCCACAGATTAAGGGCCCAGCCCTCAATAGACAGCCTCCCACTTCAGATGCCAATCTCATATAGTGGGTATCTAGGTTATCCACAACTTCTCTCTGACGTGGCTACAAATCAGAAGTTCTCTCCTCATGTTTGATAATCTGCTAGAACAGCTCAATGAACCCAGGAAAAGTTTACTTACTATTGCTAATGTGTTAAAAAGAATAAGTTAAAGGATAGAAATGGACAACCAGATGAAGAGATAATAAGCCATGAGGTCTGGAAGGGTCCTGGGCACAGGAGCCTCCATTCCTGTGGAGTTGAGGATGTACCGCCCTCCCAGCATGTAGAGGAGTTCCTGCTCACCAGCCCAGAAACTATCTGAACACCATAGTTTAAGATTTTAACAGAGGCCTTGTTACATAGGCACAATTGATTAAATCATTGGTCACTGGTGATTGAGGACAATCTCCGGCCCCTCTCCCAACCCCAGAGGTTGGGGGTGTGGTGAGGCTGAAAGTTCCAACCCTCTAATCATGTTGGTTCCCCTGGAAACCAGCTGCCCAACTTTAGGGGCTTTTCAAAATATCACCTTATTAACATCAACTCAGCTGAGGTTGAGAGGGGCTTGTTTTGAGTAATAAAAGACACTCCTTTCACCTGTATCACTCCAAAGTGGCCCCTGGGGTACATTTTAGACTCCCTCATGTTCTGCAGAGGATTGCTTGCAAATCACTAGATTAGACGACTTCTGACCACTTTCAGAAAACACTTTCACTGCTAAAAACACTAGTAGTTTGTGGTTCTAGATGCAGACAGACTTGGACATTTGATTAACAAGGGTAGAGGGGTATGCCATTGCTAATGTTTATAACATTTGTTTATGGCTTCCTAAATAACAATTTTACAGAGAAATAGATTCCAGTCCTCATCTGGCTTTTATTGCACTCTTAAGTTTAGGAACACAATAAAGGAATGAGGGCAAAATATATGTGAAAGCTACAATTCCCTCTTCTCAGGGTAAGGTAATGCATTGACTCCTATGGAGGTCCAATCCTGTCCTCTAGATAGCCAGAGGAATTGAATATTGGCAGTATAAGCAGAATCTGCTTTCATATCAGTTATGGCTTTCTGCACATGGAAAAATGAGTGGACAACACAGCTGCATTTCATTCCCAGTTTGGCTGTTGAGATCTTGGCTGCAGTATCTTGGGCGTATCACTTGACATAATGATTGGCATGGCATGTAGCATGCTACTTGGAGACTCCGAAGACCTAGAATCTTCAGCTCAGGTTTGTCAATTCTGAGTTTTTGACCTTGGGCATATTAGATTGGTTGGGAAAATACATGAAATACACGGCATCACTAGCCTTATTGCCAGGCATATAAATGGCATCTAAAAATGATGCATACAATAAAACCAGCAGCAACCACAGTACTAATAAAATTTGTTCTCTAGGATTAGTCTTTTCATCAGCAAAATTATAATAATAAAATATCTAATAAATCCTTTTCTGGAAGCGAAGGATCTTTTATTTCTATCCAGGAAGGTTTGGTATCTCACTGGAGGTGGTATCACATATTTGGGGGTTGGGGGGGTGGGTGTAGCAATGGAATCCAATAAGTTCTTTTGGGCTCAATCTCAAAGAGTTCTATAAGACTAATTTTGTCATTAACTTCAATGTAGGTGGAGTAGGGAAACTAAAGATAGGATTACTTACTATATATATTTTAGGGGCAGGCATAGGACAGCATTCTAATATTCTTGGAGACAAAATATTCCTGCCTGAGATGATGATATTAGTTATTGGTGAAGGGTAGGAATCCTTTCTTTGCTGCTGACATAATAAATGGGTGACATCAAGCCTCAGAGGGTACACTTTGGTGGTGCATCAATATTTTCTTGCTTTTGTGTTACTGACAGGAAATACATAATTGGTCTTTCTTGATTCATGAAGTCCTATCATTTGCAATATTTCAGATTTCAATAAAAAGATATTTGATTCATAGGGGAAAACTAGACTCTGAGCAGACCACATAATGGATCATCCATGATGTAGAATTAGAATATTTTCTAGCAAAATGTAATAGAGCCCTTCTGAATAAGCTCAAACTAGGAAGAAACAATATTAGATGATATTAAATATTGCAGTGGAGTTTGGGACACTAAGGTTGATTGGGCTATTTGTTTTGTGATGTTCCCAAGGGTTATTTTGTTGAGAGTTTGCCATTAAGTGGTGTAATTGTGTCAGTGGATGGGGGTCTTTTCAATTTGCATAATTTCCTCAAGGGACTGCAGCTGCTAATTTGGTGATTAATTATCCATATTACACATTGTTTATTTGACCATGCCCAGATTAATTTCTTTTTCCTAGCAAATCATATTTAGATATGAATTTGCATATCTTGATTACATTTTAATGTCTTGGCTATCATTGTCTCTTCCCTGGACACCTCATGAGATTACAGAAGAGTGCTCAAGCAGAGAATGATGGAATGTCTTAAATGACATTGCACATCAGTGGATAGATAATGCACATGACTTATTTTTAGTGAAGAATGTGTTCTTTCATAATCAAGTGAGTTATGACATCTAATGTACAATATATTTTGTGTTTCTACCATTTCCATTTTACTATTACCAACCAATTCAAAAATAGTCTTTATTAACATTCAGAATGTTGCTATACATATGTTTATCTCTTTAGAGGTCCAAGTATTTTATTTCTATTAATCTGTAATCTTACATTCTGTTGTTAAATATTTGCAAGCTGGGTCAATATTCAAGGTCTCTGATCAGTTAATCTCCCTCTCAATTTTTTCCAGGCTGGAGAACCACTAGGGGTCTAGTGACGCTATACCATAAATTTCTTGCAGTCAGAGACTGTGTCTCAATTTATCTTTTATTTTATTTATCTAAGAGTGTTCTTACTGTTATGATTTTTGAAAAGTAGGTAGTAACTAATGTTCATAGGTATACTTTCTTGAGTGCTACCTAGGTTCCAGATAGTGTTAGGGGCTTTATTTGTATCATCTCCTTTAATCGTTAAACCATCTTATGAGAAAAAAATATTACTTTCTTTGTTTTATGGTGAGACAATGAGTTCTAGAGACAGTCAGAAAGAAATTTGTTCAAGATAAGATAATTAGAAAATAGTGGAGCCAAAATCAGAAACTGTCTAATAATAAAACCTGTGCTGTTAACCAACTGTATGGATGTAGAGTACTAAGTGATAAACACTCAACCTACAATAAATCAATGGGCATATTAATCAACTGAATGGGCATAGAATGGGCAAATTAATGCTCTTAGCTATGAGTGAAAGCTCTTCATCAACTTCTATGCACATAGAATGTTGAGTAAATAGATGAATGAATGAATGATAGAATATTATTCTTCTATATCATAGATACAATTATATAAAGAACTATTTTAATCCTCCATCCAAATGTCAAGGTAGGAACAGACATGGTTAAGTCTAAGGCCTCCCAGAACTGGGGGTTGTCAGGCCTGAAGTAATGAGTAGATTGTGGTCAGACTGCTGAGGTGGAATACAGGTATTGCTCATCTCTTCCTCTGTGTTACATTCCCCATGCCCCACTTGTGGATGGAACATAGAAACTGGCTTACTCAAGCAATCTGCATAAAATATGGCCTCTAGCCAGCATTTTAGCTTTGATGATGACAAGTAAAGAATAGCAACTATTGAAGAATCTTGCTGCTTAATAGGAGGAGGAACCTTATGATACACTAAACTACTGCTCTCTTGTTTCCAGAAGAGGTATGCTTCAGGCACCTGAAAGCTCTTTCCCACCTGTCCAAGAGTGCTAGGGCTGCATAAATTGGCCTTAGTGGCAAACTTAACAACTTTATCATGGCAGCTTGCACCATGTCCTGGCCATGCTAGAATGTTGGGCAAACTTCTTAACTTCTCTTTCAGTTTCCTCATTTATAAAATAGGAATAATCATATTATTAATATGTTTTAAATACATTAATTATATATACAATTATATATCTCTACATAATTAATTTATCACCAGATGCCACAAGGTTTGAAAAAAGTAAAAAAGAAAAAGAAAAAAATTAATCAGTGGTGATTTAAGTAAAATATTAATGAATAGTAAAAATAAAAGGAACATTAATATTATAGAGTTATTCTAACAAATAAATGTTACTGATTATCAATTCTTTGGACCTTTGTCAAGTACTAAATATGTTTGGTATCAATATTATAATAATCTTATGAAGATCTGTCCTTATCTCTATTTTACAAGTGAAGAAACTGAAAACCAAACAGGTAATTTACTTTAAGGGCACATATCATGCATATATATGTGTATATGCACATGCAAAATGCATCTACACACATATATATGCACATAGTTTCCTCTTTCCTTCTGTTACTCTGGAGAACCTAATACAATACCCTAAATATTACAATAGAGAAGAATCTAAAGTTCCAGACACATGCTGTGAATATTTTGGAATATTCAGGTAAATGTTAATTTTGTTTGTGTTTTTAGAAAAGTTGTATCTTCTAAACTGGCAAAATGAATTCAATTCTGCTTCTAACTTTTAAAAACACATTGTTGAAAGAATTCCACGCTAATGTTGGCATCTATACAGATTTTCTAAGAGCATTTTGTAAACGAGGAGTCTCACAATCATCCTACTTCTTCCATGCATTTCCTGGGCATATTGGCAAGTAGCATTAAGTTGATGAGGGAGAAGGAAGCCAAGAAATTATCTCAGAGTCATCTAATGAGCTAGTGAAAGACCTAAGCTCATAGTCACAGACTGGGTTTATTACTGTTCTATAAAAACGCCTCAATATTTTCTGACTTATTGAATATAATTAAAGGATAATTATGAGTGGTGAAGAGAAGCATAAAGTAATATTTTAGTTAATTTTGGAATAAGGAATGACATGACATTTCTAAATAAGAAAAACATTGCCCTTTATATCCTGAGAAGCATTTCTTTCTATCTTTACCTCTGTCTTTGGATTTTCAAATTTATTATCTACTTTCCCCTTTTAAATAGTATTCTTAGTAGAGATCTGTGCCAGTTTGGTCACGTATGAAAGGTGAGAAAATATATTTCCTTCCTGAGTATTTATGAAGACCAAATTCAAAAGATACATGGCACTGTGTGGGTGTGGATATGCTTTAAATCATGTGATGGATTTCCTTATGGATGATGATAGAAAGGATCATGAATTGAGAGCCATAGACAGGGGTTTGATCCTTATTCTGCCACTGATAAGTATGCACCCTTAGACAAAGTAAATCACCTGTTTGATCTTCAGATTCTTCACTTGTAAAATAGAGATAAGGACATGTCTTCGTAAGATTATTATAAAGATACAACAAAGTTATCATGTGAAAATGCTCTGTAATCACTAAAGCCTAAATAAAAACAAAATGTGATGCCTTTACTTTCTTAATAAACTTCCTTTCACTTAAAAAAAGTAAACCTGTATAAAGCAATTGAACAAAATGAATTGAAATTATGTGCAGTACATGGCTTTGGAGCTGATTGACTCTAAATAAATATCGTCTCTACTCCACCTCTGTTTATATTTGGAAGCTTAGCTCCTTTGAGCATTAATGTTATCTAAAAACGGAGAGTTTTAGCGAGGACTAAAATAAAAATGTATGTAAAAACATAATAAAAGTGCATGTAAAAGCATTGTGTATACAGCATTGGGTGTAGAGTAGGTATCTCCCCAATAGTTTATTTCCTCCCTATTCTCTCTCTCGCCTCATCTTTCTTTTCTCTTCTTCCTCTCTCCCTCCCTTCCTCCTTCTTTTGTTTTCTTCCTTCTTTCACTCCTCCCTTTGTTTCTTCTCTCTTTCACTCTCCCCTTTACTCTTACTTCCTCCTTCTTCCCTTTCTCTCCCTCCCTCCCTCCCTTCCTTCTTTCCTTCCTTCCTTTCTTTCCTTCCTTCCTTCCTTCTTTCCTTCCTTCCTTCTTTCCTTCCTTCCTTCTTTCTTTCCTTCCTTCCTTCTTTCCTTCCTTCCTTCTTTCTTTCCTTCCTTCCTTCCTCCCTCCCTCCCTTCCTTCTATCCCTCCCTTTCTTTTCTTCTATCATCTCTTCACAAAGGTATGACCATGTATCAAGACCAATCTCTCACTCTCAGTAGTTCCTTATTTAATATTTATCCATCATTTTTACTCTACATCTCTGAAAACGGTGTTTTTTTTTTTTCCTCAAACACCTCTTAATCATTTTCTCAGGCTGCATTTTGTTACTTTTTCAGATACTTTCAACATTTACCATGGCTTCCATTCGCTCTACAGACTCCAGATGAACTCGGTTTTCCAATATCAACTCTACCAATCCCTACCCTCCAGTACCAGGACGTTCAGCATAGCTGAAGGATGTCACAAAATTATGATGTAGTATTCTCTATGTTTTTCTTAAGTTGTAACTTCACTTAAGTTTCATAGGTACTTAGCAATTTTTGTATACTTCTTGCTGCAAGAATCATGGTGACTGTTTCAAGGATCTTACAATTTGCTTTTGCCATTTAGTATAGTCTGCCTTATGTTTTATGTGTGTGTGTTTGTATGTGTATAATTTCTGACTACATCCTAGAGCTTGGTCCTAAGTTTTAATAAATTTTTACAGCCTCTAAGTCCATATTTATTTAACAAATATTTATTGAATAAATTATATGTGTTAGACATGTTATAAACATAAAGAATTAAGCATTACCACAAATGAGCACACTCTTGTTCTCATGGAACTTATATTCTATCAAAAGATAGATAAAAATACATAAACAAGTAAATAATAAAGGTAATAGTGGATAGTTGCTAAGTTATTTGTCCTCTCAAGACTATTGTTTCTCCTTTAAAAGGCGGTAAAAACTAGATCTTTCCTCTGAGCCTTTTGGAGCTGTTTTAGGGATGATATGGCTATATTTGGCAATGCCTGGATATCCTATAAGATTACTAACATTAATGACAATAAAAGTGGAAAGAATCCTTGATTACATGTCAGGGCCCTCAGTTCTAGCCATACTTAAGTGTAAATTACATTGCATCAATTTGTGTCTCTTAGCCTAATGACCTCCCCTGTAAAATGAAGGAGTTAGTTTGGATGATTATACAGGCTCCTTTTAGCTTAGTACAGTATGTTTCTAACATCCCTGATGTCTCTGTTCCTAACTATAGGTCCCAATTGATCTGTCAAAGCATGTAGAATATCGCTGAAAAGACACTATAAATGTCTTCTGGAAAGAGTTTCATTTTAATAACTATTAGGACAACAGGAACACTGTGTCTTTTATTAAATTTGTCTGTTCCCTGGTGCTGATAGTATCTTCTGAATATAAATTGCACAATATAATATAATAAAGCACAGTTTAGAATTGTTTTCGTAATAGTGCATTCCATAGTACTAGGCCATAAAATAAGAACCAAAGGTACATCTTGTTCTGTAAACTCATAATTTTCAGCTGTCTAAAAACTGAATGTAAAGAGGAAATTAATAAGCAAAAACATTTCACAGCATGCATGCACTACTGAAAAAAAGATTATGTTCTTTATAGAAAAAAATCAGGAACCCCATTCTTTTGGAATTTGATAACCGACAAAAAATATTTGTTTTTAAAAATTTTGCTTTTTGGTAATAATTATCATTGCCACATTCATGAATCATTCGTTTATTTTTTAATTCTCCTAACAAGCATTTGTTTAGCAATTAGTATGTACTCGATTCTATTTTAAAATGAGCAGATATAGAGATTCATAGTTATTAAAGGAAAAAGTAGCCCCAGAAGCTTAGAAAAGATGAGGTTCCATGGTAAGCTTGAGTGAGTGTCTAACTGAAGTTAGATACCTTTAATTTGAGTCATGCCAACTTGTAGGATTAGTTGGAAAGTGATTTATTCTAGCAGCATTACTCAATTATCTTTAGGAGATCATTAGTTATAATGGGCATATGAGAGATATAAGATCTAAATTGGATGCAAAACGCTGTGGCAATGCAATTCTAATCATCAACTTCCCTTGTCATTGAGGCCAAAGTCATAGGCTTGATTTTTGTGGATCTAGATACTATAACAATGGTATTAATAATATTACTTATTGTAAACTTAATTATGCCATGAGTTTTATACTTTTATTATTCAGCCATCATTTTACTAAATTCTTGAGACAAATCAGGAAAAAACATCTTTGTCTTCAAGATGCTAAGGCAGGAGTCTCACAGCTACAATGGAGTGTGATAAATGCTATGAATCAGTGGTATGGAAGAACATATGAATGGGAATCAGCCTAGTCTCCAAGGGGTTAGGTGGAAGACTTTACATATTGTGTGTCTTGACTGCTTAAACTCTTTTACAGTAGATATGACAATCTGCATCATGCAGACAAAGAAAATGAGGCTAGAAATGATAAGTGATGAGACCAAGGTCACACTGTAGAAATTGCAAGAGCTGAAGTTTTAATTTCTGCTTCCAAAGCTCTTGCTTTTTCTGCTGCAGCAGACCAACCACTTTCTCATTCCCAGATGATTGCTTGCTGGTGGTTATGGGGAAAATGATTGAGAGAATGTGGACAGATCACTAGAAAGCAGAGAAACACTGACAACAACAACAAATACCCCCATACACAGAGACATATACACAAATATACAAACACATACATATACATATATATTCACACATACACACACATATACTTTTTTTTGAATCAGTGGACTCATCCTTATGCAAAAGCAGCTGCGTAATATAAGAGGAAGAGAAAGGCTTTTGGAGTAAGATGACAGGATTTAAATTTCATTTCTAATGCATGCAAAGTGAGACTGGGCACCATATCTTTTAGATCACATTAATTGTGACAATATTTACTATTCCTATATATTGAATAGTACACATTCAATAATGCACTTGCAACCCACTGTAAGCTTTGAGCATTCTACAAATACCAATAGTTTATTTTAAAGATGGTGATTTGTATGCAATTCTCTGATGCTAACGCTAATCTACCAGCCACTATGCCCAGAGTCTAGGCTCAGTAAATTTGAGGGAGCAGTAGATATAATAAAAAAAATTAACTGAATAATTCCATCTCTCTTTTCATAGTAACTTTGGAGCTTCATTTTTACAGTAATGTGTGAATTCATCTGGATAGATAACCTCTTTTTATGCAGAAAACCTGCCCTAGCTTGCAAGATGCAATGCTCATTTTTTTCAGACCTCATTTTACCTATCCTCATCTTTGAAACATGATCAATCCCCGACAGGAAATGTATTTTCTGCATATTCCTACCTTTATAGAAACTCCTCTCTTAGTGCTTCCTCATCATTTCCCTGTCTCTTAAAGGCTACAGTGCCCCTGGGATCCAGCCATGGATATCTTCTCAATCTACATTCACCCCCCTGGTGATCTCATCCACTCTCATGACTTTCAATGCCATTTAGATTCTAAACATTTATTTTTCCTGCCTAGACTTTTTTTCTCAGCTCTAGACTTATATATCTGCCTATCTGTTTGTTATCTTCACTTGGATATCAAATAAGCATCACAAATTCAGCATGATCAAAACTGAACTAATAATATTACTACTGTCCAATCCTGTGTGCCCCTGGATTTTTCCTCATTTAAGTTAATGGGACTCTATTTTTCTTAGTTGCTTAGGCTATTATCTTTTGTGTAATTCGTGACCCATTTCTTTCCCATGAATGCCATGTGTGGCCCATTGGTGCATTTGTTTGACTCTACTTTCATAAATAGAGCATTTCTTAACTCTAACGCTGCCTGCAGAGCTATCATCACCTTGCATCTGGGTTATGCAAGAGCCTTCTACCTGCTTTCCTTGCTTCTACCCTTGTTCTGAGCTATGGTCTATTCTCAATATGGCAGGCAAAGCAATTGTTTTAAAATGTAAATCAGATCATGTCATTTCTTTGCACGAAATTTTTCAATGAAGTCCTACTTACAACCTACACCATCCTTATCATTTGCAGCACGCTACCTCCCTCCTCCATCTCTCTGACCCCCTTTTCTTCTGTCTCAAGTTGTTCCAGCTCCACTAATCCCCTTGCTGCTCCTTGAAGGCCCAGGCACACTCCTGAGAGGCCTTTGTACTTACTGTTTTCTCTGCCTGAAATCATTTCCCCCAAACACTTGAACACCCAGATCCCTCACTTCATGTGCTTACCAAAATGCACCTTCTCTGTGAGACTGTGTTAGGCCATTCTCCCTAAAACTATATTACGTCTTCATTTCATATTTCCTTTCCTGTTCGGTGTCTTCTCATTGGCATTTATCACCATCTAACATAGTTTATATTTTACTAATTTTTCGTATGTCTTAGCTCTCTTTCCCATTTATGAAAAATAAGTTCTAAGAGTCAAAGTGTGTCCTAAATTTGAATTATCTAGCTAAGTATCTCAGACATTGATTTTGTTTATATAGGCAGAGTCTGAAGATAATTTGCATTAGAAAAATGCCTTTATTCATTCTTTAAATCAAGGGCTATGGGAATGTTAGAGAAATTTGGATAATCCAAAGACAAAATTAGTTTGCCATAGGTGCAGGTAGTAGAGAAATATCACAGGCCTAAGTGGTTTTAAAACATTCTCCCCAAGACTGCCCTACTCTATTGGTGGGGAAAACAAAGCATCATCAGAGTTTATTGCTGCCACAATGTGAAGTGGAATTTCAACATAATTATTCAGCTGTAGCTTTAGTGCAATTTTCTTAGTAGACAAGAAATGCAGCAGTTCTGGCAAAATTATTTCACATTCTTTGTGTAGCCATAAAGGTCTGCATTTTCAAGTTGAAATTAATAAAATGAATAGAGCTGTGTTTTCACCCAGAAGTCAATACCATCACAAGCCAGTACCATCCTCAAAAAAAAACCCCAAGAAATATTAAGTTTTTTGAGACAGGGTCTTGCTCTGTCACCCAGGCTGCAGTGCAGTAGTGCAATCTCTGCTCACTGGAACCTCCACCTCCCAGGTTCAAGCAATTCTCCTGTCTCAGCCCTGAAAGTAGCTGGGATTACAGGTGCTGCCACCACACCTGGCTAATTTTGTATTTTTAGTAGAGACAGGGTTTTGCCATGTTGCCTGGGCTGGTCTCGAACTCCTGAGTTCAAGTGATCCGCCTGCCTTGGCCTCCCAAACTTCTGGGATTACAGGTGTGAGCCACAGTGCCCAGCTGAAAATATTAAATTATTTCAACATGTCCTTAAGATAATTAAATAGCAAACTTATCCGAATAAGTGGGAAACCACTGAAAGAACTCTTCAGGACTTATCATTTGTCATCAAATTCTACAGTATCATGCTATACCTACTAAATGTTTGCCTTGACTTGTTTGTTAATATATTATAAGCTTACAGAGGGTAAAACCCGCAAACGCAGGGAATGGGTTACTTTGTTCATTGCTGCTAGTATCTACACTTAGTCACCTAACATGTTAGAGGAGCAAGGAGAAAGCAAAGAACAAGTTAGAGCTGGGATAAAATTTAGGAAGCATGGATTTTCCCACATCCTGTGGCAACCTGTGGATTTTCTCAGGGATCTCCGTTTAGTTGATGAAAGAGCTATTTGGTAACCCTGAGATCACCAGATTTTAGGATACATTTCTATATTAATGTATTTATTCAACAAATACGTTCTGAATTTCTTGGATGTTCTCAATATTACTCCAGGTGCTGGGAATACTGAGCTGAACAAAATGGACCAAAACTTTCCCTTTTGAAACTTATGTGGTAGAGAGACAGGTAGTCAATTAATAAGTAAATATATAGCATCACACAGTATCAGGAAAATATTATAGGTCTAAAATTTTGTGTCTCCCCCTCCCCCAAATTCATGTGCTGAAATTTAATCCACAGGTGGTAGTATTAATTAAGAGGTACCCTCATGAATGGAATCAGTACCCTTATAAAAGGACTGTGGGAGCTTGTTCACCTCTTCTGCCATGCAAGGATGCAGAGAAGGTACCATCCATGAGGAACAGGCTCTCACCAGACAACGAATCCAAATATAGACATTAGAGTCAGAGGCCTGGGTTCACTGGTGAGTATTTAGATGTGTGACCTTTGTCATTCAACCTCTTCAAGTCCGGTTTTCTCAACAACAAAATGGGGATAATACTATTTAATTTTAGTTAATCAAGTTGTAAGAATTAATGGAGATATGTACACTGTGGTTGTCATAGATTAAGAACTCAATAAAAAGAAGATTATTACGTTTATTGTTATTATTATCACCACTATAACTCATACTTTTTGGATATGCTGCTAGATAAAATCCTTTTCTTCCTTGCTTTAGAATGCATTTTTAACTCTAAACTTAAATATTTATCTTTAAACATTGTACTTTCTGAGCAAAGTTTATTTCTATAGGCTGTCTAATGAGGCCAACAGAATATAAACAGAAGGCCCTATTCAGTCGTAGCCAACATGTATAAAGAGTCACAAAGGTGGGTGTGGGAGTCTTCCTGCGTTGGAAATGGGAATTCACGTGTTTGCAGAAATCCAGTTTACTACGCACCTGTGTGAGTATGATTTTCATCTTCTTTGTGTCTTTCTGATGTATATTACAGAAGGAGAAAAAACAGCAGAGGGGTAGCAGAGAAATTATAAGAGAATATGAAACATGTCTTCTGATTAAGTTTCAGAAGGAGATTGTGAAACAGTCATTCAAGAGAAAGAGCAAAGATACAGAGAAGTTATCTCTAAAGGTTTGTCCTTACACTGTAGTGAAGCTTCTGAAATGGAGCTGAAGATGTGAGGATATGGAAGACTTCTTTTAAAATACAAGACAACAATTTGGAGTGAAGATGAAGGAATGACTATATAATGTTAATTTGAAGAAATGAGGTTTAGTCTAGTGGTATTTTACAATATAAGCCCACTCTTAAATTAAAAATAGATATTCAGGGCCGGGCACGGTGGCTCACGCCTATAATCCCAGCACTTTGGGAGGCCAAGACAGGCGGATCACAAGGACAGGAGATCGAGACCATCCTGGCTAACACAGTGAAACTCCGTCTCTACTAAAAATACAAAAAATCAGCTGGGCGTGGTGGCGGGCGCCTGTAGTCCCAGCTACTCAGGAGGCTGAGGCAGGAGAATGGCGTGAACCTGGGAGGCAGAGCTTGCAGTGAGCCGAGATGGTGCCACTGCACTCCAGCCTGGGCGACAGAGTGAGACTCCGTCTCAAAAAAATAAAAATAAAAAAATAAATAGATATTGATATTCAGTCTAGTGGTAAAGGATTAATCTTAATATTTTAGTTTGAAAAAATAAATTATTGAGTTGAGTAAGCCAAGGTTTCTTAGGAATTGTCTCAGTGAGACTCGGTCACTCTAACTGGACAGGGCAGATAGATCACCTTGTATATAACTAGTACAGAAAATTTACAAGAAAAGTGATCCTAAGGAAGTTGCAGACAGTGGCAGTTCATCTTGTGGGGCAAAGCTCAATGACAAAAGTCTGATTCCAAAAATGTAAGCAGGATGGATTCTATGAGATTTGCTATTTTAAAATGATTTCAAGTTCTATTTAAATATTGTAAAATTTAGTAAAATTTATTATACACTAACCATTTGTTAAACAGAGGTATACACAGATGAGAAACAACTGTACCTGTCCAAAAGAGACTCCTCGTAAATAAATAACACAATCAGAAATATGAAGTTTACCCTTTGTATCTTCAGACCACGTCCTAGAAATTACCAATGCTACCTTTCTAAAACTTGGCAACCCCTGCCTTTTTTTGTTGCAATCCTAGGGGTTGCAATCCTAGTCTCTGATAAAACAGACTTTAAACCAACAAAGATCAAAAGAGACAAAGAAGGCCATTACATAATTGTCAAGGGATCAATTCAACAAGAAGAGCTAACTATCCTAAATATATATGCACCCAATACAGGAGCACCCAGATTCATAAAGCAAGTCCTGAGTAACCTACAAAGAGACTTAGACTCCCACACATTAATAATGGGAGACTTTAACACCCCACTGTCAACATTAGACAGATCAACGAGACAGAAAGTCAACAAGGATACCCAGGAATTGAACTCAGCTCTGCACCAAGCGGACCTAATAGACATCTACAGAAGTCTCCACCCCAAATCAACAGAATATACATTTTTTTCAGCACCGCACCACACCTATTCCAAAATTGACCACATACTTGGAAGTAAAGCTCTCCTCAGCAAACGTAAAAGAATAGAAATTATAACAAACTATCTCTCAGACCACAGTGCAATCAAACTAGAACTCAGGATTAAGAATCTCACTCAAAACTGCTCAACATGGAAACTGAACAATCTGCTCCTGAATGACTACTGGGTACATAACGAAATGAAGGCAGAAATAAAGATGTTCTTTGAAACCAATGAGAACAAAGACACAACATACCAGAATCTCTGGGATGCATTCAAAGCAGTGTATAGAGGGAAATTTATAGCACTAAATGCCCGCAAGAGAAAGCAGGAAAGATCCAAAATTGACACCCTAACATCACAATTAAAAGAACTAGAAAAGCAAGAGCAAACACATTCAAAAGCTAGCAGAAGGCAAGAAATAACTAAAATCAGAGCAGAACTGAAGGAAATAGAGACACAAAAAAACACTTCAAAAAATTAATCAATCCAGGAGCTGTTTTTTTGAAAGGATCAACAAAATTGATAAACCGCTAGCAAGACTAATAAAGAAAAAAAGAGAGAAGAATCAAATAGACGAAATAAAGAATGATAAAGGGGATATCACCACCGATCCCACAGAAATACAAACTACGATCAGAGAATACTACAAATATCTCTACTCAAATAAACTAGAAAATCTAGAAGAAATGGATAAATTCCTCGACACATACACTCTCCCAAGACTAAACCAGGAAGAAGTTGAATCTCTGAATAGACCAATAACAGGATCTGAAATTGTGGCAATAATCAATAGCTTACCAACCAAAAAGAGTCCAGGACCAGATGCATTCACAGCCAAATTCTACCAGAGGTACAAGGAGGAACTGGTATCATTCCTTCTGAAACTATTCCAATCAATAGAAAAAGAGGGAATCCTCCCTAACTCATTTTATGAGGCCAGCATCATCCTGATACCAAAGCCGGGCAGAGACACAACCAAAAAAGAGAATTTTAGACCAATATCCTTGATGAACATTGATGCAGAAATCCTCAATAAAATACTGGCAAACCGAATCCAGCAGCACATCAAAAAGCTTATCCACCATGATCAAGTGGGCTTCATCCCTGGGATGCAAGGCTGGTTCAATATACGAAAATCAATAAATGTAATCCAGCATATAAACAGAACCAAAGACAAAAAACACATGATTATCTCAATAGATGCAGAAAAGGCCTTTGACAAAATTCAACAACCCTTCATGCTAAAAACTCTCAATAAATTAGGTATTGATGGGACGTATTTCAAAATAATAAGAGCTATCTATGACAAACCCACAGCCAGTATCATACTGAATGGGCAAAAACTGGAAGCATTCCCTTTGAAAACTGGCACAAGACAGGGATGCCCTCTCTCACCACTCCTATTCAACATGGTGTTGGAAGTTCTGGCCAGGGCAATTAGGCAGGAGAAGGAAATAAAGGGTATTCAATTAGGAAAAGAGGAAGTCAAATTGTCCCTCTGCAGACGACATGATTGTATATCTAGAAAACTCCATTGTCTCAGCCCAAAATCTCCTTAAGCTGATAAGCAACTTCAGCAAAGTCTCAGGATACAAAATCAATGTGCAAAAATCACAAGCATTCTTATACACCAACAACAGACAAACAGAGAGCCAAATCATGAGTGAATTCCCATTCACAATTGCTTCAAAGAGAATAAAATACCTAGGAATCCAACTTACAAGGGATGTGAAGGACCTCTTCAAGGAGAACTACAAACCACTGCTCAAGGAAATAAAAGAGGATACAAACAAATGGAAGAACATTCCATGCTCATGGGTAGGAAGAATCAATATCGTGAAAATGGCCATACTGCCCAAGGTAATTTATAGATTCAATGCCATCCCCATCAAGCTACCAATGACTTTCTTCACAGAATTGGAAAAAAGTACTTTAAAGTTCATAGGGAACCAAAAAAGAGCCCACATCGCCAAGTCAATCCTAAGTCAAAAGAACAAAGCTGGAGGCATCACACTACCTGACTTCAAACTATACTACAAGGCTACAGTAACCAAAACAGCATGGTACTGGTACCAAAACAGAGATATAGATCAATGGAACAGAACAGAGCCCTCAGGAATAACATCACATATCTACAACTATCTGATCTTTGACAAACCTGAGAAAAACAAGCAATGGGGAAAGGATTCCCTATTTAATAAATGGTGCTGGGAAAACTGGCGAGCCGTATGTAGAAAGCTGAAACTGGATCCCTTCCTTACACCTTATACAAAAATCAATTCAAGATGGATTAAAGACTTAAACATTAGACCTAAAACCATAAAAACCCTAGAAGAAAACCTAGGCAATACCATTCAGGACATAGGCATGGGCAAGGACTTCATGTCTAAAACACCAAAAGCAATGGCAACTAAAGCCAAAATTGACAAATGGGATCTAATTAAACTAAAGAGCTTCTGCACAGCAAAAGAAACTACCATCAGAGTGAACAGGCAACCTACAAAATGGAAGAAAATTTTCGTAACCTACTCATCTGACAAAGGGCTAATATCCAGAATCTACAATGAACTCAAACAAATTTACAAAAAACAAACAACCCCATCAAAAAGTGGGTGAAGGACATGAACAGACACTTCTCAAAAGAAGACATTCATGCAGCCAAAAAACACATGAAAAAATGCTCATCATCACTGGCCATCAGAGAAATGCAAATCAAAACCACAATGAGATACCATCTCACACCAGTTAGAATGGCAATCATTAAAAAGTCAGGAAACAACAGGTGCTGGAGAGGATGTGGAGAAATAGGAACACTTTTACACTGTTGGTGGGACTGTAAACTAGTTCAACCATTGTGGAAGTCAGTGTGGCGATTCCTCAGGGATCTAGAACTAGAAATACCATTTGACCCAGCCATCCCATTACTGGGTATATACCCAAAGGACTATAAATCATGCTGCTATAAAGACACATGCACACGTATGTTTACTGCGGCATTATTCACAATAGCAAAGACTTGAAACCAACCCACATGTCCAACAATGATAGACTGGATTAAGAAAATGTGGCGCATATACACCATGGAATACTATGCAGCCATAAAAAATGATGAGTTCACGTCCTTTGTAGGGACATGGATGAAATTGGAAATCATCATTCTCAGTAAAGTATCCCAAGAACAAAAAACCAAACACCGCATGTTCTCACTCATAGGTGGGAATTGAACAATGAGAACACATGGACACAGGAAGGGGAACATCATACTCTGGGGCCTGTTGTGGGGTGGGGGGAGGAGGGAGGGATAGCATTGGGAGATATACCTAATGCTAGATGACGAGTTAGTGGGTGCAGTGAACCAGCATGGCACATGCATACATATGTAACTAACCTGCACATTGTGCACATGTACCCTAAAACTTACAGTATAATAATAAAAAAAAATAAATAAAACTTGGCATAAACCTGTTTCTAACACTTTATTACATTACAGTGTACATACAATTACACAAGCCAGGTGCAATGGCTCACGCCTGTAATCCTAGCACTTTGGGAGGCCAAGGCTTGAGTCCAGGAGCTTGAGATCAACCTGTGCAAGTGTGTGTACATTTATATACAATATATTATTGTGTTCATGATGTCTAATGATAACTTTAAAAGCCCCTCTAGGAAAAGGACACATTTGGTTCTGAATCCTGGTGCTAAAACTTATTAGTCATGTGATATTGGGTAAATTACTTAACCTCTGAGTTTTAATTTCTTCACATACAAAACAGGGATATTAGTATCTATCTCATTGCCTTGTGAAAATTACAGAAGATAATGCTGGGTAAGCATTGACCCAGTACCTGCCACAGAGGGGATGTTCCAGAAATATTAGTTGTTACTTTTATTGTTTTTGTCATTGTTTTCATTCTTTATCCTTATTACTAGCAGTATAAGTGCAGTTTTATAATACCAAGACAACTAAAAGGATGGTCCTAAGTAGCTATTATTCACATATCTATTTTTCTTTTTTTTTTTTTTTTTTTTTAGAAACAAGGTCTCACTCTGTCACCTATGCTGGACTGTAATGGCACTATCATGGCTCACTGCAGCCTCAAATTCCTGGGCTCAGGGGATCCTCCTGCCTCAGCCTCCTAGAGTAGCCAGGACCACAGGTGTGTACCACGATGCCTTGCTAATTCTTTAAAAAAATTTTTAGAGAGACAGGGTTTTGCCATGTTGCCCAGGCTAGTCTCAAACTCCTGGTCTCAAGCGATTCTCCTGTCTTAGCCACCCAAAGTGCTGGGATCACAGGCGTGAGCTGCCTTTGCCTGACCTCACATTATCTATCTTAAAGAACACCTATTGGGAAGATCTTTCTCAGAATTCATTTTATCAAGGAGAGAAAACATCTCTGTGGCACTTAATAAGTGCCCAGCAGTGTTCTAACTATGCAAACATTAATTTATTTAATTAGCATAATAATGAGGTAGCAACTATTACTGCACCATGCCACATTGTTCTAACCAGGAAACTTCTACACTAACCAATGCAAGAGAACAGAGGGGATTTCCAGAAAACCGATGCTGAGAGGATAATCCTGTAGATTCTCTGTCCCTCTCTCTCTTTATCTCCTGTTCTTTTAACTTTTTCTAAATTGCACCAAGGCATTTTATGGGCCAGGGGTGGCCCTGAGAGTCTCCCTAACTTTTAAGTTACAGATCTAAGATTGAATCAGGGGGTCTCACATGAGCACTTTATCCAGTACAAATGTTTCCTGTAGGAATAAATTCCCAGAAATGAAATTGCTAAGTCAAAGGACTGGCACATTGAAAATGTTGAGTTTCTTCCAAAAAGATTTTTGTTTATTTAGTTTCCACCAAGAGTTTTGTTTCCCCATACCCTAGATAATGTTGACTATCATAATTTCTTTTCATATTTGTTAGATTTTTATTATCATAGAGCAAAAAGTTGTCAGACACAGCTAAATGTTTTTTCCTGGAAGAGTCTTTGTTCATAATTTATTCAATCCACGGTGACCAATACTCTTCTATTATTTGACTTTTTGTCCTGAAAGTAAACATAGATATTTAAAAACCATTGCAAATGGATGTTGTGGTGCCAACAATATTGCTCTATTTGAGCAAGATGACACACAAAAATAGCATATTTTTCCTGTCACACTTCATAAAGAGATTTGGTTATACAAAACCTTATTTCTTTGGGTTGATGTTTTCAAATTTGGGAGAGCAGATATAGAAACTAAAATATCTTGCTGTGTTTTTAAAGGCCTTTTGATTCATTGCTAGGCTATTTCCCTTGGTATGAGCAAATCAATTTTATTAGAATATTTGCCAACCATAAGCTGTGTCTATAGACAGTGTACATGCTTTATATTAAGCTACTTCAAAGGCTGCGTTGGTAGAATCATCAAGGCCCTCCAGTACAGGCGTACTTGTAAATTGCTAGTGTGTCCTTTTATCTTTGAGATCTTCTGATGTGGAGAATGGATAAAAGTTTGGAACCATTTTTAAAGACGCATTTAAAATTTCATCTATGCAGATGCAGATTTTATTTATATTTCTTTTACTCAGATGCTTTTTTAAAAATTAGATTAATTCAAATCTTGCCTCCCCTTTTAATCTATTCTATGCATTCACATTTTAATTCCGCTCACCATCTTTTGATGCGCAGTAAACATGTAGACTCAAATAAAGACTCAAATAAAGAATTAGATTTCACTCTCAGCTCAACTTCTGGGTCACCTTCTATGACCCAGAAGACATAGAAAGGTGGAGGCCAGCTATTCTTACTTTCCCCTAGAGGTCTGCTAAGGCCCCTCAAAAAGTAGAAGAATCACAGGCTTTATTTTCTAACACAATTTAAATAATGGCTAACTTATTAAGAGGTTTCCATATGCCAGCCCAAAGTGTCTGGGGTTTAATACATTCTGTTTTAATACATTCTGCTTCTACTCCTGAGGTTTTATTTGGTGTCCATGATGATATATGCTTGGAAGAAAAATAAAACTGAATACATGTATGAATACACGTATGAAAGCTCCAAACATTTTGTTTGTGTTAATCTATTTTATTTTATGTATCTTACTTTGCAGATTAAAAAAACAAACAAACCTGAGGCATAGACAGGCTAAGATCAAATGGATGTAAATCAAGTAGTTTGTTTCATCTCTGTTAACCATACTGTAGAGAAAAGGAAGTTTAAGTAAAACTAAACTTCCATTTTTGACCACGTTTTTAGGAGACAAATGCAATTAAGGATTTATCTGCTTTCCATCCTCCCCAGTATCCTTATGCTGGCCTTGAAACTCTGCTCTGTTCTATGTTGATTTCAGTGTAATAAAAACGAGCAAATGCATCAATAGAATCCATAATGGAGTCTGATTATGGTTCTGTAGCAAATATTACCTTGCAGAAATTGGCTGTAATCAACTAATTATAAATAAAATGATTTTTTTTCATTTGATAAAGAGAGTAACAAGGGAAAGAAGGAAGAATACTTAGGAATTCAACCAGAGTATCTCAGATTCCCACACATGAATGAAACTTAATGAACAACTAAGACACACTAAAGGAAGACAAATTTCTTTTAGTAAAGCTTTCTAATCAACTTTTCTCTTTATGGAGTCTTTCTAGGTTATGCCCTAATAATAATGATAGTTCTAACAGTAATAGTGACAGTACTAGGTTAGCAGCAGCTGTAGCAATAGTAGCAGTGTAAGCATGGAATTCAGAATCAGGTAAATCTGACTCCAAGACTGGATCATCTGCTCACTAGTTGTGTGACCTTGTGGAAGTTAATTAATCCCCTCTAGCCCTAATTTTTTTAACTAAAAAATAAGCATGAGAGTGTCTGCCTTACAGAATGGTTAGGAATAAGTGAGATGATTAATATAATCACCTAGAATACACCTGACATATAATAATAGGTCCTTAACATCAGTAATGTTCATTTCTTCTATTTTCCCGACTCTTTTTTCATTCTTTTTTTTTTTTCAATTAGAATGGAAAGAGCAGGATGTCTGGGAGTTTCCAAAAGCATTATTCATCTGCTGACATTGGCATGCTGCCATCCATACCTCCCAAATAAACTACTCCCAGCACCTAAAATAATCATTGAGTGCTCTTATAGGCTTAGTATGGTCTTTCTGTTGCTCCTCGGTCAGCTTAGTTGTAATAAAATAATCCCCTGGTAACACATGTATTCAGTTTTATTTTTCTTCAAAATATATATCATCATGGACACCAAATTTAAAGCCTCAGTTGTAGAAGTAGAATGTATTAAAGTCCTCCAAGCCCAATACTTTTATTCTTAGTAGTGTTCTTTAGAGAGTCCTATTAAGACATTTATCTTTCTCTTAAGCCTCAAGTACGAGGGCGTTTGATTCTTTTCACTTGGTTAGTGAATTACAGTGGGTATTAGGGCTAGATAGGTCCAGTAATCTTAGATAATTTCTGCTAACAAGTGACAGTTTATGTAAACTTTTATGTTTTTTACAAAAATGTAATTAAATGAAACAGTGGGAAAATGAAGAATGCAAACTCAATTCTTATTGGGAACAACCCTACTCCTGGCCATGCACACAACCTCGTCAAGGTTGTATCCTCCCTCAGACACAGAGTACAGAGTGATGAAAAGAGCAGTGATGAGAAGAGCAACAGGCAGGCTAATTCGATAGGTGATGAGAAGACTAGTGAACCAAGCTCCTAAAAAGATAAGAGTCAGGGAAGATCCATGGCTGTAAATAATAAAAACTACTCAGGATGAATATGCTTCAGTTGATCATTTTTCCTGCCACTACATCATAATTCTAAAGACTTAAAGTCTTGAAAAAGAGAATCTGATTGAACTAACTTGGGTTAGAGGGCAGGGAGTGGGCAGGGCACATCAAATTAAAGTCCCACTGTCACTGTGAATCATGGAAGCAAGACAATTTCTTAACTTGCCAAACCAAGAAAAAAAAAAAGAGTAAGTGGATGCTAAGCAAGCACAAATCAGGAAAAAACAAATATTCATTATGGAAGGCAATGAGTTCTTTCTGGCAATGACTCAATTATTTACAAACACATTCCATGCAAATTTTTATACAGATTTTGTAATAATTTTTCAAAAAGATAATGTACCATTAAATTTAAAGTGGAATGACATATAATAAAATGTACATAATAAGCAATGTCTTTAGCCATTTTTAGCTATAGTAGGAATATAAATTTAGTTCCTGATTCTGATTCTGCCACCAACCAGCTATGTGACTTTAGGTTGATAATATTACCTTTCTGTATCCGATTTTGTGAATATTTAAAATGAGGAAATTGGGCAAAGATCTCTTTAAGGTACCAACTACAGCATAAGAATGATCCTTGGACCTCCACTTAACCCTATACCAAACCGATAAGCTGAATTAGTTTACAGCCATGCTTTTAAGTTTGGCCATCATGAGCTGGAATATTTTTCTTGATTAACTCATCTTGTTCCAATAAAAAAAAAGAAGTTTCATAATTATTCTCGGCAAGCATTCAAAAATATGCCTCACTATCCAGTTCCAATTAATAATGTGTGACTTGTTAAAAACAGATTTTGTTCATTTGAAGGTTTTAATAGCACCCAGTTTCAACTGAGTTCTCTTGGGAAAATATTTAGCATGCATTTAACTAGCTTGACACGTACAACTAATTGATTTGTCTAAAGCAAAATATTATATGAATTATAAACAAAGAACTGAAAGCTGAAATGATGCCAGAATGAAAGCCTGAGATACCCTATGGTTAATGAGCCTCAGGTTGTTTTGCTGCTATTGTTTTTGGTTCTTACTCCTACTAAATAAGGTACAGAAATGAATGTTATGGCATCTTCAGTTAGAAAACTGAAATTTCATATATAAGGCAGCTCTTTATGTATTTTCAGAAATTGAAAGAGCTTTCAGAAATCTGATTTTTAAGAAATGTGTCTGTGATGGTTAATACTGAGTGTCAACTTGATTGGATTGAAGGATGCAAAGTACTGTTCCTGGGTGTGTCTGTGAGGGTGTTGCCAAAAGAGATTAACATTTGAGTCAGTGGACTGGGAGAGCCATACCCATCCTCAGTCTAGGTGGGCACTATCTAATCAGCTGCCAGTATAAAAGCAGGCATAGAAAGAGCAGACTTGCTGAGTCTTCTGGCCTTCATCTTTCTCCCGTGCTGGTTGCTTCCTGCCCTTGAACATCAGACTCCTCTTCAGCTTTTGGACTCTTGGACTTATACCAGTGATTTGCCAGGGGTTCTCAGGCCTTCAGCCACAGACTGAAGGCTACACTGTTGAGTTCCCTACTTTAGAGATTCTGGGACTCAGACTGGCTTCCTGACTCCTCAGCTTGCAGATGGCCTATTGTGGGACTTCACTTTGTGATAATGTGAGTCAATTCTCCTTAATAAACTCTCCTTCATATATGCATCTATCCTATTAGATCTTTCCCTTCAGAGAACCCTGACTAATACAGTGTCTAAATGACACAGATTGAGTGATGAGGGACAGGGAGACAAACTAGAACAGGCTGCTACGCCTTTCTTCTCTAGCCCTGGAGATGCACAGAAGCAAGAAGGTTGATGGGTATAAGTAGGATATTTGCATTACAGGACTTATAAAATATTAAATACTTTTTGATTTTTGGTGTGGGTATACATTAATTAAATATTCAGTACTTTTCATTATTTAGATGTGATATACACATACTATGAAAAAGCCTTAGGAATTAGAAATTGGCTATGTCTAGTATGAGAGGAGAATAGTTTCCCAAAGCCAGAGAGCATCAGGTACAATGAGTGAGAGAGAGGTAGATAGACAGGCTTTTAGTTGTGATATTCCCTCATCCCCTCCTCCCCTTGCTTTCCACTAGTATTGTCTCATGAAGATCATCATACAGCCAGTTATTTATTTATTTATTTATTTATTTATTTATTTATTTATTTATTTTGAGATAGAATTTCACTCTTGTTGTCCAGGCTGGAGTGCAAGGGCACAATCTCGGCTCACTGCAACCTCCGCCTCCCAGGTTCAAGTGATTCTCCTGCCTCAGCCTCCCGAGTAGCTGGGATTACAGGTGCATGCCACAATGCCTGGCTACATTTTTGTACTTTTAGTAGAGACAGGGTTTCACCATGTTGGCCAGGCTCGTCTTGAACTCATGACCTCAAGTGATCCACCCACCTTGGCCTCCCAAAGTGCTGGGATTACAAGCGTGAGCCACCGCAACAGGCCAACGCAGCCAGTATTAATGCAAGATAGAAAAATAGCAGTTTCAGTTCAGTTTCAGGGGTGGGCTTGTAAGGTAATGTCATCTAGCTAGGGTGAGCTGCACATAATAAGTACAGGTAGACTGGCTGGCCATGAAGCATTTGTTACTTCTTCTCCCCACCCCTTTCTCAAAACCTAAAAGTAAGAAAGTTAAATCCAGGTAACATAATGTTGGTAGGGGTGCAAGAAGATTCCTTGTAAGACGGATATGCCCAGTGTGGAAAAGTTTGTAAAACAAGAGGCTATTTTGAGGTTTATCTCTTTCCAAGCCCTAAACGTATATGAGATTGCTAAAACAGGATGGGGCTGTTTCAGCTGCTCCCCTTCCTATTGTCCTTATCAGCCCAGATGCTGACTTGTCCAGGAAAAAGGGGACCACAGGGAACCACAATAACTTATCTGAGAAAGATTATCACTACAGAAAAACACATTCCACAGCTTATACCAGAAGAAGCAGAAGTACTTGACCATATGGAAAAAGGAATAAAACAAAGAAAAATCATTTTCAAAGAGATAAAGACATTGGTGTAGCAGGAGTAAGCAGTTATAAAGAAGAACTAATTTGAAATACTGGGTATGAAATATAAAATAATTCAAATAAACAACTCAGTGAATGGGTTGAAAGCAACCAAAGAATAAATTAGTGAATTTAAAGATCATGTTTAGAAACTTTTAAAATAATTCTCAGGAAGGGATTAGTAAAAACTAGAGAGATTGAAAATCAAAATGGAGAGTTAAGACACATGGAAGCTAGAAGTCTCAACAGCTATATAATGGATTTTCCATAAGAGAGAAAAAAACTAAAGAGTAAATAAATGAGACAATAGTTGAAGAAATAATTTACCTTACTTTCTCAGATTCAAGGAAAGAAACCCTAATTTTGAAGAAGCCCATAGAATGCCAAACAAAAATAAACAAATTGAACAAAGTAAAAAAAAAAAAAAACCCTCTAAAAACATTAAGCTGAATTTTAAAAATATCAGTAAAAGAAGTGGTGAGGGGAGTATAAAAGCTTATAGAGAAAAAATAGATTACTTCATTAGGAATAAGAAACAGCTTGGTTTCAGACTTCTCGAAAACTTTAAAAAAGAATACAGTGAAATAACAAGAATAGAAACCCTAATGTCAAATTTTATATTTGTTTACCTCTGTAAGAGTATGTAAGAGTAAAATATAAATATTCCCAGGCATATAAGACCCCAGCAGTTTTACCACAGGAAGACTAATTTTAAGAGGAATCTTAGAAAAAGTATTAGAAAAAATATTTCATTATAAAGGATAAGAATTCCAGGAGGATATTACAAGAACTTTGGGAATCAAGGATGAGTAAATAATTTAGTAGAATTTAATATTTTCTTTAAATACATATACCCTAAATGTGTATTGATGAGGCTCAGGACATGGACACCGCAAAGTCTGGTATCTTGGCATGCTGAGTACTTTGAACTGAAGGAGGTTGGAAGGTCTCTGATGCTCCATGTCTACTGGAGCAAGAAAGCACTCCAAGAGCTGTTTTTTCAGATGGTTTGTAATTTTCTGCTACAGATGACATGGCCTTGCTTCAGAATTCTAAAGATCTACTTTATGATTTTCCAACTGCTGCTTTTCATAAACACTACAAGGCATTTTTCTCTTTTCATCACGGATACCTTTAATACTATAGATTCTGCCAGTTTACATGGCCCAAATGGCAGGGATGTTTGTTCTGTAGCTTGCACTTTGATACGGTTTGGCTCTGTCCCCACCCAAATCTCATTTTGAACTGTAGTTCCCATAATCCCCATGTGTTGTGGGAGGCACCTGGTGGAAGGTAATTTAATCATGGGGGCAGTTACCCTCATGCTGTTCTCACGATAATGAGTGAGTTCTCATGAGATCTGATGGTTTTATAAAGGGCTTTTCCCCCTTTTTGATGGGCACTTTTCCTTGCTACCACCTTGTGAAGAAGTACGCGTTTGCTTCCCCTTTCGCCATGATTGTATGTTTCCTGAGGCCTCCCCAACCATGCTAAACTGTGAGTAAATTAAACCACTTTCCTCCACAAATTACCCTGTCCTGTGTATGTCTTTATTAGCAGTGTGAGAACAGACTAATATAGTAAATTGTTACTGGTAGAGTGGAGTGCTGCTGTAAGGATACTTGAAAATGTGGAAGTGACTTCGGAACTGGGTAAGAGGCAGAGGTTGGAACCCTTTGGAGGGCTCATGGAAGATATGGGAAAGTTTGGAACTTCCTAGAGACTTGGTGAATGTCTTTAACTAACATGCTGATATGGACAATGAAGTCCAGGCTATGGAGATGAGAAACTTATTGGGAACTAGAGTAAATGTTACTCTTGCTATGTTTTGGCAAAGAAACTGGTGCCATTTTTGCCCTAGCCCTAGAGATCTGTGGAACTTTGAACTTGAAAGAGATGATTTAGGGTATCTGGAAGAAACTTCTAAGCAGAAAAGCATTCAGGGTGTAACGTGGGTGCTGTTAAAAGCATTCAGTTTTTATGTATTCACAAAGATATGGTTCAGAGTTGGAACTTACGTTTAAAAGGGAAGCAGAATATAACAGTTCAGAAAATTTGCAGCCTGACAATGTAATAGAATAGAAAAATTCATTTTCTGAGGAGAAATTCAAGCCTGATGCAGAAATTTGAGTAAGTAACAAGGAGAAGAATGTTAATCACCAAGACAATCAGGAAAATGTCTTCAGGGCATGTCAGAGACCTTCAATGGCAGCCCCTCCCATGATAGGCCAGGAGGCTTACAAAAAAAAAAAAATGGTTTTGTGGGCCAAGCCCAGGGCCCCCGTGGTGTGTGCAGCCTAGGGACTTGGTGCCCCACCTCCCATCTGCTCCAGTCATGGCTGAAAGACACCAGGGTACAGCTCGGGCCATGGCTTTAGAGGGTGCAAGACTCAAGCCTTAGCAGCTTCCACTGGTGTCAAGCCTGCAGGTGCACAGAAGTCAAGAATTGAGGTTTGGGAACCTCCGCCTAGATTTCAGGGAATGTATGAAAATGCCTAGATGCTCAGACAGAAATTTGCTGCATGGATGGAGCCCTCATGGAGAACCTCTGCTAGGGCAGTGCAGAAGGGAAATGTGGGGTGTGAGCTCCCACACAGATTCCCCACTGGGGCACTGCATAGTGGAGCTGTGAGAAGAGGGCCACCATCCTCCAGACTCCAGAATGGTAGATCCACCAACAGTTTGCACCGTGTGCCTGGAAAAGCCACAGACACTCAACACCAGACTGTGAAAGCAGCCAGACTATGGGAGCCCACCTCTTGCATCAGCATGACCTGGATGTGAGACCTGGAGTCAAAGTAGATCATTTTGGAACTTTAAGCTTTAATGACTGCCCTATTGAATTTTGGACTTGGGTGGATCCTGTGGCCACTTTGTTTTGGCCAATTTCTCCCATTTGGAATGAGTGTATTTATGCAACGCCTGTACCCCCGTTGTATCTAGGAAGTAACTAACTTGCTTTTGATTTTACAGGCTCATAGGTGGAAGGGACTTCCCTTGTCTCAGAAGAGACTTTGGACTTGGACTTTTGAGTTGATGCTAGACGGAGTTAAGACTTTTGGGGACTGTTGGAAGGGCTTGATTGTGTTTTGAAATGTGAGGACATGAGATTTGGGAAGGGCCAAGGGAGAAATAATATGGTTTGGCTATGTTTCTATTTAAATCTCATCTTGAATTATAGTTCCCATAATGGCCATGTGTCATGGGAGGGACCCAGTGGGAGGTAATTTAATCATGGGGGCAGTTGCCTTCATGCTGTTCTCATGATAGTGAGTTCTTACAAGATCTGATGGTTTTATAAGGGGTTTTTCCTGCTTTTTGCTGGGTACTTCTCCTTGCTCCCCACCATGTGAAAAATAATGTGTTTTCTTCCCCTTCTACCATAATTGTAAGTTTCCTTAGGTCTTCCCAGCCATGCTAAACTGTGAGTCAATTAATCCTCTTTCTTCTATAAATTACCCAATCCTGGGTATGTCTTCATTAACAGCATAAGAACGGGCCAATAAAGACTTGCTGCAAAGTTTATTCCTACTCTAGGCCTAATTCAAACTTGACTGCAGTGTCACTTGGTAGATCTTTGTGTGTCTTTCTTAGTGACAGGAGATATGAGATTGAATAAGTTCTTTACTTTGGAAGGGATGCTCCAGCATTCTCCAAACCAGCATGCTCCTAAAATCTTCACTGACGTAGTGAGCCCCTGCATCTTCTACAGCACATGTATCTTACCAAGACCTCGAATGTACTTGCCATTTCTAGCACATCCAGTTTGATTAACATTATAGCATCAATAGAATGTACTATTAAAAAATTTTGTAAAATGTACACATGGTTCAAGTCACTTCAGCTTCAATTATAACAGAGGATGAGAGAGTTGACACAATGTTGCCCATCCCATGTGAACCATAATCTGCTTCTGATCCTTCTTCTGGTCATGCTTCCTAATAAGAATGGAAAATAATGTATTTGCCAAATAGATGTCTGCATACCATGTACTGAGGCTGTGTGTCTTCCTCTTGGCTTTCCTCAGTCTTACAGCTCTTACCCTATAGACCAAGGAATTAATATAGCAGTTCTGCCAACCAGCGAGTATGTTCAAATTATTCACTTTTTAGTTGGAAAAATGACCACTGAGTGGATCCATGAACTCAATGGACCTACTGTAAGCTGAACCTAGACCAGAACTACGTAAGGTTGGCCCCCATACATCGTTATTCTAAAAGGGGCATCATGATTATCCTTCACGTCTCCAAGAATCAGTATCAGTTCATATCCTATGTCCAACATATTTTTATATGTCTTAGCAGTCTGAGTATTCTCCTTTCCCCGGTGCACAGTTAGTTGTATCAATGGTCACAAATCCCACGGAGGAAGGACTGAGAATGCACACCTGTAGTGGTGTTGCAGAGTTCTTCCTCCTGAGGACCTGGCCTCTCTTTCCGCCATTCTGTTGTGGGTCTAAAATCTGATTTAGATCTAGAAAGTGGGAAGGGGTCATGATTTTTATTGAAATGGATGCCCTAGCTTCCTGATCATCCATCCTTGAATTATTTTGATTGTATAGATTGAGCAAGAATCCTTGTAGGTTGCCCATCCATCCTGTCTCTAAGGCACTGTGTTCTATATGACCATCCCTATATCTCTCTGAAGGTCAGCACCACCACCATTTTCTGGCTTGCTGCCCCACTCAGACCTTGCTGCTTATTTCTATAATTGCAGCCACCTGCCTTCTCACAGTTAAACACAACCAGCTGGCCTCTATTATTTTGAGTTCTTATCATGTCTCATTCATATCAGTTCTGTAACAGCACCTTCCACCACCAGATGGTGAGCTTCTCAGCAATGTCGATGCCCTACTCAATGCCATATTCTTTATAGCTTTGGAAAATCAACTGTCTCTGGGTTTTCATCATGAAACATTGCTGGATGGTAGGTATCCTACCTGTCCTGGTTGTCATTAAGAGAAGCTGTAAGTTGAAGAAGACGTGTCATGGATATATCTCAAGAAAGAGCTAGGCAATTTCTAGTGAGTACAAAAAGTAAACATGAACAAAATAATCCAGGTAGAATCTATTGGAAAAAAATAGAATTTATCCTGCTCAATACATATGTTAAAGGTCTTTCTTTCCCTTATTGAATATACGTTCAGTTAATAATTCCAATAACAAATTGGAAGAATTAGAAATTCCTTACGAATCAACCTTACAGCAGAGTTTTTATTAATACTAAACCCAACAAAATTCCCATCAATGTTAGACTAGATAAAGAAAATGTGGCACATATACACCGTGGAATACTATGCAGCCATAAAAAAGAATGAGTTCATGTCCTTTGCAGGGATATGGATAAAGCTGGAAATCATCATTCTCATCAAATTAACACAGGAACAGAAAACCAAACACCACATGTTCTCACTCATAAGTGGGAGTTGAACAATGAGAACATATGGGCACAGAGAGGGGAACATCACACATTGGGGCCTGTCAGGGGGTTGGGGCAAGGTGAGGGATAGCATTAGGAGAAATACCTAATGTAGATGATGGGTTGATAGGTGCAGCAAACCACTATGGCACATGTATACCTATGTAATAAATCTGCACTTTCTGCACATATATCCCAGAACTTCAAGTATAATAATAATAAAAGATTCAAGTGATTTATTATTACTATGAATCATTAAAATCTGCAAATTTATTCCATTAGGGAAGAATTAATTGACCCCATTTTTAACTCCCCTCTAAATAAGAACCATAGGTTCTGTGATATTTTTCTTCTTATTCTTTTGCAATCCAAAGTCACAAAGACTTTCTTTTGTATTTTCTTCTTGAGGTTTTATAGGTTTTGGTTTCATATTCAGGTCCATGGTTTATTTTGAGTTAACTTTTGTATGTGGTGTGAAGTATGAATTAAATTTCATTTTTTGTCTTACGGAAATACAATGATTCCATCACCAGTCGTTGAAAAGATAATCATTTTTTTTCCACTAAATCATCTCTCCTTTGTTGAAAATCAAGTGACTACATATGTGATGGTCCATTTCTCAACTCTATTTTGTCACATTGATTTGTTTATGTCAATACCATAGTGTTTGACAGCTATAGCTTTATAAGTAAATATTGAAATAGAGATGTATAAGCTCTCCAACTTTCATAATCTTCGAATTTGTTTTGATTATTCTAAGTCCTTTGCATTCTCATACTAAATGTAAAATTTGTCAATTCCTGCAAAAAACTTAGGATTTTGATTGGAATTGCATTGAGCATATATATCAATTGGAGATATTTGACATCTGAACAATATTGACACTTTCAATCCATGAATATGTTCACTTATTTAAGTCTTCCTTAGTTTCTCTCAGCAATGCTTTGTAATTTTCAGTGGACAGATATTATATATGTCTTGGTAGATCCATTCTTAAGTGTTTCATGTTTTTGATATTATTGTAATTAATATTTTTAAATTTTCTATTTCAGATTACTCAGTGCAAAGTATATAGAGATAAAATTTATTTTTCTATATTGATCTTGTAACTTTTCAAATTGATAAACTCTCTTATTAGTTTTAATAACTTTTTTGTAAAATCCATGGGGATTTACACCAGACAGTCATGTTGCTTAAAAATAAGGAGAATTTACCTATTTTTTTCTAATTTCTATGGTTTTTGTTCCTTTTTCTTACCTTATTGTCCTGGACAGAACATCCAGTACAATGTTAAATAGAAGTGAGTAGGGTGATGTCCTTACCTTGTTCTTGATCTTAGGAAGTAAGCGCAGTATCCAAAAAATGATGTTAGGACCAGGCATGGTGGCTCATGCCTGTAATCTCAATACTTTGGGATGCCAAGGCAGGAGGATCCCTTGAGCCCAGGTGTTCAAGATCAGCCTGGGCAACATAGGGAGACCCCATCTTTACAAAAAGTTTTTTAAAAAGCCAGGCATAATGATGCATGCCTATAGTCTCAGCCACTCAGAAGGCAGAGTCAGGAGGATCACTTGAACTGGAGAGGTCGAGGCTGCAGTGAACTGTGATTGTACCATTTTACTCCAACCTGGGCAACAGAGCAAGACCTGTCTTGAAAAAAGAAAAAAAAGAGAGAATGATGTTAGTTGTAGGTTTATTACAGATTCTCTTCATTAGGTTGCTATATAAATAGTTGTTATACTGCATTTAAAAATTTGTATTATCTTTTATTTTTTGAATATTTTTGATCTGTGGTTGGTTGAATGCGCAGATGTGGAACCAACAGGTATAGAGGGCTGATTGTACTCCTAGTTTTATAAGGTTGGTTTTTATTAGACTTTATTAATATATGTATATCATGTATAAAGTTTATAATATGGATAGCTTATGGTTAATAATATATAATATTTCATATTTGTATTGATACAATCAAGATAATATAAATAACAAATATAAAGAAATAAAACTCCTTTATTCATATATTTGTTCACAAACTAATATACTCATTGATTCAGTTTCTTAATGTACTTATGAAATTATTTATTCTCAACCACTGTTTAATAAAGATCTTTTATGTGTCAGGCACTGTTCAAGGCCCTGGAAAATTAGCCTGAACAATAAACACTGGCATGAGAAAACAAATAAGAAAATATCAGAGCACTATAAATATGTGGTCCTTTGATATTGTGATAAACATACAGCCAGATGATGTGAAAGACAATGCCATAGGGTTTGCTTTAGGTTGGGAGGTCAGAAAGTTATTAAAAAGAAGATGACATTTAAGTTAAAACCTCAGTGACCAAAAGGAATTTGCCACAAACACATTTAGGGGACAAATAATTTGTGCAAAGGAAACAACTTCTAAATAAAACTACATGAGTGAATGAGCTTGGGCTGTCTGAGGATTTCTGAAGCCAGTGAGGCTGGTAAAGATGAAGGGAAATGAAGTCAGTGGAAGATGAAGTCAGAGGAGTAGAAAGATTACACATATCAGTCACCTTAGGCCCAGGTACTTTAATGTAGGAGAAATGGGAATCTCCTGGCAGGTGTCAAGCAAAATAGTGATATGATATGATTTATATGTTTAAAAGGTTATCCCAGATACTAGGCTAGGGCAAGAGAAGAAGCAGGTAGTCAGGTGAAAGATGGTGGTGGTTTAGATTAGGGCAATAGTAACAGAAGTGGAGATATGTGAGTGGGTACCTGTTATGCTTTGGACGTGGAACATGCTGTTGGATTGGATTAAGAAGTTAAGGAATGTTTTCCTCCTGCTGACTTGTGCATTTTTGGGCTCAACAACTGTGTATAGTGCTGTCATTTCCTGAGATAGAAAGTTCTGAGTAAGAAGATAATTTGAGGGAATAGAAATCAAGATGTCCTTTTGGATATTTTACGTTTGAAGTAGCTAATGGTTATTCCAGTGGAAATATCAAATAGACATTTGTGTATCTAAATGTAGTGTTTACAAGGATGCCATTCATTAACTCATTCACTCATTTCACAAAAACCTGTAGAAAACTATTGTATGTTAGCTAACTCTGCTAGCGATGGGGGTGTTACTATCATTTTTTTGGCCCAGCACGGTGGCTCACACCTGTAATCCCAGCACTTTGGGAGGCCGAGGTGGGTGGATCATGAGGTCAGGAGCTTGAGACCAGCCTGGCCAACATGGTGAAACCCCATCTCTACTAAAGATACAAAAGATTAGCCGGGCGTGGTGGCACGGGACTGTAATGCCAGCTACTCAGGAGGCTAAGGCAGGAGAATCACTTGAACCCGGGAGGCAGAGGTTGCAGTGAGCCAAGATCATACCACAGCACTCCAGCATGGACAACAGGGCAAGACTCTGTCTCAAAAAAAAAAAAAAAAAGTTCTTTTTTTAATGGGGAAAGCAGACATATAGATGCATAATTACTATCAATATATAGTGCAATAAGTACTATAATAAAGAAAGAAACAGAGCACTTTAAATAAAAAGCAATGGCATGACCATTTCTGCTTAAAGGAATTGGTAAAGGACATAGTGAGGAATGACATTTTCAGAGTTGCTAAAATTTTGACGTTGATAGTATTTTATCTTTAGTGCAAATATGATGCCAAGTTACTAGAGTAAAATTTCTGAAAATAATCTTGTAAATGCGCATGTGGTCTTTGAAAGCTAAGTGTAATATCTTCAGAAAGACCATGGGGAATCATCCCAAATACAAATTACCTCAAATACAAATAGAGACAAATCGAAGAATCGATGCACTGCATGTGCGGAAAGTAAAAACATTTTTCACATGTTGTATTTTGTCTGATTAGTTTTAGCACCGTTTTGGGGGATAACATTTTCCAATGAGTAATTGAAGGGATGCCAATTTCCTTTCCATCTCCTTTATTATTGTCTAGGCAAGTGAGAATTTTTCAAAGTATATTTTTTAAAATAGTAATAAGCACCTACATCCTCCAGGTAGTGTCTTGGCAACTCATATATACCAAATCTTATTTCCAAATGCTTACTGCTGTTACTACCTACTCTACTTAATTAAGGATTCTGTTCACTTCTTGTTCTACCTCTGTCTGTTTCTGCTTCACATATAGCCTTGAAAGCAGCAGGCAAACTGCTTGAAACCAAAAGTTTAATTGCTTCTTGTGCCCTTCTGGAAGCTGTGAGTCTAGGGGGAGAGACGAGTGATTAGGTAGAAAGTTTTCCTCAGTCGGACAGGTTACAGATTCTTAGCACACAGTTAAGAAAGAAAGAAGCCCTAAATGGAGGAAGCAGGAGGGCTCCATTTAGTTTTGGAGGTGGGTGTTCCCGCAAAAACCAGATCTGCAAGGCAAATTCTAAAACAGCTATAACTAGGGGATGGTCCATTTGCCAGCTTTCTTGTCCCTCCTCCGATGTGTGGTGTAAGACCTACAATGAAGGCCCAATATTGTGTGCTGCCTTGACATTGGGTGAAGCAAGGAGAATGTCAAATGGCCTAACCACAGCTCTCTTCTCCCATAAATCAGGTCCTCTCACCAAACAACCCTGCTTATCATGGGGACTAAGCACAGTGCCTGCTTATCCCTGAGTGGTGGATTTCAGTTCCCCGCCAGCTCATGGAATATCCACACAGCCAATCACATACTGCCGTAGAACCAGGGACCACCGCATTTCCTTGGTACTACAAAACCTGCCTCCCACAGGCCCTGGTTATTCACTCTGTTAAGAGTCACCCATGCGTGGCTCTGCATGTGTGCTGTGTCCTTCTCCCTGGACTGTGGGAATATGTGACTAATAAACTGCTGTTATATCACCTGTCCAGTGTTGGGTGTGCTGTGTTCAGAAATCCTCATAGCTCTGAGGTAGAAATTTCTCCATCACCAATGGAAGTGAATAGTGGGGTGATTAAAACAAGCTGGCACTAACAGGCACATAGCTCTTTCCCTAGCCAGTTTCAGATCACTTTAAGAACTGGAAGTGTATCCTTTACCCCAGGAAAGGTGGATGGATGGCACCTAATTTTGAAAGTGACCACAAGAAAGAATTTACCTTCTTTGCCATCCTAACCTTTCTTGAATTTTTGTGAAACTTGATGTTACACATCCAAGGCTCATGCTCTGTTCCTGCCTTCGTGCTTTCATTCTTCATTACACCATTGTGGTCTGATCGTCTACCCATATCAATGTCTTAATTCTCAATTCTGCATGGATTAGTTCCTCTCCTAATTATACTTTCCTTTTCAGGGCCTTTCCAATAGACACATTAATTCTTCTCACACTGTGCTACCAAAGGTGTTCGGGAGCAGGGCTTCTGCCAGAGGAAATCCTTTACATCTTCTTTTGGCCCTTGGCTTCTGCAATTATGATGCTTCAAGTTTTTCTTTTATGTTTAGTTGATACATAATAATTATACATATTTATGGGGTACATAGTGATGTTGTGACAGGTATGCAATGTATAGTGATCAGATCGGGGTTATTAGCATATATCCATTTCCTCAAACACTTGTCATCTCTCTGTGTTGGGGACATTCAGAATCCTCTCTTCTAGCTATGTGAAAATATGCAATAATTTATTGTTAACTGTAGTCACCCAACAGTGCTATAAAACACTAGGACTCATTCCTCCTATCTAGCTGTAATTTTGTATTTGTTAACCAACCTCTCTCCATCTTCTTCTCCCCTATACATTTCCCAGCATCTAATAACCATAATTCTACCCTCTACAATGTGCTCAACTTTTGAAGCTCCCACATTTGAGTGAGAACATGTTGTGTCCATCTTTCTGTGCCTGACTTATTTCACTTAACATAATGTTCTTCAGGTTCATCCATCTTGCCTTGAAAGACAGGATTTCATTCTTTTTTATGGCTGAATAGTATTATATTGTATATGTACACCATTTTTAAAATCCATTCACCTGTGGATGTACACTTACATTGATTCCATATCTGGGCTATTGTGAATGGGGCTGTAATGAACATGGGGGAGCAGACCAGGTATCTCTTTGATGTGCTGATTTTCTTTCCTTTGGATAAATACCCGGTAGTGGGAATGCTGTGATCCTCCAAGTTTTGATTGGAGCCTATTCTTTGTGTATCAGCTCCTGCCAAATTCAGTAGTTAGAATGCTTGCATGTGGGGTCATTATTTTGTTTGCAGTATTACACATTTTTAGATCACCAGGCTTTTCTTTTGAAAATATTAAAACTTTACTATAAATCCAAGCATAAGTGATAGGTATTAGATTATTTCTGCCCCTCGAACTAGCACAGTGAGTCAAAAGTTGACTTACATCCGTTATCCACGTGGGTATGTTTGTGAATATTTCCACAATAGGCTGTGACCCAGCTGCGGGTATCTTTGGTTTCTAAGTGCGTAATGGTTGATGGCATCAACTTTGTAGCTATATTCATACACAGGAGTAGCCACTCTAGTCACATATGGCACCTACACATACACACTCGAACACACTCCATTGTCATACATACAATAGAATTCTTATTTTTTCTCCTTCTCTCTCCACTGCTGCAAAAAAATATTGCATTTCCATTTGGCTCTGATAGAAAATGTTCTCCTGAGTTAAAGGGAGCACTTGGTTGTCCGATGAACTGGAGCTGCAGTGATAGCATACTCAGAGTTGTCAAGGAGGAGGAGATTGATTTCTGCAAATGGAATCACATGGCAACTGAAAGTGATAGCTACAAAACTATCTTCCCCTTCTGTTTGACATTGATCCTTCCGCCATGTGTGCCAGATCATTATCTTGTGGACAGAGGAGAATTGCAACTTTACGTAATTCAAGACAGTTTTACAAGAGGGAGTGGGAAAGGCAGATTATCTGGTACGATGCCCTGATTGACAGAGGTTTGTAGCCCACAGTGATGGCATGAAATACTCAAATAGAAAAGTATTTATTCATAAAATAAGGTTGCGTTTACATGGCATGGAGATCATTTTTAAAAATGGTAAGAAAATTCACAATATGCAATTCTAGCCCAGGTTAGTATCTAAAAGAATGGGCTTGTGCTAACATGGCATTTCCCAGGTCATACTTTGGTCTGCTGTGCAACTTGAAGACAATTTTTTTCCATTTTGAGTCATTGTTGCACTTTGGTGCATTTCCAAGGTCAGATTAAAGACAATTCATGGGATGTGGAATGCATCACAGTTACCCACGTTAGGACCTGGTAATTGGTATGAATGAATCAATGCATTTGCTCTGGGAGGGTTCTGAGATCAAACAGGTTTAATAAAATTGTTTTAAATGGATTCTTCCTGTCATTTAAAAGAAGTGTCTGTAACCTCATCAATTTGCATTGAAAAGTTCTTTCCTCCTTCTGGAGAGACCAGTGTGGACATATACTTTTGATAATATAGAGTAGGCACTGCCCTCTGCTACACAAGCTTACATGTGTCTGTCAAAGTGTGCTCTTCGTCTCTGGGAATTGTGCATCTCAGACTATTTGCTTTAATACTGGAGATAAAATAGCTTTAATGGAACAGGAATCTATGTGGCACATAGAACAATGAATCTCCTGCCTCTAGAAAGTGTGTACTAGAGAGCACATTAAAATACATTGCAGCATAGGCACACTTTGCAACCGCAAATCTTGTTTTTAAGGAATGAACACAGAGCAATTCTCTTGTCATCTTGATGTACATCTAACTCACCCCCAATGCATAGCTCATATCTCCTCTCTGGTTCCCAATCATTATCTGGCTTGCCTGTCCCACCTCCATGATCCTTACTCTCAACAGATAACATTTTCCCTATGGTATGAAAAGATAAAAGGTCATAATAAGCAGAAACCCTCACAAATGTTCTCTCTCACTGTTAAAAAATTTTTTTGTAAAGGAAACCATACCACAGTCCACTTCCTCATTCCCTGTTTGTTCTCCACCTACTGCAAACCAGCTTCTAGCCACACTGCACTACTAGAAAAGGTTCTCATTAAAACAATGACGACTTTCCAACTGGCAAATTCAACCACCATCCTTTGATCTCGGTGGCAGTCAACATTACTCATTATCTCTCTTCTTCCTTCTACAGTAGTCTCTGCCTTATGTATTGTTTTGCTTTCCATGATTTTAGTTATCTGAGGTCAACTGTCACCCTAAAATATTAAATTGTAAATTCCAGAAATAAGTCATGTTTTATATTGCATTCCTGCACTGTCATTCTCCCTCCTGCTCCATCCCACCTCTGGACAAGAATCATTCCTTTGTCCTATGTATCTACCCTGTGTACACTACTGGCCAGACACTCACTCAGGAGCCATCTCATTATCAGATTGACAAATCACAACAAGAAGAAGGGTAAGTACAGTAGAATAAGGTATTTGAGAGAGAGAGACAGACAAACCACATTCATATAACCTTTATTACATTATATTGTTATAATTGTTCTATGTTATTAGTTACTGTTAATATCTTATTGTGCCTAACTCATAAGTTAAAATTTATCCTAGGTATGTATGTATAGAAAAAAAATAGTACATAGAATATATTGGGTTTGGTATCCACTGGGGGTCTTGGAACATTACCCTGTGGATAATTGGAGACTACTATAATCCAAAATACTGTTTTCTCTTGTTTTAACTTTTTTTCTTACCTCTCAGATTGTTGCATTTCAGTTTACTCCAGGGACTCTGTCTCCTATGCTTGCCTGGTTAGAGGTGAGGGGAGGCATATGTTTTGAGTCAAACAGCACATGGCTCCGTAACACTGGCTCCTCTCCTCTGCCTTCTGTGTTGTCTAGTATACTCCCTCTGTTCCCATTTTCCCTGCAATTCTGTAGCCAGGCTTGGAGATAGAAAGTGCTTAACTTATTACTTGGTGTATGCATAGTAAGTGCTTAATTAAAATCTGCTCATTATGGATGGATTTAAGTGATCTAACATACATATTTTAAATTTTTCTATAATTTGATTTTGCCATTAATTCTCAATAATGCTTCCCCATCTTTAAAACAATTCAATTTATTCAAATTGCAACTATCCATTAGTTATCCTATGTTGCTTCTTTCTTCTTTCTTCTATATTAAATTGGATTTGGATCAATAGCTCTTTATATATTTCATCAGAGTTCCAGTAAAGCCTTTTGATAATTTCTTATTTAATTAAAACATTAATATAATTATATAGAGGAGTTATACATAGATTAATATTGTAAAGTTAAAGATACTGCTGAGATGAGATGAAATGGACTCACATATTTGCTTTGGTTGGGCATTTAGTTAGTCTAAAAGGCACATTAGCAATAGAAATCACCATGTGGAGCGTTTGTAGATTTAGTTTTCATGTCAGAGACAGGATCTACCTTGAAAGCATTTGAAAAGATTGCTAAGGAGACCAAACAACAATGTCCCATGCCCTCTGACTCATGTAAAGTGATGATGAATACATAAAAGGAAACACATATACACACGCACACACACACACACAGAGAGAGAGAGAGAAGAGAGAGAGAAATAAGGTTTAGTAGAAAAATATAAAAGACTTAGATTCAAATTATACCTGCAGCACTGATAGCTCTCTGATAACTCACTTAACCTCTTTAAATGGGACCCTATAGGTTGGGAAGAATTTCACCTACCTATCTGTTTTTTAGTGCTGGAAAGTCATTTGTGATTAGTAACTTTTCTACATATGTAAAGGATTATTTAGATTACCATGCACCCAATAAATATGCATTATCTATGGCTAAATTGAAGTGAACCTCACAGGAAGCTCAATAGTCTTACCTAAAAGACAGTACCCTCAGGGAACATGCAGGTCAATCCTATGCTGCCTGAACAAAATTATTCTTACAATATTAACTATTACTTTATCTTTCCAAGTTTTACTTTGTTCATCTGTAAAAGTGGGACGTTAAGAGTAGGTACCTACCTCAAGGAAGAGTTGTAAGGATTAATTGAGACCATACAGGCAATACCTCAGAGATATTGGAAGTTGGATTCCAGAGCACCACAATAAAGCAAACGTCTCAATAAAGTGAGCCACACAAATGTTTTGTTTCCCCAGTGCATATAAAAGTTATGTATATTATGTCTTAAAAAGTGGTCATACCTTAAAAATATTTTATTGCTAAAAAATGCTGCGTCCTGAGAATTTTGTGTGTATGTATATACATATATAAAAAAACGGTGGTGATATATCATGGTGTATATATGTATGTGTGTGTGTGTGTGTGTGTGTGTGTGTGTGTGTGTGTATATATATATATATATATATATATATATATATATATATATATGGTAGCAAAGATATGGAATCAACCCAAGAGCCCATCAATGACAGATTGGATAAAGACATGAGAGATCTATCATATATATCATTATATACATTATATATATTATATATCACATTATATATATTATATATCACATTATATATCATTATATGCATTATATATAATATATTATATATATTACATAGCACATGATATATATTATATATATCTCACACATTTTCTTTATCCAATCTCCATATCTTTGCTATTTTAAATAATGCAGCAATGAACATACAAGTGCATGCGCCTTTTTGGTAGAATAATTTGTTTTCTTTTGGGGATATACCCAGTAATGGAATTGCTGGGTCAAATGGTAGCTCTGTCAAAAGTTCTTTCAGAAATCTCCAGACTGCTTTTCACAGTGACTGAACTAATTTGCACTCCCACAACAGGGTATAAGCATTCCCTTTTATCCACAACCTCACCAGCATCTATTGTTTTTTGACTTTTAATAATGGCCATTCTGACTGCTGTGAGATGTATCTCATTGCGGTTTTGATTTACATTTCTCTGATGATTAGTGATGCTGAGTATTATTTCATGTTTTTTGGCCACTTATATGACTTCTTTAGAGAAATGTCTATTCATGTCCTTTGCCCATTTTTAAAAGGGTTGTTTTTTGCTTGTTGATTAAGTTCCTTATAAATCCTGGATATTAGTTGTTTATTGGATGTATAGTTTGTGAATACCTTCTCCCATTCTGTATGTTGTTTGTTTGCTCTGTTGATAGTTTCTTTTGTTGTGTGGAAGTTCTTTAGTTTAATTAGGTATCACTTGTCTATTTTTGTTTTTGTTGCACTTGTTTTTGCAGACTTAGCCAAAAATTCTTTACTAAGATTGATGTCGAGAAGCGTATTTCCTGGGATACATTCCTGGAAACACACAATTTCCCAAGATTGAATCAGGAAGACATTGAAACCCTAAATAGACTGATATCAATTTCTGAAATTGAATCACTAATAAAGAACCTACCAACCGAAAAAGCCCTGAAACAGACAGATTCACAGATGAATTCTACCAGATGTATAAGGAACTGATATCAATCCTACTGAAACTATTTCCAAAAAAATCAGGAGGTGAGGCTCTTCCTCAGATGATTCTATGAAGACAGCCTCAGCCTGATACCAAAATTTGGCAGAAACACAATGAAAAAAGAAAACTTCAGACCAGTATCTTTCATGAACATAGATGCAAAAATTCTTAATGAAATACTAGCAAACTAAATCCAGCAGCACATCAAAAAGTTAATATATCACAATCAACCAGGCTTTATTCCTGGGATGCAAGGCTCATTCAACATACACAAATTAATAAATGTGATTTACCACATAAATGGAACCAAAAGCAGAAACCATATGATTATCTCTATAGACACAGATAAAGCTTTTAATACAATTCAACACCCATTTATGACAGAAACTGGCAACAGACTAGGCATTGAAGGAACATACCTCAAAATAATAAGAGCCATCAATGACAAACCCACAGCCAACACCATACTGAATGGCAAAAGCTCGAACCATGTTCCTGGAGAACTAGAACAAGACAAGGATGCCCATTCCCACCACTCCTAGTCAACATAATACTGGGAGTCCTAGAAAGAGCAATCAGGGAAGAGAAAGAAATAAAAGATATACAGATAGGAAAAGAAGTCAAACTATCTCTCTTTGCCAATGATGTGATTCTAAACCTAGAAAATCTTGAAGACTCTGCCTAAAGCCTCCTAGATTGATAAATGAGTTTAGTAAGGCCTCAGGATCTAAAAATAAATGTACAAAAATCAGTAGCATTTCTATTCACCAACAAAGTCCAGGCTGAGATCAATGACACAATTCCACTTACAACAGCCACAAAGAAAATGAAATACCTAGGAATATAGCTAACCAAGGAGGTAAAATATCTCTACAAAGGAGAACTACAAAACACTGCTGAAAGAAATCAGAGACAATACAAAGAAATGGAAAAACATTTCATGCTCATAGATTGCAAGAATCAATATTGTAAAAATGGCTATACTGCCCAAAGCAACTTGCAGATTAAATGCTATTTCTATCAAGCTACCAACATCATGTTTTACAGAATTATAAAAAAAAATTCTAAAATTCACATGGAACCAAAAAAGCCCAAATAGCTAAAGCAATCCTAAATAAAAAGAGCAAAGCCAGAGGCATCACATTGCCCAACTTCAAACTATACTGTAAAGCTGCAGTAACAAAAACTGCTTGGTACTGGTACAAAAACAGACACACAGACTAATGGAACAGATGAGAAAACTCAGAAATAAAGCCACAGCCTACAACCATCTGATATTCAACAAGGCCAACAAAACGAGTGATGGGAAAGAACTCCCTATTCAATAAATGGTGCTGGGATAACTGGCTAGCCATATGAAAATTATTGAAGCTGGACCCCCTACCTTTTATCATATACAAAAGTTAACTCAAAATGGATTGAAGATTTAAATGTAAGACCTCAAATTATACAAACCATAAGCTTTTTATATTTAAAGTCCATTTTGTTTGACATACTATAGCCACCCTGCTTTCTTGTGATTACTACTGGCATGGAATATCCCTTTCCATTTTTTCACTATCAACCTGTTTGTGTCTTTGGATCTCATGTGAGTAGACAGCATATAGTTGGCTCATTTTTTAAAAAAATCCATTCTGCCAGTCTGTTTATTGATTGGATAGTTTAAGCAATTTACACTTAGAGTGATTACTGATATGGTGGAATTTGCTTTTGTCGTGTTTAGATTTTTTTTCTATATGCCTATAGGTTTTTCATCTTCATTTATTGAATTACTGTTTTCTTTTGTGTTTCTCCAATTTATTGTAGTGAAACTTTAAATTCCTTTCTCATTTCCTTTTGTGTAATTTTTCTTGTGATTACCATTTTTGCATCATGCAAAATATCCTAAAGTTATATTCTAAAGTGTTAACATTTGACTTGAATAATATGGTAACTCTGAATAGCAGATTCTTCCCTTTCCCCAGGGTTTCTTGTTTGTTTGTTTGTTTTGTTTTCATCTTTGTATTTTATTGTTCTTTGCCCAGCACCAGCCTGAGATATAAACTTTAGGTCTTCTCAGGTATTTTTCTGAGCCTGCTCCTTTACCTAGGCACGCACAGTAACTTTTTACTTACTCCCATATATGCGGTTGCTTTTGAATGTTTTATTCTTCAATGTCTCACTCTCAAAAGGCAGGGCGGGGCGGGGCGGGGCGGGGTGGGGTGGGGTGGGGCGGGGTGGGGCGGGGCGGAGGGGGTGCGAAATAAAAGGGGAAAAAGATGCTGACCCTTTAAATTCCCTGGGGAATATGTCAACCGAAGTAGGAGGGGCCTACAGCAAAGGTAAGAGATGCAACAATGACCACTACCTCTCTATCTGCACCTCTGTGATCAGAAGCAATGATCAGCAATCAGAGCAGAAATCCCTGATATTTGGAAGACTGAGTCCACTTTTCCTACCTTGGCCTCCTCAAGCTGTGTGCAAGCCGCTCCTAGAGCAAATGCACAGCTGTCTGCCATTGGCTGAAGAGTGGGGAATGGGTAGCTGCTCCTTTGCCAAGAGCTAAAATAGACCAAAATTAACTGCAATTTACCATCCAGGCCTTCCCCGCTGGAAGCTGCAAATGTACAATAGACTTCAGAGTTCCAAAACAGTTACATTAGACAGATCCTGCAAATGCAGTTGCTGGATAGGTGGGAAGACAGATGTTTGGTGTTTCCTACTCTGTCATCTCAGATTCCCTGTATTTCTTCTCTTCCTTCAAGATCTTTTATGCATTGCTTTAGTTAATATATTACACTATAATTGTTTGCTTATGTATTTGCACCTGGAACAGAACCAAGAGACCCAATTGCCATCCTCTACTTTGTTCTTAGTAAAAGAACTATAATTTTATTTTGAATAGCTTTCTATCCAGCTAAAAACCTGTATTCCCTCTGACCCTCTTGCTGCTAGGCTACCCACTCGACACAGTTCTAATCAATGAGAACAACTAGAATATTGCTGGTGGTTTTAAGATAAATTTTGGCTTCCTAATATAGGCATAGCCTCCTTCTTCATAACTGGAATTTTGATGAGAGGCTAGACACAGAGCATGCATTTTGGAGCCATGTGGTAACCATGAAAATAAAAGCCATGTATGAAGGATGACGAAACAAGATAAAAAGGAAGCTATAGTGACATTATGAAACTCTGTACCATGCCTGGGTATGTATTACAGATTTTTTAAATACAATAAAATATCAACCTGTTTGATGAAGCCAGTGTTTCTATTTTCTTTTAACATCACAAAATACATAAAAAATTGAAATATTTAATACTTGCATGGAAAGGGAAATTCATGGGCAAAGTCGAATATTCAAAATACTCTTCTCTCAGAGGAATGGAGGTTCATTATCTTGTCGCACCTGTAACACATTGGCAAAACAAGAATGCAATTATATAGCACACCTGTTTGGAATCTTGGCTAAGATTGCCTTTTCAGGCAGCTGAACATAATTTCTTACTAATAGAGTTTCTCTAGCCAGACAATGAGATTATTGAGAGCAAAACTACGCATTATTTATCTTGTTTCTTGCTCACCTAGTATGGCGCTGGAAACTTGGTAGTTATTCAATAAATATTTGTTGAATACATGCAAAGAAAAAAACAACTCAGTGTCCCAGACTAGTTTTCTCACATTTCTGGATCATGCTTTTTTCTGACTCAAAGTTTTTACTCAATTTTCCTTCTGCCTGGAAAAACTTTTTGACTCCTTTCCACATAACCAAATTCTACCTATTCTTTAAAATTCTTCTTAAATTTCACCTCTTCCATGAAATTCCTCACCAATTTATTCTCTTCTCTGTACTCCTCTAACTCTTGTTGAAAGAAAGTTTCGGGGCCGGGCGCGGAAGCTCATGCCTGTAATCCCAGCACTTTGTAAGACGAAGGCGGGCGGTTCACGAGGTCAGGAGCTGGAGACCATCCTGGCTAATCTGGTGAAACCCCATCTCTACTAAAAATACAAAAACTTAGCCAGGTGTGGTAGCACGTGCCTGTAGTCCCAGCTACTCGGGAGGCTGAGGCAGAAGAATCGCAGGCTGAGGCAGAAGAATCGCTTGAATCCGGGAGGCGGAGCTTGCAGTGAGCCGAGATCACGCCACTGCAGTCCAGCCTGGGCAATAAAGGGAGACTCCATCTCAAAAAAAAAAAAAAAGAAAAGAAAGAAAGTTCACTGTTGGATCATCTCATATGGGTATTTTTCAACTAATTGACCAGCTTTTCCATGTTGCCATATAGTAATCGTATTTTTTAATAACAAAATGTTGTACTTTGGCTATTCTTTTCCTAATAACATGTTTTATATTATGAAAATATAAACAACTGATGTTACAAATAAATAAGTTAAATAAAACTAAACAATTTAAAAACTATATTTTGAATGTTCACTTTAAAAAAAATTCCGCCTGAGATGGATCAGCCATAGCTTCTTAAAATATGAATCTAGTGAAGTTTAGCTGAACACACCAAATTGGTCAGAATCCTGTAGTCCCAGCTACTCGGGAGGCTGAGGCAGGAGAATGGCGGGAACCGAAGAGGCGGAGCTTGCAGTGAGCCGAGATGGCGCCACTGCACTCCAGCCTGGGCGACAGAGCGAGACTCCATCTCAAAAAAACAAAAACAAACAAACAAAAAAATTGGTCAGAATCTCCCCCGAAGTAAAAACTGAGTTTTCAGAGCTCCAAAGCTCTTAGAACTGCACTTAAAGAGACTATCATCTGTCCAAAATTTTCACTGAAGATTTGATTTGCAAGTAGGCTTATCAAGGTCTTTGGATGGTAAACCAGGATCAGGACACTTTCCACAAGGTTTTTGTTTTCATGAACAATTATCTGCTGTCTGATTCATCAATCTTAAATATTGTGGAGAGAAGTTCACATTTCTGGAGATAGTTAGATGTCTCTGGATCAGTGCTTAGAATATCCCCTTCAGCTCTAATTTCTTTCCATTGGAATGCCTCTTGACACAGCCAAATTATTATTTACTTACTCTGAAACTTCTTCCTTTGATTTCTTACTTTTCCTGTCCTTCAGCATTTTGCCAAAATTTTTGCTTGGGTTTGTTTGATTGTACATACACACCATCAGAATTTATTGCAATTTGTGACCACGCACAGTGGCTCATGCCTGTAATCCCAGCGGTTTGGGAGGCTGAGGTGGGCAGATCACTTGAGGCCAGGAGTTCGAAACCAGCCTGGGCAACATGGCAAAATTTCATCTCTACTAAAAATACAAAAAATTTAGCTGGGTGTGGTGGTGCGATTTGTAGCCCTATAGTTAGTAAATTGGACACTGATTAAACAGCCTGATATATCACCTTTATACTGCTTTCTTTGAGTTGGCTTTGGAAAATTACTCAGGCTTTAGAAAATTTGAGTCTACCACAAGGAACACTGCCATCTAACATAGCAAGTAGCTTTTTATGTCTAAATGATCCTAGAATGTTTTTGAGTTTGATGTATGTAATGTTTCTAGAATTTACAGCCTTAATATTAAGGCTTTTATTCTCAGATGTAATATGTAGGTAATCTCTTTAAAATTTCTAGTGATAAATATAGTTGAATTGGTGGAGATGGCAAAGAAGAGGCAAATATTGAAAAATGTATACTTGGATTAGAGCCAAAAGCCTCCACTTTGCCTCTTAAAATTTGTGTGGCATTAGGCAATAAATAAGTCACCTTGAGCCTTAATCTTCTGTAAAATGAAGATGATTCTAAACCTACCTATTACACATGGATATCATAAAAATCATATACCATATTCAAAGTGCTTTGTAAATGAAACTATTATTTAAAAAATCTAGCTATATTTACTGGTTATCTAATATCTACACACGAACCCCTCATTTGGTTAATTTATCTCTTGAATATTTCTGTTTTTTTAATCCCCAATTTGCTTCCGGAATGGAATATTTTAGTTCTAGTCTCTCTATTCAATGAAGACAGAAATGTCAACCTTCCTTCTTTAATTTTAAAGCTGAAATAATGGATGAAACATTTATCTTTACCTTCAAGTTTTTATATCATTAATTATATGGGTTGATAGATATTCTAAATATATTGGACATTTAAACACTGATGGCTTATAAATGCATTTCATTTGCGGTTGTGTGGCTTGCCTACCCTTTTGGTGTTCATACTAGATAGGCTTCAATTTTAAAGAAGCAGTTCCATTAAAGTATCTTCAAAACTGAGAAGTCACTTATCATTGACTGGAGAGATTCTATTTCTCCGTAAAATTGGTTGATTCAGTGGGTTTATTTTGAAAGGCTGGTTCACAGTATCATTGAAGTCCTTTAAAAGGAAGTTCATAGGGCCTGTTTACCAGGTAATATTGTCACATGCATTCAACTTGCAACTGTTTTTGAATTCAGAGCCATAAGGCTCTCTGCAGGTATGGCTTTCAGTTGGTTGTAAAATGCTTAAACAGATGGGACATTGTTACTAACATGGATAATATATTTTCATTGTATTAGGGTTGAAAGTGATTTTCCAAATGGCTTAGACAAATGTTTGTGGAATCTGTCCAGTTAATCTACCAAAAATGCAGCCTGGCTTTCAGAAGCAATTTCACTTTTATTAAATGTTTTTGATTAAATATTTAATTCTTGGGAATTACTTACCACATTGTTGAAGAATCTTTGTTAGTTTCTTTTTGGAATCATTATTATTGCATTATTTAACATAATATTGACCTTCACAAACCCATTTAAAATTAAATAGCCATATGTTTTATTGTATATTAGGTGATTCATTAAAAAATCTCAGTAAGGTCTTTTTATATTTTCACAGGTCTCATGAAGTGAAGGTCAAAAGATTGTTTAATAATTATTGGATGAGATGCTATGTATTAGTCCATTTTCATACTGCTATAAAGAACTGCCCGAGACTGGGTAATTTATAGAGGAAAAAGGTTTAATTGACTCACAGTTCAGCATGGCCGGGGAGGCCTCAGGAAACTTACAATCATGGCGGAAGGTGAAGGCGAAGCAAGGTACCCTCTTCATAAGGCAGGAGGAAGGAGAAGTGCCCAGTGAAGGGGAAAGAGCCCCTTATAAAACCATCAGATCTCGTGAGAACTCACTCACTATCCCAAGAACATCATGGGGGAAACTGCCCCTATGATTGCACTACTTCCACCTGGTCTCTCCCTTAACATGTGGGGATTATGGGGATTACAATTCAAAATGAGATTTGGGTGGGGATACAAAGTCTAACCATATCATGCTGTAACAGGGGTCCAAAGATCAAATAAATTGCTCACTCTCCAACCTAAGAATTAGCCACAGCATAGTAATGGCATCTATTTATTCAACCAACAAATTGAGTAATTTCAACTTGCTGTAATTAGGGCTATAGAGGAGATATAATGCTTATTGGCTATGTGGACTACATAAGTTACTCATTCTGTCCCTGCCTCAATTTCCCTATTAAGATGGAGGATATTAACAATATACACCTCCAGAGTTGTTTGAAGAGGCAAATGAGATATGACTGCCTGGTACAAATGGAAACTCTATATAGTGAAAAAACAAACAAGAAAACAGACAATAATGACCTAAAAAAATTAAAGTTTTAAATAATTTGGAGTTTGCAATATTTCAACACCATTTTTGCACTTCCTCAAATTTCTCAGCTGATAATATCTTAGTAACTAAGTATTAATTTTTATTATTTCTCAAGTTCTTTGAGTCTCTAAAATTGCTACATTCCTGTCTATTGTTATTAACTTATGTGAGAAACTGGGAAGCTGTAATAGCGCTCTTGGTTTGGTAGACTTCCCATCCTGGCATTTCCTTCATCTTTGATTTCTTGACTCAATTATAAAACATATATCACCAACACAAATATTCCTCCTCCAACAAATAATAAATAACCCACAAAAATAGCTGTACTAGTTTCCTGATGCTGTTGTCACAAATTACCATAAGCTTAGTGGCTTAAATTGGCACCAATTTATTCACATACTGTTCTGGAGGTCAGAAGTCTAAAATAGGCCAGCAGGGATGTGTTCATTCTGGAGGCTCTAGGGGAGAGTCCATTTCCCTGCCTTTTCCAGGTTCTAGAGGCCCCCCATGTATGTTGGCTTCACATGGCCTTTTATGACTCTGATTCTCCTGCCTCTCATTACTAGAATCCTGTGATTCTAATAGGCCTACTAGGAAAACCCAAGGTACTCACATCTCAAGGTCCTTAATCTCATAGACAAAAATTTTGTTTTATTTTTTTTGCATTGTAAAAGAACATATCCACAGGTTCCAGGAACTAGCAGATAGACATCTTTGGGAGGCCATTATTTTGCCTACCAAAATATCATAGGAAGATAAAAATAAATCTGAAACATGTTTCATTTTTTAGAAATTAGTTAGGATGGCAGAAAATAAACCAAGCACAGGCAATGAAGAAATGTGATACTATCTTTCAACAAATATGATCAAATTCCATTAGGATGAATTGAAGAAAGGAGCCAAACATTAGCGGAAAGTGTGAATTACAGAATTTTGTTTACAAAAGCAGTATTTTGGCATTGGGTATGAAGGGGTAACTAGAACTAAGACAGCTGGAAATAGTCCTAAGCAGCACTGTTGTTTTGTTTCAGGGAACAGATAGGAATAGTAAGAAATTAGCACATGGTTCCATGGTGAAGTAATGATAATTTTTTTTTTTTTTTTGGTAATTTAGAGATCACACAAAAAGTTTCTCGAATATTATTTTCTTTTTAATACTCTGAGTACCCCTATATGGTAGATGAGGAATGCATTTTGAACTCTATGTTACTGATGAAGCAGTGAAGCTGAGAGATATTAAACAACTAGCTCAGGATTGCAGGCTAGAATGCTCGCTGAAGGCCTGAGAGGCAAATGTCAAGTGTGTGAACTCTAATGCCAAAGGCTACCTGAAATCCATTTAATCCCATAAGTAGCTGAAACACCTCCTATCAAGTCTTGTTTACACTATGGTAGTTGCTTGACATTCTGACAGTCATACCCTAAGACTACAGAAAAATCTTTAAGTTCACAAATAACATATTTTTTATATTTCTAATTTCTATTAGTGCCTTTAATGTAATTCATCACATCACACCGGTGAGCAACTATTGCACTAAATATTAAATGTATAAGTGGGAGCTGAATGGTGAGAACACATGGACACAGGGCAGGGGAACAACACACACTGGGGCCTGTGGGAAGGGGAGTGGGAAGGGAGAGCACCAGGAAGAATAGCTAAAGGGTGCTGGGCTTAATACCTGGGTGATGGGTTGATCTGTGCAACAAACCACCATGGCACCTGTAACCACCATGGTTACCTGTGTACCAAACCTGCACATCCTGCACATGCATCCCTGAACTTAAAAGTTGAAAAAAACTTTTTTTGTTTCATCTTCTGTCACTACTACCAACAAAATGAACTACTGTCTTCTATTTTCTTGACCATTTCTAATAAAGGACCAATTTTTTTATCACTTTCAAAGATGACATATATGGAATTGTTCTGACAAGTTATTAATCACTGTTAAATAATGAACTACTTGGAGCTGTTCAACATTGGAACATGCCTACTAGAAGCTTCTCATGTGAGCAGCAGCTACCCTGCAAATTAAACCTGGAAATAAGAGGATCTGTTCTTGTGAGTCTCAATGTGGGGCTCAGTACGTATGGCTGGTCTTCTAGTCAGCTCCCTACAGGAGCTCCTACTCCAGCTCCCCTGGAGAACCATGCTTATGTGTTGGTATTCTCACCCCATCAAATGCTTTTTGTGTGTACTTGAAACCCAGCTCTTTATGGCAGATCAGGATAGGCTTACTCTTACAATTTGGTACAAAAATCTGTCCTCAGTTTCACCTGGTCTAGAAGATAATACCTTACCTCTTTGAATTACCGCCAAAGCATCCCAAAGTGAAATTCCATTATTCCAATGTATTCCCTAGATGTAGGCAATTAACATCCAGCTGTTTTCCTGGAATGAAACCAAATCTTGATTTTTATGTAAAGGCAAGATTTTTATGTAAAAGGCAAGTTTTCCTGGAGTGAAACAAAATCTTGATTTTTATGTAAAGGCAAGAGGTACTGTTTATTTACAGATATGTAGTCAACAACAAAAATATATCATATCGAGTGATTGCTTAGGATCTCCAGCTTTGTAGAGTCCATATTTCAAATTTGTGTCTCAGCAAAATAAATCACAATATGTTATATACAGGTCTTCAATTTCATTCTTGCATGGTTCACCTGCACATTTTTCAAGCATCTTCTGAATTGATTTACTTAGCAAACATCATCAAATCCATTAGTAGGATCACAAATAGCTTTTAAGTGAAATAAATAATGTAGAGAACATTTCAATCCAGCTTCTGTGTGAATTACCACGGGATCTCCTTAGTGCAATTAATAGAGTAAAACCAGGGAGACCCCCTTGTACACTCAACTGTGTGCACACCTCACCTCCGTCCCCTTCATTATGTTTTCATCTTCTCAAACACTGCAAAGGCAGCTGTTAAATCTACTTTGAAATATTACATTTCTTAATAAGTTTCTTGGTGTATGTTATTGTTCAGTGAGGCTTATGGACTAGGGGGGGAAAGCTAACAAAAGTAAACAGTAAGTACTCTACCATTTTGAGAGGTTCCAGTTCCATAAGCCTTTATGACAGACTTTTGCTGTATTTTGTAGCAACAGCTTGTCACATGGGGCCCAGTTCATAGTATGGGTCATTATTTTCCAAATTGAATTGCTTATCTATACTTCCCTTTATGGGTTACATTACCCAGAAAACCAAGCTCACACTGCTTTTAAGAGTGTTCATCTGAGCTTTGTTTTTCTCCTTTTTGAATAGTTTGCACTGGAATTAATAAAATAATGTGTGTATCTGATAAAGTAGCTCATTTTAATTAGCCTCTTCTATTCCTTTGGTGCCTCAGATTTAAGAAAAAAACTTAGACTCTTGATTCTTTTATTTCACTTTGCAAACTTACATTTCACTGACTTCTGCCAAGAAGGAATTTTTTTTTTAAGCATTGCTATTTGGTTTCTTGCTAACTTAAAAATCTGTGGTCTGAGATCCTCCTCCCACTCTCACCTTACATCAAGAGCTAGTGACCTTGTTTCAAGCTGAATATTGTTCTTTGCTTTGATGTTCACATTCCCACCATCTTATTCACTCCTATTACTGTTGTCTGTTCTTATTGGTGTCGACAGTCGTCCCTAGAATAAAGCCTACCAAAGCAATTGCCCCTAGGTCTAAAGTGCTGGACACTTCACATCTTTGTCACGAGGCTGCAGGTCAAGGAGTTGGGGTGGGGGTGGGCAGACAAGGTAGAGAGATGGTAGTGGAGGGGAAGTATTTGATATAGAATATTACAAAGAATCAGAGCTCGCATTTTTTCAATAATTTATCAACCACCCTTTCTATTCCACACCCCCATACCCACCCCAAAGATAGGCGATGGTATTCCACTGATGCATTTATACACTCTATCAATTCTGATTTCAAACAGTAGACATCAACACTGGCTATCTTCAGCTAAAGTGAAATTTACTGAGCTGTTATGGGGTTCACAATATTAATGGGAGATCAAGTGTAGAAAGATGATAAAACTTGGAAACACCTAAGGGCTGGACATCAGAAACCACATTAAAAGTGATGCTGCAGAATCTATCTGGTCCACAAGCTACTATAACTGAGATGCATATGAGGGCACCTTTTATGCAAAACCCCAGAAGCAAGATCTGAGTGACCACAACTATTGCTAGTCAGAAAAGAGTTGGAGTCCTTATGTTAATTAGAACATGACATCTCATCTGGGGAGAGGCAGCCTTATAGGAGCCAGGCTTTGCATGCAGATCCCAGATAAATTTTAGTCTCTATTCATGAATAGATTCTGCAATTGGAAGGCGTGTACTACACACAGTGGGGAATAATCCAGAAGGGAAAATGGGGGCAGGGTAATTAGAAGTGATTTTAAATATTGAAAAAGATTCATTGCATGCCCAGAAAAAGAAAGATGACATTTGCTGTTTACTTGTGCTTTCATTTTCCCCTAGAATGAAAACACAAGCTTGGGATGAGGCTGGGGATGAAAAGAATTTCCCTACTTTATGGTTTGTATTGGCTCTAATATTCCTAAGTTCAGTTCCAATAGACTTTCACAAGATCTCATATAAGTGATATGAAGGAAAAAAATTAAAATTGTCAGTGTTAACACCCAGGAAAACATTTTTCCTATAGTGATTATAGCATTTTTAGGAAGTGAGGATTATAAAATTATACAGTTTAGGAATCTGGTATTTAATAACATGAATGTTTAGACCAAGATTTTGTTTGTTTAAATTAATTGCATGTCTAGATTAGTAATAATATATTCTTGGTATAGCTAGTATAAAGTAGCAAAACGTCCTTTAAAAATGTTTTTGGTATGTTTGTAATGATTCAGTAGCTTTCTGATTAAACATAGCTTAAACACATGCTTCTCATTTCTGCTCCTCCCAAAACCTCATTAAAATGAAAGTAAACAATAAAAAAAATAAAAATAGTAAATACACACAAAGAATGCAAGAGGAGACAATAGTAGACTGAAATGGCACTATTAAGAGGATGGAGGAGTTAGCAGAGCACAGAAAGATGCATAACAACACTGGATGGGCAGAAAGGCAAGGATACCTGTACTTGATTCCTTCTCCAGACCCTGTACAGGCTCTGGAATTGAGTATCACAAAAAGCAGGGGAAGGGGTGGGGCTACAATCAAGAAGGTGTTGGTTAAGTTTCTTTAGAGACAGTGAGATGAGATCTCTTCTCCTCGTGTGGATAGCCAATTGACTCGGTTGTTTTGAACTGAGTTCAAAACTGTTATTTTGAATCAGAACAACAGGCTCTGGGCTCAGGTTCAGGAGGTAAAGCAGAAGGCATAAGAAAGGAGCTAAACTGAACACAGAGAGTTAAGTAAAAGTCTACATACCAAACTGTGCAGCCACTAGCCCCTACTGTTACTTGGCATATCCTTAGAGGGTTCGTTTTTGGAGAAAATGGCAAGCCTGTGGATAAGGAGTAGGGTGAAATTCCCAATATGAAATGAAAAGGTTCCCAATAGATCACCATCATGTAGAAGCCCCTAAGCGGGAAGGCCCCATCTCCTCATACAGGGCATCCATTCCGGATTTTAATGCCTTAATTTTAAAAATAAATGGACAATAAAAATCACTGGCTATTGAGGAAAGCCCCACCAGAGATTAAAAACACCAAAGACCAAAGAGAAAAAACGGAACTCATAGAAAACAGGGAATGCAGAAAGTAGATTCATTCTGCTCTCTAAAATTAAAATTATAATTTTTATTCTCAGATGAATGAAAAGTCATTGTATTGAATAGGCTACCATAAAAACGGAGTGTCAGTTTAGCCAGATGGAGTTCTTGAAAACTAAAAATATTAAGATGAAGTAAAAGATTTATTGGAAGAGCTAAATAATAAAATTAAAGCATCCTCACATATAGCAGAACAAAATGAAATGGAAACTGCCATAGGTAAGAATATTAGTAGATCAGTTCAGGAGGTCCAAACACTGATCAAAAAGAGATTTTGTCTTTTTTATAAAGCTAAGAGAAGGTAGGGAATTAGTAAACAAATAAGGAAGAAAAAGTTCCCAAACATAAGCCCCCAAGTTTCCAAACAAGAAAAGCCTAGCAAATGTCCAGCTTAATGATTTTTAAAAATTAACACACTATGCTCATCAGCATGAAACTTTAAAATACTGACAATCATAAGCAGATGTAAAAATTTTCGAATAAAAAAGTTTAAAAGTTCACATACAAAAGAAAATAATTTAGGATCCAAATAGACTTTTCAAGAGGAATACTCAAAGCTAGAATGCCAAGAAGAATTCGGGATAAATTCCAGACCCTCTAAAACCAGAAAATGACAGTACAAAAAAGGAAAACTAGAGACTAATATCTCTCATAAAGATGCAAAATTCATCAACAACATATTAGCAACTCAAATCCAACAATATATAAGAAGAATTGTCTGGGCACGGTGGCTTACACTATGAACCTCAGCAGTTTGGGAGGCTAAAGTGGCAGGACTGCTTGATCCCATGAGTTGGAGACCAGACTGGGCCACATGATGAGATCTCATCCCTAGAAAAATTTAAACAATTAGCCAGGCATAGTGGTGCATGCCTATGGTCCCAGCTAGTCAGGAGACTGAGGTGGGAGGATCATTAGAGCCTGGAAAATTGAGGCTGCAATGAGCCATGGTTATGCCATTACACTCCAGTCTGGGTGATAGAGCAAGACCCTGTGTCAAAAATAAAAATAAATAAGTAAATAAAAAGAAGAAGAAGAATTATGCAATGTAATTAAGTGGGATTTTTCTCAGATATTCAAGGCTGGCTCAACAATTAATGTAATCTCTCAAATCAACAAGCCAAATAATAAAATTTATATGATTATATCAATAGATACAGAAAAGTACCCATTCATGATTTAAAACAAAACAAACAAAACTCTCAGGAAACTAGGTATAGAGAAAGACTTTCTCAACTCGATATAGAAAATTAACAAAAAACCCACACCTAACATTATACTTAATAGTGAGAGACTAGATGCTTTCCCCTTATGATTAGGAACAAGGCAAGGTTGCCCCTTTCATGACTCCTATTCAACATCATAATATAAATCCTAGCTTATGCAATGAGACAAGAAAAGGAAATGAAAGGTAAATAGATTGGGAAGGAAAAAATAAAACTGTCATTGTCCACAGGTTACATGACCTCCGTAGAACATCCCAAAGAATTGACAATCACAAAAACAAAACTGACGATATCAAACGTTGGTGAGGATGTGGAACAACAGGAATTTTATTCATTGATGTTGGGAACAATGAATGGTGCAGACACTTTGGGAAGTAGTTTGGCAGTTTCTTACAAAGCTAAACTTGGTCTTACAATATGATCCAGCCATGTGCTGCTAGGTGTTTTCTCAAATGAGTTGAAAACTTTTGTCCTTACAAAAACCTAAACATGAATGCTTAGAAGAGCTTCATTCATAATTGCCATAAAGCTAGAAGCAACAAAGATGTCATTCGAAAGGTGAATGGATAAATAAACCATGATACATCCATAGAACAGACTACCATTAAGCAATAAAAATAAATGAGCTATCAAGCCACGAAAAGATTTGGAGGAAACTTAAGTGCATATTACTTAGTGAAAGAAGTCAGTCTGAAAACCCTGCATACCGTATGATTCCGACTATATGACATTTGGAAGAGGCAAAACTAGAGAGATAGTAGAAAGATTGATGGTTGTCAGAAATTTGGGGGAGGGGAGGAGGAATGAGCTAAAAAGGAATTTCTAGGCCCTAATGATTGACAATTCTCCCACATTCAGATTGAACTTATGCTTTCCCAATCTTATCCCATTATAAGGTAAGGTTTAGGTTCAAGTCCAGAATATTTCATCACGTAAATTTGTTTGAGGTGGAATGGGATCAGAAGAAGCTTCTCAGAAAAAGTTTCTCAGTTGCAGCTTTTTGAGAATGGCTTCTCTTGATTTGAAGATTCGTGAACTAAGAGACCTGTTATTTGACTTCCCTCAGCTCCCCCATTTTACCCCTTCCACACACACACACACTGTGATTGGATAATTGCAATTCAAAACCAGCAAATAGAAGGCCCAAAGAAGTCACTAATCAATTACAATTAAAAATTCCAATCAAGCCCCTGTTTTCCAGCCCTCGATTAGGGCTCCATTCTACCTTTTGCAAGTGGTTTTCCATGTATTTTCGTAAGTCACCCTCCTTTTCTTTAGAAATGGCCTGTGTTTGCAGCTAAGTAGTTTTCTCAGTCTGTTTTCTGCTCATAAAAGTTTGGGAGCCGGGCACTTTTTTTTCAAGGTAAATGACTTGTGTTTAATTCAATCAAAGCTGGAAACACTTCCACAAATACAATTCTCTTAAAAGCTTTCTGAGTTTCTTATAAATTCTTATTGTAGTTTATGCCATTAGACCAAGCCACACCCACAGAACTCTTTCTTTGAGACAGGTTTCACTTTACTGGGGGCTAAGCAGAAATAAGGGTCTTCTGGACAAGACCTTTAAGATTCTTAAAGCCCTTTATCTACATGAGATGATCTCTGAGATGCAATCTTAAATTTCTTTGAGGTCACAGCAAGAGGTCTTATAGTCCCTTTTCATATGACCTTTACCCTGAGGCTATATTTTATTGGCAGAGTCCTAGCTTTGATCTTTGCCCTGAGACTATTTATTACTTTTATAGTCTTTCACAGGAAAGACGGAGATGAGAAACAATTTTCATTTTCAACCCATCATTTCCTGGTTCATTTGTATTTCTTTTAAATTCTGCTTGAAAATGGAACAGCCCCTTTTTTTGCTCATCTCAGTCCTCCTATACATTATCATAAGCAGCTAAATGAACCCAGATGGTATTTTCGATGTTCTGCTGAGGAATTTCCTTCGCCATATCCACAAGTTCCTTAGGCACATCTTCTTTCTTTCACATTATTGCAGGTGGCAGTTTCCCTAATGATTTTACCAGTACACAATTCACATCCTCTTATCTGTAGTCCCCAACAGCAAGTTTTTTACCACCTTTTCAGTAATCACTATATTCTGAAAAGTGAAAGAATTATGAAAGAACCACCTAATTCCAAAACAAATAAATTTCACTTATTTTCAGTGGCACGTGATTGACTTTGAGCCAAAATTTTATTTTATTTCAATTTTTTTGTAATCTCTTGCTGCACAGCAAACAACTCAACACCTCATGGCTTAAACCCACAATCATTTTATTTGTTCAAAGTTCTTCAGCAAAGAATCATCTCCATTTGGAGGTTATTGTGATAGTCTTGCAAACAGGTACTTATTATATGTTTCCATTTCACTGAAAGACCTTCTGGGGTTGGCTTAGGCAGGATGTCGGGGAGGTTTCATATTCTCTCACTCCAATGACTCTCTCCCTCTCCGTGTGACCTCTCCTTCTTACAAAGCAGCTCATGGATCCCAACAGCACAGAAGTAGACACTACCAGGTCCCTTTATGGCTTAGGCCTGCAAGTGGTATAACATCACGTTTGCCATCAAAAGTGATCACTTTATTTTGGTTCCAGTGAGTCATAGCTAGGGACAGGCCAGATTTAAAGGGAAGACACCATACAAGGGGCATCGATACCAGGAAACTTGACCAGCTGGAGACCAGTGACACTAAAGACTCCCACATTCCCTATATTCTCTATTTAATCCAACAGCATATCTGGAGACTCTAGTGTCTCTATGTTCTTGAATTCCTCTAATCCATTCTCCATCCAGTAGCCAGAATGTCTTTAAAAAGTACAGATTAGATAATGCAACTTTCCTGCTTACAATTCTCCAATGGTTTTCTATCACATTTTTAAAATGTCTTACAAGACTTTACATAATGTTTCTTCTGCCTCCCATTCTGACATCCTGTCTCTTCTCACTAATCCCTAGGCTCTAGGCATGCTGGCCTGCTTTCATTTCCTTGAATATATCTAACTCATTCCTACTTTAAGGCCATTGCGTTAGCCATTTCCTCGCCCTGGAATGCTCTTCTCACAAATATTTATATGGAGGAAGCCTGGTTACTCAAATCTCAGCCTAAATATCACCTCTTGGAGAGGTCTTCCCTGACCACCAATCAAAATGTTGCTCTCCACTTCCTGATGACATAGTCAATCATAGGAGTTAGTATTTTCTGATATTTTCTAGTTTGTTTTTATTAGATTTCTCTTTGCCTCCACTTATTAAATGTAAGATGCATGAGGCGGAGACATTGTTTTATTTCCCACTGTGTACCCAGAGCCTAATCCAGTGTCTGCTACATTGTGGGCCATAATTATTTGTGTATGAACCAATAAGTGAGCATTACTGTTAGTAGTGGTATTCTTACCAATATTGCTATGGGTATTGATTTAATAATAACATTACAATTACAATAGAAATTTATTTCGAAGCAAAGCTAGATGCTTCCATTAGAGGTGAGTTTCTGGCTTGATTGTAGGCCCCTTGTGGCCCCACCAAAGTGCTGAGGAGTGAGGAGGATACATTCCACAGGGTTCCATCATGCTCTCTCTTGGTCGCTATATGTATGAAATTTCCAAATCCGTGGAATTAGCTATCCTTAGTCCCAGTTTAAAACTAAAAATAAATGTTCACATAGCACTTAACAGAGGAAGCACTAAATGTAGGGTAGCTTTCATTATTGTTAAGAACACAGGAAAAGAACCTCTGTCATGGAAAGTATTCTTACATTTCATTCATCATCCTTACTTTAGTAATGAAGCATCTGACCATGAAAACTATCCTTAGAATGTATATTTTAATTGTTAGACATATTGATGTGCCTCTATTTATTTAAATAGATTGTCATTATAAAATATTAAATAATAAGAACAACAATAACTAGTAAGGAAGTATTATCTATGGCACAATTTTACTTCTTACTGAAATGGATGCTGAATTCGCTATCAGCAATTATAGTCCAGTTGCTAGTAGATTAAAATAGATTGACAAAATTGGAACATTTCCATTTTTTCTATAAATACCGTTTGACATTATCATGCACTCTTGTAAACTGAAGAAAGACTCTAGTATGCTGAAATTATTTCTCTGCTTTGTCTTTTTGTCTGTCTTTTTTTGAAGTCTTCCCACACAGCCACACTCATTTTCACAAGTAGCATTATCTCTGTTTCCTCACTGCAATTCCCTGTGACAAGCACTTTATATAACATTCAGTCCCTATGACAATGCTGCAAGGTAAGCATCACAACAAGGTAGACAAACTTTTTTCTGTAAGGTACCCTAGATTAAGTAGCTTGGGCTCTGTGGGCCATATGGTCGCTATTGTAACTTTCTGCTGTTGTAGTATGAAAGCAACATAAAAACCAGACAGATAGTATGCAAACAAGTGAGCATGGCCATGTTCCAATAAAACTTTATTTATCCACCATGAAATTTAAATTTCATATACTGTTCACAGGTCATGAAACATTATTCTTTCTTTGACCTTTTTAACACTTAAAAATACAAAAATCATTCTAAGCTTACAAGTAGTACCAAAGCAGTGAACAGGCCAGATTTGGCCCATAGGCCATAGTTTGCTGACCCCAGTAGAATACAGTCTAGGAGACTGGGGTTCAGAGAGAACACAGAACGTTTCCAAAGCAATTGCCCCAACAACTAGGGGAGCCAGGACTCAAAAGTAAACACCTCTGATTTTTAACTCTTATAGTATATTGCCTCTTGGACAGTTATCTTATCTAAATCTTAAACTCTAGTTTAACTGAGGTCACCTTTGTTTAGCATGGAAAGCTAATCACTATTTATTAAAAATGCACTATTTATATGGCAAAAGATATTCCCATTTCTAAACCTCATCCTCACCTTGGGATTATTTTCTGTTCTGGGGACTACCTATGTGTAAATACACGCTCACATATGAAAACACATGTTTCTTTCTTTTATAAGTATTTAAACTATAGCGTGACAATTTAATCAATGTTGATTAATTTGTACCAATGTGCAAACAGATCCATTTTCAGCTAAAAATCAGTTTCTCCTAAGATCTATCCATAATGCCAACCATTACAACTCCCTTACCCTAACCTCCCAGTTGGGGATAGATAGAGGTTAGCTCACCAATTAGATAGACCACAGAGTTCTTCCAGATGATTCAGGATGATCATAATCATTGCACAGAGCTCTGTTCTGCCTCCTGTTAGTATAACTATAACTATATAGATGACTGAACATCTGGGACAGTGAGGGATGCGAAATGAGTTTTTCAACCCTGAAAAAACAAGTAATGTGTCTGTACAAATGCTCATGCTTTTGTCTCCTCTACCCTATGTCTTCGCCTCCTCACCCTCCAAATCTTTCCTCTCTTGGGGAGATTTGTATCCAGTCTGTTGAGAGCCTACGCATCATCTTGAACCCTAAGAATCTAACCCTTTGTATTTTAATTCAAAAGGGAACATTGTTCCAAATTGTCTATTATTTTCAACCAGGGCAAAGTAATATAGGCTGTCGAGGGCCCCCAAACATGAGTAATTTATTGCTCAGAAATACTGGATTGAATGTGTTCCCCAGGAAAGCATTCTTCAAAACCAAATATCAGGCACGGCTGTGCAGGAATCAGACTGTAAATGATTAAAAACACGATGGATCACTGGTCAGTTGTTCAGTCTGTCTAGAATCATTATGCTTGGAAGAGAAGTGAAGAAGCTAGGAAAGGAAACCCTTTGAGGTCTGTTCTCTATAAAGAAAGAGGATTAAAAAGAAAGCCCGGTCCTCCCACCCCATAACATCATAGACAATGTATGTGTACACACAGAGACAAACACACACACTGCCATATATTGCCCAACTAGCCCAAGGGTAAAGGTTAAAATTATGAGAGAAAGATTTAAAAACGCAAGTTTGGGCAGTAATTTAAAACAGAGAAGAAAGAAGCCAAAATAAATGAGCATTATTTAACTCTATAAATTTGCTATCCTATGGTGTACATAAAGATGTAGGTAAGTGGCATTTGTTTGCTCACTGTTATGGCTGGAAGCCTAGGAAAATAAATTTATTCAGGCACGACAGCCTGTGTGCAAAGACTTCCATTTCGCCTTTTATGGAAATCCTGAACAAAGGAGAATATATTTGCTTCAGTCAGGAAGGGAGTTTCAATCAGACTGATGAATAAAAAGCACAGCTGCCAAAAATGATCCACGACCGGGTAAAGTGTAGGTGCCCAACTGCCCATTTTTCTATTAAAATGTGTCATTAATGTTGGCCTGGGCCAATAGAGCAGGGCTATGCAGCACAATAAATTGCTTCTCAATTTTAAAATATCAATTCCAGGAAGAATTATGTAGGATAAAATGTAGAACCTCGGCATCACAAAATAGTGGTTGTTCAGTGAGACAAAGGTTTGTTTTTGCAGCCACCAGATATAGCTTTATAACATTTACATATTTGGTAATACTGTGGTGGTGCCTGTTTCCTTGGGAACTGTGTTCAATAAATGATTATTCTGGAACATTACCATATTTTATCTGAATTAAGGGAGGCATTGCAGCTAAATTATTTCATTCAAAAGAAGCAACATATATGACACTTTTAATTTTCTAAAATAGTTCTGAGAACTTAGAAAGCTCCAGAAAACTTAGCCTTTGACTTATACATCCTCATTTTACCAGTGAAAGCATTTAGGATAGAAGAATTTGAGACTCCCTCAAGCCACATGTCTAGAGGTGGTAAAGCAGCAGCCAGAATTTTAAATCCTAACCCTATCCTTTTTCCACTCAAATTCTCAGTGGAAAAATATCAAGTTGGTGGTTTCTGACTAATATTTCCAGAAAGGGACCCTTGATATTTTGATGATTACAAATAACCAACAAACAAAACAACAGCAATAAAAAGATCTCCCACACAGAGAAACAAATCCTTCAAGTGCTAGTCTTTCCTGTTACTGGCATGTCCTATGCAAGCTGTCTTTGTTGTATTCAAATAACATCAATTCTAATCTCCTCCTTGTAGTTTGCCATGCTTCCTTCTGTTTTGTGGCATAATGCTGCATCAGAAAAGTAGCAAAAACCTACTTTCTAAATATATGTAAACCTGGACTATTATAAAAATAAAACAAAGAATAGGAAAGAAAGAAAACAAAGAGTCTACTACATTTCTCATCAGGCTCATGACAGAATATCATTTGCTTCTATTTTGAGACTAATGGCTTTAGGCCCTGGTCTCCTACACAAATGTTTATTGCTTATTTTTCAAAGACTGTTGTATTTGTTATCTACTGGAACATAAGAATTACCCAATAGCTTTGTGGCTTAAAACAGTAAGAATTTGTTTCACATTTTCTTTGGGTCAAGAATTTGGTTGTGGTATAGCTGGATGATTCTGGCTCAGGATCTCTCATGAGGTTACAGTCAAGATGTCAGCTGAGGCTACATCTCCTCATGACTTGGCTTGGCCTGGAGGATCTGCTTCCCAGAAAGCTTACTCACGTGATGCTGGTAGTTGGCAGGAGGCTTCAATTTCTCCCCAGTAGACCCCTCTATGGACTGCTTGTATGTCCTCACAATATGGTGGCTGACTTATTCCAGAATGATCAATCCAGGACTGCAAAATGGAAATTAGAATGTCCTTAATGACCTAGCCTTGGAAGTCACTCAATAGTAAGTAAGTCATTTCCTCATTGTTCTATTAATTATAGAGGTTGACCCTGCTAAATGTGAGGGAAGATTCTACAAGGTGTAACGACCAAGAGTTGAGGATCCTCCAGAACTATCTTGGAAGTTGGCCTCACAATTGTTGTCACTTAAACTTATGCCATGTCTACATTTAGGATAATTGTTTGATTTGGCTAAATGGACTGGTCAATTCAAATTATACAGTTGTTGACTAGTTTAAGCACACTATCACTTTCTCAAACACTGCTTTCCACTATTTACATAATAATAGTGCCTAGCTTATAATAATAACATTATAGTATTTATAAATATTTTCACAGGCATTATCTCATTTGATCACAACTTTATTTTTTTCTAACTTCTTAAAATAATTTAAATGGCATTAACTTTAAATAAGAATTACAAAGATAATAAAAATAATTCTCTTATGGCTTTACCCAGATTTTCCTGTTGTTTACATCTTACATAACCTTACTAGAGTTGTCAAAACCAAGAAAATAACATTGATACAATACAATGAACTAAACTATAGGCTTTATTCAGATTTCCCCAGTGTTTTCATTAACATCCTTTTCCTGTTCTAGATTCCAATCTGAGATACCACATTGCATTTTGTCACCATATCTCCTTAATTTCTTCTGATCTGTGACTATTCTTCAGTCTTTTCTTGTCACTCATGACCTGAGTCTTATGAAGAGTACTGGTCAGATATTTTGTAGAAAGCTCCTCAATTTGAGTTAGTCTGATATTTTCTCTTAATTAGACTTAGGGTATTGGACTTTGGGGAACAAAACCGTAGAATTGATGTGCCCTTTTTATGATAGCAATATGCATTATTGTTACTAGTAATGTTAACCATGATTACTTGGTAATGGTGCTGGCAGGTTTCTCTGCTGTAAAGTCACTGGTTTTTCATTTCAAAATTATATTTTTAAAGTGAGTCATTAAATCCCACTCAAGTGGGAGAAGAATTAAACTCTACCTGCTGGAAGGAGAAGCTCCAAAGACTTTGTAAATGTAAGTTAAAGCCATCATAGTCATTAGTAAACATTTTGGGTGAGGTATCTTGAAGCTATGCAAATATCCTGTTTCTTTTTAAAGGTTTGCCCACTAATTTTAACATCCATCAGTGGATCTTGCTGTGGTATCCTAACAGTGAGTTTCTAGTCCCCTCATTCCTTCTACATTTATTCACAGGAATTGGTCTGTTAGAAAAGTCTCTCCATTCTCCTCTGTTTAGTTACTCAGTCAATCATTTGTTTATATATCAACATAGGCTCATGAGTATGTGTTTTATATTTTTGGTTATAATCAATACTGTCATTATTTATGTTAATATTCAAATTGATCCAGGTAGCTAATGAAAAGTCTTTCAGGTTGCTGCCTATTTTCTTATGACCATCCCCCCTCCCCTCATCTACCTCTGTTGCTGCTGCTTTTTTTCATTTTTTTTTATTTTAACAACTTCTTGCTTTCTGACCCCACAAAATATTCTAAGCTTATCTTGATTTTTTTTTTTTTTTTTTTTTTTTTTGCCCAAGTCTAGAATTAGTATTTTTTTTCAAGGAGCTGTTTACATGTTTGTTTGTTTGGAGAATGATATTGGAAATCAAGATCCGAGCATTAGTTGTATTCATTGGCCCTGGAGTGTCGCAGCTTCTAGGCCCTCTCTGCAGAGAGACCTGGGAAACATAAACACATATAGGAAACCAGGTACAACTTCTATTTTTGAGTGTCTTCTATATGTCAGACACCATATTAGACACTTATTATTTCTCATTTCATCTTGTTCTCACGGAAGCTTTATAGAGTTAGGTTTTATGAGCCTCATTTTACAGAGAAAGTAATAAAATTGCAAATTATATGTCACGCAACAAAGAAGAGCTAATATGAGAAATTAGGTCAGTAGACTTTAAATCATATCCTAATTTATTTAAATTAGTTTAAGTAGCTATGGACTCTTCCTCTTTCTGGGACCCTCTTTTTATCTTTCCTTCCATATATTTCTTCTCATTTTTATCCTCCTCTTATATTAATTCCATCATGGCAATAGATAAATTAGGTGCATATTTAATGAGCTGTGTCTAGGCAGTAGAATTACTATGACCTTTTATGTATGTTTTTATCTTAAGTTCTTGTTTTTGGCAGGATTTTTATATTTGTAATGAGACCCTTCGAAAGATTTTCCTAAGCAAGTATATAGCATTGCAATCCATCACTCTACTAATATTTATCATTATGATGTAGTAGGCCCAATTCTAGATGCTTGGATACAGTGGTGGAAAAAAATAGACAAAAGTCCTATTTTTGTGGAGTTTATTATCTAGTGTGGAAGAAAAACAAAAAATAAAATACAATAATTCTGTGGTTTATTAGAAGGTGATGTGGAAAAATAAAGCAAGGAAGGGGATGAAAAGAGACGGAGAAATTATAATTTTCAACAGAGTAGTGGAGATGGTCCTGTCTGGTAGGGTGACAATTGATCAAATATGTATAGGAGATTTGGAAAGGGTCTACATGCATTTATGGGTGAGGCCCATTAAGGAGAATGAAGAAAAGCCAATTCAAAAATTCTGAGCCAGGACTGTACATGTTGTATTTGAAGAACAAATAGAAGACCAGTGAACCAGAGCCAAGTGAGCCTGTGAAAGCAGGAGACGATGAGGAGTGGAGAGTTATGGATGGGAGCATAGATCATGTGGAACTGTTAGGCGATTCTAAGGGGTTTGGCTTTTTCTGCTAGTGGGGAGGGATGCAGTAGAATGTTTTGAGCAGAGGAGTGACCTGATATAGCTTACATTTCTAAAGGACCACTCTGCCCACCATATGGAAATAGAAAGGCCCAGGGTTGAAGCTGAAAGCACAGTTAGAAGGTGGCTCAGTGAGATTCAGTGGTGGCTTGGACCTTCATAGTAAGTCTGGCCATAGGGAAAGGTTATCAGATATTAGAAACATTTATAAGTTGAGCCAAGAGGATTCTCTTAGCCATGGAATAAGTGGTCTGAGAGAAAGACAGAAGTCAATCAAGACTTCCAACATTTTAGTATAAGCAACTGGAAAGAGGAAGTTGCCATTATGGTAGAAAAAGATTTGGGGTGGAGGATAAATACTTCAATTTTTTACATGTTAGGTTTGGGATGTCTATATATGATTTGCATGATGTAAGATTTAATGAAACTGGAGAAAATATGAGGCTCTAGTAAACAGATGTCTCTCTAAGACTGAAGATAGGAATGCAACCTCAGCCTATCAGAGCCATGATCCATCTTAAGGTGGTGTAAGGAATAAAATTTGACTGGGAAGGTTGGCGTACTTGGGAAAAAAGCAATCTCAAGATGAGGGAATGTTTTCAAAATATCCACCAGCACATGAAAGTGCATATTGGATCACCCAAGTCTAAATTTATTTGTATCTTAAAAATGTAATTTTTATGTCTCCTCATTACTGTAATTTAAAAGAATACTTCCTTTATTTTTCTTAACAACAGGATTTGATGATAATTTCACTTTCATTCTAAACCTACTTTATGTTTTGATGAGCATTTGTCTTTTCAGACTATGGAGGTCTAAATTTTGCAACCTCTTTTTCTATGACCAACCCTCACTGAAAAGAATTTCCAAAAGATACTTTTTTTCCCCCCCCCAGAAGGTCAGATAAATAGCTATTTAAAGGAGCAATTACAAAGCAAGACATAACCTCAACTACACACACTGACAATGATTGGAAAAAAGAGAAAGTCTTAATGGGGAGAAGGAGTGAGTTTGTCAGAGACTGCTTCTTGTAGGTGAAGAATCTTCAGCTTGGCTTTAAAAGAAGTGACAGCTCACATAAAAGGAAGGCCCATTTATAAGATTAGTTTGCCTGGGTGCATGAGAAAAGTTCATGTATTTTTTTGAAGGCAATTAGAGGCTTTCTCTCTTATCCTCTTTTGCTTTCTATTTTCAAAAACCCCTGTATTTTGAAAAAGCTCATCCTATTTAACTCTCCTGTGGTTTAAAAATCTAACGTAGACATATGCTGTTAATACTTTTGTATGTCAGGAGCCTGAAGGGTAGAAACAATTTTAAACTTAACTTTTTAATTTTGGTTTCTTGACAAAGCTTTTTTACTGAGCCTGAGGAATTTCACAATGCCAAAAGTTATGAATAGTTCCAGACTCAAACCAGTAGCTGGGGTGACATGAAGCAAATGATTGATTGTATACAAATGATGGGGTACAGGAAGGTGTCCCCATTTGCTGATATAAATTTTGGGGGTATTTTTGTCATGGTACTGAAAAGGCTGACGAAGTATAAGATAATGATGAAAATAAATGAAAGGAAATAATTTGAAAACAGAAAAAAAATACAGCAAGACACTTTTTCTCCAAAAAATTAGAACTTAAACTTTTGCGAACAGGCACCACATCATCCCTAGTGGAGAAGTCGATTCATGATAATAGTAGCTCAGTCAATACATTTAAATTGAATTGTTATGACTCATTTTTCTTAATGTTAATTCTGCAGTCTGAAAAGGGATCAACCTTATTTCTCTCATTTGGTGAGTATTTTCAGATGGCTTTTAAAATGTTTTTTTTTTTCTTTCTCTTTCAACTGCTGGAGAGTAACTAGAAACAAATCTGTTCCTTGGAATAAATGTTCAGTCCATATGTTATTTTTCATGGTAACTGATGGAAGTGTGAAGTCCTCCTCAATAAATTCAGCCTGCACGCTTTCTCTCCTTCCCCACTTCCCCACCCCCCACTGCCACCATATGTAACACATCTTGGGAATGAAGAGAATAATTCCTTTATCGTTTGACTTTTGTAGCTTCCGTTTTTCCTCAAGTAACATGGAGATTTTAAAGAGGATCAGAGGTACTTGTGTAAAGAGTTGACAGGCCAACCCAGTTCTTCTGAAAGGCATTTATGATAAGCAATGGTCAATGGAAAAATCAAGAAAACCTATGTATACCTTTTGCTTCCCCTTAAACTTAGCTACTAATAGCCTATTGTTGACCAGAAGCCTTACCTATAACATAAGCAGTCAATACATATTTTGTATGTTGTATGTATTATATATTGTATTCTCACAATGAAGTAAGCTAGAGAAAATAAAATTTTCTTAGGAAAATCATAAGGAAGAGATAATATGTTTACTATTCATTAAGTGGAAATGAATCATCATAAAGGTCTTTATCCTTATGGTCGTCATGTTCAGTAGCCTGGGAATGAGGAGGAGGGGTTGGTCCTGCTGTTTCAGAGATGGCAGAGGCTGAAGAAAATCCACATATAATTGGACCAACACAGTTCAAACCCATGTTGTTCAGTGGTCAACTGTAATTATAAACATTAACTATATTCCTCAAATCTATGCACAATGGGAGACAGGATAATCATCATAGGCTTTGGAAGTAGAGAGATCTGGCTTCATTCCCAGTACCACCACCTACCTATGTGATCGAGACAAGTTTCTTAATCTGAATCTGAATGTTCTTAGATGGAGAATGGTGGTAAATAGCCTCACAGTGCTAATGAAAGAATTTAGTAAGATAATACAAGAACAGTAACTAGAACATAGAAAGTGTTCAGTAAGTATTTGTTTCCTTATTCTCATCCTTCCATCTCACTGTAATTCCTGTTATCAATGATGAAAAACTCTTGTTTGTGTTTCAATGATTTATGAGTGTTCAACCAAGACCACAAATGTGATCAAGTTTATGTTTTATAGTAAAAGATTCACCAGAAATTTTCTTTTATAGTAAAAAGCCGGTCTAAGTTGACGTCTTTTGGCAAAGTTTCTGGTGTAGTTTGTAGGTGGGAGTTTAAATACAGATGAATGCTATAGGAGATTTTAACTCCAGGCCAGATGTTTTATGCTGGGAAAATAGTCTTTGATATTTGAATGGCTCTGAATGTTACACTGAAAGCCAAATGTGTAGGGGTATGACCCCTTGTGTATTGAAATATCAAAAAAGATTTGCATTAATTTCTTGCGAGCCAAATATATAGCTTCATGCAGCTCTAATTGAAATGTAATAACTGTTTACAGATTTGACTGCATCATCACCACGAAGTAATTGGTTTTCCACACCAAGCAAATGGGAGATGAAGTAAATGTGTCTAGAAGGGTTTCGAAATTAAATAAAATATTTCTAAAATTACTGCTATGAATGTTGTCCTTCCTGCCTTGACACCCACTTAGAGTTGGACCTCGATGGAATCAAGTTACTGCTAGTCTTGGGTGTCAGAAGAGACCTTTATTACTCCAGGTTGGGTTTGTTAAAACATGAAGCTGCATTATCTCAAAAAAGCAGCATTTTAAAAAGGTTATTTATTATTGGTCTTTTATATGTTCTTCATAGTATTGGACTCGACTAATCAGAGACATGTTGGCTTTTTATTCGCAGTAAGTATGTTGGCATCTCTTGGAAGGGAGAAAGAGAGAATGCAAAGAACAGTGGCAAACTTGAAAATTCCTAATGAATCCCATTGTAATTTGGTCATTGTGAAAATGTTCGATTGATTTATAATGAAATAATAACCAGCCCTGCTCAAAGCAACCAAGAATGTAGTGTTTTTGTTTGTTTAAAAAAAAAGAAACAGAAAAAAAAACAGGAGTTGGGAAACTATTTGCTCAACACAATAAAAGAAAATGTAGCTTTCCTCCATACTCAGCCCCACAGGCTTCAGAATATCTTTATAAATAGCAAAATAATCAAGGAAAAGAGGAGAGTTCTACCTTTTGAGAATGTTGTAAAAATAATACTCCATTAGAGAATGGATCTAGCTTTTTTGAGAGTTTATAACAATCCATGGTGCCAGTGTTGTTTTCCCCATTTTAAAGATAAGGAATCCAAGGCTCTGGGAAGTTAATTATTTCCCACAGAGAGTAATTTGCAAAATACAGATACAAATATAATCTGTACTTTCTCCAAAATCAATGGTCTTTCCTGAACATGTGACCAGTTTCAAAATTTAAGAAGAGATCAAAATATCTACCATAGGTTCAAAGAAAAAACACATTTTTTATTATTAGGATCTGACTTGAAGTTTAGTTCATTATTTTCATACATTATATGCTACTACTTAGAAAGTTAAAAAATGGGAGAATGATTGAAATAAAATTGCTAGATCACAAGTTTCTACTTTAAAAGATGAAAAGTATAATCTAAATTTCCCAGGGATATTATGAAAGGTACATGAAAAACAATAGTTACTGAGCAGTTGGGAAATATCGTTACTTTTTTTCCTTTCTTTTTTTTTTTTTTTTTGAGAGGGAGTCTCCCTCTATCGCCCAGGCTGGAGTGTAGTGGCATGATCTCAGCTCACTGCAACCTCCGCCTCCCGGGTTCAAGCAATTCTCCTGCCTCAGCCTCTTGAGTAGGTGGGATTACAGGTGCCCGCCACCATGCTGGGCTAATTCTTGTATTTTTAGTGGAGAGGGGGTTTCACCATGTTGGCCAGGCTAGTCTCGAACTCCTGACCTCAAGTGATCCACCCACCTCAGCCTCCCAAAGTGCTGGAATTACAGACATAAGCCACCACGCCCAACTGGGAAATATCAGTACTTTTTATGATGAGCATTTTGTACTAACTGAAGCCATTTTGTTTTATCATATGCTTATAAACAGAACTGACTTGGAATACTAGCACAACTTATGTAATAACAAGAAAGTTGTGTAATAGCTGAGGCAACTGAAACCTCAGTTTCTTCATCTACAAAGTGGGATCATAAAAATGCACATCGCACAAAATAAGCATATGCATGTAAAGGGTGTAGTATGGCTGTTAACACATAGTAAGAATTCATCATTGATCTTTATTATTAACATAGTAGCTCTCACAATATCGATAATATAGCTTAGAGCACAATTGCAAGTGTCCCAAATAGAAAGAATCTTCCCCCTTAATTATTTTAATTATTTGTCAACACATCTCATACCAGTCTTTGAATAACTTTTTTCCAGGTGTAAGATTTGGCAAGGTACTTTTATAATGGCCTTTGAAGATTTTAGGGTTGCAGTATATCCTGTGTGAGATGATATCTTTTCTAGATCAATATAACATTTTTCACAGAAGAAATTTAGAAAAAATAAACCAATCTTAATTGAAAATTTACACATTCTTTTCATTGCCATACTTTATGTTTTATATTGTCTTCTCCAGCATGAACTATACACAGTTAAATATGTCTTCAAATCCTACACACCAACACACATAATAAATAGAAAATAGTATGGCAGAGGTTTTGTGGTAGGCAAAATAATACATCTCCCCCAAGGTGTTCAGGTCCTAATCCCCCAAACTTGTCACTATGTTACTGTACATGGCACTGCAGATGTGATTAAGGATCTTCAGATGGGAAGATTATTTTAGAATATCTGGGTAGGCCAATGGAATCAGATGAGGGTTTTTTTTTTTTCTAACTCTTTTTGTTTGTTTGTTTGTTTTGTTTTGTTTTGTTTTGTTTGGAGATGGAGTTTTGGTCTTATCGCCCAGGCTGGAGTGCAGTGGTGCGACCTCGGTTCTCACCTCTGCCTCCCAGGTTCAAGCAATTCTCCTGCCTCAGCCTCCTGAGTAGCTGGGATTACAGGCGTGTGCCACCAAGCCCAACTTATTATTTTGTATTATTAGCACAGACAGGGTTTCGCCATGTTGGCCAGGCTAGTCTCAAACTCCTGACCTCAGATGATCCACCCGCCTCAGCCTCCCCAAATACTGGGATTACAGGCGTGAGGCCGCTGCGCCTGGCCAACGTTTTTTTTTTTTTTTTTTTTTAACTTTTTGTATTTTACTTTAAGTTCCAGGATACATGTGCAGAACCTGCAGGTTTGTTAGGTAGGTATACATGAGGTTTTTTGTAAGAGCAAGGTGGAAGGGTCAGAGTCAGAAAAGGAAATGTGACAAGGGAAGCAGAGGAGAGAGAGGTGGCATTCCTGCAAGGGGCCAGGAGCCAAAAAGTAGAGGATGTTTCTAGAAGCTGGAAAAGATAAGGGCTGGGACCTCTAGAGTCTCCAGAATAAACACAGTCCCCTGACTCCTTGCTTTTATTCCTGTAGGACCCACTTTTGGACTTCTGACCTCCAGAAAGTTAAGGTAATAATCTCATGCTGGTTTAATTCATGAAATTTGTGGTAATTTGTTACAGCAAGCACAGGAAACTAATATGCATGTCTTTTTCATATTAAGTAGCTATTATATTGGAGTTCTGAAAAGTTATTATCAAGACTAAAACATTTTGTCATAAAACGTGTATATACACACAAATATATATTTGTACACAAATATAGATACATCAAGAGGTATAAGTCATAATAATATTACATACTATTTTACTTTAACAAGCAATATATCAAATTGAGGATAAAATTATCTTAGAAAACAATAAAATAGAAATGGTAGCATTACCCAAACTTTAAATAAAAAGAGTCTCTTTTTCTTTTTTCAAAACCATTATTACAGGGTATTCAATAACTTTGGCCACAATCTAAATATATTTGAGAAACTGAGTTCTACACATTTAAAAAGAAAGTATTTTTTCCTATAGCATTTTCCACAGATTAGATGTCCTGCTGAACCATGATATATTTTGTTTGTCTGCCTTTATTCAAATATAAGTTTTCAGTGCATGAAAGAGAAATGAAATGAATTAGAGGATTGTCTTTATTCTTCGTGTTCTTTGGATATGTCTCTTAAAATGGCAGTTCATGGAGAATTTTAAATTTAATTTGTCTACAGAATTGATTAAAAAGTAAATGGACTGGTTTATTATTGTCTTTTCTTATTTTGATTATGGTTATAATAAATTTTAATGGGCTTAACAAAATGAATGTAAATTGGCAAATCAATTGCTTCATAAGTTTGATAAAATAAAGCCCAGAGAATAATTTTTTGTCCTATTGTTTTTGAAAAAAATGACTCTTGAAATGTGCTTGGTCTGTAAGTTTGATTGCATTCTTCTCTCTCCTTTGCTAGTTGACCTCAAGCTAGACACTGGAGTTGTTGTTCCTCTGTTGTTTCCTCATTCAAAACATAAGGGAGATATCAAATTGCTTGTAAAAATAGCTCTAAAGTACTGTACTAAAATATACCAAGCATATAAACTGCTTCACAGACTATGTAACATGCCCTCAGAAGCTGTTAAAATTAACATTGAGCTGTCATTAACTAAGTGTCCTCAAATTATATTCATCTTATTGGCCTACAGAAGAAGACTGAAAAATAGCCATACAGCCTTTTCGAATCTTTAAATCATAAAACAAATTCTCCACAATCTGTAAATTCTAAAACCAACTCCAACATTTATGTAACTACTTATTCCCAGATAAATGTGGGATAATCCAGGTAAGTATGTCTTTTACTTGTATAATCCAGAGATCCACAGAGTATTTGAACTGGACTTGATTTTACATATTATTTAATCCTATCCTCTAAATTTACATCCTGAGACAGATGCCTAAATGCTCCCAGTTATCTAGTTAGCTTGGGTAGTGCTACAAGTGAAACTCAGTCTAAAGATTTATAAAGTTCATTTCACAAATCTCAGTATTTCTCTTTGCAAAGATTTACCCTTCATTCCACAGATATAAGATTGATTCTTGTAGAATGTGAAAGTCATCGATTCCATATACTTTTCTTACTGAATGGCAAATACTACTAGCAAGGAATGGTATTCTTGACTGCCATTTAGCTAATGTTTTAACCATCAGGTAGCATCTATTCAGGGATTTACTGCCAGATAGTTTAGCTGGGGCTGGAAAATGACCAAGAAGGGAATTATGTTGGATGAAGAGCCAGAAGAGTGAGGAAGACTTAACACCCCATTGTTACATACTTAAACACCAACAGCCCTTCCTAGCATTTGCTATTAAACTATGAGTAAGTTGAAGACAAGAATCAAGACTTATTCACTTTTTTCTAACTTATTTTCCTTCTTCATATTCTACATGTTAAACTCAATCAATTCCATGTATTAAATGAATGAGTGATTATAGCTTCCCTCTACAAAGTGTACCAGATTGTCTGGGTCTAAATCCCAGCTCTACTAAATGCATGTCAGCTGTGTAGCCACAAGAAGCTAACTCCTGTGCCCCAATTTCCGCAATTTTTAAAATGGAGTTAATAAAAATATTTCCATTATAAAAAGATTTTGAGGATTAAGTTAATTTATACTTGTAAACGTGCTTAAACTTTACTTATGTAGCGTAGGCAAAATTTTACCTCTATCCTCCTAGGGTTTTTGGTAGGCCTGTAAGTTAAAGTGACCTGAGACCTATTAACAAGAGAAGAGCATGCAGAATTATTTAATAAAAGTTTTACATGGCACAGGAGCCCCCATAAGAAAATGAAGACCCAAATAAGCAGTTACAGTTGAACACTTATATACTGAGTTGGACAAAGTGCAGTAAGTTATGAAAATTTTGCAAGGCAAGGGGACTTGGACTAGGGCAGTTAATTGTGGAGAAGTGACTGGAAAGGAGTGGGTTAGTTTGCAAGGCTGGTTTGCACAGACTTCTCTCAGCCTCAGTTTCTAGTCCTTGGATGACAAGAATGTGACTCTCCTCCTGGTATAAGGAGAACATCTTCCATATGTGTTTTTTGCTTGTTTGTTTGTTTTCAGGAAAAGCAGGGGAGGTCATAGGGGCCCTTCTTATACCTGCTGTTTTTTAAGTGCCTTTAGATCAAAACAATATTTTGGGGATTGCATATACTGCCACACTTCACTTAGGACATAGTCAGTTCTGAACAAATATGAGCTAGGACTAGTGGTTCTCAATGAGGCATTAATTTTGCTTTACCAGGGGAGCAAAATTGGTTCATTTCTGGAGTCATTTTTGATTGTCACAACTTGGGGGGAATCTACTGGATATGGGCCATAGATTCTGCTAAATATCCTACAATGCACAAGGCATCTCTCACAACAAAGAAGTATCTGGCCCAAAATGTCATTTGGGCTGAGGGAGAAAAACCCTAAGCTATTACTACCACTCTTATTACTACTCCTGCCACTCAGCCATTATTCCTGAGAAGAGTAATATGGCCATAATTTTTGTTTGTTTGTTTGTTCGCTGTTGTTGTCAATTAAATATGGAGATAAGACAATTCCTTCTGGAAGGAGTAAAGGGAATTTAGTCATTTTAGTCAATGCCTACTATCTTAATACAAAAATTGCTTTCCATGAATAATACGTTTGCCTAAACTAATCTTCAATTCAGAACAGGGCAAATTTAACTTTGTTAAGAATTTCACTAAAACTGGTCAGAATCTTAGGCATTAAAAACAAAAGTTCTCGTCAATGGCCAATGTAACATTAATACTCTCAAAGATTAGGGATCCCCATATTTGTGGTCTAATGGAAAGCAGACTAACTAGCTGGAAGATTAAGAATGTTGATTTGATTGTGTAAAACTCAAATTCTTTTAAAGTTCATGATATCACTGGTGTTCTAAATGTGCGATTATATTTTTTTTTCTAATTGTTAAATTCAGCTTTCCCAGAGGATGAAAATAGAAAGATAGACGAAAACAATGAGTGAGAGAAGAAAATTTTATTCTACTCCATTATAATCTCTCTGTCTCTCTCTCTGTGGGACTAATTAGAGCTGGGAATTTTATTTGAAAGCATGTATTAAATTTTGCATGTTGGAGTTAATTAATTCTGAAGAAAATTTCTTAGGTTTACTTTTCTGTGCAAATTGTTATTTTTTACTATTAGTCTGAGAGGTTGATATGTAGAGGAAAATGCTCACATTTAAATATATGCCATATCTACATTTTTTTCATTGTAGAACACTGTCCATGTAATAAAGAAGAATATATGTTAATGAGCCCCCAATTGTTAGAGTCTAACACTTATACTGATTGTAATAAGTTAATTTTGAACTAAGCAGGATTCACAGTATAGTTTCAACATTTATGTCCTTGGCAAAACAAAAAACGTTAACTGAATTCTTGTGATCTATCGTTAGGAAAAAAAAAATGATTACCAGGCTTTGAACGTGGCTTTGGATAATCTTTAGAAATATTTTAAGCACGTAAAACTTTAAAGCCCAATTTCCTGTGATCTACTAATTTATTAAAAACATCAGGTCAATTTTTTTGGCTTTCTAACCAGTTACCGAAATTTCCACCTTCCTCTTCCTTTCCCCATCTTGCCCTCCTCCTGCTGTTACTGTGATAAAATTCTGCATTATTTGGATTTGGAAATACCCTACAGAAAAATTTCTGTACTATAAATTATGAAAGAAAGAGTCTATGATATGTGATTTATGACAACATTAGGTGGAATCCCTCTTCCAAGCCTGGTGATTATCTCTTCAATCTAATCCTTTGCGATCTTTTCTGAGTGATGGCAAAATCTTTGCAATGAACAGTATTCCACTTGGATGATTCCACACTTGCCCCTGACACCTGACCCCTTCAATTCATTCTCCACTGAGACATCGTTTCAAAGTGTAACTCAGATAAACACCGTTCCTCCAGTCTACAACTCTTCAAAGGGTTTATAATAAGATCCAAACTCCAGTCTTTATGTGCTGCTTTCTTTTCATCATTTTGTCCTTGGTACATCTCTTATCTCTTCAGACAGTTGTTCTCTGATCACTTTGGCTAAAGCTTTAAAGTTCAATTTCCTCTGTTCTACTAATTTATTAAAAACATCAGGTCGATTTTTTTGGCTTTCTAACTAGTTACAAAATTTCCACCTTCCTCTTCCTTTCCACTTCTTGGCCTCCTCCTGCTCTTATTGTGATAAAGTTCCCAGTCCCCACCAAGCCAATATCCAGCTCATCCTGTTTTACTTTCTTTGTAGCACTTCTTGCCACTCTTGAATACCTATGTATACCTTTATTCTGTCTCACAATTGTATTGTTACCTTCACTCCATTACAATCTTAGGTCCACTACAGCAAAGATTTTGGTCTATCACATTCATTGCTGTGCTCTTGTGCTTATATTAGCATTGGCATATAGTAGGTACTTGTATTAGTTTTTTTTTTTATTTCATGTGTTACAAATTACAAAGAAGACATAGAGGTTTGAAACAATTCAGACATATTCTCTCATGGTTTCACAGGTCAGAAGTCTAGCCAATGGCTGAGGCAGATTCTCTGCTCAGTGTCTCATCAGGCTGAAATCAAAATATCTGCTGGGCTGTGCTATTTTCTGGAGCTTGGGATCCTGTTTTAACTTCATATAGCTATTGGAAGAATTAAGTTCCAAGTGGTTGTGGCATTGAGTTTACTCTTCTTTTCCTGGTTTTCTTTTCCTTCTTTTCTTTTGCCGTTAAAACTAATGGCAAAAACTGCAATTACTTCTGCACCAACTTACAGAAAATGTAATTTGTTTTCTCATTTTAAACTACTCTCTTAATGTAATGCTTAATCTTTTCCTTGCAATGGTTTGTGATTTTCTGATGAGAATTTAGAAGAAATCTTTAAAAATATTGTAATTCTCTTCACATTTTGTTTTATTCTTTAATGTTTTTCTCTCCAAAGTAGGAAAAAAGCTTTAATTTTAGTTTTGATTTTAAATGTGTCTTTATCATGATAGATAGTACATAGGAAAGATCAGGGTCTTTGGACTCATCAAACTCTGTTTGAACTTGAAGTCCACTCTGTAATTGTTGTAAGTTGTAATCATGAGAAACATCTTCCTTCCACCTCAATTAGCTTGTCAATAAAATGTGTGTAATAATACTTAACTCAAAAGACTGGCGTAAAGAGTAAAAATACAGATCATTTGTAAAAGTGACACACAATGGGTGTTCTGTGACAGTGAGATTTCTTTCCACAGGTGGAAAATATAGATATGGGTAGTATTTCCCTAAGCAGGGTCAAGGGTACTTGCTAAAAAGGCACGATCCTAAGGCCCTTCCCCAGACCTAGCAGGTCAGATATCCTAGAACCAAACTCAGAAATCTACATTTTAAACCAACATCTCAAGTTGTTATTAGCACACTAATGTCTGAAAACCAAAAGATAGGTAACTACACAAAAATTTCCTTAGAGATAAAGTATATTTTCATGTGTCTCAAATGTTGAAAAATATTTTCCATATTTGTAAAGGAATAATCATCATGTAAAATGCCGTTTTCTTTCCTGTTTTGTTAATTTCTGCGTACCACATGTTATCTTTCACTGCATTAAAAGAAATAATGCATAATTTAAGAATCATATTTTTACTTCTTCCAATGTGTTGCAGACTGAAATAGCTTTATCCCTCCCACTGTCCAGTGTCTTTGAGGCCTGTCTGTATTTTCAAAGAACCATATTCAAGAAGGCAAATACTATTCACATTCTGAGTCTTCAGTTTCACATTATAAAGATGGGCATATATATATATATATATATATATATGCTTGATCTTCTGTTAGATACAAAATAGTGATGATTATAAACCAAATACATCTTAATCTTTTTTAACTGTGCGTACGAGGTATACAGCATATTTTTGGAACAAAAAATCAACATGTGGTTAAAATGGATGGAGACAACTAGAAAGAATATTTGACTATTTGAAGCCAGCATATCCTGGAAAATCAGCCAAAATCTGGAGGTACATTAAATGTCTGTATGCCTGATTACTCTATTGAATAAAGAATAAGAAAAGGCTCTTGGTTTTCTAATTTCTAGGGTTTTATATTTTAAATGTTATGAAATTCAGAAAGATGTCTCTCTTCTCTTCTGTAAACCCCATCTCCACTCCGACCTTGAACTGCCTGTAGCTTTATTTTTTATTAGAACCATGTGTAACAATATTCTTTACTAGGACGGAAGCTGATCATTGCAGTGCAGGATAGCTAAAGCTCATAAAAAGCTTTATTGCCATCATCCTTTGAAATTGGTAGAGAATGTGGTCCATCTTCCCACTGTGTCACATCAGCCCAGCAAATTATATCTTTTCCCTTCGTGAGGAGCCACAAAATGCCCAGATGCATTTTCTAAAGCACAATTTGAAAATAATGAGACAAATACCGGACACAACATGCTCTTAACAGAGGCCACTGAGTCTAAATCTGTGAAAGAGAATTAATTTGGTGAGATATTGCAGCTGCAGCTTAACTTCTCTCACTTCTGTGATCGTTGGGATTCTCAGATTTAGAAGATACCAATGCACAGATCAAAAATTATACCCTAAAATGAAAATGGCAGTTTTACAATTGCCAGTGACATTGAGCTTTGTTCTTGGATGGCAGAACTGAGGGAGCCTAGCTACTTATGTAGCTTACATTGCTCACATGATTATCAAGGGTTTAGATTTAAGCTACTCCCCACTCCCCCAAAAAAGCCTTACTTCTTTCTAGTTTTAAGTAACTAAAGACTTCAAATAGACACTGCCATTTTATACTTGATATTTTGTTGTGATATTAAAAAGATATTTCCTGGTACTAAATATGACAAAAGCTATATAAAAAGGTTATACATACACTTAAAAATGTCCAAAGGAATAAATAAATAAGTAAATGATACAATAGGGTTTAAAACTAATTTAATATTTATTATGAATTATATTCTCTACTAAAAGCACAGATTTTAGAGGCAGATTCAAATTCCAGCTCTGGCAAATTACTAGTTTTAGAACTTTAGAGAAGTTACTTAGACTCTTTGGGTCTTAATTTCCTCACCTGTATAATACATAGAACCAACCACTTACAGTAAGAGTGAAGAGTTACTACATGGACAGCACTGAGAATGTTGACTAGTACATCTTAAGGACTTACAAATATTATCATTAATGTTAACTATAACAATTAATAGCTATTATCACTTGTAACAACTATTAGCATTAAAATAATAATTTTAATATTAGTAATTAATAACAATGCTAATGTTAGCATTACCGATAACTATTTTCAGTGGTAATTTTTATCATTCATGATAACTTCTTATAACTGTTCTAGCCAGTGATCATACATGACACCTGTCATTACTTTTTAAGCATTACTTCTTCTAATTTCAGAAAAACCTTCTTAACCATGGTTCTAGTTTCTTCCTTATGCAGATGCTTGATCATGCAAAGTCAAGAAAGAAAAAATAAATTGCTTGAGATTATATGACCAATAATTGGCAGCACTGGGCAGAAGTTGTCTAACTCCAAAATGTGAGGGATTATATGTTTTTGCCTCTGAGTTTAAGCAAATAATTCAAAAACAAATTTAAAAAGGCAACTATACACATAAAAACCTGCATATGGATGTTTATTTATAATTGCTGGAAGCAAGCAAGATGTCCTTCAGAAGAGGAATGGATACATAAACTGTGGTACATCAAAACAAGGAGCTGTTATTCAGTACTAAAAATAAATGAGTTATAACTCTATAACTTTATAAAGCCATGAAAAGACAAGGAAGAAACTTCAATGCATTATTGCTAAATGAAAGAAGCCAATCTGAAAATGTCTACATACTGTATGATTCCAACTATATGACATTCTGGGAAAGGCAAAACTGTGGAGATAGTAAAAGGATCAGTGGTTACCTGAGGTTAGGAGGAAAGGCAAAAAAAGTGGAGCAAGGGAGATTTTTAGGGCAGTGAAACTATCCTGTGTGATACTGCAATGGTGGATACATGTAGTCATATATTTGTCCAAACCCATAGAATGTACAACCCTAAGAGTGAGCTGTAATGTAAACTATGGACTTTGGGTGGTAATGATGTGTCAATGTAGGTTCGTCAGTTGTAACAAATGTACCTCTCTAATGAGGATGTTGGTAGTGGAGGAGGTTGGCAGGGGAAGGGGTATATGGAAACTCTATACTTCCTGCTCATTTCTTGTGACCCTACAACTGATTTTAAAAAAAAGTCTTTGGGGGGAAAAGTAACTACCATTTATTGGGCTGTACCTATGCTCAATGGGGTTTTTATTCTGCATTGGGACTGTGTTTCCCCACTGAGACATCTGGAAGCAGATCTTCAGCTGCTTTCTTCTGATATCAGTTAATACATGTGTGTACTGTGTATGGGCGAATGGTGTAATGAGAGGAGATCCCCTCCAAACCTCTCCTACCCTTCCAGCAGCGTTCTTAGAAAGTGCTTATCAGTGTCCAGAGACACTGAAAATAATGAGCCAGATGATATCCTAACAATGTGCAAAGATTCAGCCACCTATTCCTTCACCATCCACTCTCAAATTGACTGTCTTCTGTCTTCTATGTCTACAAGACATTATTCCAGGCATGAAGACTTAGCACTGAAAAAGAAAAAAAAAAAGGTTATCTGCTCTCATGGACTTTACAACTCCATGAATGAAGAAGAAAGACCACAAGCGAACAATAAACCATAATATGTATCAGTATAAAGGACTGAACTGTGTGATGGAGGATGACTGACTACTTTAAATCTAGTGATCAGGAAAGGCCATTCTGAACATTTGAGCTGAGATCTGAATGATAAAAAGGAAGTAGCTATGGAAAGATTAGAGGAAAGTGCATTTTGAGACGGAAGAGTTAGACAAAAACCACCCAACATGTGAAGAGCTTGAAATTTTTGAAGAATCGAAAAGTCCAGGATGACAGGGAGTATGGGATAAGGAAATTGGGCTAGACTAAAGAGAGCTTGATAAGCCAGGATCCCACAGTTAGATGTTACTGTGAGGATAGGAAAAGCCATGGGAGGCAGTGAAGTAATCTGCTTTACATTTTGATTTTTTCAATCACTGTGGCTGCTACATAAAGCATAGATTTTAGAAGAACAGAAGAAAAAGTAGGCCACTGGGAAACTAGTGAGGAGGCTATTATAGGATTCCAGGTAAGATATGAGGGTGGATTGCACCAAAGTAATTGAAGCACAAAGTGGAGGGAAGTAGACAGGTGTGGAGGTGAGCTTATGAAAGAGACCTGATACGTTTGCCAAAAGGTTTCATGTAGATATTCAGGTGAAGAAAAGAATCAAGGATGACCATAACTCCTAGTGGTCAGTGGTCAAAGTCTACAGTTAAATCTAGATGTCAATAGAAAGGACAGACAAAGTGGTTTCTGAGCCCAAACACTTTTAGTGTCTATTGAGAATTGGAAGCATTTCTTCTCATGGAGGTGCTAAGGTAGGAGGGGCAAACAGTGCTCCTACATCTCTGGACACTCACTTTCCTCCTGTTTGTGTGGTCCCACCAGCTCTTATTCCTTCATTTCAGGCCCCACTGACCTCCCCTTAGGCCAGTTCTCTTCTGTCTCTCAACTTTCTTGTGTAACCAAAGATATCTTCCTAGTTTTAGGAGAGGTGACCTGTTCTCTTATTCTTTGCACATTCCCCCATACATCTTGCCTAAGAACACACATCTTCCATTTTCCAAGCCTAGACTTTATGCTTTTAAAACACAAAAGCTATAAATTTTTTCCATTTTTGTTTCTGCTATGTAATTTCCTTTCTGTGTCAAATAATTGTTGAACGTATGTGTTGTCTAAATAGAGGAAGAGCCTAGGGTAGAAGAAAACTCCAAGAAACAGAAACACACACATGCAGACATACATTGATTAATATTTCAAAATCGCTGCCCCTTCATGCTTACTTTGCCTTATTTAGTCTCAACTACCATTGTTCCTACTACTCACTGACTTTAAGCTTCTCTCTTGGCCTCTTATGGGTTAGTTTTCTCATACATTAAATTAGGAAACTGTAATGAATAATAATTAAATCCCTTTTAGATCCACAATAATAAACTGTAATTCCATTCTAGATTCTGGACAGAAACTAATATTCATTTGCTGCCTACTGTCTCCCAGGAGTTTAGGAGAAAATTCAGTGGGAGTTTGTCAGCCTATATTGTGTCCCTTGCTTAGATTGAAGATACATGATAAGAACATCAATCAAAACTACAAGGATTCTATTTGAATTGGTGCACTAGATGTCTTCAAGTAGAGAAGTCATCCAAAAGCCCAGATAAAGCCTAAGTTGTGTGTCTTAAGAACCTAGGGCCATTCTGAGAATTGCAGGAACCTGGAGAAATAGCAACACCTAGTAGTAGCAGCTTGTCTGTGGGTACCAAAGGCAATAGCTGAGATTAGAGGGAGACTAGAGGGAAGGAGAAAGAAAGGTGGGAGCGAGGGAAAAATAAAAGGAAGGAAGGAAAGGGAAGGAAATAGGAAAGAAAAAACAATAGAAGATACATATGGTAGACATATACGTAGTAGATACATATAGTAGAAAATATATATAGTAGACACTGCACATAACATATATCATGGGAAACCCCAGAAATAAGTGTGGAGGGGCGAGAGATAAGAAGATGATAATTTGACTACCCAGTGGTAGCTGAAGAATACAGTTCACACTTTTAACAGATTATTCCAGAAACTGAAGTTTAAAAGGCTAATTTTGCAATATTTTCTATAAATAGAAAAGGTGGAAAGAGGATTAATGCACCCATTCAAATAATATTTGTTGAGCACTTACTATGTGTCAGGCACCATTTTGGGCATTGAGGATAAAACAGTGATAGAAAGTGTCACTGACCTCATGGAATTTACATGAGATAACAATTAGCAACTAAATAAGTATGTTTTATATCTGATGGCGATAGTACTACAGAGAAAAATGGAACAAAGTTGGAGGAATAGAGAATGGAGAGGGCAGGGTGGGGCAAGCCACATTATTTTATATAATGGAAGTCCTCACTGTTAAAGGGATTGATAAGGTTAGCAAACCAAAGTCTGAATAAATGTGGTTGGTTAACACTTGATTCCCCAGTGCCTAAGCATAAGGTGTTGTCACATATTTATGGTTCCAAAGACAATGTAACCTTCTGATTCCAGCAATGCCTTAGTCGTGGTATATTCAACACAGCATGCAAAATAATATAAGTCGTGGGTAAGATCAGAAATAAAATTCCATTTTAAATGTTGAAATTCCTAAATCACGCAATTCTTCTACCTGTTTGAATGAAATTATACTACCCAACATAATAGTGTAAATAGGGACCATGCAATTATAAAAAAAGTTAAGGACACACAAAATCAGAGGTAAGGCAGAAATCTAGGATAGGTGATTGAAAGTCAGATAAGGAACAGCTTACATACACTCTTTAATAGGAGACATTCTTGTGCCGAAACATTGTTACTGACATTTCATTTTCCTGAATACTAAAAGAGTCTTTTCAGGTGTTTCCTTTAAAAATAGTTAATTCTGGCTCTAGGTCTTATTGAATTGATTAAAGAGAATCTTGTTTGAATTTGCCTTAGCCTTGCAAGTCAAAATACCAGTGGTGTTTTTATCCCAAATAAGGAAATGAGAGAAAGTATATTGCTATATTTAGGGAACTGCTCATGTAATTGTCTCCTTGAAAATTTCTTAAGTTAGAAAACCAAGAAATTTGAGCTTTCCATAGCTAAACAATCATGTGATGCTGGCGTATTAACAGGGAAATTGGCAGCTGCCAGCCTCAAAAATTTCGATGGGATAGTTTCTATATCCTTGCCACACTCACCTGCCAGCCTCAAAAATTTCGATGGGATAGTTTCTATATCCTTGCCATCCTCACCTGCCATCAATCCACTATCACTCTCCAGGAATTATACTTAACCATGTTAGAATTAAAGACTCTAATTTCCTGTAATGCAGATTCTTCCCACTATGCCTCTCTCTTGCTGTGAAATCTTGAATTTATTTTCTTTAGATCATTGCTTCCTCGTTTTTAAAAGCAGTGTTAGATATTTCTAAAGTATCTTTAAACTCTAGTAGTCTTAAGTCTTTGTAACACCTGTGAGATGTTTTGCAGATTGAGAAATATTTAAACGCCTTTTGAGTCAAACATGCTTTTGAAGCCTGATTCATCAACTTATTAGTTGGGTAACCTTGGGCTAATAAGTTAGTCATTCTGTATATTTTTTGTCTTTAAAATGGAGATTAAAAATACAACATATTTAAAAAGATAAATTAGGTAATAATGAATGAGAAGTACTTAGTTCAATGCCCAGCACTTAATAAATATTCAATAGATGTTTCCTATTACATCCGTGTTTCATGCTGCTCATTTTCCCAAAGACTGTTGGTAGCTTTTGACCATCATTGCATTCATCATATTGCCAAAAAGGGTGTGGTATCTGTAGTTTTACTAGAAAAAGGACAGCAATTAGAGGTGCTTGTACAAAGACATCTTGTGCCTATATAGTCAATATTCTTAAGTTTGAAACAAATTCCTCTTTGAATGAAATTGCTAGCTCCAGCAGTATTGGCTGTGTGTTTGGAAATTTTCTAAAAATGTATTTGTTATATTTACTGTGGAACAAACTACTTCCAAACTTAGTCAAATAAAACAACAACAATCATTTTATTTAGCCCACAGTTCTGTGGGTCAGCTAGACAGTTTTTCTGGTCTAAGCAGGCCTGGCTGGTCTCTGCCACGCTCTGTTATGTACCTGTGTCTAGCTGGGGAGTCAGGTGGTAGCTCGTATACTGGCAGTTAGCAGGCTGTTGATCACGGCAGCAGAAGTGTCTGGGATGACAGGGTCTTGATCTCTCATTAGCCAGCATGCTTGCCTGGGCTTCTTGATATAGTGATGATGACAGTTTTACCAAAGCAGCAAGGGAGAGCAATAGTCAATGCACACACAAAAAGTTTGCAATTTTTAGCTTGTGACACATTTGCTACTATCCCATTGACCAAACCTAGTCACATGGCCAAGCCCAGACTCAATGTGGAAGGCCAATGCCTATCCAGGGCCCTGGAAAAATGAATGGGAATGATTTAAGCTGTCTGCAGAGATTCTGCTAGAAACGTACATGCTGTGTTTATTAATCAATATTTAATTAACATTAGTTAAAAGACAGCTGCTTGAAAGAGTAAATAATTGCAGCCACCTTAATGTTTATTTAAAAAATTCTGCAATATTAACTGTCTGTTGGTAACCCTCTCTTTTTCTGCTGAATACACTCTATGATATACAAATCAAATTGAGGCAGAGTATTCTGCTGAGAAAAAAATAGACAGCATCCAAATATACTTTTCATTATCATCTTAAATCCTGAAAAAATTTCGGACTACACTTCTTATTCTTGATTTAAACCTTAAATACTATAAGGAATAGAGAATGTTCAAACTGACATGGGAAAGCTCAAAATAGCAGTTTTGCTTTTATATTATAAAACAGGTATGAAGAAATATGCAGTAAAACATATTATGTTACCAATCTGGCAGTAAATACTTAAAGTTTTTTTTAATTTTTTTTCTGCAGTCAACAAGAGAATATAGATAGCAATACATTTTTTTATGAGTCTTCACTATTCCAATGACATGAATAAAAACTATTTTAATTTTGGTTAGACTGGTTAAGTCTAATACTAGTTAAGTCTGGTAATAGTAATGTGATGGCTTCTTACCTCCTTTATCTCTCTTTGCTCTTCCAAGTGGCCGGCATCATAAATCAAGCAGAAGGGAATTCACATGTATTCCATGTGCACAGCATTTTGGATAGTCTACTAATGGTATAATATAAGTATCATATTTGTTTTCATTTTGAAATATATTTGGGGGGATGCCCAAGCCTGCTGTACAAACTACAGTAAGAAGTGATTCTCACTTGGTGTTAGATGCCCTTTTGATTCTTAAACTATGAGAAGTAAAGCGCGTGGTTTTGTGGCTTTTAGTTGTAACAGAGAACAATCATATCAAGAACCAGAGCCATATTCTAGTTATTCTTGTGCCGAATAGTATTTCCCAAAAGTCTATGAAAAAATAAAATAACAAGCATAAGCGTACTTCTTAATAACCCATTCATAAAAAAATTTTTTAGCCTATATGATATAGAAGACACAGTCTAGACACTGGGAATAAAAGCAATACAAGGTGTGCCAAGGTCAGGGTGTAAGGAATGGTCTGTCCCAGGTGCAGGCAATTAGGGGGTGTGTTGTTCATAGAGAATTTGAAGACAATCATAAACGCAACCAAAAGTCAGTCTTCTTTTTTATTATCGCTATATACTGGCAATTGTAAGCAAAATTAGTCATAAAGTACTCTACCTACCCCAATATCTTGTTAGTATAAATATTTGAAACCAGTGTTGCAACTACTGTCCAGCTTTTATAATATATAAATATTCCTTCATTTAAACAGCTGTTTCTAAGCAAACAAAGGTAGCATATTATATAGATGAAAAACGGAACTTGAGTTGCCACAATCTTCTTATCCTATGGGGCCACTTGGAATTTGTATTTGTTCTTAAAGTAGAGTGCAAACTTTGAGGTGTAGTATTTTTGGTTGGTAAGCACAAATTTTAGTTTACAGATAAAATATATTTGTTACACTATTACTGAAAATAATTTGGTCAAATGGGAGGTTGTTAAAAAATTATCTGCTCCAGCTATCAAATAATGTTACTATAGCAACCCATTTATTATAAATACACCACTGAGTAAAAGCACAATTAAAATATATTTCTAGGCTTATGAAGTTTTCAATATAGTACATCAAATCGATATTAGAATGGGTAATTGCAATACTGCATAATTATGTACATAGCACCCTGTTGGAACAGGGAAAGGAGAAATAGGAATATAGAGGGCCTTTAGAATTATTTCAGATCAATTGACAAGAACCCCAAAATTCTCAAAAAAAAAATCCCTTGGAAATGGGCCATCTTGAAAATAGTTTTAATCTTTTTGGTATTATTTTTGAATATACTGTGACCAAGAGGAAAATTTTTCAGACTAGAATTACATGTTTTTAACTGTGTGATTGCAGTTTCATCTCTGTGTTATCTTTCATACTTTCTATACGACATAAAATATATGGGTGCAAATAAAAAACGCTAGGCATAATTGTTCATTTGAAAATATTTACTTCATGGAAATCTTGTGTTTGCCTATGGTTCATACACACATTTGTGCATCTATTAGTCTATTATCAAATTGCTGTAAAGAAATACCTGAGACTGGGTAATTTATGAAGAAAAGAGGTTTAATTGGCTCATCGTTCTACAGGCTGCACAGAAAACACGATGCTGGCATCAGCTTAGCTTCTGGGGATGCCTCAAGACACAATCATGGTGGAAGGCGAAGGGGCAACAGTCACATCACATGGCCAGAGCAGGAGCAAGAGAGAGAGAGGGGAAGTGCCACACACTTTTAAATAACAAGTCTCTCGAGAACTCACTATTGAGAGGAGGGCACCCAAGAGGATGGTGCTAAACCATTCATGAGAAACCACCTCCATGAGCCAATCACCTCCCACCAGGCCACACCTCCAACATCAGGGATTACATTTTGACATAAGATGTGGGCAGGCACACACATGCAAACTATATCAGTGTGTTTTGTTTCAAATAAGCTTTAAAAGCTGTGTACCAATTATTAACATTTTCAGTGTCAGAAGCGATACTCTATTAGGAAAAATATAAACACTTTTATTTAAATAAGTGGTTCACAATATAATCCGTGAACTCAAAATTAAAGTTTGCTTTAAGTTTTAAGAAAGCTTAAAGTTTGCAAGTTCTTTTAAGTAATTACTTTGCTAACCTTTTTAGAACGATATGAGTAAAATAAAGGAAGGACTTCCATTGCTAAAATGGCATTTTAACCAAAATCTGCATGGATTTTTTTTTTTAAAATATATACATTAAGTAGAAAGAGAAAGAATTCTTGTTAATATTGCAAACAGAAACTGGACAGAATGATATACTTAAATTTGAGGCACTCTCAAAGATTAGAAAACAGTGGCATGCAGAAACAAGTAATACCTGGGAGTAATGATTAACTTTTTGTTCTGCTTCCTAAAAAATATTATTGAAATAGAATAATTACAGCTAGGTGATACATACAATATGTCTACATTGTAAGTATATATGTGTGTGCATATGTATGTATATAGTAGGTTGATTAACTTAAGGATCAAATTCATAGGAGAAAATCTACCCCATAGCATAAAAGAGATAAAAATAAGAATTAGGCAACACTATAATATTTTAAGACACCCCTTTTTCAGCAACTTGTAATTTTTTGGATTTCAAGGGTTTTAAGGAGTAAAGTTTGGAATTTTCGGGACATAGAAAAATATTGAATTATTTTAAATTCTAGATGGAAAGAATCTATACTTTTAAATATGCCAATGAGACTCTAAATGTGCTGCTCATAAACACACTTAAATTCAGAAAGCACGTTTGAATTCAAATGTCTGTTTTCTGTAGTAAATAAGCGCTAGATCTGTAGTAATATCGGAATTAGAAATAAAAATTTAATTCAATTTTAGTGTAAAAATACTTAAATTCAGAAAGCACGTTTGAATTCAAATGTCTGTTTTCTGTAGTAAATAAGCGCTAGATCTGCAGTAATATCGAAATTAGAAATAAAAATTAAATTCAATTTTAGTGTAAAAATACACAATAACAAGTAACGTGTCATCTTTCACAATAACTTCAATATCTAAGTTTTTATTTTTTTACAAATAATTTTATTTCTTTGTATATAAACTTTTAAAAAAACGTACTATTGTGTCCGGAATTGGTGGGTACTTGATCTCACTGACTTCAAGAATGAAGCCGCGGACCCTCGCAGTAAGTGTTACAATTCTTAAAGGCGGCGTGTCTGGAGTTTGTTCCTTCTGATGTTTGGATGTGTTCGGAGTTTCTTCCTTCTGGTTGGTTCGTGGTCTCGCTGGCTCAGGAGTGAAGCTGCGGACCTTGGCGGTGAGTGTTACAGCTTTTAAGGTGGCCCGTCTGGAGTTGTTCGTTCCTCCCGGTGGGTTCGTTGTCTCACTGGCTCAGGAGTGAAGCTGCGGACCTTCGCAGTGAGTGTTACAGCTTTTAAGGTGGCCCGTCTGGAGTTGTTGGTTCCTCCCAGTGGGTTTGTGGTCTCACTGTCTCAGGAGTGAAGCTGCAGACCTTCGCGGTGAGAATTATAGCTCTTAAGGCGGCCTGTCTGGAGTTGTTCGTTCCTCCCTGTAGGTTCGTGGTCTCCATGACTTCAGGAGTGAAATTGTAGACTTTCGTGATGAGACCTTCACTGCCTTACAGCTCAGAAAGGCAGTGTGAACCCAAAGAGCAAGCAGCAGAAAGATTTATTGCAAAGACTGAAAGAACAAAGCCTCTACATGGCAGAAGGGGACCCCAGCTGGTTGGCACTGCTGGCTCTGGCCGCCTGCTTTTATTCTGTTATCTGGCCCCACCCACATCCTGCTGATTGGTCCATTTTACAGAGCCAATTGGTCTATTTTACAGAGAAATGATTGGTCCGTTTTGACAGGGTGCTGATTGGTGCGTTTACAATCCCTGAGCTAGACACAAAAGTTCTCCATGTCCCCACTAGATTAGCTAGATACAGAGTGCTGATTAGTGTATTTACAAACCCTGAGCTAGACACAGAGTGCTGATTGGTGCATTTACAAACCTTGAGCTAGATACAGAGTGCGGATTGGTGTATTCACAACCCCTTAGCTAGACATAAAGATTCCCCAAGTCCCCACTAGATTAGCTAGATACAGAGTGCGGATTGGGGCATCCACAAACCCTGAGCTAGACACAGGGTGCTGACTGGTGTGTTTACAAACCTTGAGCTAGATGCAGAGTGCTGATTGGTGTATTTACAATCCCTTAGCTAGACATAAACGTTCTCCAAGTCCCCATTAGACTCAGGAGCCCAGATAGCTTCACCCAGTGGATCCCGCACCTGGGGCGGCAGATGGAGCTGCCGCCAGTCCTGCGCTGTGCCCCTGCACTCCTCAGCCCTTGGGCGGTCGATGGGACCAGTCGCCCTGGAGCAGGGGGCGGCGATCCTGGGGAGGCTCTGGCGCGCAGGCGCCCACGGCGGGGTGGGGGTAGGGGAGAAGAGGCTCAGGCATGGCGGGCTGCAGGTCCGGAGCCCTGCCCCGCGGGGAGGCACCTAAGGCCCCGCGAGAAATCGAGCGCAGCGCCGGTAGGCTGGCACTGCTGGGGGACCCAGCGCACCCTCCTCAGCTGCTGGCCCGGTTGCTAAACCCTGCTGGTCCGGGTGCTAAGCTCCTCATTGCCCAGGGAGGCGGGGCCCGCCAAACCCACGCCAACCCGGAACTCTAGCTGGCCCGCAAGGGCTACGCGCAGCCCCGGTTCCTGCCCGTGCCTCTCCCTCCGCACTTCCCCTCAGGCTGAGGGAGCTGGCTCCTGCCTCGGCCATCCCAGGAAGAGGCTCCCACAGTGCAGCGACGGGCTGAAGGGCTCCTCAGGCGCGGCCAGAGTGGGCGCCCAGGCCGAGGAGGCGCCAAGAGCGAGCGAGGGCTGCGACGACTGCCAGCATGCTGTCACCTCTCACTATGACTGTCTGGGATCTGCTTTATAAATAAACAAGGTAGGGATATAATCTTAAATTCTCAGTAGCAGAGTTCATTCTGTTTTAAAGAGGCTCAAGCTACTAAGTTCAAAACAGTTGTTAAGAGGACCCCTTGAGAAGTAAGAAAACATGTTTTTTAGTAGATGGGAATGAATTGATATTGATCTCTTATTTCTTCTCCTAGATATCTAAGGAATCTATCCCAATATTTCTGGAGCAAATCTATTCCAAAAATATTTGTCTCATTAATATTCAGCAAAAAATGAAAACTCTATAAAACAGCTTTCATGAAGCATGATGGTAATATAGCAGAATTTGTCAACAGCATTTTGTTCCTTACTATCTTCTCTTCGAAGTCACGTGACACTTGTTAAACTTAGTAGAAGGTGGTATATTCTAATATTATGACATTCATTTTATCTTATTATTAACGTAGGTTTCCATTTGCCACTGCTTTGTTTTTTGTTATATAAATATAAAATATTCACCCCTCCTCAGGCTTCCTGAGTCTGTTATGATTAGTATAGGGTGTTCTGTTTGTTTCAAGTCATATGGAGCAGTGAAGTCAACAAGAATCTAAGAATTTCCCATTGCTCAGAGCAAACTTAATCTTTTCTTATGTCACACAAACAGTAGGAGTATTCAGTCAAATAAAGATAGGCTATTCTTCAACATGTTCTCTTTCCTCATGGCCAAAAACAACTGTGGCCACCCTGGTGGAGCTCTGTGGACTAGAGATGTTTCTCATGATTTTTCAGTGAGTTCTTAGGGGTCCCAGCCTCTCAGGCAGGTTATCATGACTCTCCCTCTGAGCTGATGAGATCGGACATCAAATAAAAATGTTCCACCATGTTGTATTTTTTAAAAAAGAAATTGATAGTTGTGGATTACTGGCTTTTGACTTTGTCTAAGAAACTTTGGCTTCCTTACTTGTGAAATGTGGATCATATGAAAGGTTATAATCATTTTATCGGAAATAACAAATGGGGTATGGAGCAAGCCCTCCCACAACGTCCCACTTCTGCCTAGACTCTAAAAGTGGCTAAAAGATAAAGACAAATGAGTCCTTGTCTGACAATAGAAATTTGATCCCTTCTTATGGCAGCTCTAGCTCCAACCTGTGTCTCTGTTATGTTGTTAAGATGGACATCCCACGAATGATGGATGAAAGCTACTGCGGTTTGAGTTATGATTGTGTGCTAGGCTCTGTGCTAAGTGCCTGAAGTTTTTTGTTTTATCTGATTTTCACAGCAAATTATTCACATTTTGAGACAAGGGGATTGAGGCTTAAGTATTGGCAACAGTTAAAAGGTGGTGTTTAAAAATGTATGTGTCTCATTTCAGAGGTCATGATAAATGAATTGAAGTCCTTCTGTGCCTTATTCTGTCCTAGTGTAATCCTCTGTGTGATTAGAATTCATCATCACCACTATGCTTTGCTTGTTTCTTCAGACTCTGTCCTTGTATTTAGAGCATTAATTGTATTAATTAGGATGGGTGATATTATGCTGCAATAACAAGCAGCCCACAATCTCAATAGCTTAAAGCAGCACAGGTCTAATTCTTGTTTGTGTTACATATCCTTTGCTGGTCAGTTGGGGATTCTGGTCCTCAGCATCCATGCTCCATGGCTAAGGCAACTCTTCTGGTTAATCAATATAACATGATTGTTTTCTTTTTCATAAAATAATATTTTATGTCATCCATTATGTAGATACACCCTAACTTTCTTAACAAATCCCCAATTATTGCATCTAGATGGTTTCACAATATTAGTTACCTGATATTCCCATTCCTGTGAGAAGATATATTCCCTAGTGTTAAAGAGCACAGTCCTCGGCCAGGTGCAGTGGCTCAGGCCTGTAATCCCAGCACTTTGGTAGGTCGAGGTGAGCGGTTCACTTGAGGTCAGGAGTTTGAGACCAGCCTGGCCAACATGGTGAAACCCTGTCTCTACAAGAATTAGTGGGGTGTGGTGGCGCACCTGTAATCCCAGCTACTTGGGAGGCTGAGGCAAGAGAATTGCTTGAGCCCAGGAGGCGGAGGTTTCAGTGAGCCGAGATCGCGCCACCGCAATCCAGCCTGGGTGACAGAGTGAGACAACATCTACAAAAAAAAAAAAAAAAAAAAAAGTACAGTCGTCAAGAACCAGACCCTATCCAGACCCTATGGATTTACTGCCATGTGTGCCAAAAGCTGTATGACATTAGGGAAGCTACTTAAACATCTTGGATCTCAGTGTCCTCCTGTGTGAAATGTAATTGTAACTATCTTACAGGGTAACTGTGTGGATTAATTGAGGCTTTAGATGCATGCAAAATGTGTAGACTATGGCTGGCTCATGGTGAGTGCGTATATATATATAGGTTAATAATTCATGATTAAAAACATAAAAATTTCTGGGAGTAGAATTTTCAAGTGAGAGGTTGTACAAATATTAAGGCTTTTAATACACAAAGCAAAATTGAAATGTATTTTTAAATTGATTCCCTGAGAGGAGCTAAAATTACTCTATAGAGTAGATCATGCACCATTTTCTAATGAAGAGTAAGGAACTGATGAAGCCCTCAGTCACATGTGGACAGCTCAGCATTTTTTCAGTACTATTTTCGTCCTAAATAAGACCAGATCTGCAGTGTCCTTTAATCAACTTCCTCTTTACACTCTGGCCTATGACCCACACAGAACTGTAGGAATATTTGTTCTTTGTTAAAAAGCTTATTTCTGGATCTCAGGCTCTCTCTGATGTAAGGCAAGCCCATCTGTCAGGCCCACCCTTCAGACCTTTAGCCGCTTTCCTTTATAAAAGGCAAGCAAGAACAATTCAACTTAACAAACATCTTTGATAGATGCAGGAACCAGTTCCATGTTTCCTCTCCATGTTTCAAGGCTCTCAGCAGCATATTCTCCTCCAGACATTTAATACATCCCATCAACATTTACATTTTTCTTACCATAAGGCTGTATCGCCTATATAATGTTTACATGAGGCAATGAAGTTTCCAAAAATAAAAAATGCCACTACAGCACAGTCCATATGTTGTTAAGAGTATCATTATACTTACTATTTGACTTTTTTTTTTTTTCCTGAAGAATCTAAAACCCTTATGTTCTTTCTTGGAACTCCATGTACTTACTACATATTGCTTTTTACTAAAATAATATACATATTACAGAGAAATAAATGCAAAATTTGCATCTAATTTGCTAAACAAGCAAATGAGTTGAATATTGTAGTTTTAGTAACAAAACCTGTGGCCACATGTCAGTGTCATCTGAGAGGCCAGAAATCCCCATATTCATGGATGGAAAGACTCAGATACCATTGATTTAAAAGCTCAAAGTCCACTGAAAACGAGAGCCCAGATTTAGCTCTTTGTTCCCTAACCCATCTGACTAGCATTTGGTTAATGTCGGTGTCTTGATAATACGTTTAGTGCAATCTCTTCCTCAGCATGATTAACTGTAATAGGGCTGCTGCTGAAAAGGTGTGCTTAATGTATTGTAAAGGGTCACAGATGGGGAGAATTAAGTCCAAGATGCCCAGCTAGCTAGACTATGAAAGCCATAATCCATATTTAATATCCTTTCTCATTAACGATAACAGTCACATATAAGCAATTTCAGTTAAGAACTAATCTAAAGCGGTAACAAAGTTAGATGGCATCCCTAATTACAGAAGGTAGGGCTCCATTAGTCCCACCCACTATTGGCTGTTCATCAATGTTAGTAGAAATTAATGTGGGTCTTATGACAATAGGGTGCTCAAAGCAGATTTTTGGTATATGGTTATTTAAGAAAAAAAAGGATCAAGTTTATTCCACATCTTCAGTTATTTCTTTTAAAAAACATGATTAAAAAATCATCTAACTTAATATGTACTCATGTTTTTTCTTTTTATTCTTTTTTGAAAATTAGTGGATATTTATAGGGCAATTTATGTATTCAGTATAAACGAAGCCTCTTTCAAAATATGATTATTTTTGAGATCATCTGATTTTGTTTAGTGGGATTAATTAAATTTATTTTCACCAGATAGACTGTCTTCTTTCGGATAGTACATTATAAAAATGACCTAATGCACTTACTAATTTACAACCAGACCAATTAAGGTGAACCTAGTGTCTGCAGCCCTGAAAGATATTGTTAAGTTAAAAAAAAAAGTGCATAGATAAGTTATAATAAAACCATCAAGGCACCCACAGCAGAAAGGTACCCATGCTTGACTATGTTTCAATTTAGTAGGAATTTTCCATATAAGTTTGAGACTTTGTGCTCACAGCCTTTACCAATTTCCTATTCCTCTTCCATATGGGATTATTAGCCCAGTGCATATTCATAAACTGGCATTCATTTGTTCAATCGGTATTTATTAATCACCGTACTGGTCAATGTACTAAGAGAGAAACAGTTATAACAAAATAGACAAACTCTAATCTTACATTTCTAACCTTAATATTCTTGTAGAGGAGGTAGGTTGTTCAACAAATATAAACACAAAAAAACATAAATTATTATGAATTTATATAAGAACAATTTATATAAATGTCTAATTAGGAATTTATTTTATAAAGCCATCAGTATACGGATTTAAATTGGGTGAAATGGAGAAAGCCTTTTAAAAGGAGTACATCAAATCACAGGAATTTAGAAGACAGAGCAGGGGAGATCTTTCAGATCACAAGGAAGAGCATATGCAAGTTTCTTGGATGGTAATGAGCTTGGTGACATCAGGAAACTGAAAGAAGGACTGAGTGAGTTTTTTTTTTTTTTTTTCAAGTGTCTTTTGCATGATTAATCTTGGGGCACAAATTATCAACAGGTGGTAAAGGATAAGTGCACGTATTGTGTCACAGAATTTAATTTGTTCTGGCTTAACAGAAGTATTTTTTCATAGTTTTGGCTGGATTTGTGCCCAAGTCAGGCTCTTCTCAGAAGCTCCAGGCCCTGGGAAAGAATGATGTTCAATCCACCCACAGAGTCTGGATCTAAATGGATAAATTCCACCAGCAATTGCATTGCATTGAGCTGTTTATTGCTTTATCATGAATCTGTTGCCTAGAAGCTCGTTAGACATCCTCTCTCTGTCTCGGTCAAATTCACCCTACTATTGGATTTCTGGTCATCTTACCACAAAAGAATGTTTGTATCTCCAAATCTTTTTCCTCATCATCTTCTGCAGACGTTTTCTTCTTGTTCCCTACCCTCCATCTGTTCACCTTTGGGGCTAATCAAATACTAAGCTTCCTAATTTGTTATTCCTTTATCTTCTGCCAATCAAATATCTCACATACCTAAAACCAATTTGCAAAGATCACAGTTAAGACAAGTAAGTTGCTTTTTTTAAAAATAGCATCTCTTATCACCCATATTATCACATAAAAGACATTAAGCTATAATGGAAATCAAGAGAATGGGAAGACAAGCCACAGACAGAGGGAAAATATTTGCAAAAGACACGTCTGATAAAGGAATATCATCCAAAAATTATGAAATTATGAAGAACTCTTAAAATTCAGTAATAAGGAAACAAACTACCTGATTTTAAAAATGGGCAAAATACCTGAACAGATATCTCACCCAAGAAGATATACAGATGGAAAGCAAACATATGAAAAGATGTTCAACATCATATGTCATTAGCAAATTGCAAATTAAAACAATGCTATACCACTACACACCTATTAATGCTCAAAATCCAAAACACTGACACCACCAAATGCTGGTAAAGATGGAGAGCAATAGAAACTCTCATTTACTGCTGGTGGGAAAGCAAAATGGTATACCTACTTTGGAAGACAGTTCAGCAGTTTCTTTCAAAACTAAACATACTCTTATTATCATGAAATCCAACAATACTCCTTAGTATTTACCCAAATGAATTGAAAACTTATGTCCACACAAAAACCTGCATAGTAATGTTTATGCTGGCTTCATTTATAATTGTCAAAACTTGGGAGCAACCAAGATGTCCATCAGTGGGTAAGTGGATAAATCAACTGCGGTACATCCAGACAATGGACTATAATTTACTGCTAAAAAAATAGCTATCAAACTATGAAAAGACATGGCAATAACTTCAATGTATATTGCTAAGTGAAAGAATCCAATCTAATAAGGTTACATACTGTGTGGTTCTAACTATATGACATTCTGGAAAATGCAAAGCTATGTAGACAGTAAAAGATAAGTGGTTGCCAGAGGTTAGTGGGGAGGGAAGAATATGCAGAGCAAACAGGATCTTTAGGGCAGTGAAGCTACTCTCTGTGATACTACAGTGGTAGATATATGTCATCATACCTTTGTCCAAACCCATAGAATGCAGAACACCAAGAACGAGCCCTAACATGAACTACAGCCTCTGTGGGTGTGTCAGTGTAGGTTCTTGGATTGTGACAAATGTACTTCTCTGGTGAGGGATGTTGACAATGGGGGATGCTATGCATGTGTTGGTGGAGGGCGGGGGGTATATGAGAAATCTCTGTATCTTCCACTTAATTTTGCTGTGAAACTAAAATTGCTCTGAAAATAAAGTTTGTTAATAATTATTATTATATTTGTAAACAAAACAGACCAAAGCTTATAGTCAATTATATTAAAATATGTGAGTAAATATATTTGCATTTATACAAATATAACTACAAATTATAAGAAACCTAATGGAGGAAAAGTAGAGCATATAACAAGTGAAACTTAAGTTAATTTAAACTTAAAGATGAGTAGCTATTTGACAAAGAGTGGGAAAGACAATTATTCCAGGAAGAAAGATAAGTATGTGACTAAGAAAGCGTGATATCCATAGTAAGGTAAAGAACATTGTTAAGAAATAGGTAATGGATGTAAGAAAGGTACTGGGGTGAAGATGCTAATAGATAAGAAAATGTTTTCTTCAAGCGTCCAGGCAATAAATATTTGGTTCTAAGCTGTCAGCATTAGTGGATTGTGTTTAACAAGTATCAATGACAAGTGAAACAAATTAACACATTGCCAACTTAAATAGTATATTGAAAAAGGCTACATAGTATGGAATTATTTGTGGGGCATCCTGTGGCTATTACACTTACTAATTTGCAGTATCAAAGTTTTTCATTCTTTGGTGTGTGAATCTTAATACAGGCTTTCTCATATTTATACTATTTGTGTAGGTTCGTGTTTTCTGTTTTACTTTGATTTTAGATGATACCTGGAGTTAGAAAAATGGAAAAGTGGAAAAGTTCCCAAGACTGCCCTCACTTCTAATAACAACTGCAAGTTTGTGTTGGAGGGGTTTTAAAACCACCCTCAGGCTGGATAATTCACTAGAAGGACTTACAGAGCTCACAAAAAGCTGTTATTTCACAGTTATGGTTTACTACAGGGAAAGGATATAAATTAGAACCAGTGAAAATAAAACGTGTATAAGCCAGAGTATAGGAGGTTTCTAAAGATGAAGCTCCTGATTTCTCAAGATGTTCTATCCTCTCAGCATAGATATATGACAATATGCAAAGAGAATTGCCAACCTGGGAACCTCACCCTAGCTTTGGTGTCCAGAGTTTTTGTTGGGGCTTCATTATATAAGCTTAATTGATTGACTGGTTGCCCACATGATTGAACTCAGTCTCCAGCCACATTCTGCCGGTATTGAAGAGGTCTAGCTGATACCATGTGGCAAGAGGAGCACGCCATGAGTCACCTTGTTAGCATCAACTATTAGGTGTGGTAAGAGGGGTCCACCATGAATAACAAACGCACTCCCAGGCAATTAAGCACAGCAACAAACTACAAAATTAGGAGAATCAGTATAGATGCTCACATCCAGTTATTGCTATGTTGTGGCTGGTAACTTCTTTCTTTTTTCTTTTCTTTTTTTTTGGATACAGAGTCTCGCTCTGTCACCCAGGCTGGAGTGCAGTGTCGCGATCTCTGCTCACTGCAAGCTCCGCCCCCGGGGTTCATGCCATTCTCATGCCTCAGCCTCTCGAGTAGCTGGGATTACAGGTGCCCGCCACCACGCCTGGCTAATTTTTTTGTATTTTTAGTAGAGACGGGGTTTCACCGTGTTCGCCAGGATGGTCTCGATCTCCTGACCTCGTGATCCGCCCGCCTCGGTCTCCCAAAGTGCTGGGATTACAGGCACGAGCCACCGCGCCTGGCCTTGGCTGGTGAGTAATTTCTGTCAGTCACCTGGATCCAGTGTTTTTACAGCTGGAAAATGGGTCAGTTATATCACTTATCAAAAGGTTATCAGGCATTAAAAAAAAGTGGCAGTGGTGTTTAGTGAATTGTGTTTACATAAAATAAAAACTAAAGCGCTAGATAAACCTCAAAACCTTGAAAAATTCTGTGTCAGCATGGCGTGTGATTGGATTCCATATAAGTCAGGTAGAAAAAGTCCTTGGGAGGGAAGTTTGGGTAATGGGTATGGCATATTTTCAGGGCTACATCCAGTGCTGTATTATCCAACTAAACAAACAAATTGTGTCTTATGTACTTCCTATTTAACTACCAAAGAGAAGGAGAGAGAAACAGGATGGAGAAATTTTGTCTATATTTTTGCAACTAGAACATCTAGGAAGATGCTATTTTAAGTCCAACACAGTTCATTGCTTTATAGTTAGTAATGGTTTGTTTTATGAATTACATTTGTATGAAAGCTAAACTCAAAAGTTTTTAATCCAACTCTACCCGAGCTAATGGGAAGAAAATTTCTGAATGTCTTGATTTTAAGACTGAATAAACAGGAAGATGTCATAGACAGGGAAATAAGAACAACATTCAAAGTTCAACATCTGTGAGTAAATGAAATGTGATTGATAATCAAAGGCAAGAACTCTTCCTTTTTTTTCTTTTAGATGGAAACTGAGAAGAAGCCACAGGTGCATACTAGATGTCTGATTCAGATGCAGGAAAAGCTCTTTGAGAAAGAGAGATGAATTTCATCTAAGCATCTAGTTAAAAAAAAAGTGGGAAAACACATCCTGTGAGGCATAGAAATAATGATATATTGATTGATGATTCATTCCATTTATATTTAGCATCTAGTGTCTGCAAGGTACTGTGCTAGATACTGGGGATAGAGAAATAAACAAAATAAAAGGAGTCGCGGCCCTCAGGTGGCTTATACTGTAAAGGTAGAGACATCCAACATACAACTTAGTATGCACATAATTAGATTTAATTCCAATATATCTTTAAAGGAGAATTATGACATGCTAAAGAATACCCAGTGGGAAATACAACCAAGAGTGTGTGTGTGTGTGTGTGTGTGTTTGTGTGTGTGCGTGCACGTGTGCACTTTGAAAGGTACATTTTGAAAGAAAGGAGCAAGGCATGTGTACTTTGAAAGAAAACAGCAATGAGGAAAGGCTTTTCAAAGGAGGTAACATTTTAAGTCAAGACCAAAAGGATGATGAGAAATTAACCAAGTAAGAACAGAGGGTGTTGGCAAGAGCAGCTGATAGGCAGAAACAACATTGTATAAAAGTCTGTATGACTGGAATTTAGAAAACAAAAGGCATAAAGTGAAGGTGCTAATGTTGAGATGATGCATAACCAGATAAGACCTACAAATAATTTGGGTGTTCAATATATGGAAAGACATTAAGCGTATCCTGAAATGATCAGTGTTATCGAAAGATCATTCTGTAAAATAGAGAATGGATAAAGCAAGATCAACATGGAAAGCAAGAAGGCCAATTAGGGGTCTATATTGTTATATCATCATTTTATAATGGTTGCTTGGACTAGAGTCACAGAGTGGACATAGAGAAAGGTAGACAGATTTGGGAAATATTTTAGGAACTAACATTGACACTATAAGTTTAGTAATTGACAATATAATGGCTGAAAAGGGGGTGATGTCTAAAATGACTTCCATGTTTTTGTGTCTCATTTTCAAACTTATAGTTTTGAAAGAAAAAAGAATTGACTTTAATTGCTTCAAGACTCTTGAATCTCTAACAGAAAATATTTGCCTCTTTTTTGATATTTGTGAAGATGCCCTTTTGTAGAATTAAACATACTTTTGGTAGACGGGATTCTGACCTTTCTGAATGCTTTATCAGATTCTTTTCTTTAAAATGGGAAGTGGGGATGAGGGTTTCTTCGGAAAAGAAATGAAAAAGCAGTGGATGGGTGGCAGTGATGAAATATGTTCAAAGAGCCTATTCACTTGTCACTTGGCAGTGACCTATATTATGGAGCCTTGCTACCATTTCTGACAGTTTCATTAGATAAGTCAAGTTCAGGGTTGTCCAGAAAAGCTAAGATCTCTTCTCTTCAGTCTTAAAAAATAGTCCAGAAATTTACCTTGGCATATTTGCAGAAAAGAGCCTGGAACTGCTATCTTTGGAGACATCTGCTTGCAAGGTTGTCTCTTGGCTGGTGTCTATGAGCTTGTGTGGCAAATGGTTCCCTGCACTAATATAAAACTCTCCCTAAATAATAAGAGTGGCTCACTGTGCCTAAATTACATAAACAATATGGTTTATGCTAGACATCTGCTTTCCTTTTGGAAACCTGACATTTTGGTACAAGCTACATAGAGAGTGCCCATGTGACCAGCCCCCAATAAAAACCCAGGGTGCTGAGTCTCTAACAAGCTTCCCTGGCAGATAAAATTTCACACATGTTGTTACAAATCACTGGCTGGGGGAATAAAGAACGTTCTGTGTGACTCCCCTGGAAGACAACTCTTGATAGCTTATGCCTGGTTTCCTCTGACGTCTGCCCCATGTGCTTTCTCCCTTTCTTGATTTTGATTTGTTCCTTTTCCCTGTAACCAATCTTTGCCATGAACATGATTATAAGTTGAGTCCTGTGAGTCCTTATAGGGAAGTATCAAACCAGGGGGTGGTCTTGGGGATCCCCAACACAGTAAATTACTGGGGAACATTATCTTGCTGTCACCCGAGTTATTCCTCTAACAAGGCATTGGACATGGATTATCAATATTATAATTCAAGAGAGTAATGAGCTTGTCATGTACTTTGGGTCAAGATTATTTAGGACAATTTCAAATGTGAGTGCATCCCTTTAATATATCTTGAATTTGTTTGATTCACCTGAAGAAGATGAAAGTATGATTAGAATTATAATTCTGCATGTGATAATCTCCAGGAGTATAAAAACAAAAATGTCACTGATGTAAGTACTTTGGACTTCGTTTTCATCAAATTTTCTTTGTTGCTCACATTCATATCATTGATGTTATATTCAGACCACAAAGCTTTATATGAGAAGGCTCTAGTATTCAAAATGTTTTCTAAACAAAGGTAAAATATCTCATTGAAATGATGGTGAAATGAACAATATACAGGAAACAGCTGAAAACTGCTTCATGCTAAAAGCTTCCTGTGCCACAGAAGAAGGAACAGCATCAATAACATTGTCAACCATAAGTGACCCCTGGATTTGAATTGTGATTGCAGAAATGGCAATGTCCTTTCATTTAGGCAATTACTAAGCCTCTTAGAGCAACTTATGTGTGCAGGGTCCAAGATTCTTATTACCTACTGAAGCCTTTATTACCCTGCACAAATTTAGCACTCACTCTCTAATGCTCTGCTTTATCAAATTCTCATAAAATATCAATAACGTGCCCTGAAGAATTTTCTACTTTTTCCCCTCTGGAGCCATAACACAGTTCTTTAATCTCTGGTTATTATTTTTCAGTTGAAACGTACTAGGCTTCTCCTGAAATGTATTCCTAACCCTACCCCAGCCAGGTCCATGATTGGATTGACACTGTGTGTGTGTGTGTGTGTGTGTGTGTGTGTGTGTGTGTCTACTAAAAATGTCCTTGGGTAAGGATAAAGAGTAGTTGTGAATATTAGCCCATGCTTCACTTCGTGTGATTTTTGAACTCATTCTTAAACTCTCCTAAGGCTTGGAAATAAAGCTAAATATTTACCAAGAGATTATTACTTGCCTGATACTATTCTATTATTATTATTTTTTTTAACACACCAACTCATTTAAACCTTACAATAGGCTGGGCACAATGGCTTATGTCTGTAATCCCAGCATTTTGGGAGGCTGAAGCTGGTGGATCACTTGAGGTCAGGAGTTTGAGACCAGCCTGGGAAACACTGTGAAACCAATCTCTACAAAAAATACAAAAATTAGCCGGGCATGGTGGCGAGCGCCTGTGGTCTCAGCTACTCTGGAGGCTGAGTCAGGAGAATCACTTGAACTCAGGAGGTGGAAGTTGCAGTGAGCCGATATCGTCCCGCTGCGCTCCAGCCTGGGAAACAGAGCAATACCCTGTCTCAAACAACAATAAGCAACAACCAAACCTCACAGCAGCTTATGCATTAGGTGCTATGGTTATCTTCATTATATCAATGGAGAAACAAGACATAGAGGTGTTAAGCCACTTGTCCTAGGTCACACGGCTATTCAGGGGAAGAGCTGGCATGGGATGGGTCAGTCTGATTCAAGCCTGAGCTCTCAACCACGAGGACTTACTGTCTCTGAATATTCATCCCTTGTTTTTCATATTCGCCCCCTCAGCAGTGACTGTGGCTCCTCTAATCACACTTCATTTGTTTCTGCAGCTGTATGCTTTTCTACACTTCGCCCATGATGTGCTTTGTCCTATGCATTCTCAGCCTGCGAGCTCTTCACTCAGGCGCCCTCTCCCGTAAAAGCGTTTCACAGTCTGATAGGCAGCCTGAGAAACACTGTGCAGACGGTACAGGAACAATTATTGCCCATGGGGCTCAGACTGTGAACAAAGTGTGAAAGATTATTTCTGATTCCATTACTTTCAATTATTTAGACTCCCTTGCCATAGTGTGAGGAAGTAGAACTACACCAAAAATCTAGACTTCTAACATCAAAGAATGCAATTCCAAAAGACAAAAATTCTGACAAAGGAGGCCCCAGCCTTTCTTTCCCAGTATTGAATCCATGTTTGACTGTAGAACGTGTCAGACAGTTTTAAATACACGCCGTCAATTTCTACTGGGAGGCTTTAGAACATTTTCCCTTCCAGTGAAATTATATAATTCTCATTAAAATGTTATCTTATGGTTCAAATGATTAGCAAATACTATCTTCTCTGAATCCAAGAAAGCTGAAATTTTGTAGCAGAAGAAAATTCCAGTAACTACTACATGTTTTGTTAACAAAAAAATCTCCTTAGCTTACCACATAAAATTAGTTTCTTCCTTCCTTCCTTCCTTTCCCTCCCTCCCTCCCTCTTTCCCTTCCTTCCTGCCTTTCCCTCCCTCCCTCCCTCTTTCCCTTCCTTCCTTCCTTTCTCTTTCTTTCTTTCTTTTTCTTTTCTTTCTCTCTCTCTCCCTCCCTCCCTCCCTCCCTTCCTTCCTTCCTTCCTTCCTTCCTTCCTTTCTTTTTTTCTTTCTTTCTTTCTTCCTGTTATTCTGGATACTTTTCAGTCATGCAACCCTTATTCTTTCCCAGTCTCTAGTTCTCTGTCTCAGAAATAAAACGTTCTCCAAAACATTGCAAATTTTTTATTGTATAGTACCAAGAATTTCTAATTCCTTAGAATATCTATAATGTTAAGCTGATGGCAAATCTTAAGGTTTTTCAAATGTAGTATTTTCTTTCTTGTAAGTGACAGCTATTTTCAGTTTTCTCTCCTCTTTCCTGAGCAACTTTCCCAGGTCATTTTCTAATCTGTTAATTCTATTAATAAACTAAAGGAATCTCGACAAAAAGAAACAAATGGAAACTGATTATAAGACTTAGCAACTCTACATATTTTTCAGGTAAATTAGTTTTTTAGACTGGAGTCCAGTTTAGGACTATTTGTCAATTGTTTATATATGGATTCTCTTGGAAATATTAAGAAAAATTAGAGATTCTCTGGAGTTACTTGAATGGGGAAAAAAACTTAAGTAGTACTCAGTGGTGTCCTTCACCAAATTAAATTTTCCTGAATATGAAATTGTATCTTACATTGTTGGCTACAGATTTCACAAAGAGGGATTATATATAAGAAACATGATGGAAACTATATCTCATAAAAGTTTATGATTCAGGCCCCACTCACATTTAATGAGCATCTGTAATAACAAGCAATTATAATTTGTAAGTAATAAGAAGGTAAACATTTAGAAAATATTGGATAGGTGGATAAATGGATGGGTGGATAGATGGATGGATGGATAGGTGGATGGATGGATGAATGGATGGATGGATGGATGGATGAATTCAACACTCACTTTACATACAGAGTGATGATGATTTATTATTCCTTCAGCTCTCATTTTACCCTGTGCACTAGAGTCATATAGGTGTTTCTACTTGATGCTTAATAAGTGTTTCAAACTTAACACATCCAAACTGTCTTAATTTCTTACCCTGCTCACCTGCGTCTCTTCACTCCCACAACCCTCCAACCCTACTTTTTCCCCAATATTCCACAAAACAGTTCGTTGTACCACCATTCATTCCATTAGTTTCCCAGCCCCAAAATATATCATCCAGGTTTCCTTTCTTCAGCATCATCTCCCTACATCCAATCTATCAGCAAATCCTGTCAGCTCTAATATATCCCAAATCCCAACACTTCTATTTTCATGACCGTTTATTCAAATCTCTGGGCAATAGCATCCTAATTTTTTCTCAATTTCTACAGTTCCCTTCTACAACCAATTCTAAAATAGCAGAAAATAAGATATTAATATGTTAATCTATTATTCCCTGGTGGAAACTCTTCAATGGTTTCCTATTGCAATTAGAATAAAATTAAGATTTCTTCTTATGGCCTAAATGATCCACCAGTGTCTGATCCCTGCATACCTCTCCTGGGTGATCTCTTACCGTTAATTTCCTTGCCCGTCCTGCTCCATGTCAAACTCTTTCTATTAAGCCTCGTCACTAGCTGGTCTCTCTGTCCAGAAAGCTGTTCTTCCATCCCTTTTTCCTGGCCAGCTTCTTTCTATCATCCACACCTCTATTCAAATGTTATCTTCTCAGAGAGGTCTTCTTCAACCATCCTAATCAAATACCTGCCCTCACTGTCCATTCTGTTATCCTGTTTCATTTTCTTAAAATCAACTATCATTATCTGATACTATGCTATTATATACGTCTTTATTGTATTTATTTGTTTAATATTTTTCTTCTTCCAATAAAATGCAAGCTTCACGTGGCAGGGTCCTTGTCTGTTTTATTAACTTCTGTGTTTCCAGTGCCTAGCATGGGGATTGCCATGTAGTTGGAGCACAAATAATATTTGCTGAATCATTGAGTAAATAGATCATATCAGATAATTTACATAACCACCTTGTAAGATGAGTGACATCATCACTGGAATTTCAAGGCAGTAAAATTAGCTTTCTAAAATCACACCTGGTCAGACTCAGGCCTCTTCACACAATTTCTAGTTTCATCTCCGTCAATGATGGTTCCTCTCAAATGTTTCCCCACAGTGAACAGATATTTAGATTAATGTTCAAATTAAACTACATTACTCAGTATATTTCCATCTCACCTTAAAAAGAAGTCAACTTTCCACATACCTTAAGGACCAAATTATGTCAGGACAAAGACACAAAGATTTATTACTGCCAATACAGCATGAGAACAACCCAAGAACTGCAAATTAACTGGACATAATTTTGGTTGTGTCGTTCTCTAGAGCCCTTCCCTGAATGAGAAAATAATTGAGGAAAAATGTAAATGAAAAGGAGAAGCTTTCATCTGGGACACATAGAAAGTGTAATTGGAAACTTAGGCATGTGCCAATCACTTTTGGAGAATTTCAGAGCTTGGAGACCAGAGGTTCTCAAGAAATGAGTCATTACTTCAAGAACAGAGAAATGCAGTAGGTAAAAAAAAAAAAAGGATGTTGCTGCAGCTTTTGGGTTTACACTTGTTGCAGTTTATTCAATTTAGATATCTTTCTGAAACTTTAGATCAAGTCTAAAAGGTAATACCACAGGCAGGCATTTGTTTAATTCACTAATGAATATTTGTGATAAAAATTTTGGGCTTTAAATAAAGTCCTGGGTCTATGCCTGTGGTTATAGGAAAGCAAGAACTCCTGGTGTTTTTCACAATAATTTTTACTTGGAAATATTACTCTGGTGAGGATAATAGGGACTTCAGAAAACAGGGAGTGCTATGGCAAACCATAGACATCAAAGATACCAGTTCTGGTTAAAAGACAGCAGTTAAAGGTTAATGCTTAAGAAACCTTGATCACTATTAATATCAATAACTGTATCCAGCACCAGTTTTGTGGAAGAACTGAGGGTACAAATAAATCTATTGTACAGTCTGTCAGGAATATTGCAATTCATAAAGAAAAATAATATGTATGAGTAACCTATTATCCATTTTTGCTTCTTAAGAATTTCACTCTTGTTGCCCAGGCTGGAGTACAGTGGTGCGATCTGGGCTCACTGCATCCTCCACCTCCTGAGTTCAAGCGATTCTCCTGCCTCAGGCTCCCACCACCACACCCGGTTACCTTTTTTTTTATTTTATTTCTTATATGTTTAGTAGAGGCGGCGTTTCACCATGTTGGCATGTTGGCCTGCCTGGTCTCAAACTCTTGACCTCAGGTGATCCACCGGCCTCGGCCTCCCAAAGTGCTGGGATTACAGGCGTGAGCCACTGTGCCCTGCCCCTGATGTTCTCTTTAGCTTAAGTTACCTAGAGTTGGTTTCTGTTTTTTGCAACTAGAGAACCCTAACTAATTTTTATGCTAAATCTCTCTGAAAAATGTGGATTTAGTATTTTGGGGCTTCAGAATGAGAGCGAGCTGATCTTTTATCCAAGGGGACCAATTTGACTGTAAGAGATGCATAGAGGTAGAGAATAACATGAAGCCCTCTTAGATATTTTTATTTAGAGAAGAAAGGCACATTCACCAAGAATCTTAGCATTACTAAAGACATGTACTGTCTACCAGATACTAGGATGAATCTTAGAAACAACAACAAAAAAAATCAGTCTTAATTTTAGACAATTAAAGTTGTCAAATAAATTCAAGAGCTGCTAGAAATCTGAAAAGTCATGTTAAAGAACTTGGTGTTTCACATATCCATGAAAATAAATTGATAGAGAAAGCAGCTGCAGAAGCTTGAAGTGTCAGATTTCTTTCTCTTCACTTTTAATAGGAGGAGCTGTGCCATTTTCTGTGGGCCTGAGGCTTTCTCAGGAAGCTTCCCGTCAGGGGAGGATCCAGATCTGTCTGTTGCAGGGATTAGCAGGATCCACCGCAACAGGGAAGTTGGTGGGACATGTGGTGAGATGCCACTTTTCCATGAGCCCCAAACTTAAAGAAAAAAAAAAAAAATTGGGGCTGGCCATATAGCCTTAGAATGATGCTGGCAGTAGCTTCTGTTTACATTGCTAAATTAGAGTCATAAGCTAATGTATTTGGTATGATTGTGCATGTCCAATGCAGGCAAAGATTTCTACCCTACACTTAGTTGTTGGTAAGAGTAATTCAGTCTTGTCTTTAAGCAATAATGTGAAATAGCCACCAGGAACCTTAAAAAAATGCCAGACACTTACCCATTTACAGTAGTCCAAAGACATTGTCTTACCTTGAGGCAACTAGAATTCCTGGATTTTTTGACATTAAAACCATCATTCCATCACTCCAGTCTTGAGGACTGCTAGGAGCTGAAGCCTCCCTTTGTACCTTTTAGAACCTGGCAGTCAGTCAAGGACATACACATGCTCCTCCTCACTGGGAATCACTTCTCTGGGCCTCCTCTGAGTGAGGCCAGGAGCGCTGCCTGATCTATACCTGCTGAACTGTTGCGACCTTCTCCATGGCGGCGTGGCTCAGGCCCACCATGCTCCCTATGAAGCTGCTTTTTGCTTCACTGCGGCTACTGATAAAGAAGCCTTTAATCAGCAACTCAGGTTTATGTCACAGCACTTTTATTATAAAATATTTTAAGTAACAAAGTTTGAGACTAAACACAACCCTGATATGTTTTCTTTTTTCTTGGTTCCATTAGGTAAGGCAAGTAGAAATTCTTTATTTAATTAGTCTATTGCAATCTTAAGACACTGAATTCTATTTTAGATACAAAATTGGAAAAATTAAAATGAATTTTAACATATATATCATTCTTATATATATTTATTTCTATATATGAAAAATATCAAGATATAATCAGCTAATTTTTCAGTTTGCCTCATTCACTGGGGCTTAGGATGTTAAAGGAGAGAACAAAATTCAGTTGAGACTGAATTTTTAAAAAATGAATATGACAACTGCCTGGATTTGAGAGTACCTAGTATCAAGAATCACGAAGCCCTTTATTAGCCTATCTTTGTAATTATAGAACCACATATTACAGTTTTATATTGATAGAGGGTTTACCAAAGACTCTTATACTCTTTAATCCTGTATTTCATTCATAACAGGGATGAATATAATTTTGGTTGTTGTTATTTTTTCCCTTTATATATGAAATGGTTAAAAATAGCAGTAGAATAAAAATATATCAACATATGGAACATGGATAGGTTTGTTTGTTTTGTTTCCTTAAATTACAGTTTACAACATTTCAGATTCCCCACACATACACTCACATTTGTTAGCTGTTATTACAGTAGCTATTATGCGAATGGATAAACAGATGGTAACATAACACGGGGCTTTCTAAAACCTGCTTTCTTGAGTTGTTCCTTCTATAGTTCTAGCCGTGCTGAGTTTAAGCAATAAGATTGTTAGACAATCATTTATTTCACTGTTATTGGGAAGACGTAACTAATATTTTAAGTGCCTGTTTTGAAGCAAACACTGTCCTGAAATTTTTCTATTTGCTACAACTAAATCTTCACAGCAATGTAGAGAAGTACGAGATTATTTCTATGTTATCCCCGATGAAACTGAGTCACAGAGGTTACCTAGCTTGATGAGGGCTACCCACTTATTCTGAATGGCGCCAGACCCCAAATCCAAATCTCTTTGACTCCATGCTCTTTCCATCCGTCGCTTGCTAAACATTATTTTTTATAAAGTACCCCTAAAGGCAGACGAGAATGAATATACACCCCTAGGGAGTATGGGGGTATAGTTCAAAGGGAAGCACAGCAAGTGTGAAATTTCTTTGAAGTTTCATCTTTTATCTTTAACATGCATACAGTCTACTCCATAGTATATCTATATTTGTTTTCATATAAAATGTTTGTTTTCTGAAGTCTTCAAATAAAACTGAAACCCTAGAAATATGCATTGTGTTTATCCTGTGGCCTCAAGATTCCTCCGTGAGTATCACGTATAAAAAGCACAAACCATTCACAATACAACCTCTGAAAAATGAGGCATACAATTCTAGTCCTATTGGTTTTAATGTGAAATCTCAATTTACCACAGTAGTTCTTTAGAAGTGACAAGTTAAAGCACCCTGCTCTATGCTTCCACAGCACCCCATACTTCTCTTTTATAGCATTCACCATATTTGTAATTACTTATTCAATGTCTCCCTGCCTCATCAGAGTATAAATTTTATGAAGTAGAAATTCTGTGTTGGTTACTTCTATATCCCTAGCACCTACACCAATACCTGGAACACAGCAATGCCAAATGCATATTTGCTAAATAAGCCTTTGATGCCTTTTGTTTGTAAAATCTTTTCATGAAGACTTAGCGTAAGAAATGATGTAAGTGAGATAGTCCTTGCTCCATCATGATAGAGCTCATGTAGATTTGGTAATAAGGTACCTACTGGAGGCTTAAGAGCTGAAACTTCTAACTTTGCTCCCAGAACTGATTTGTTCATTGGTCCTAGGTAGAGGAAATGGTGAAAAGTAAGTAGCAACAAGGCAGGAGATAAACTTTTCATGGCTTCACATCCTCATCTTGAATATGTACATGACCACATGTCAGGGTTTCAAAAGCCCTGGTGCTTACCCGTTGGTATACATGCAAGCCCACATCTAGATAGGGAGACACTGGCTTACACATAACCACACTCGCATTCAGAATCAGTATATACTAAACTGTATATATTATAATAATTGTAATCAATACAAACTATTAGCAAACAACTTTTAGGCTCAGGCAGCAACCGTCAGACCAGTTTTATTTTTACTTTTTTGCAATGGCAGGCAAAGTCCGTGCTTAGAGATTTTGGAGTAGTTAAGGGTAGATCTTGTAAATTAAAAGTTTCTGAGAGTCCAGAACACCATGACCTTGATTTTGTGGCACATCCTCAGCTGACTCATCTCCAGGAAATCTTTGTACTCCTACCTAGTAAGTTACGAGCTCCCTTCTCTGGACTCCACTGGGACTTTGTACAAAGTCTATGAATATATTTAATTTTATTTTTAAAAGACTGTTTATCTCAATTAGGATTCATTTAGTGAGGGTCTCTTGAAGACAAGTACTTCATTCTAGTCACATTTGTTGCTATAGCCTAGAGGCTGGCACATAGAAAATGCTCCTTAAATGGTTTTTGACTAACTGAATGGATGAATTGTACCACTGTTTTCTAGGACTTCGTGTTTTTTCTATAGGTTGATAAAGGTGGATATGAATGTTCAATTGTATTAAATCATTACACAAATGAACTAACTGGTTAAACAATAACATCACAGGTAGCTACAGCTACCAAAAAGGGTTTGATGTTGTAGTACCAGAAATATTAGAATGTATGTGCTTAGTGGGATTGGCAGTACTTTTCTGTTTTACTGAACCTGGAAAATTTCTTCCTTTTTTTCCTAAAAATGTCCTCTCTTTGCTGAAGCTTAGAGATGGTATATGGACAGGCCTGAGACCAAGTAGAGAAAAAACATACAATGAAGACAGTGAGCTAGCATAAGCTGCTGACTCTTCCTGAAAGCCAGCTCTGAAAGCTGTTGGAACTGGTGCTTTTGGAAAGTGTGAGGGAGGGGCAATGTGGAGAGAGGAGGAAGAGAAGGATGCTGCACGCTGTAGACAGAACGTTGGTTGGAGGATCTGCTCTTGCTTCTTGGTGGCTGGCACATGGCGGCTGGCAGTCATTGACTACCATGTATTCTTAAACCTATGTAGATCAAGCTGTTGCTCCTGGTGTCCATGGGGTAATTTCAAAGCAATGCAAAGCCTTTCTGGGGCAAGGAGTTGATAAAAACAGATACAGAATAAGTAACTCCCCTGAGCATCCTCTCCTTCCCTTCTAAACCTCCAAGTCTGATGGATTATAGCCTAGGGAGGTTTCATCTCCCCATCCTGCTTCTCCTAAAGTGTTTAGAATTAAAGTCAGGTTGGAGGATTTCCCCCAGGGGAGTGGCTTTGTGGTACTAGGAGCTCTCTACATTGGGCTTTATCTTCCCTCTCTCTGAATTTAGTGCTGCTGTCATAATCTAGGGCCTAGGCTTAGGCCCCTTCCTAACATACAGGAGCCGAAGAGAGAAGCTAAATGTGAAGTTACAAGACAAAATAAATTGACATTTGAGAAATAATATTATATAATATTGTAAAAGAAAGGCAAAAGCTGAACAACATATACTACCTACACTAGCTACAATAGAATTAGCATCCCACCTGAAGCAGAGCTATTGATACACATGGACCAACAATTAAAAGTTGTCATGACAAATATGAGAAAGAACATGGAGAAATATGGAGAATGATATTAGCATCTTCAAGCAAGTACAAAAATCATAAAAAAGAAGCAATTGCAAACATTAGGTATGAATATTGTAATAGTTGAAATTGAGAAAACAGTAGATAAGATTTTTTTAAAGAGTGAACTTAAGTAGAGAAAAAAATGGTGAGCTGGAAGATCAGAGGACAGAAGGAAAGGATAAAAGAAACCTAACAGGTACAGAGAAAATGACAGGAGTTTAAGAAGGAGAGAAAAATAAAAATGAAAATAAGGATATATTTTGAGAAATACTGGAGACAAATTTCCAGAACTGATAAACACATTAGATTAAAAGAGGAACTGAAGTGTTAAGTAGGCAGGACAAGGGGAAAACCTATATCTAGATATCTGAGAGTGACATTTAAGAATACCAAAGGCCAAAAGAAAATTCTAACAGCTTCCAGAGGGGAAAAAGCAGATTACCTAGGGGAGACAAAAAAATTAGATTCAGACTTCTTAATAGAAACATTGCAACCTAGACAATAATGGAACAACATCTTTAAGTTTTTAAAAGAAGCTGTGAACCAAATTTATAGCCTACAAACTTGTCATTCCAAAATTAAGGCATAATGTAAAAATATTCTCAGGCATATGAAACATCACAGGCTTTGCCAAAGACCCAAATCAAAACATATTCAAAGGAAATTCTCATTAGTTAATCGGTCCAGAAGATGCTGTGTGAAGTTGAGGTGGTATAGCTTATTGCTAATTAAAATTTGAGACATTACTAATATAATAGGAAGGGGAGACAATATTGGCATGGCAATATGCTAAAATACTTATTTTACTAGGGGAAAGATATACATATTAATCGTTTTAAGAATAAATAGGATTAAATAATTTTAAGTATATACAAGAAACCCAGCCATAAACAAAAATAGAATATGTAATTTTTAAGAGACTTGAAGGGTACTCAAGCTATCTAACCAAGAACCAGGAGTGAGGGGAAAAAAAGAAAAAGAAAGCATTACAAATAAACAATATGAAATATGATAAAAATAATTTGAGATGACTATAAATATAATACATTGAAATTTGTCAAAACTATCTCTTAATGATAGAGACTATTAAATTGGGTCTAAAAACATCCAGTGATATGTACATAAAAAGAGACATAGTCTTAGAGAACAAAGAAAGCATTGTGTATTCATTTTATATTGCATCACAACAAATCATCACAAATTTAGTGGCTTAAAACAACAAACATTTATTATCTGACAGGTTCTTTGAGTCTGTAGTTTGGGCATGGTTTGACTGGGTCCATTGATAAATCTCACAAACCTGCAATCAAGGTGAAAGTGGCTTTGTTCACATCTGAATGTTGGACTAGGGAGGAATCCACTTGCAAGCTCATTCAGTTTTGGAGCCATGGCCAGTAAGAAGCTGCCTCAGTCATACAGGTCCTAGGGCTCACCCAAGAACTGGGTCACGTGTGCTTCTCCAGGGGCAGACCGTAGTGTGTCTGCTGGCTTATTCAAGGCCAGCAGGGGAGTCTGTCTCTCCAGTCTGAGTCTTATATAATGTAACATAATCATAGGAGAGATATCTCATCACCTTTTTTATATTCAACTGGACGGAAGCAAGTTAGAGGTCTACTCACAATTGAAGGGAGGTGATTACACAAAGGTGTGGATCAGTAGGGGTGTTACCATAGGATATCTCTGTCACACTTGAGAGTAAAATAAAAATTCATAAAGCCACAAGAATTAAAGCAGATCAGAAGAAGCCACGGCCAGGGAACCTAGAGGTTTATCAAAGAGCAGACAGATGGAAAATAAACCTTAAAAATACCCTTGATAGTACATATTTAGTTAAACTTTTGCATAATACTCAGAGTGATACAAATTTTCCAGAGCCAACATAAAACAACAAACAAATAACAGAGAAAAGGAGGTCACTATTATAAACAATTACCATTCTCATTCATAAAGTGAAGGGAATAAATAGTAAAAACAAATAAAAAGTAGGTGATGAAGCCACTGAATATGAAAAGAAGTGGATTTCAATATAGCTAGAGCAGAGACACTTCCTTTAACTTAATATGGCTGAGAAGTTTACATACTTTTATCTAAAGAAGGAATTGGAAGTCAAAATTAAAACCAAAGACATGTAATTTCCTGTTTGTTAAATATATAAGCTTTAGAAAGCTGTTTAGTAAACTATAGTTCATATTTCAAAATGTGGGCTTGTTCAGTTGTTCTCAGTTAATCTTTTGTTTTTATCATAGTCAAACCTTTTCCAGGTGGTATTACACATAAATGTAAACTTACACTTGAATAATGTGGGTTTTGGAGCAGGTAGATGTATTGGGGTGCCGGGGGCTCTATTTCTGTTTGGAGCTATCCCATATTATATACTCCTCCTCTGTTTCCCTTTACAGCAAAATTCCTTGAAGCCTTGATATTTGCTTTCTCTGGGGCTCATGCCCTTCTTTCTTGAACCTGTGTCAGCCCAGTCTTTACAACTGCAGGCAAATTGCTCTGGTTCAAGTTACAAATAATAATCTCTCCCTTTGCTAATCTAATGTCAATCTCAGTGTGTATCTTCCTAGACTCATCAGTAGTTTTACCACCCTTGATCTTTGACCCTTGTCTTTGAAACTCAGGCTTCTCTTGGTATCTGAAACACACACTCTGCTGGATCTCCCCCCCACCTACTTTGCTGGTAACTCCTTCTCAGATTCCTCTGCAGGATCCCCCTCCTTTCAGCAAACTCTACTTGTGGATGTGCCATGCCAGAGATTAATCACCAGGACTTTCATCTATCTGCCTTGGTGGTTTCATTCAGTCTAACATGCTGATGACTCCCGAATGTGTATTTCTAGCCTCCAACAATGGCCTCACTCTCATTCACACTGTATATCATTCTTCAAGTTCTTGCCTTCATATATGCTCACACTGTCCCCTCCTCATGTTAATAGAAAGTCGTAATAATTTTCCTAACAGGACTGCTTCCTGGCTGCTCTTTCTCTGTGATGTCTGTCAGCCCCCACTCTGCCTTCAATGCCTTACTATGGACTGAATTGTATCCCTCAGAATTCGCTTATGTTGAAGCCCTAACCCCCAATGCAACTGTGTATGGAGAAAGGGCCTTTAAGGAAATAATAAAGGTTAAATAATGTCATAAGGGTGGGGATCTAACTTCATAAGATTGGTGTCCTTATAAGAACTGAAAGAGAGACCAGGGCTTGTTACCTCTCTCTGTCATGTGAAGACACAGCTAAAAGGCAGGTGTCTGCCAGCAGGAAGATAGCTCTCACTAGAAATTGAACTGAGAAAACTAATGTCTGTTATTTAAGCCACCCAATCTATGGCATTTTGCTATGGCAGCCCAAGCTGACTGGGACATGTTTTTTCAAGGCTCTGATGTCATTCTTTTATAGCACATAGCATACTGCATTATAATTGTTTGCTTACTTCTCTTTCTCCCCAAATGGAAAATATTTGAGTGCAGGCCTTATTTTGTTTATTTTTATTTCCCAACAACCTGCAAGTACCCAAGGCATAGTAGATGTTAAGAAAGAATTTTGCAACTGATTTGAATTGATTACCAGACATCAAGGAAGGGAAGTTCTGTGAAAGCTTAGGTTCTAACTTCTTTCCCAGACAGATTAGTTGATTTCTACATAGAAGTAGACCTTAGCAAAACCAATGAGCAGGACATTTCACTCTCTGTATAGTAAATATGTATTATATATCACTATATATAATATGTTTGTATAATTTTCACTCAATCTATAAATACATTTCTCTCATATGTATAGTAGTCTCATATATCTATACACACTCATATATATTCCAGTATATATATGAGTATATATGATATATATAGCATATTTATATATGAGTGTGTACAGGTATGAGACTACTATATATATGAGAGACGTATAAGTAAATTGAGTGAAAATTATACATACATATATACATACAAGTATATATACATATATGTGTATAATACACATATATACAAATATATATATACAAATAGTTTTGCCTGAGAGTTCTATATATACTTCTATATATATATACACACACATATATATACTATACATGTAGTGTGTGTATATATACTACATATGTAGTATATGTAGTGTGTATATATATATACACACTATATATATATACACTATATAGTGTGTATATATATGAGTGTGTACAGGTATGAGACTACTGTATATATGAGAGACATGTATAAGTAAGTTGAGTGAAAATTATATACATACATATATATGTATTATATGTATTATACATATGTATTATACATACATATATATGTATTATACATATGTATTATACATACATGTATACATATATGTATGTGTAATACATATGTAGAAATATATACATATACATATACAAATATATATACAAATAGGGTTTCTCCTGAGAGTTCATTGAAATAATCAGAAATACAAATTTTGTATTTGCTGATTGTTTCAATGAACTCTCAGGAGAAACCCTAGAGTTTTTGGCTGCAAAGGATGGAAAGCAATTTTATCTGGAAAAAGCCAAAGGACAACTCTTACTAATTATTTAGTCCCTGTGTAATACCTGATTTTGAATATTTATGTATCTGATGGGCCCTTCTAAATGTAGAGGTTTTCAATTCTACTCCATGTAGCAGAATTCAAGCATTTTAATTTTGTCATTTATTACCGTGACAGATACCTACCATGTCCTAGATAATGAGCTAAATATTGAAAATACAATATTGAACAAAATGGATATAGCACCTATTGTCATGGAACTGATGATATTGGATCTAAATACCTACTTATCTTTTATTTTGTTCACGTAAGTGTTGGAGAACATTCAACAAATGTAGTGCTTTTATTTATAGCACACTAGCTGTAAAAATGCCATTCTGACCATAGTTAGCTGGTGGGTTTAGCTGTTCCTTAAAACCAGTTTATGATAATAAAAAATTACAAGTACTAGAATGAAGGCGCATCTGTTGTATTCTTTAGTAGAGACATGTCTTTTGATCTTCATGTTGCCACTACATATCACAGTGGCTGGCATACAGACAATATTGAATACATGTTTGTTAAAATGAACTGTCATCCTATTTCTTATAGCTGGAGAATACACATCCAACAGTGGTGGCAATTTATTTGTAGATAAATGGGAAAGAAACAGGTTTCAGATACAACTGTGTATCTAGGAAAATGTACCAATCAAAACTCATATTTTATATTTAAATTTAAACTTTTTCAAAGAGGTCAGCTATTTAATATGATTCCTTTCCATATCTGTTTTACTGGAGTTAATGAAGGATACCATTGTCATGTGCATACCTAAGATAACAGCTGATAGCTGAAACAAGGACCTGTTGATAGACTGGTCAGTGACCTCAGCTAGATGATTTTTCATTGTCATCATTACTTAATTAAAGACTTCTGATACTCAACATACTTCTAATTTCTGATGCTTCACGACTAAAAGTGGAATATTTCTGGAATTTATTCGCTTCTCTCTCTCACCATCTCTCCTCTATTCTAAGCCAACACCTCTCTACCTGAATGAGATAACCTCTGCCTGCCTTCCTATCCATCTTCAACAATGCAGTCAAAGTGAGTTTCTAAACATGCACATGTTGTCTTGACTCATCTCCATTAAATCTTCATGGGTTTCAGCTGCATGAAAGAGAAAATCCTTAATTCCTGATGTCATCTTTAAGGTACTTAGGACTTGGCCTCAGTCTCCGCTACAGATTCATCTGTAACAGTTTGCTCTCCACTCATCACCTTATATCAAGCCTTTTCTGTTTCCTTTAAATTTTTAACTGCCTTATTTCTCAGGAACTTTGCAAATTTGGTTTCCTCTCCTTAGAACTCTGTGTCTTCTGGATTCTGCCTGGTTCACTTGCACTCAGCCTTTAATTTCAGCTCAAATATAATTTCTTGCAAGATGCCTTCCCTTACTGTTCCCACTTCTAAATCTAATTGAGTCTTGTTATGATACACTTTCACAGCACCCTCTGTAATTCCTTCATAGGACTTATCTCAGATTGTAATTATATAATTTTTAATGTGTTTTATAGTTACCTGCCCTCCCATATAGCTTGAGAATATCTCTAGTTTCTAGCATAAAGCTCTTCTTTAGATAAATTCATTTACTTGATGCATGTATGAAGCTGTGAAAGTTGTTGGCACAGAAATTGAAAGTTACATGCATAGAGTGGGTAAGAGCCTCTATAACACAACAATTTCAAAGAGAGAAGGGGATGCTATCTTGCATTTGCTAATCCTAGAATAATGCACATATGATTTAATAATATGAAGAATTACCCACATTAGTCAGGAGATTCTTAACAGTTCTACTTTAAATGTGTATATGGTAAAACCTCTAAGAAAACAAGGCTTTCAAAATACAAAAGAAATGCATAGTTATAGTTAATATTTACTGAGAACTTACTGTACTGAATACATTCATTCATTATTGTAGGCATCCTTTCAGTGATCCCATAAGATAGTGTGTTGGTGGAAAAGTAATTGTGGTTCTTGCCATTAGGTAATGGTAAAAACTGTAATAACTCTTGCCCCAATCTAATAGATACAGTCTGACAGATAGAATAATAAAAAGCTGCAAGTGGCAGAAATGGGGTATGAAAACCCAAGCAGACTAATTCCAGAGTAGGTGTAGCCACTATGCTATTGTTCTAATTTGTATATATTTTAAGTCCCTATAATTTAATTGAGCAAATATGTCTTGAGTATCTATCATGTACCAGGCACTCCTCTAGAGCACTGAGGATTCAGCTGTGATCAAAACAGATAATTATTGCTCTCACAATTCCTACATTCTAGTAGAGGCAGACAATTAACATGAAAATAACAATGATAGCTTCAGATAACGATCTTTAAAAATAAAATGTAACAGTTTGCCCAGTGTATGACTGGAATGCGGGATCAAGTTTAGATTGGATAATCAAGGTAGGAATGCGGGATCAAGTTTAGATTGGATAATCAAGGTAGGGATATCTCAGAGCAGGGCTTTGAGGTGAGACTTAAATGATGAGGGGCCTTTTAAGTAAATGTCTGGAAGAAGTGAATTTTTCAGGAAGAGTCCTGGCAAAAAGCCAGAAAGCCAGGAAAGCTCGAGTCGTGAAGGAATGTCAGTGTGGTTAGAGGACAGGGCACAGGGAAAGATGCAAAAGAGACGTGGTCAGAGAAAGAGGCAACAACAAATCTACAGAAGACCTTAAAGAACTTGGTAAGGAGTGTAGATTATATTCTGAATTCGATAGGAAGATAATCCAGTTTAAGACAAAAAAAATCAGAGGATCTGACTTCAATTTCAACTTCACTTTTCAATAATATAGTCTCCATTAGTAAAATTGTGTTGTGTTGAAAAGTACTGAATATAATTATATCAATCTGCTATTCGAAGAGAAGTAAAATTGGCTAGAATTGGTCATTTCCAGGGCTTTCAGTCATTTGTGCCTGGAGGGACTTTTCCTGGGAGACACAAGTCCTTGGAAACCTGAAAAGGCCAGGTGGCTCAACCCTGTAATCCCAGCACTTTGGGAGGCTGAGGAGGGCAGCTCACTTGAGGTCAAGAGTTCGAGACCAGCCTGGACAACATGGCGAAAACCCATCTCTACTAAAAATACAAAAAATTAGCCAGGCATAGTGACACGCACTTGTAGTCCCAGCTAAAACATGAGAATTTCTTGAACCAGGAGGTGGAGGTTGCAGTGAGCTGGGATCGCGCCACTGCACCCCAAACTGGGCAACAGAGCAAAGCCCTGTCTCAAAAAAAAAAAACAAAACAAAACTGCGAATAGTGTGAAAGTACTGATACCCAAGATAAATAATAAAAATAACATTTTTATTTTAAACAAATGGTTCTTTTCTTTCCACTTTTTCCACTTATGATGATTCTGATAAAAATCTATGACTATCCCAGGCTCTCAGCTACATACTCTGTTGAATTTTTATTCTAAACAATATGTGTTCTCCAGCCACAGAAACTGCCATTGTTACTGACATTTTAATAGTCTTTTATAGTAAACAATAAATGATATCATGGAAGGAAAAATACAATTTAGAAATAGTAGAAATGAGAATATTCTCCAGATTTCTCTTTTTACGTCTTCTTTTTGTTAATGAAAGAAACGACAAATTCCCCATGATTAAGTTATGAAACAGCTAAAAGTGGAAAGCAACATCAGCTAATGCAATAAAATATAATCTATGATTAATTATTGAGCACACATTCCTGAATTAGGCACTACTAGAGGTTAGGGACACTAGCAACTTCACTGAGGGAGAAAATTGAATTTACCAGGCATAAGCTCCCTCCGGCGTCATGACTCAAACTTGACTATAATAATAATATAATAGCCATCATTTATTAAGTGCATACTATGTGTCCAGTATTGTGAAGTGATTTACATGCATTATCACATTTGTTCTTGGTAAGAGCCCTTTGAAGGAGATTCTGGCTTCATTTTGTAGACGAGGAAGCTGGGGCTTCAGGTTAGGCTATTTGTCCATCTCCTTACCTTGGTAAACAGCAGAGTTGAATTCAAGTTCAGTCTATGTGATTTCAAAGCATATGTGTTGCACCTAACCACTAAACCTATTGCTTTCCTTCTATGAGTGAATTTTTGGCTAATCTGACTGCAGCTTTCCCCTGGTCTATAGCCATTACTGATTCTGCATATTCTGAATTTCAATATTTTTCCCCTTTTCAAGAAGGAACTCAAGCAAGCATGGCCCTTTCCAGAACTATTATATAATTAACAGCATGTCATTTGTTTCAAAACTGAACTTCTTAGCTTTGAATAGCAGCTTTATTGATCATTTGTTCTATGAGCTTGGGCAAATAAGCTAACTCCTCCAGACCTCGGTTTTCTCATCTTTAAAAATAGAATATAATATCTGCGTCATAGGGTTGTGAAATAAAAACATGTCTTTCATTGAAAGCCCTTGTAATAGTTCCTGGTACACAAGTGCTTCAGTAAATGTTAGCTATTTATAACATGTAATGATGTAATTTTATTAATGGTCTGAAATTTAGATGCTAACAAAGCATCTTAAATATTTTGTGCAAAAAAAGCCAGGAGCTTCAGTAGATAAATCTAATGAAAAAATAATACACCAAGTCATACTGGTATATATTTCAAGTTCTTTTTTTTCCATTTTTAACTTTTCTCTACTTTCTCCATTTTATTCCCCTGAATTTAGCTTTCTTGTTTTTCAACAACCTGACTCTGAAAAACATTAAATGGAAATATGAAAATCTTGCCCTTAAGGCAAGGAATACATTCTTTCTCTCTCTCTTTATCCCTCTCTGTCTCTGTCTGTGTCTCTCTCTCTCTCTGTGTGTGTGTGTGTGTGTGTGTGTGTGTGTGTGTGTGTGTTGGGAAACCTAAGTTGCAAATGTGAAAAATAATTAAAAGTTGTATATGTCTGCTTGCTTTACAGGCTGATATAACAGGTAACAGGCTGATCTTCCTGTCGTAAAGATAATCTATTTTTGCCTGTGTTAACAGGATGGTATATAGAAACTGGTGGCAATAACCCCTGCCTGCTTTAATGCTGGCCAATTTTCCCTGGTAAAATATTCTATCAAAAACATTGATAAACTGGAGTGGCCTCAGAGGATAATTATTTGTTTATGCAGATTAGGAGACTTTAAAAAATCCTGTTTTATGTGACATAGAGAAGCTTGGAAGGTTTGAACTTGAAATGGAAATGTTTTGAATGCTTGAAGAGCTATGTTAAGGAAGAGAATCAATTCAATCTTTCATGGTGGCTCCACAGGGGAAATTTAGGACAAAGACACCAAGGTTGCAAGGAAAGCCTATTTCAGACTGATGTAGCACAAACTTTGTAGCACTGAAACTTGCTTCAACACAAGGAATAGACTGCTTTGTGAGAAAGTTACCTTATGGGAAAGTTCACTGTCAATAAAGTTTTTCAAAGAGAGGCGTTGGGTCTTCCTGTAGAAGGTGTTATAGTAGGGACTGCAGTATCCAGCTGCAGACTGAAATCCATTAGTGTTTTGTTTTGTTTTGTTTTTTTGAGATGGAGTTTTACTCTTGTTGCCCAGGCTGGAGTGCAATGGCACAATCTTGGCTAGCTGCAACCTCCGCCTCCCAGGTTCAAGCGATTCCCCTGCCACAGCCTCCCAAGTAGCTGGGATTACAGGCATGCACCATCACACCTGGTTAATTTTGTATTTTTAGTAGAGACGGAGTTTCACCATGTTGGCCAGGCTGTTCTGGAACTCCTGACCTCAGGTGATCCACCCGCCTCAGCCTCCCAAAGTGCTGGGATTACAGGCGTGAGCCACCATGCCTGGCCTCCATCAGTATTTCTTAAACTTTAATTTGGAGACCAGTGCCACTGTACACACAAAATGGAAAATAGGCAATGGGTTTAATTTTATGTAAAGATAAATTTTTTTAAAAAAGGATATTCTTTGTTCTAAGATAATATTCTTTTTTTTTAAAAAAAAATATGGTCTTATCATGCAGTGGTTAAAATTGTGATAGAAAATTGCCCCGGGTTGAACCCTAGACAAATGTCTTAGCACTTCTGCAGTCTTGGGTAATTGCACGTCTTTCTGGGCTTCAGTCTTTTCAACTGTAAAATGGGGAGACTACCATTAATCATACGAACTATACTAAAGATGGAAAAACATGATATTCAGAAGTTGCTCTGCTGGCTGGTTGACTGATACTCATTAGATGCCTGCCTCTCCTGTAAAAATATTTACTTTCAAGAAACGGTGGTGTTGGTAGAAATAACTTTACATAGTTTGTTTTACTCATTTAGCTTATTATCTGGGTTATACGTTTACATGATTCAAGATGCAAACAGTCCCAAAAGTTTCCACCAGGTACCACCAATTCCTCTTCCCTGAAGGCATCAATTATTATTGTGTTTCTCTCATATACTTTCAGAGATATTTTATGCCGATGTAAGCAAATACACATAGGTGTATATATTCTACTACTCCTTTTTTTTGCTCAACTGGTTGCGTATAATATTTGCTGTTCTATAACTTTTAAAAATAATATATCTTACATATCATTTCTAACAGTATATAAAGAAGCTCATCATTGTTTTTATGTATTCTATTGCAGTCTATGTATTGTGTTCTATTGATATCAAGTGACGCTACCTTGTTAACTAGTCCCCTGGGTATTTAGTTTGCTTTCAATATTTTGCTACAAAAATCAACATGCAGTAAACAACCTTGTTCATTTCATACATATGTAACATCTGTAGAAAAGCTTCTAGAAGTAGAATTTCTGGACAAACAAATTTATGTTTGTAGTTACGATTTTGCCACATTACCCTCTATCAATGTTATGACAGTTAAAACTTGTAGTAGCAATATACCCAAGTTCTTGTTACTCCTATCCTTCATCAGTATGTTATCATACTGGCTGATCTTAGCCTAAATGAAAGGTGAACAATGGTATCTCATTGTATGCTTAGTTTATACTTTCCTTGTAAGTAACATCAAGTGAGTTTTTTCATGTCTGTATGTGGTAAGCAGAATTCTAAAGGTGTCCCCCTAAGATTCTCATTCCTGTTGTAAAGAAAATATAATCAAACATGACTTCACATACTGTTGTAAAATGACTTTGCAGATGCCATTAAAGTTACTAATCACCTGACATTAAAATAGGGAGATTATCCTGGAACACCTGGATGGGCCCAGTCTAATCACAAAGTCCTTAAAAGCAGAACAGAAAATGGAAGAGTCAGTCAGATGTGTAGTAATAGAGGAAGGCAAGAGAGAGGAGGCAGAAGGAGAGGTCAATGAGATTTGAAGCACGAGAAGGACTCAGTTGGTCATTGCTGGCTTCAAAGACAGAGAAAGGGTCCCTGAGCCAAGGAATATAGGAGCCTGTTGAAACTAAAAACAACCCTTTGCTCACAGCAAGTAAGGAAATGGGGACTTTAGTCTACTTGGAACAGAATTCTTACAACCCATTAATAAACATAGTTAGAAGCTTCAGAAATATAAAATAAAACGGGTAAATTTCAATGTTTATAAATTTTACCTCAATCAAGAAAAAAAGGAAAACAGTAAAATGCATTTTTTTAGGTTAGGAAGTGATAAAACATATTTTTCAACACTCAGGAAAGAAATATGAGACATGAATTTTTATATCCTTCAAGTGTAAGGCCATTGACAACCAATCAAAGGAAGTTTTGAACAGGCGAGCTACCTGGGAATATCATTCGCATGAGTATTTGCTCAGGAATGTAGTAGAGAATAAACTTCTGCCACTACAAAATGACTGGAGAAACTTCATTTATAAGGTCTGTGAGGTGTAAACTGAACATATTTAACTGTAGAACTGAGACAAAAAGAGGAAGATAAACCTTGGCAGAATAGTATATAAATATAATATGCTTTAAGAATAAAAGGTGTATTTAGTGCATTCTTGCATTGCTATAAAGAAATACTTGAGACTGGGTAATTTATGAAGAAAGGTTTAATTGGCTCATGGTTCTGCAGGCTGTAAGGGAAGTATAGCGCCAGCATCTGCTTGGCTTCTGGGGAGGCCTCAAGGAGCTTTTACTCATGGTGGAAGGCAAAGTGGGAGCAGACACGTCACAGGGAGAGAGCAGGAGTGAGAGAGAGTTGGGGGGAAGGAAGGTGCCACACACTTTTGAACGACCAGATCTCATGAGAACTCACTCACTGTCATAAGACAGCACCTGGGGGATGGTGCTAAACTATTCATGAAAAACCTGCCCCCATGATTCAATCGCCTCCCACCAGGCCCCACCTCCAACATTGGGGATTACAATTCAACATGAGATTTAGAGGGGGCACATAACTAAACTGTATCAAAAGGCATTATAAAACTAACAAAAATATGAAACGAGGAGAACTAATGTAAAGTCAAATTAGCTCTCTGATATTTTCATAGATTTTAATAGGGAGTGTAAGGGTATTAGCTAAAATTCACAAATGGAGTAGTTTAGTATATTTAGGAATAAAAACATTAAAATTAAAATCAATGGTTAAAATTGGAAAATGAGAAAGAGGAAAGAAGAAAATAAATAGATATTGCCTAATTTCAATATTGCTAATAGTAAAAACTCAGCTTCCAAAGAGAGGTGACTTAAGTGTGTTATGTACAATTATTAATATAAATGTAACAACTAGAGAAAAAAGATATACTTTCTAAATATCAAAAGAAATATTAAAACCAGAGAACTCAAACCACAATATGAAAGACATTGAAAAGATAATATGAAACAATGTCATAGAACTAAGACTAAACCAATCACTCATATCAATGTGAGCTTATTGCACACACTAAAAGAAAAAAAAATTCAGTTTGGCTAACAAAACAAAATGCAGCTCAAGGCTGTATGAAAATTAAAATAAAGAAATTTAGATTGTTACAATGAAAAGGATTGGCGAAGAATTAATAGGCAAATGCGCATAAAAAATACATCAGCCATAATGTTAATAACAGACGAATGAAATTCAGGCCAAAAAAAACACAAAAAACAAAACCTGTTTTCCTTTCATCATTATACCAATTCTACAAGTAGAATGAAGTTTTCTCTTATTTCAGAAATTTTAACTGTTATTTGGGGGCAATTCAAACCTATACAGAGAAAGAAAGAATGACTAAATAAATCCCCATCAAGCCATCTCTCAGCTTTAACAGTGATCAAAATTCTGCCATGTTTGGTGCTGGGATAATTGACAAGCCACATGTGGAAGAGTGAAACTGGATCCTCATCTCTCATCTTATACAAAAATCAACTTGAGATGAATCAAAGACTTATATCTAAGACCTGAAACCATAAAAATTCTAGAAGATAACATTAAAAAACTCCTTCTAGATATTGGCTTAGGCAAAGACTTCATGATCAAGAACCCAAAAGTAAATGCAACAAAAACAAAGATAAATAGATGGGACTCAATTAGATTAAAAAGCCTCTGCACAGCAAAAGTAAATTATCAGCAGAGTTAACAGATAACCCAGAGTGGGAGAAAATCTTTGCAATCTATATATCTGACAAAGGACTAATATCCAAAATCTACAAGGAACTCAAACAAATCAGCAAGAACAAAACAAACAATCCTATCCAAAACTGGGCTAAGAACATGAATAGACAATTCTTAAAAGAAGTTATACAAATGGCCAACAAACATGAAAAAATGATCAATATCACTAATTATCAGGGAAATGCAAATCAAAACCACAATGCGATACCTCCTCACTCCTGCAAGAATGGCCATAATCAAAAAATCAAAAAGTAATAGACATTGGCTTGAATATGGTGAAACTGGAACACTTTTACGCTATTGGTGGGGATGTAAACTAGTACAACCACTATGGAAAACAGTGTGGAGATTCCTTAAAGAAATAAAAGTAGATCTACCATTTGATCCAACAATCCCACTACTGGGTGGCTACCCAGAGGAGAAGAAGTCATTATATGAGAAAGATACCAGCACACACATGTTTATAGCAGCATGATTCACAATTGCAAAAATATGGACCAGCTCAATCAATGAGTGGATAACAAAAATGTGAGATATATATATGTATGTTATATATATATATGTATGTTATATATATATAACATACATATATATATATGTTATATATATATGTGTTGTGTATAAAAAAAATATGAGATATATATATATATATTATATATATATATATATATATATATCTCATGGGATACTACTCAGCCATAAAAAAGAACAAAATAATGGCATTTTCAGCAACCTGGATGGAATTGGAGACCATTATTCTAAGTGAAATAACTCAGGAATGGAAAACCAAACACTGTATGTTGTCGCTCATAAGTGGGAGCTAAGCTATGAGAACGCAAAAGCATAAGAATGATACAATGGACTTTGGGGACTTGGGTGAAAGGGTGGGAGGGGAGTGAGGAATAAGAGACTACACACTGGGTACAAGGTATACGGCTCAGGTGGTGGGTGCACCAATATCTCAGAAATTACCACTAAAGAACTTATCCATGTAACCAAACACCACCTGTTCCCCAAAAACCTATTAAAATTAAAAATGACTAATTAAAAAAGAAAAAAAGCCACAAAAACAGAAACAAAATTTTGCCATTTTTGCTCTATCTGTGCTTCCACCTACTCTGTAACTCTCATTTGATTATTCATTAGTATTGGCTGTCTTTTTTTTTTTTAGTTAAATGTACAGACATTTAAATTTACTTATCTTAACTGCATAATTTTGACAAATGTATACACTTCTTAACCCAAATCCCATCAAGATAAAATATGTTTCTATCACTCCAGAAAGTTATCTTATGCCCCCTTTCAATTAGTCTCCCTACAAAAGACAACAGCTATTTCAATTTTTTGTTTGTTTGTTTGAGACAGGGCCTTGCTTTGTTGCCCAAGCTAAACTGCAGTAGTGTGATCACAGCTCACTGCAGCCTCAACCTCCTAGGCTCAAGCAATCCTCCCACCTCAGCCTTCTGAGTAGCTGGGACCACAGGTGTGTGCCACCATGCCTACCTAATTTTTTGATTTTTTTTTTTTTTTAGAGAAGGGGTCTTTCTATGCTGCCCAGGCTGGTCTCAAACTCCTGTGCTCAAGCATTCCTCTTGCCTCAACCTCCCAAAGTGCTGGGATTACAGTCATGTGTTACCGTGCCTAGCCCAAATTTTTTAAAAATATAGTTATGTTTGCCTGTTCTAGAACTTCACATAAATGGAATCAAACAGTATATGATATTTTGAATCCAGCTTCTTTCACCCAGCATATTGTCTCTGATATTCATTTAGATATTGGGTATGTTAGTAATTTGTTCCTTTTGATAGCTTAGTATCATTCCACACTATATTCTTTGTATATCTTTTCCTCTGTGAATTATTAATGAAACTAGTATAAATATTCTTCTATACATGGTTATTATAGTGAATGTTTTTTATTTTTACTGAATAAATACCAAGAATTAGAATTTCTGTGTCTAAGGCACATATATGTTTATCTTTGTAAAGGACTACTAAACCTTTTCCAAAAGTGGTTGGATCACCTTAGATCCAACCAGTAACCAGTAAGTGTGGGTACCCCATGTCCTCCCAATATTTGGGGCTGTCAGTCTTTTAATTTTAACCATTCTAGTATCTGTGTAGTGGTATTTGATTGAAGTCTTAATTTATATTTTCTTAATAATTAATAAGTCTGAGCACCTATTCATGTGCTAGATTAAAGTTTTTTTACATATTTAGTCAGTGTGCAACTACATTTTTCTTTGGTGCTTTAATCATATACATATAATATAAATTCATATATTTATATTTGTATATTTATATAATATATATTAAATTTATTAAATATAAATTATATATTTATATAATATATATAAGACCTTCGAAATTCATTTTTATTCACTTATTTTTTTTAATTATTTTTTGAGATAGAGCCTCGCTCTAGTTGCCCAGGCTGGAGTGCAGTGGTACGATTGCAGCTCACTACAACCTCTGCTTCCTAGGTTCAAATGATTCTCCTGCATCGGCCTCCCAAGTAGCTGGAATTACAGGCATCTGCCACCACACCTGGCTAATTTTTGTATTTTTAGTAGAGATGGGGTTTCACCATGTTGGCCAGGATGGTCCAAACTCCTGACCTCAAGTGATCCACCCGCCTCAGCCACCCAAAGAGCTGGTATTACAGGCATGAGCCACTGCACCCAGCCTTTTTTTTGTTTCCATTTTTTTATTCCACTTTGTTCCCAAGCTATATTAATTCCTGTTTTATATCCTCCTGTTTTATTGTTATATCCTCCTTGAACTACTACATCTCTTCTTTGTATTTATATTTCATAAAGAAAAATTTTAATATATTTTTAATGATGACAAAATATATGGTCTCAATTTGAAGATACTCCGTGAACATAATTTTCTTATAAAGGTTTAATGTCTGCATTTCTGTTACTTTATTTTGATTATTGTAGAATATTTGTGTCCATCATTTTTGGGTTATATGTAGAATACTTATTTTTGAAGTTAGTGTGTACTTTATCATTTATTTGTAGGGGCTCATGAGTAGGAGAAACTAGAGTTTTTCTAAACTTTCCTTAGACTCAATATTTGGGGTGAAAAGTTTATACTTTTCTTGAACCAATGGCAATAGTAGCTGTGGCATTCATATATATAGATATATGAATTTGAAGTGTGTGTTCTTAATGTGTACACCCATTTTTGATGCTGCTAACAGGTGGTTAAGGTTTTACTTTTCAGAAAGTAGCTCTAGAAAAGTACTCTGCTATTCTGACATTTGTGGCTTTCCTGTTCTTTGTGACACTCCTCTTCTATTGCCACTGCCCTTGAAAATGCCTTCCTATTCTACAATTTGAGGATACAGATACCACCCAATTTTACTGAAAGTGTATTTTGTACGTTTTTTTCATGGTCTTCTTTCTGCTTTGAATGCTTTCTAAGAAAAAAAGAGAAAAAGATGTTGAATCTAAGCTGCCATTTTCAAACTGGCAGTGGTATTTTTTAATACTTTTTTCACTGTATAAAAGTTCTATATCAGTATCTTTCCTCCTTCTGGTTATTTTACTTTTTAGAATTTTGGGTTATATTTTCAAATGCTGCTAGTCCATGAAATTCGACAGTCTGAAAAGCACTGTGTGAGATAAACCATGGATTTCTTTCCAGTTTAAATTTTAATTTTTCTTTTGATAATGGAGGCTGAACTGTTTCCCTTACCACCAATAGTGGGGAACGATAAATACAAGTTGCCATTTGTCATAAAAAAGATGCTTTCTGGGGGCAGACATGGTGAAGAGTTCCTTCTGCTCAGCTCCTAAAAGCTCAAAGACCTGTGTCTACCCTGGCAGAGTTTATAGTAAAGAGACAGTGTTACTATTGTTTGTCTGATACAATCCCCGGCAGGAGTTTAGTTATATTTATTTGAAGTAGCAGAACAAAGCTTCTTCACCAGTGGCCATACAAACTACCAAAGCTTTCAACTTATTTGTTAGTCAATTACATATGGATATTTTTAGAGAGTGAATGAGTGTGTGTATGTCTCTGAGAGTGTGTGTGCATGTGTGTGCTGATGGTCACTACGGAGTCACTCTGCCTTTGAAGTTACATTTTATAGATTCACATAAAGAATGAATTATATATTTTAGAAAATCCAATATATGAAAAATCTGTATTTAAAATTATCATTTAGGAAAGGGATTTATTTGTGGGTGTCTTCAAAGAACAAACTTGCCCATGCATTTCAAATGAGTTGATTTATCTCCCCCCCAAAATTTTTCTTAGCGAAAATTTAGGTATACATCAACTGTATACTATATGGTACACACATAGGTATATTTAACTACTTCTAGAACCTAGGAAATGCTCCAGTATCATTCACAAGTAACCATTTGCTAGGAGAAGCCAAGTTGTTTCTGACTTAAGCTAAGAAGAAAAATGAGACCATATGCTAAAGAGCTACCTTCCTCCAGTTTCAAATGATCACATCAGTGATTGAAATGAATGAACAATCCAGGAGTATACATGCCTCTTGGACAGTGTTGTATTAAAAGATGTTTAAAGAAGAATATTGCTTTGCTGCTTGCTTTATGAGCAAAGCCTTTTTGCAGCCACAAAGGATAAGGAATGATCTTGGTTTGCATACAGAAACTAGATGCTCCCAGTTCCGTTAGATACTCAGATATTCTGCAAGATTGATGAATGGTAAGCAAATTCAGGAGGGATTTCTCAACAAATTTATCCCCAAATTTTCTATATACAATAAGAATGTACCTTTGCAGAGATTAGAATGCAAATATCTAACATCCTGAGTATCTCTTTCACAGTATCAAGGGGAAAGTCAAGGAAAAGAAAATTATATTTGCTGAGAACCTAGTGTATTTCCAGAATTTTACGTGTGTTATCTCATTAAATCCTCAAGCAATTAATACAGTTCAGAGCAGAATTCAGTTAGTGTATGTTAAAAGGCCTGTATTGCTTCTATTCTACTATTATCTCAGGAGAAAAATAGCCATCTGAAGGTTTGGGGTAAATATACAGATTGAGCAAAGGGATTCAGATAATCTTGAAGGATGATTCAAACAGGGTCTGAAAAATCCCAGTGGTTTGCACTATATCCTAAGCTGTTTCAATCAACATAATCATAATTGAATCAGGAGCCCTTAATCTATTAAATCCCAAGTTAATACCAAGCTCCTGACATATTTTGTACCTTTCTGTCTTCATTTCTGCTACACTCAAGGGCTAAGGTTGCTTTCTCTTTAAACACTTTTCTATCTTTTGTAGGCTCCCTCCACTCAAGAACACTTATGAAGTGAGTTAAATTCAACTCAAAGATCTTCCCATTCATGTGTATCCCTGAAGATCAGCACATGAGAATTTAAATTTTTATTTTCAGTGGGAAAGGGTGGGTTGTTCCCTTCTTATCTATTAGTTTTGCAACCCATCCAGTTATCTATCACTTCAGTTGGGTTTCCCAAATATAATGTTGGATTTTTCTGGCCAAATGTACACTTTTTTTTCTTCTTGGTCAAATATTCTCTTTTATAATCTAAGCCATTTTTGCCCTATTTATAATTTCTCACCTATGCAACCATTTCTGATACCCAAAGGTGGGCCGAAGGTGACTTTGACCTCCTTCTATAGCTTTAAGATTTAATAAAAAACTTTCTCCCTCAAATTGAGAATCTTGAATGAAAATGCAACACTAATTCACCTTAATGCCAGCTGTCTAAAGAAAAGTTTTACAAATTTCTATTGCTGAGACTCCCTGACCTAAACTAGTTTATACTCTTCCAGAGATTTAGCATTGTATTTGGTTGAATTCTATGAGTTATCCAAGCATACTTGTAATATATCCCCTTGCGGTTTAAGTTGGCCATTATCTATTTGTATGACATGCAGCCAAATACAGTCATGTGCTGCATAACAACATGAAGTCAACAATGAACTGCGTATGTAATGATAGTCCCATAAAATTAAAATGGTGCTGGAAAATTCCTATCTTCTCGTGATGTCTTGATGATCCTGACCTTGTGTAGACCTATGCTAATATGGATGTTTGTGTGTTAGTTGTCAACAATTTTTTTCTAAGTAAAAAAAAAAATTTTTTAATAAAATTGAGAAAAAAAGCTTATAGAAAAAAGATATAAAGAAAATACTTTTGTACAGCTGTAAAATGGGTTTGTGTTTAAAGCCAAGTGTTATTGTCAGAGTCAAGTCTGAAAAATTTAAGAGTTTATAAAGTAAAAAAGTTACAGTAAGCTAAGATGAATGTATTATCGAAGAAATATAAATATATTCAATATAAATTTAGTGTAGCCTAGATACACAGTTTATAACATCTGAAGTACTGAATAGTAATGTCCTAGGTTTTCACATTTACTCACCACTCACTCATTGACTCACCCAGAGCAACCTTCAGTCTTGCAAGCTGCACTCCTGCTAAGTACCCTATGCAGTTGTACCTTTCTAAATTCTTTTATGCTGTATTTTACTATAGCTTTTCTGTGTCTAGATATGTTTAGATACACAGATACCATTGTGTTAACAATTGCCTACAGTATTCATGTACAGTAACATGCTGTACATGGCTGTAGCCTAGGTGTGTAGTAGGCTAGACCATATTGGTTTAAGTTCATTCTTCGATGTTTGCACAATGATGAAATCATCTAATGATGCATTTCTCAGAATTTATCCCCATGACTTAGCAATGCATAATTGTACATATAAAATAATACAGCCACAAATTCTTGATATGATTTCCTAGGCTGCTAAATGAAGCCAAACAACAGAGAGGAAAGCCCCTATCCTTTTACTCATCCACCCCTTAAAACCCAGAGTCCAGAATTAGTCCTAAGCCTCTAGTTCCATGCCTTGTTGTGACTTAAATACCAAGTGCCCTTCCCAAGGACAACACTCCAAACCCCAATAAGGATGGTGCTACCTCTTTAATATTGCCCACAACTGGAAAGGACCTAGGGCAAGAAGAGGCTTTTATAATCCTTCCCTGCTCATTCATAGGAGGCTCAGCTCCCTCAGGCTCTGCTACAGCTTAGAGAGGAAAACAGATGGTGAAACTTTATTATCCCTTCCAAGTCTTTCCATTTCCTTGACAGCTTCATTATATGACATTAAATGGGGCCCTTCTTTTGGAGGAAGGTTTAAGGATAAAAGAGTATGGACAATATTATTCAATTATTCCCCAATCCCTTGAAAAAAAATCAGTCACCTTATCATTATAGTATGTCTGACATGCAATAGCACTGAGTCGTTAAGATATATATCGATCCCAGCCCAGTCAATAACACAATTCTAAGCCTCCTCTCAGTCTATAGCATTGACATGGCCTAGATTATTCACATTATATTGGTTTGCTAAGTATCCATTTCAGATGGCAGCTTCTCCCTTATTTGTGGTACCCACTCTAAAACCTACACACTGACTCCCTTGCTCTCTCTAGGTCTCCGCTCTACTTTCCTCTGTGCTGATGCCATTTCCAGGCAGTTTCTCTGATAGTAACAGTTTGACTCCAGCCTTGGGCTTGAAACTAATTTTCCCATATAGGGTCATGGACCATTTCTGAACCAATCACTGTTGTCAATGACAAAGATTATGGTTCAGCTCTGTATCACTTTATCTTCCTAAGGGGTTGGGATTAGGGCCAGCTCAATTCAAATCACATAAATTGAGTGGGAATATGGGAAATAGAGACTAGGCAAACAATAACAACAACAAAATTCAGTTGTATATAAATGTCTGTGTTTTGGGGGAGAATTGGGGCTAATTCTTTGTTTTAGTGGAAAATATGTTTTTAATGCCTCAAATTTGAAAATCTGAGGATGTTTATCCTCAGAAACATTGTTTATCTTAATGGTTAAAGTTGTCTTTACTGATAATATATCTGTATGTATATGCATGTAAGTAAGTATATATATAAAACCAACGTACATAAACACATACATACATACAAATATTATATGTACATGTAGGTTATATGTGCACATAGACACACATATGATATGTATGGCTTATTTAATTAACTCTTCTTGAACCTCATTCCTCTATTGTAGGACTTGTATATTTTTCAAATTTTAATGTATTGATATAACTCAGGTGTCACATGAAATATTTTTTCACTCAGTCTGAGAAGTAATCACCAGCTACAGAAGCGTTTTTATCATTTATGTAATCTGTGCTTACAAATAATGTACATGGTATACACCTAAATATGTGCTATATTCAAACACAACTGCATGTATATGTTTGTGTGTATCTTTATGCATATATGCATGCGTGTGTGTGTGTGTGTGCGTGTGTGTGGAGCCATATTATACCAGGGGCAAATGTCTGTTGTTTCTTTTCCACATGGGAAGCATTTGCAAACCATTGCTTGACTAACTCACCCTCTCAATGCCACTCTGAACAAAATGTTTACCTGGAGCTAAGCAGATTGTTAAGAATCTACTAGACATATCTACATGTTCTAGTTAATTTTCTTCACAGTTATTCATTTACTAGTATGTCAAGCAGTCTGAACATATTTTGAAGATTGCTATTTCAGAGAAACCAAACTCTATTTTAGCTTTTGTGTGCACTTATTCTCAGGAATTAAAAGGCACATTTCCCACAAGAGACAAGGAGAGATGATTTCATTTCTTCGCTCTACTTCTGGGAATAATTTTACTTACCTCTTCTCTCATCTCATAAAATCTTCTCCAGCCTACTGAACTACCCTTAGGATCTTGATTTACTGTTATTCTCAAATCTTTTGTTTTGTGCTAAGGTAGAAAAAAGATAAAACAATGGCCCAATTCCTGATTCTAAGCCATGTGCAGCACTTTGAAGGTAAAAGGTGCCAAGTGCATATTTTTTTCTCTGCTCTGGAACATAGAGTCATATCTTACTTCCTTTGCTTTTCTGAACCCTCTGAGCCAAAAGAGGAAGTGAGGTGAATTTTTTTGGAATCCTCTGAGAGTTCTCTCAGAGTTGATTTCAACTCCTATCTTTTCCAGGAGACGGTGTTTACTTAATCTGAATATTGCTCCCAATTGCAAGCCTTCAGCCCTGACTTGTGTGTTTGTGGGCTCTGTTATTAACGAGGCAAGTTGCATTAAGCCAAGTCATCTTGCTGGAGTAGAATGCATACTTCCTTGAGCACCTGAATGCACACATGCAGCCTTCTCCTGTGACCCTGAGAGAGTCAATTTCAGCACTTTTACTAGTGCAGATTCTGCAAATTCCCTACAACTGAGAATGAACTGCTGGAAAAGGACCTATGAGGATTTTTAAACCATCAACTTTAAATCTAATATTTCAAAATTCAGGAAAGAAAAAAATCTGTAATAATCATTACCATTTCAGATTAGTGAATAGAATGACTGTCAATGAACATAAAAACACCTGGAATTGAATATTTGGTTATCTCCACCTAAAACTATTTTGGATGCAATTTTTCCTCACATCTAGTTAGTTTAGAAATTTTGGAATAAGGACAGAGTGGAGAGAATTGATAGAATTATCTGGATAAGTTATGTTTACTTTTTCTAATCACTAAAAGACAAAAACTCATGTTTTGTTTAAAATCCACTACTCTAAATATAGACATTTGCTTCTCAAAAATTTATACTTGAAATATTTACATTCTTAATTTTAGTTGAGAAAAAGGGATAAATATACACATAATACCTACTATTACATTTATAAATACAAATATATGTATTTAATATTTTTCCATCAGAAATACATTTATGTTTAAATTCAAACAGTATTTATAATATTGAGAATTTGCTTTCTGTATAGCACTGTTGGTGGTAGAATGTACAATCTGACATAAATTTATTATCAAAAATGATAAGCAAGTTATATACTGAGAACAACAGCAATACTTACGACTTCTATCATGATTATTTGAATTGGGTTTTACAGTATTCGTAGATACATGCAATTAAACTTTAGGAAAAAGTTTTCAGTGAAAGAAATAGGGTGGGTGTTATTTTTAATTCCATTTTACAAAAGCAAAAACTAGAGTGATTTGCTCAAAACTACGTGGTTTTTAGAAAGTGGTAGAGCTAAGATACATAAAAGTTTATCTTCTGAATGAAAATTCTATGCTTTTTCTGTGATATCACACAACTGATCAAATAACGACATGGAGGTCTTAAAAACAGTTTATCGAGCTTGAGTACTTACTAGATGTAAGACACTAGTTTTCTTTCTTTAGTACCTGAGGGACAATAAAATAATTGAAAAAAATAGATTAGTAAGTATAGCCAGCTGGTTTTTAGGTAAAGACAATTTGATCTTTTTAAAGCATTTGCATAGCATCTAGGGGAGAATCCATTAAATGTCAATAAAAGCAGTGTATCCACTTTAGAGTGCTTTACAAATGCAAGAGATATGGAATTTAAAGTATCGGTTTGACACTGTCTAGGAGACAATTCATGGTTAAAGCTTGTAAGGGGCAGAACTAACATTTCAGTACAGATTTTCCTTACTTCAGGGAGATTGCTTAAGTGCACCATTGTTATCTATGCTCTAAAAGAACATGAAAAAAATAAAGAAAAAAAAAAAGAAAAGACAGCCTTACAAGGGAGAGAGGCTCAGCTCATAGCAAGCTTATATCAATGGACTGATATAAATAAATTTTTGAGACTGTGGCTTTTATATCATGATCTTCATCCGTTCTTTTTTAGATCTATGGCAGTGAGATTTAGACTTATATCCTGTGGTATTAAATTCAGTACTGTTTATTGAACAACATCTTTATGAGGCACTGTAGCAGGCACTGATGTAGCTAGAGAGAATAAGTCTCCCCTCTAAGGAAGTCTATAGTCTTATCGGGGCTTAAAAAAGGGGACACGCATAATTGTACTGTAATGAAAAATGTATCAAAGTACATTGTTTTGTTTTAGCCTAAAGAAGCAAGAAAGAGATGACAACCTATGAAAGATGTCAGAATGGATTTATGGAGAAAATAATAATCCTACAGGCTGGCATAGAAGGCTTGTTAAGGCACTTTCAGACATAGGTAAGACAACAAGAATATTCCAGTACTAGATTAATTGTAAGTAACGTTATCACTGTGGGACAGCGTAGTGTGTTTGGGAAAACTTAGTCTTTTTTGTAAGTTTTAACTGATGATCTATGTTGAGGGTCGTATCATGAGAGTCCCGTTAAGTTTAGATATATTAATTCAACAAATAATTATTGAACATCCACTAAATGCCAAGTATTGTCTTAAACAGGAATGACTAAGACAGACATGTTTTCCACTGTGAAGCTTAGATTTTATGGGAGAAAGACACAGTAAACACAAATCATTAAAGAATTAAGTAGTTTCAACTGTGTTAAGTTCTTTCAGGAAATTAACGATGATATTTAAATATGAAGGGAAGCCTGATACTCTCTAAGGAGTCAATAAAGACTCATCTGAATAAGTGACATTCAAGCTGAGACTTGAAAGATATGTGGACATTAATTAGATAAAAAGTTTGGACAATGGGTGAAGGGAAGTGGGACACAGGGATTGTTCTAGGCACATTCAAAAGTCCTGAAATAAGCAGAAATAAGCTTGCTTAGCTCAAGGATATGAAAGAAAGTCAATTTGGCTGGTGTGTGGTAGCGACAGGGAAGATGAGGAAGGAATGAAGTTGAGCCAGATTGGGGAAAGTTTATGCAGGGCCTGCGGCCTAGTTAAAGCATTTTGACCTTTAAAAGCAATGGGAAGTCACTGAGTGATTTCTAAAAAGGGTTCTAGACCAGTTTAGGAAAGAGATAAGGGCCAGATAAATAGACACTGCTCTTGTTTGTAAGGGCCAGGGAACCACTTCTTCATTGGTGTTAACTCCCATTTTACGGAAGCTCAACTACAAGAACTCGTAAGGTCTCCTATCTCTCCATGTACTCAGCACCAGGGAATGGAGGCATGGTTGTTAAATGTGAGAAGAAACTCGGCATGCTTGGCCCTTTTCCATCCTTGGAAGTCAGTATGTGCTTTCAGTCACTTTCCCCTCTACTAATCCTTGTGCTGAGACAGCCTCTGCTGCTGAGGGTGAGGATTTGAGAATTGTGGCTTTTGGAAAAAGCGATATCAAGATCCAGCATTTTTAAAAATATATATATGTTGGCTGGGAACATTGAAAAACGAAATGAATAATTTGGGGGGGCAAAATATACATAGCGAGTGATGAAGCATCTGGTGTTGCCAGAGTATATGGCTTAGGGCTTTAAATTTTATATGCGGGCAGGATGTTTTGATGTTGGTGGCTTTTGAAATGTTATATGGATCCACTTTAAACTGCTGCAGCCTGAATGAAGGCTTAAAACTTTGGGTCAAAGGTTTTTTACTTAGGTGAGTGACCTCAGACTATAATAGGTTTGTCACACCCAAGTGGGGTCTTTCTATAGAGGCAGCAACCTGAGTACACACAGACCTCAAGAAAGGCTTTCAGACCACAGCAAAGATACTTGGGCTTGCCAAAAGTGCTCAGGTGGTGAAGGTGCATAAAGGAGGTTCAGTAAAGGTCTGAACACTTTTTAGATTGTGTCAAAGGACTTCAGCCAAGCAGATTTTGGCAAACCGATGATGGTTTTAGCAATTAACAGGCAATTTCAATGTGTGGGCTGGTGTAGAGCACTATTACAGTCACCATAAGGCTTGGCACTGCAGGCTAGAATGAGGTGTGCAGAGACTACTAGCTAGTTTTGACCTGTTTTCTCTTCTTACAGGTTGCATCTAGATCCCATTTCCAGTCTCTCTTGCAGTTAGCTGGGTCCATATGATTGAGTTTTCGCTGATGGAATTTGAGTGGTAATGGTGGTGTACCATTTTCAGCCCTGCCTCATATAAACCTTCCTGGTACCTTCCTCTCTGCTTTAGTCCTCTCCATCAGCTTAGTCAGCTGAACAAGGTGACCTTGAAAGCCACCTGGGGAAGATGGTGGAACTAAGGAGAAAATTCAGAAGTATCAAACATAGTAGATCTTGCTTCCCCCTGAAGAGTAAATGCTTAGGATTTAATTTATCATCTTGCTGGTAGGTTTCTATCAGTTGAGATTAAGTCCATTGGTTATAGATAATGGATCGATTAGACTGACATCCTAATGACACTAGAAACAAGCAGAATGTCCCCTTCCACGCTTTCCTTCACTCAAATAATGTGAAAGAGATTTGCTATTTCTTTAATATATCATTGAGTACTGAATTTCTAATTTTACATAAGAGAAAAGCTATTCTAGGAGCTGGGGACTGTACTGTCTGAAAAAAACTAACTGACTTGAGGCCAGTGCTGTAATAATCTTGGAAGTTTGGACGCCATTACTGTGAGGTAAAAATATTAAACTCACAATAAGATACTGCTACACACCTACAAGTGGATAAAATTAAAAAGACAATTAATAACCAAAACTCTCAGTATTACCATAGGAGTATAAAATTATACATCTATTTGATAGTTTATTGTAAAATTAAATATGTTTCTACCATATTACTCAGGAATTCTACTCCTAAGTATTCATCCAAGAAAAATGAAAATTTACTCACTAGAATCCTTGTACAACACTGCCATATATATATGTATGCAAGTGTGGGTGTGTGTATATATATATATATATATATATATATATATATATATATAGGCTCTATACCAACAGAAAGTATTTAGATCAAAAGTACATTATGTACATATCATAAACTCCAAGAAGCTGGAATCAGCTCAGACATCCATCAACAGGAGAATTAATTTAAAAAAACCATTACACTGTGGTATATTTATGCAGTAGAATATCACTCTGTAATAAAAAGGAATGAACTATCAATACATATAACAACATAAATGAATTTCAAAAAATATGCTGAGTGAAAGAAGACACCTCAGAGTACACACTTTATGATTCTGTGTATACATATTTCTGGATCAGGCAAAATTGATCTTTGGTAAGAGAAATCAGAACAATGGCCCCTTCTTGATGGACAGGAATTTCTTGGCAAGTGGCTCAAGGGAATTTTCTGGAGTGACAGAAACATTCTACTACTTAATGCAAGTGTGGGTGTATATATTTGTCAAAACTGCTTGAATTGTACACTTAACATCTGCACATGACACTATTTGTAAATCACTCCTCAGTGGAAACATAAATAATAAATAATCTCTACATTAAAAAATGAGGCATAAAATTCTGATATATGAAAGAACCATATCCATGCCACCCTAGGCTTGAACTTCTAAAGGAGCCTGAAATCTACCCAGGCATCGAGAACATCTCCAACCACAACCATGAATAGTAGGTCATACAGAGATGAATTTTTGACTCTTTTCTGTGAACTTTTAATTCATGTGGAATTTGATTTTGATTTTAATTCTATTGAAATTGAAATTTTATTGAATCTTCAGCCTCTCTCTGGTAATTTTATAATGTCAGGGAGCTTATATTCACATTTTGATTATCTATTGGGGTTAAATTTTTTACTAGATAATCTTTATTTTTTTTTTATCATATGGGTATCCTAACGTGGTTCTTTAATTTTACTGGAGAATCCCCAACATGCTAGGTTGCACAACATGGCTGAACATAATTTGGGATGGACAAAGGAATACAGAGCAAAATTTTTGCTGTTGGTACAGAGGCTACAGATCAAATTGACACTACCTGCTGGGGTCCCAGGAGGATACTCAAAATGGAGAGACTTGACATGGTCCCCAACTGTGGTAAGTGGGCAGGGAATTGCGAGGGCCATTTAGCTGACTCATTTGCTCCCCATATAAAGCTGAGTCCTCCTTCTTAACTGTAGCAATATAAAAGTTATTTTATTCTCTATCTGCAGACTTGTCTTACATCTCAATTAAGAATTTGGGTAAGATGGAGAGGTAGCTGTGTCTTTAGAGCTGATATTTAAAATCAATAACATTTCAATTATCCACAGAGAGCATGCACAAATAAATACAAAGAGGACTGAGAAAGAATTCTTAAGGTATATTATTTATAAAGGATCTGAAAGAATAAGAAGAGTCAGTGAATTAAATAGAGAATGAGTGACTGAGAGGTAGGAGAAGCTACAGAAAGAGAGAGACAGCCAATGAGAAGCTTTAAGAAGATCCAGTCAGTCAGATTCAGTGATACACAGCTCTAAGAGAAGGACAAATCAGAAAGGCAATTTTGCATTCCAATATCCATTCAATTGCAAAATACATGACAGTCTCCAAAAAGCCTTGCAATACACTGTCATTGTTCATTGCTGGCGTGTAATCATTATTGAAATGAACATGAGTTCCTGAAGGGACGAGATTGTGTACTGTTCATTTTGCGTGCCTAGCCCCCATTGGCAATGAGCAATGTATTTGTGCAATAAATGGTCTTATATTCCCTCTCCTCAATCTTGAGTAGATATTTTTATTGTGTTTGTTTTACAGGTAAAGAAGTAAAATACTTGGCCAGAATCACCAATTTCAGTTAGTGACTGAGCCAGACTCCTGATAATTGATACCGCGCTGTTTAATAGCAGTAAAACATTCAAATCTCACCTCTCTCACTTCCTTTACATCTTTGTTCAAATGTTAATTTCTCAATCAGGCGAACCCTGAAGATTTCATTTAAAATAACACTTCCTTCTCCAACCATTCACCCTATTCTACGGCTCTTCACCACAATTCTTTCTTTTCTTTTCTTTTCTTTTTTTTTTTATTATACTTTAAGTTCTGGGATACATGTGTAGAATGTGCAGTTTTGTTACATATGTTATACAATTTCGAATATGTTATACAATTTCGAATATGTTATACAATTAACTTATTTGTTGTATTTCTAACTTACCATTGATCCAGGATGGAAGCTAGAGTAGAAATATTTTTGTCAGCTTTCTTTCTTTTCTTTTTTCTTTTTTCTTTTTTTTTTTTTTTTGAGACAGAGTCTAGCTCTGTCACCCAGGCTGGAGTGCAGTGGCCAGTCTCGGCTCACTGCAACCTCCACCTCCCGAGTTCAAGCGATTCTCCTGCCTCAGCCTCAGCCTCCTGAGTAACTGGGATTACAGGCACTCACCACCACCCCCAGTTAATTTTTGTATTTTTAGTAGAGACGGGGTTTCGCCATGTTGGCCAGACGGGTCTTGAACTCTTGACCTCAGGTGATCTGTCTGCCTCGGCCTCCCAAAGTGCCTGTATTATAGGAGTGAGCCACTGCGCTCGGCCGTTTTTGTCAGCTTTCTTCACAGATATAGTCCAGATGTTTTCAAGAGTGACTGGCATTAACTAGATATTTAAAAATTATATTTGTTGAATTAATTAAAAGGTACAGCTTTTTGGAAGCATAAGAAAATGAAACAACACTTTTATAGTCACAGAATTTAATTGGGTTTTAGAAAATATTAAACTCTAGCTTTTTCACTTTTCATCATTATAAAATTCCTGAAGCTAATCAATGAGCAAAACATTAGTAGTACTGCTACTTCATGTAAGTTATGTAGCACCCTGAGCTCTTTGGCAAAAAATGACTCTAAAACATAATATATGTTAACATATGTAAAGTGGATAGTGACTGATTTTCAAAACATTATTCATACATGTGTGACTTTAATTAGGAAGCTATAATAGATACACTATGAATTTTCATGAAGAAAAAAAACAGCATCTGGACTTGAGATTCTACACAAAGAAAAAGCTGGGTTTCTTCCTTCTTGTCCAGAGTATATAAAACCTATATTTCCTTCAGTCAGAATTTTCTCAAAAATAGCAAACTAAAACTCTAGTAAAATCAATCAGCTTTCACCACCAGTTTTAAAAATGGTAATTCAAAGCTTGTAAAAAAAGGACCGTGATTCCACATTTTTAATTTTCTCACAGAACTATAACTTGAAAATATGTTCTATACATTACTATTTTGTATATGTAGTTTTTAAAGATATTAACTTGTTACAAGTATATTTCTCTGAAGATGTTCATCTTTTTTGCTGTTTCTTTTAAATTATTTTCAACTGTAAACCTACTGAGATTTGAGTTTTTTAGCACTGTCAAAAAATACTTACTTCAAGAAACATTATTCTCCTAAATGTATAGAAGATATTTCAAGAGATCATAATTTCATATTAGATATTCATAAAGAATTTTCTTTCATAAAATAAACAGATTTTTGCCATTTTATAAATGCACATAAAAGCAGTAACTGTTCTTAATTTACCAACATTTCTTTTTGCCTCCTAGAACACTTACATCTGATATAATAAGATAATTACTAAGTGTCTTATAAGTGTTTCTTTAATGTATCATCTCTCCCAAAACTTTGAAATCTCCTGGAAGACAATAAACTGCTGAAATAATTCTTTCCCCTCTTCTGTTATTAAACATAAAATAAGCATTCAAACATATTTGTTTGATTCAACAATTGAAAATTAATTTGAATACTACCCATTCAATGCAAATAACTATACATATACAAAAATTATGGGTCATTATCATCCTTTAAGTCAAGTAAATAAGTAATTGTTCTAAGAAATTAAAAAGCTATATTTTTCCTTTATTGTTAAATGTTAAATAATTCAATATTGCTTCCTTGCAAAATTACTCAATGAATATATATTGCTTTGATCATTCAAAGTTATGTATATATACACATACATATACACACATACATGGATATTCAACTATTTGCTGTGCACTGTGTTGGATCCATTGTACGTGTTTTCTTTCTTTCCTCCCAACATCTCTTAAAAACATAATTGTCTTCACATTACAGATGAGGGAGCTGAAGATTAGAGAAGCACAATTAATTGTCTAAGGTTTTACTGTCAGTAACAATCAAAGCTGAGATTTAAATGCAAGTATTTAGAATGCAAATTTAATTATATTTCCAAAATATTACAGCTAATTCTTCACATGCATATTCTATCTTCAAACAAATGGGTATTACTGGTATATATTAAGTACATATATAACATACTGAAGCACATTCTAAGAGATAGAGTAGCCTGTAAACATAGATCAGCAACTGTAAATGGATACACAGTAAGGCATATACAGGTACAGGACTGGCTTTCTTGACTTGACATTAAGTATATGCACCAAGTAAAAGAGAGCTGCATTTCAGCCCTTTTCAGTGTGGCTCTTATTTGGGTTAGAAAAATGGTGATTATTTTTTATGACAGGAAGGATCAGATCATCTTAATTCATCATCTCCTTTGCATTCACTCTGAATCATTTTTCTGTCTTGGCCTACAAATTAGTAATGTTTTTTATTGCTTAACAATGCAAAGAATTATCTCATCATCTAAGTTCAACTCTATAATATTTAAGTTAATCAATATTTGCCATTTGTTAGGCATATGATAGATATTCAGATATTTACTAAGTTTAGACTGTATGACGGATTTTCTCTGAAACTAAGACCACTAGGTCAGTTAAAGTATTCCATCCAAACCCCACTGTGAATTATATTGCTGATTTTAAATGAGCTTCTATCCAGGCTGTTCAAGCACATGTTTCTTTCAGATCTTTGGCATCTCTGATTTTATTCTACCTTCAGGAATTAGGAAAATCAAGCTGAGTCCTTTAGTTTTATGTTTCCTCTGTATAAGTAGCGTCTACAATAAATACCAAAGCTTAAAGATTAATAAATCCCTCCACGTACAACAGGATTTATGACAGAAAACTGCAGTATTTTTACTAATTATTACAAATGACAATTGAAAATACTCACTTCTGGCTTTGCTCTTTTTATGACTGTAAAAGCCACTAGCATAAGGATGCCTCTTTTTGGTTAGGCTCATAATCTTTGATTTATCTTCTTCAATTCTGAGAAAATAAGCACTGAGGGGGGTCTGGTTTATATTACTGGGACAAGACAATGGCTCTAATCTGCAATCTTCTATTTTGTTTCTGCTGTTCAAAGACCAATTTCAATTTTAACTTGCCTGTTGTCCCTTTTCTGTTGGTAGAAAGCTGTTTTGATTACAGGAGGGGTGGAGGTGGTGGGGGTGAGGTGATGTCAGTGGTGATGGTGGTGGTGTTGTGTGTGTGCCTGTGTGTGTGTGTGTGTGTGTGTGTGTGTGTGTGCGTAAAAAGGAGCTAGGCTAGTAGAGGAATGGGAGGCAGCATACATAAGCTGTATTTGTGAATCTGCTTATAAACCTAACAGATTTTTCAGCTGAAATTTGGCCAATGTTAATTGTACACACTGAATTCATGCTGGGAAAATCTCTTTGGAAAAAAAAAAAAAAAAAGACAGAGAGCACAGCCGGCCTGTTATGTAAGATGTTTATTTTCATCCAATCCAACCCACCATAGGCAGTACAGAAAATAGGCCAGTGCTTCTGACCGGTGACATCACCTCATCATCAGGAGAAAGCGGGAATGGCTGATCACCATATTGTTAGTAAAGAGGATAATTTCCTTTCACAATTGTTTTTCTTTTGGAAACCTTTATTTCTGGAGATAGTGATCTCATCTCTGTGGGATGTTTATTTCTTCAGATTCTGTAATAACAGTGAAGCTACCTGGATTTCAGTTCTTGTACAATGCACATAAACACTTATTTTGGTGCTTTTTCTCTGGGTCTCCAAACGTTAAAAGATTGGATGATTTTAGCAGAACATTGACCATCCTAAGAAAATTGTGACGGGAAGAGGAATAATTATTCTGATATTTAACCTTATGAAGTATTTTATGTAGCCTTTGGTAATTTGCTTTGCAGAATGCCTCCTTTTCTTAGGCTGTGTCACATTATATTTGGGTAGATGGGCATTGTGTTTATTTTATGAATACTAAGAATGAAATGCACAGTTTTTAGAAAGTGTTTTAAGCAGGTCATTATCTACGCTATAATATAGACGTTTTTGCAATTTATAAGTAGTAAAGTGGGTGAAATTTTGTGGGTGTGTGCATGTAGCTTTTTTTTCTAATTCAAAATTAATAGAAAACTAAAAATAGGGTCTTTATTATAGAAGCTAATTCAGCTACTTAGAAAATATACCACAATAAAATTAACCAGTCTGTGGTTTGTTTATGACAGATTTGGTTAAATGACTTCTTTCTGTTACGGGACAATTTTCAGGATTATTCAAATTCACCCACTTTTTAAAATAAATAATTTGCCTATTCTTGTTTCATTCTCCCTCTAGAGGATATCAGTGCGTATTACAATTCAAACATTAAATATGCCAGTAGGTCTAATTTAAATACAGCACGATCCTGAGAACTGTTCCTTGACTTCATTTGTATTCAACTTAACTCAGTTCTAGAAGCCATTATCTTAAGTAGCTCTAAGTTTGCAGCACTTTTTTCCTTTAAACCTAGGTGTCAGTATCTTAAGGAGGTCATTTTTGTTTTGTTTTGCTTTGTTTTGTTTTTGTTTTTTTAAACAACAAAATCAATATCTTAACCCTCGTGAAGAGCAGTACTGAAATGGTTAGAGTTTCAGTTTCTAATATAATGAGCGGTGTGTGTTTGTGACTCTAAAAGTCTAATTATTGTGTTCTGGGATATCCACATTACATCTGCTAGGCAGTCTTTGAGGACACTGGAGGCCATTTAATGTTGTATAAATTAAGTATCACAATAAAAAGTGGTCCAGTAACCTGCAGATATGACAGTCAAATATTAGAATTGGTACAAAAATATTTATGGACATTCACCTGAAGATGAGCATAGGAAAGGGCTCCTTATCTTGCTTTCAAGAGACATGAATGATTTGATTTGCGAAAGCTGCCTAATCATTCAGAGCCTATTTTCTCTATCAGTAAATAGGAATAATTATATCACCTTTTAGTAGTATGAAGACCAAGTAAAATCTAGAAAATGCTTAATATGTGACTGACTTGGAGTAAATTATTTTCTCTTCTATTGTAATAAAAATTCTCTGGTTGGAGCTAAGAAGTGAAAATATAAAAATTAGCAAAACCTTTCGGGAGATTCCCCTCATTTCTTGATTTATTTTCTTATATGTTCTGTACTTCCAATTTCAGAGTCATGGCATGATTTTATCTTCAAAATGTTGTTACAGGACTCTTGCAGAAATGCCAGTCGTAGGTGGACAGTCTGGAAAAAGAAATCCATGATTCTGTTTCTTAGTGTGAGACTGTGGGGCTTTATTTCTTTTTGGTGGGACATAGAAAGGGAGAAATAGGTAGTCATTTATGTTTTGATTTAGAAGTTCAGCATATAAAGTTTCAAAAAGAAAGATGCTATAGAATATAATAATATATTTCTATTTGTATTTTAAAAGCCTAAAAATTATTTATGAAACTATTTGCAGGAAGTTGGGATTAGGCAGAAGTTTGGAAAACTTTTTCTTTCTCTGTACGGTTTACATAAAAATATTTTCATGAAGAATATACATGATAAAATTTCTTAAGGTGAAAGGTAAATCTTCCATTTCTGAACTCCAGTACCTTAATTTCCCTCTCAAAGACACCCACAGTTTATAGTTCATCATTTTTGTAAGATTTTGCTAGGCAATATATACATACATATATATATATATATAAAAATATAAAATGTTTGTTTTCAGTAGGTGTGTTCTATAGTCTTTGTGAACACTGAATTAGTCACTACTGTACCATTGCTCCTATGGGAAATACAGAGTTAGGTTTCTGAAAGCCTTTGGTCACAACAGTGTCATCATCTGATCTATACGTAACTTTGTTTTGTGTGTTTTTGTGTATGAAGGCATCTTATTTATGATTCATTAACATTAAACTCACAGCCACTATAGCTCATACCCAAACAAAGTTTATCACATATATTTTCACCATAAGGCACATTACAGTCTTCTTGTGCTTAGGAACAGTAGACAGCACTTCAACACTATGCTTGGGGGAAATTTTAAACAGTAAAATCACCAGCAAAAAAGCACAAAAATGAGAAACATTTGGCACTAAATAGACCATGAAAAGGACACTTGTTTATAGTATGGAAGCTGAAATAAGAGGGCAGAGCATTGCCTTCTTTAACCTAGAAAGTTCTGCAAGTATTGATTTTGGAGTTATTAATACAAATATATCTTAGCAAGTAGAAGAACCCATGAATAATGAGGATCAACTGTATATATATGTATGTATTTATATGTATGTGTGTATGTATATGTATATTCTTTTAATCATACACTAGCAATATATTACACGCACTGTTCTGACAGTTGCTTTACAGTATTACTCAGCAGACTCTGAAGTCAGACTGTGGGATCAAAACCTGTCATTACCCTTTGCTAGCTGTGTTACCTTGGGCAGGTTACCTAACTTTTCTGTGCTTCTCTTTACTCTTCTATAATATGGGACTTATAAGGGTATTTACTTAATGGAGTTGTCGTGAGGATCAAATTATTTGATACACAAAAAGCATTTAGAATATATCTGACACATCATAGACATTATGTATTTGCTGCATCATCATTTAAGATATTTGGATAATATTCCTTATTGACCTATATAGCAGGTTCTCACTCTTTTTGAAAACAACATTGTGTTACATCATATGGATACATCATAATTTTTAAACCTGGTGCCCACAGAGGGCATTTATATAGCTTTGTATCTTTTGCTTCAATGAGAATCATCTAACACATTTTCATGTACACGTGGAAATCAACCTGTAGGCAAAGGGGTTGTGCAGTTTTAATTGTATATATATTACCACATTTCCCACAGATTTATTATAATAATCATGTATAATTTAAAAAGCTATTTACTTTCAATAAAAAGAGAGAAAAGAATGACTCTTAGCTTTTATCTTTTGCTCAAATGCAGATTTTTTAATGCAATAAATTGAATAAATAATCACATTTACCATGTAAATGATTACAGTGACATTTAATGCCACCCATTTTTTAGGTCTATTAAACACCAAAAAGTTTGCAAATATTTTGCAGACTTTACATAAATTATATTGCCAGTCTAGAATATTCTATCAGTCCAGTAAGAATATACCATCTCAGTTAAGTAGGAGTACACCTATCATTTCCTCTACTTGATACTTCTCTTTATGTTAGTAACTCCCCAATAATTTCACTTATTACATTGTGTAAAAAATGAAATCGAAAGCAGAATAGCTGATATACCCTCTGCTTTAAAGGCACTAGTATTAGCTGTAGAAGCTTGAGAAAAACACAAATCTTGCTCAAAAAGGATTATTTTTAATACAAAGAGCACTAATAACTTCCACAAATTAACTATGACATTAAGTAGTCTTCCGGCTTCTTCAATATTTCCACCTTGCTGGCGTTTGCTCGCCTTCCAAATCACTGAAGGAGAGGCATGATTGAGCTTTTGCTTCCTTTCACAACTTTTTCAGAGCAGATTATGTTTCACTTCTTTTATTTCCTTAATTGTTTCTTTCGGAACATTCATTAATCTCTTTACAGGCAATCACAAAGGTATCAGGAATTCTGATTATGGGCTGTGGTGACAATAACCACAAAGGACTGAGCTGAGGTACATTTTCAACAAGGGGAGGATGTCTTTGGAAGCTCTCTATGGGATTGAAAAAAGGTTCTAGAAAATAGCGTGAGTCACTCTTATTAAGGGAGTCAGGGAGGAGAACAGCTGTGCAAAATTAGTACCAGTATCTTCCTACCTTTCATTTTAAACTTTTCAAAAGATTTTTTCTGGTCAGTTCCTCCTGAGAAGGGCAACCTAATCAGACATAATCTTTGCTTTTAGAGGTTACCATGGTGACTGGCCAGGACACACTGTCTTCTCTGGACATCATAAACACACATTTTCTATGGTGCTGAATAAGCCTGTATACCATCAGAGTCTTTCTTTGATTGATAAAACAAATAGGGAACATTGAAATGGTTCACAGCAATCAGAAATGATATTTTCCCATATTGATTTTTTTTTCTTTCTTTTTGCCCTTTCTCTATCTGTGCCATGTCTCTTTGAAGTATACATCAAGGCACAATACTTATTGTAGGAAGCAAAATCAAGTGAATCTTTTTTTTTTTTCATGTGGACCAAGATAGTCAAAGATTTTCCTTACCACTTATGTTCTGCCAAGTGAAAGACAATTTCACTTACCCAGGTTGACAGACAACAGAGACTCATACACAATCAGAAGATAGTACTGTGACTAGGTGAGTGTGAGAGCAATCACTAATTTGTGAGAAGTGGGGCAGAGAGAACAGTGCATACTAATTTTTTAGCTTCTTGAACAGACTTTATTTTTTAGAGAAGTTTTAGTTTCATAGCAAAATTAAGTAGAAAGTACAGAGTTCCCTTGTACCCCTTTCCGCTACAGCCTCCCGAACCATCAGCATCCCCCACCAGAGTATTATTACATTTGCTACAATTAGTAAGCCTGCATTAATACATCATGATCACCCAAAGTCCATAGTTTACATTAGGGTTCAAGCTTGGTGCATATTTTATGGGTTTGGACAAATGTATAATGACGTTTCTATCTTTGTAGTGTTATATAGAATAGTCTCACAGCCCTAAACATTGTCTATACTCTGTGTATTCATTGCATCCTCCCACCCTAACCTCTGCAAGCACTGATTTTTTTTTCTTTTTTTTTTTTTTTATTGTCTCCATAGTTTTGTCTTTCCAGAATGTCACAGAGCTGGGATCATACAGTATGTAGACTTTTCAGATTGGCTTCTTTCACTTTGTAATATACATTTAAGGTTTTCATATTTTTAAAGGAAATCTCATGTTCCTTTTCTGTCATGTGAACATTTCATTTTCCAAAGGCTTCTGACCAAAGTGTTGTTAGCAGAAAATGCCAAGCACCAACTTCTTCAAAATTTGAAATCAATTTTTCAGGTGGGGAAAAAAAGAGCTAATGGAAACACACACACAAAAAATACAGAGAGAAACAAACACATACTACCACCACCACCAAAAGACAAGATGGCAAGAGAAGGACTGACCTAGATTCTGAAATGCATAAGCTTTAGAATAGCAGATAATGACTGATGGATGGGGTGAGGTGGGAGCGAGAGGGACCTCTAACAGTGAGTGAAGATGTATGAGAAGAATCCTTGAGCATAAAACTACCTTTAAGCTCTGGACTCTCCAAAGCACACAAATGCTGTTATGCAGGGGTCGAAGAACCAGAATAATCCTCTGTACCCCAGCTCCAAATTACCCATAGAGCAGAAGAAATGTCCAGAGAGTTGTTAATATTCTCTTTCTGGTAGACTATGACTCAATGCTGGTCTGAAGTATTCTTCAATTACCTGATTTAAATTAATTGCCTTCTCAGTACAGTCAGAACTCTTTGTTTATGACTCTTGTGAGCCAATTAATCATTTCAGGTTTTGCGTTACTGTTATTTATGTTCTCGTCTTTCTTCTTCACTAGACTGCAAATTCCTCTAGGACAAGCATCTTATTTTTCTTCAACTTTGTGTTATGCAAAGTATATTACAAACAGGAAAAGTTCAGTAAGCATTGGTTAAATCAAACTGAGCTTTAGCCAGTAGGTGTATGATAGGAGTCCTTCTCCCAACAAAAGGACATTTATGGATGCCAAAGTTCTTTACCAATTTTATTATAGTCCAGCAAAACGGAAGGCTATGATAGACAAAAACATGGTGAGTAAACATTTTGAGGTACTCTCTTTTTCTTATCCCCTAACTCACCATGAGTCTTTCTGAGTTTTGGTTTAAAAAAAAAATATCTCAACACTTGGAAGAAGGAATTTGAAAGCATAGATGGGTTTTTTTGCAATAAACTAGTACACAAAACAACACCCCCCAACACACATACACCAAATATCCTTATAAAGAGAACTCTGGGTTGGGGTGGGGGAGAAATGAGAAATGAAATAGAGCGGTCTGTGTCCCAAATGCAGAGGAAAAACTGTACATTACAAAACAACAAGGTCCAGGGAAAAAATGGCCCCTGTATGCAGTATGGGAAAGGATTTTTATGCCTGAATAGTGGCTCAGAATAGCAGAGAATCTCTGAATCTGGAGATTCTCTGAATCTGAATCTGGTTTCAGGCAGATGGAGATAATGGATGTTCCAGAGAAGTTCATCATATCCAAGTGACTAGAGAGCAGATTGCTTCCCCTTCCTCCACTTGAATTCCCCAACCACCATGCCTTGTGTAAGATTCTGGAAGGGAAGCTGGAGTTGAACCACAGGAAAGAAGTCCTCAAAGCTTATGTGATCAAGGTTCCCATCAGTGGTGGTGTAAGGGCTCTGTGTAAGAAATTAAGTTGAATTACAGAAAATAAACCAAATTTTATAACTTCAACAATTATATTTGTGAACTGAAATTCATACTTATTTCAGAGTTCAGGGGGAAATAAGCTCCCACTCTTTAATCTCAACACCTCTAAAATAGAAGAGGGGCAGAGGTAGTTGGGCCAACAGCTTACTGTGAAATAAAAAGAGAAATCATTTGGCAAAATACCTCATGTTCTCATTTCCCCTCCTGAAACTCTCAAGTCAATAGAATTTACGTTATCAGTGTCAAAATATGTGCCATTTGGAATGAGGTAAAATTGTGTAAGATAAATAAAAATGAATTCTGGATACTCCAGTTTGCACATTCATATTTACTTATGAGAGTTGGTATTTTGTAGGAGACAGTTTCTACTTCAATGCAAGTGTTGAGGCCATTATCATAAAAGCCTGAAGTTCAAAGGGGCAGCCATGACATTGTTTTCTCAGGCAACTGCTCTGTCATTCCTTCCATAACTAGACACCAGGATAAGAATACAAGCACCACCATTTGGCTTTGATTTTCTTTTTTGGTACCTTTTCCTAAAGACCCAAGAGACTTATACAATGAATACAGAAATTACAAATCCTCTACGTTGTCTTCAAGCACCTTAGCTGAAGCTAACCTCACATTTACTCTCCTCCTGTCTCTTATTTAATAGAGAAAGAGTATGATGAACAATCATGATCCTAACATACGCAAATATGCATATATACACAATATTAGATATAATATAGACATATGAATTTATATCCATATATATGTAATCAGAGGAAGGAATACTCCTTTGCCTGTAACAATCCTCCTCCTGTGCTTTCTCTGATCTTCACTCTAACACACATGCTTTATCATAGCAAATGAAGCCATCCCTTATCTCCTTTCCTGACAGATTTTCAGACCCAGCCATCTCTTTTTACTGTGTGCTGCAATTGTGGTGAGGAACTTCCATTCCCTAATCATGCTGTGTGATTTCACCTTTTTATATGCAGCTCACTTTACCTGCAGTTCTTTACATCTACTCCATAGCAGCTCTGATGAACACCGACAACTCAGAAAGGCGAATTAAAGCATCTCCTCTATGCATCCCTTAAACTGTACTCCCCACAACCTGCCAGGTAGAATGGTCCACTTTCCCTTTGTGTCCCACCGCACCATACACATTATTCATTTATTCATTCATCAAACACTTATTAAGTAATATTTGCTGTGTGCCAGATGCTATGTGAGGTGCTGTCATACTGAGGAAGGAGGTTTATGCTCTTCACAGCCATGCATACTAGTTGCAGCTGTAGTTTAGGTATGTGTTCTCACTCAGTTACATTGAGGATCATTGAAGACTGATACTGTATCTTATTCATTGTTGTGTCCCAAGCACCATATATAAGGCCTAAGACTTAGTAGGTGTTAAATAAGTATGCTGAATTCAAAATTTCCTATTGTCATAAATGATAAAGTAGAATCACTTAAAAATTTAATTTAAAAATATTTAAATTTTTAAAATGAATGTATGTGTATTTGTTTTCAAGCAATACACAGGTGAAGAACTAGATTTCCTTACCACCTTTAATCTCTCTGAAGAAACCAATGTTAACATGATAGTTCCACTCTTTTCTCTATCTCTAACACAAAGCTATTCAAGCATTTATAGAGTTTTTATTGGCATATTTTATTAAAATGCAGCATATATTTTCATGAGGAATATCTGTAGTTTTTTTATAATGTCTGTGGAAAAGTTTTTAATTACATATTTAATCTGCAATATGAAGAAGCCTACAAATAACATACTCAATGCAGAAGAGGAAATATATGTGTATGTATATTTTTTTTGTTTTTGTATATATGTCTATATCTGTATCTGTAGATCTGGGTATCTAAATCTTTTCTAGATCTAGAGTTAGAAATTTAAGTTGAATTAGGCCGGGCGCGGTGGCTCACGCCTGTAATCCCAGCACTTTGGGAGGCCGAGGCGGGCGGATCACGAGGTCAGGAGATTGAGACCATCCCGGCTAAAACGGTGAAACCCCGTCTTTACTAAAAATACAAAAAATTAGCCGGGCGTAGTGGCGGGCGCCTGTAGTCCCAGCTACTTGGGAGGCTGAGGCAGGAGAATGGCGTGAACCCGGGAGGCGGAGCTTGCAGTGAGCCGAGATCCCGCCACTGCACTCCAGCCTGGGCGACAGAGCGAGACTCCGTCTCAAAAAAAAAAAAAAAAAAAAAAAAAAAAAAAAGAAATTTAAGTTGAATTATAGAAAGTAAACCAAGTTTTATTACTTCAACAATTATATTTGTGGACTGAAATTCATACTTATTTCAGAATTTAGGGGCAGGAATAAGCTCCCACTTTTGAATCTTAATATCTTAATACCTCTAAAATAGAAGAGGGGCAGGTTAAGCCAACAGCTTACTGTGAAATAAAAAAGAGAGAAATCTAGTGTATTAGTCAGGGTTCTCTAGAGGGACAGAACTAATGGAATACACATACACACACACACATATAAAGGAGAGTTTATTAAGTATTAACTCACACGATCCCAAGGTCCCACAATAGGCCGTCTGCAGGCTGAGGAGCAAGGAGAGCCAGTCCGAGTTCCAAAACTGAAGAACTTGGAGTCTGATATTTGAAGGCAGAAGACATCCAGCATGGGAGAAAGATGTAGGGGGTAGGAGGCTAGGCCAGTCTAGTCTTTTCATGTTTTTCTGCCTGCTTTATATTCTAGCTGTGCTGGTGGCTGATTAGATGTTGCCCACCCACATAAAGGGTGGGTCTGCCTTTCCCAGCCCATTGACTCAAATGTTAATTTCTATGGGAACACCCTCACAGACGTACCCAGGATCACTGTTTTGTATCCTTCAATCCAATCAAGTTGACACTCAGTATTAATCATCACATCTAGATCTCTAAATCTATATTTAGATCTAGAGCTATAGGTAATTACTATAGGGAAAATAATTTTTTAGAAAAATGATAGTTTAAGAAAATAATAGTTACTTATTGAGAGCTATTGCTTAACAGAGTTCTAAACATTTAATATACAGTGTATCTTATAATTCACATAAATTATGAGATTATTCCCATTTTACAGATGAGGAAACTGAAACAAAAAGTTAGTAACATGCTCACAGTTGTATGACTTTGTAAATGACAAAGATGGAGTGTAAGCCCAGGTAGTCTGAGTCTGACCTCTCAGCAGAATTTAAAACAATGGCCATATGCTCTCAATAACATTCTAAAATAGTAGATTACAAAAGATAAAAATGAGATAATATAAAAAGGGTCAGCTGAACAGGGAGCTGAAAAATTGGCAGATGCTGATAGAAAACTTGACATTTTTTGAGGTAGAGAAACGTTATAAGAACCTTTAAAAGCAGCAGGATTAAAATCAACATTAGAAACGTAAACAGTAGAATCAGATTCTCAAAAATATCAAATAAGTGATGTATCAGAGACACAAAACTTAAGAGGAAAAGCTTTCTATAATTTTTTTTAAAGGTGAAAACATAGGAGAGAATTTTTTAGCTATGATGGCTGGAGAATGGAGAATGCAGACACAGCAGAAAAATACATGGCCTTCATCTCCTGACCAGCTGAACTGAATTTATATAACCAATGCTTAGCTCCATCCCAGTGTAATTTCAATTCTCTGGTCTAAATTTTTGAGATCCCCTGAGTAGTTTCGCAAAAGAATTTGTTGGAAAATATTTATTTTGCAGTACAAAATGTAAGTTATGGTAGAGTCTAAAATGGGAACTTAAAACATATATAAAATGTATTGTCGTATATTTGCAGAAGAGTCATTTGTTTTAGGTATAGATTTCTAGATATGACATGTATATAGAAGAAATATGTGCCAGTTACTGTCCTAAAAGCTTTAAATGCATTATCTCATTAAAACTTCACGAAACCAGCCTGGTGTGGTGGCTCACGCCTGTAATCCCAGCACTTTGGGAGGCCGAGGTGGGGGGATCATGAAGTCAGCAGATCGAGACCACCCTGGCTAACACGATGAAACCCCATCTCTACTAAAAATACAAAAATTAGCTGGGTGTGGTGGCACATGCCTGTGGTCCCAGCTACTCAGGAGGCTGAGGCAGGAGAATCGCTTGAACCCAGGAGGTGGAGGTTGCAGTGAGCCGAGATCGCGCCACTGCACTCCAGCCTGGGCGACAGAGCGAGACTCCGTCTCGAAAAAAAAAAAAAAAAAAACTTCACAGAACTACCCTTCATTTGTGGATGGAAATACTGAGAATAGAAAGGGTAAGTACAATTAGTTAACAGTCAAGAATCAAAATAATCCCTTGGATGGTAGACTGAGAAATCAAAGGTATCAGGTAGATTCTGAAGTCTGCCTTTTAAACACTAGATTAAGATCAATATTCTAATTCTGTCTCCATTAGGCAAACAGTAACAATACTTAGTATAGGCAAAGTGTCTTGTGGCTTTCATAGCACTTTCACATATTTTGTCTAATTTTATACTCATACCCTTTGGGGGAAAAACTAATGCTATTACTATTTTATAAATAAGGAAACTGTGGCTCATAGAAGTTTAGATGACCTTCCTGAGGTTCAATATCTTGTGAAGGGTTAGAGCGATCAAGCCCAGGTCTCCTGATAGCTAAAACATCATGCTATGCTCTGTGTAACCAGTGTCTTTTGTAATAATTCATTAAGAGTTTTCTCAGTAGCTTAAATAAAATTAGCACATTATGTTAGAAGGTGTTTTTGAAACTATGCCAGAAGAATGATGAGTCAATGATGATCTGATTGATACAACTGCATTGCTACAATGCCAGTTCATTCTACAGCAAAAAAACAGTTTTGAAAATTCAATCTTGGGACCATTGTCATGCGATCCAACCTCAGGAACTCTTGAGAGTAGTACTTTCTTTAAACCTACTTCATCTGAACCAGCTGGGGAGAAGTCAGTTTCCACCATGATCCATATTGACATAAATCACCTAAAATTTACGACCATTATGTCCAATGGTCAGGGGGAGATACTGCTGTTTAATATTTTGTCAAGGGGATTATTTATAAGCTTCAAGGTGGGAAGGAAGGAAGGTGGGAGGGAAGGAGGGAAGGGAGGTGGGAACGAAGAAGGTGGGGAAGAGGGATGATAAGGAAGGAAGAACGGAAGGAGGAAGAAAGAAAGTAGAGAAGTGAAGGAGGGGAGGAGGGAGAAAAAGAGGGAGGAAAGGAAAAAGGAAGGGAAAGAAGGTGGAGGAAAGAAGAGTGGAAATAAAGGAAAGAACCCAATTTCCTACCCCAGCGTGATCACTGTGAAACTGGAGGTTTTAAAGCATTTCTTCATGCCCTTTCTCTAGAGGGAAAATCATACACACAGGGAGACTTTAAATAGAAGCAGCTGATTGTTGTCTTTAGTCAGTCCCTGTGGGAACTCATCTCTTACTCCAAAAGAACTCTTTTATTTTGCAGCTCAAAATTATTTTTTTTTCAGTTCTATTTGCAAATTTGAAGTGTTAGGATTGTTTTCCAGTAAACTGTTTTATACACATAATAACACACTCTGGTGTCTGTGCTGGTCAGCCAACATTTGCACACCTTCAGTCTACTGAGGCTCTCATCTGTTCTTCAGTCCTCGATTTGCTTCAAGCCTGCTTTGTGTTGGCTGCTGAATATACAAAGTTATATGTTACTAATTTCATGGCTTATTTTGAAACTTGCCCCTGAGACCATCTCTTCAGCGGCCCTTCAGCCTGAGATACAGAGCTTTCAGTCTCTAAATTTTTCTATCAAAATAATTTATATTATCATAACTTTCTTCACTTTCCTTCCAGAATAATACCATCTATTCTGAGTTTTTATTTGACTTGCATAGCCGAAGGATTCTGGACCAAAGTAATTAAATGAAGCAAATGAGACAGTTATTGATGGCAATATGTTATTGAGTGAAGGGGGGCATTTTAGAGGTAAGGTTTTTTTGTTGTGTTTTTTTTCCCAAAAGTAACACATTACCATCTGTTCCCATTTCACACAAATCAGTACTAAGGGAACAAGATAAAAGAGAAAACTGGGTCAACATTTACATTTCAAGTCAGGTTAGATTTTGCTTTGTCAGTTTTCTTAGCCTGGAAATCTAAAGGTTAAAAGATGATTTCAGACACATGATAAGCAAGACAGAAAATGGATTTCTTTGGGTAGCCCCAAGAAACTGTGAGACTAAAATAGAGGCAAGAAAAATTATAGGAAAGAAGTAATGTTTCCTGTGATCTAGGTCTTTCCTTAAATTTATGAGACCAAAAGGGTGAAAAAACTAACTTTAACTTGTCATTGTTAGATCTCTGTGTTCAAACGGCTCTTATTTTTGAACTGTTCTTGGCCCAAACCTGTGCCTCTAGGTTACATAGTAGCCTGTAGGGTTTTCCCTGTGACTGATGGTGTAGAAATATCTAGTACTTAAAAAGAGAAATCTCAAAGCACATAACAATGCTGAAAATAAAATATGCTATCTTTACATTCCTTTCCTGTATCAAAGACTAACGTTTGATAGAAATCATAGAGTGACTGAATCGTGGACTTTGTGGTCAAGAGAGACCAAGGAAACTAGAAAATCGCTTTAATCCTACACGAATATCTTGAAAGATTCTGAACCAGAACAAATTCTTCCTGCTGACTCAGCTCTGTGTGTGGGGGTGTGTGTGGGTGTGACTGTGTGTGTGTGAGTGTTTGGATGCTTTGGGAATGGCATTATGATAGAATTCCTTTTTCTGTTGTTGCTTATTCTTAGTTAGGCCTAATGCATATCTAAGTATTATAAAACATCCCCTTTCTTCATTCTGTAAATTTTATTTTTATATGTTAAAAATTATTTGCTCTGATAATCTTTATGTTTCATTTTATTTTTAGAAATTTCTTCTTCATGGCCTAAACCTATTTAAATGTTTTGCTTAGCACTCTCCTGATGACATTTGGTATAAATTTTGGCAAATCAACAATATAAAATTTATTGTCAGTTTTATATCATCCACTTCCCTGCTAAAATTCTTCTTTGTCTTTTCATTGCCCTTCACGTTAAATATTAATTTGTTACCTTAATATGAAAGCTCTACATTGTCAGCCTCTTAAAATTTTCTCCATCTTAGGATTTTCTTCCTAATTTTAACAAAGCATGTATTCTTCAGTTGTTGGGTATTGTATTCTAAAAATGTCAATTAGGTCGATTGTTTAATAGGGTTGTATCTTTACTGGTATTTTGACCCATTTCTTCTACAAATTACTGACAAAGGGTTATTAAAATCTTCAACTATGACTTTTTTCTGTTTGATTTTCTACCTATTTTAAAGCTTTTTTATTAGGTGCTTGCATAGTTAAGGTTTTTGTAGCTTCTTGAAAAATTTACACTTTTATTATTATGAAATATCTCTTTTTGTCTCTAGTAATAATATTTTTTGGTCATAAAGTCTACTTTGTGTGATGTTAATTTAGCTATATCAGCTTTCTTGTGCTTAGTATTACATCATTTTAACTTCAACCTATTTTTAGCTTACATTTAAAATGTGTTTCTGGAAAGCGACATAAATTGGGTCTGATTCTTTCATCCATTTTGGAATAAAAAATAGAATATTTAATCCAATTACATTTTTAATGTTTAATTTATTTTCACTATTGTATTTTGAAATATTTTTAGATCTACATAAAAGTTAACACTCATACAGAGAGTTCACATATAACCTATACCCTGACACCCTTATGTTAACTTACACAACCATTGTATAATTATCAAAACCAGAAAATTGGTAGAATGCTAAATAAATTTAGTAAACCATAAGCCTTACTTGAATTTCATCAGTTTTCTGCCTAACGTTTCTTTTACCCTTTTAGAATCAAATTTAAGAGCTCATAATGCATTTAATTATTGTGACTCCTTTGTCTCCTTCAATCACTAATAGTTTGTAAATGTTTTGTTATCTTTCATGGCCTTGACACTTTTGATGAGCTCTAATAAGTCATTTTGTTGAATATTTGGATTTGTCTGATGTTTTGTCATGATCATACGGAGATTATGCATTTTTTGGCAAGGATACCACAGAAGTGTTGTCTTTTTGTCAGTACGCTATACCAGGGAGCACAATATTTTGATGTGCCGCATTGCTAGTGTGTTAACCTTGATTATCTGGTATAGGTGGTATCTGCTGAGTTTCACCACTATAAAGTTACTACATTCTCTTTATAATTGATAAATATCTTTGGAAAGCTACTTCGAGGTTATGCCAACATACTGTTTCTCTTCAAAATTTTGCCCTTTGATATTGACATCCATTGGTGGATAGCATATTTTGAACTTGTAAATATTGCATTGACACATGTATTGGGAAAGATGTGGAACTGCTCACTTTGAGTGAGGCCAGGGAAGAAAGACCACTTTAACAGATATGAGGAGCTATGCCACATAAGGCATATAACCTGGCAGTGCCATGGTTAGCGGCATCTGTGGGAAACAAAAATACCAAATGGAGCCCCTGGCAAGCCTAGTAGGAGAATCACAGCACAGACCTCTGAGATTATGGAACTAGGCCTTGCCATCTGCAGAAAAGAACTTATGTATCATTTGAAAAGCAGCTCATGACATGCTACAATGCCATGATAAAAAAAAAAATGTCTGACTATGGAAACTCAAGTAACCTTCATGTACTGACTACTATAAGACCAACCAAGATACAAGGTGAGGTAGGCTAATCAGCAATTTATCATAAGATGGCTATTATACATGAAGGATTGGAATTGAACATGCTAGAGATTACAGTAATCTTCACAAAAAGATGACCCACGTATTTATGCCAACTGTATGACACCACTCTTTCGACTCATTCCTGTGGCTTCATGAGCTATCAGCTGCGAGAGGAAGAAAAGGCCCAAACTGAGCTCATGAAAGGGCCAACTTAAAATATGTTTGTAAGATGGAATTTTGTTTTTCTGCAACAAAGTTCCAGGCAAGGATGGTCCTGGAAGATAGTGATGGAGGAAAATCCTATCAACTGGGAGAGTATTGGAAAGTACATCTGGTCATTCACTTAATGTGGAGAGAGAAGCAGCCTTAAGTAAGGGTATACATAAACTCATGAGCAATAAATAACTTAGCTCCCTGTTGAAGAGCCTATAATGAGTGAAATCAGAAGTTCAAGGAGGGGAAAAATGTGTATGGACTTATGGAAATGAACAGAAAGTATTAGCATCACTATACTACTTCTTAATGCCATTGTAGAAGAGGCACTAAGCAACCAAGTGGAGAGAATGACTTCACTAGCTGATGTCAGCTGGATTCTGTCCTCAGCCATCTTAATGCTAGCAAAATAGGTTCATGAATATTGTTCTCATTATGGTAGAGACAGAGGCTATTCGTTGACTCAACAGCTTGGGCTCCCTCTCACCAGCACTGGCCTAACTATTGCTTCCAGTGCAGGTCTGATCTTCCAGGAACAGAAAGTGAAACTGAACCCCAAATGGGGTAACATGCTTTGAGGAAAGCAGCCAACCATATATTGGCAATTAGATTACATCACATCTCTTGCACACTAAAAATCACAACATTCCTATTTCTGCTATAACAAATTACCACAAATGTAAGGCTTAAAACAGCACAAATTTATTTTCTTAGAATATTGAGGTCAGAAATTGAACATAGATCTCACTGGGCTGAAATAATAAAGAATGAGCTGTGCCCTCTGGAGGCTCTAGGGGAGTTTTCCTTTCCTTGTCTTTTCCAGCTTCTAGAGAATGCCTGCATTCCTTGCCCCATACTTCAAAGTGAACGGTGATCCCATCATCTACTTGCACAGTCACATATTCTTCTCAGACTCTCACTCTTCTGCCTCTCTCTTTCCTCTTTTAAGGATCCTTGTACTACATAAGTGCAAATATTTCTCTGGTATGAAAGTGCTGAGTTAAAAACCATACACCATTTAAGTGTTGCTAAGCTGAAAGATACTCCTACCGACAATTTATGATGTATGTGAGTACTCATTTCCCTGCATCATTGCCAAAATTGGGTTTCATAAATCTTTTAAATTTTATCTTATATTATGGACTAAATATGGTATTTCATTGGAGGAAATTTTCATATGCTATTTTTTTAAACTAGAAATGTCATTCATTGAAACTAAATGAGTGAAGGCAGGACTAATGGCAATTTAAAAATATTTTATTAAACCTTCTGCCTCTCATGTTAGACATAGTTATAGGCGAGATTCTACTATTACATAGAGATCTAGGCCTTCTTCCAAATTATAATGCATAGCATATGCTGAAAAATAGTCATATACTTATATATCATGTTTCAATTTTTATATTGAAAGTTATTGTAAATGGTTTGTGCTAAGATCAAACTATTCAAAATTTCCAAATTTCAAGTTTCCATTCACCTCCCTTCCTGGATTTAACCCCTCACCTCTGCAGCCTTTCCATTATGACATTACTTTTATAAACAATGACATTACTTTTACAAACATTTACCTGCCAAGAGTCATCCTCATTATCTGTATTTTCATTCTCTCTCCCTGCCCTCAAAGAGACCCCAGGGAACAATCTGGCTTTCTTGTAGGACTCTTCACAATTCACATGAATTGTTCTTACCTCTTCCCAAATTCTCCTTCATGCTCACCGTTTTCCTTGTATAATATCCAGTTGCTATAGAGACTAATTGTTGTGTCCCTTGCTTCTAGAGTGCTTTAATTCTATTTTAAATAAGAATTTTCACGTTGTTGATTATTCCAGAAAAAAAAAGAGTTTTCTAAGATCTGAAATAAATATACTGTACTTAGTGAGGCAGCAGCTACAACACAAACCAAAAATATTTTTGAAGAAGAAAAAAATGTACAGATGGACAATGAGTGGTGATTCTGATGCTTAAAATGTTTACTAAAAATGATGATTGTCATACTGAGAGAGATGAATTGATTTTTACTTTTTATTCTTCTGTTTTAGACCTTCATGCTTTCTATATGAATGGTTACTTAAGGATTTAGGGAGTCCCAAATTCAGTTAATTTCCATTCTGCCACTTACTACTCTAGGCAAATTGCCAAATGTTTTTGATTTTTAGTTTTTCACCTTTTACATAGAATTATAATAATTTTATAGTTTAAGGGAGGAAAGCTTGGAGCAGTCTCTGGCACTGAACAATACAGATGCTCCACAACTTATGATGGGTGACCTCCCAATAAACCCCTTGTGAGTATGATATTGACTATGGGTTTGTCATAAATAGCTCTTATTATTTTGAGATACGTTCCATCAATACGTAGTTTATTAAGCGGTTTTAGCATGAAGGGTTGTTGAATTTTATCAAAGGCCTTTTCTGCATCTATTGAGATAATCATGTGGTTCTTGTCATTGCTTCTGTTTATTTGATGGATTACATTTATTTCTTTCTGTATGTCGAACCAGTCTTGCATTCCAGAGATGAAGCCAACTTGATCATGGTGGATAAGCTTTTTGATGTGCTGCTGGATTTGGTTTGCCATTCTTTTATTGAGGATTTTCGCATCAATGTTCATCAGGGATATTGGCCTGCAATTTTCTTTTTTTGTTGTGTCTCTGCCAGGTTTTGCTATCAGGATGATGCTGGCCTCATTAAATGAGTTAGGGAGGAGTCCCTCTTTTTCTATTGTTTGGAATAGTTTCAGAAGGCACGTTACCAGCTTCTCTTTATACCTCTGGTAGAATTCAGCTGTGAATCTGTCTGGTCTTGGGTTTTTTGTTTTTTTTTGTTTTGTTTTGTTTTTCTGGTTGGTAGGCTACTACTGCCTCAATTTCAGAACTTGTTATTGTTCTATTCAGGGATTTGACTGTTTTCCTGGTTTAGTCTTGGGAGGGTGCATGTGTCCAGGAATTTCTCCATTTCTTCTAGATTTTCTAGATTTTATTTCCATAGAGGTGTTTATAGTATTCTCTGATGGTAATTAGTATTTCTGTGGGATCAGTGGTGATAGTCCATTTATCATTTTTTATTGTGCCTATTTGATTCGTCTCACTTTTCTTCTTTATTAGTTTGGCTAGTGGTCTATTTTGTTAATCTTTTAAAAAAACCAGCTCCTGGATTCATTGATTTTTTGAAAGGTTTTTCATGTCTCTGTCTCCTTCAGTTCTGCTCTGATCTTAATTATTTCTTCTCTTCTGCCAGCTCTTGAATTTGTTTGCTCTTGCTTCTCTAGTTCTTTTAATTGTGATGTTAGGTTGTCAATTTTAGATCTTTCCTGCTTTCTCCTGTGGGCATTTTAGTGCTATAAATTTCCCTCTAAATGCTGCTTTTGCTGTTTCCCAGAGATTCTGGTATTTGTGTCTTTGTTCTCACTGGTTTCAAAGAGCTTATTTATTTCTGCCTTAATTTCTTTATTTACTCAGTAGTCATTCAGAAGCAGGTAGTTCAGTATCCACATAGTTGCATGGTTTTGAGTGGGTTTCTTAATCTTGAGTTCTAATTTGATTGCACTGTTGTCTGAGAGACTGTTTGTTATGATTTCCATTCTTTTGCATTTGCTAAGGAGTGTTTTACTTCCAATTATGTGGTCAATTTTAGAATAAGTGAGATGTGCTGCTGAGAAAAATGTATATTCTGTTGATTTGGGGTGGAGAGTTCTGTAGATGTCTATTAGGTCTGCTTGGTCCAAAGCTGAGTTCAAGCCCTGGATATCCTTGTTAATTTTCTGTCTTGTTGATCTGTCTAATGACAGTGGAGTGTTAAAGACTCCCACTATTATTGTAGGGGAGTCTAAATCTCTTTGTATATCTCTAAGAACTTGCTTTATGAATCTGGATGCTCCTCTATTGGGTGCATATATATTTAGGATAGTTACCACTTGTTGCATTGATCCCTTTACCATTATGTAATGTTCTTCTTTGTCTTTTTTTATCCTTGTTGGTTTAAAGTCTGTTTTATCAGAGACTAAGATTGCAACGCCTGCTTTTTTTTGCTTTCCATTTTCTCGGTGAATATTCCTCCATCCCTTTATTTTTGAGCCTATATGTGTCTTTGCACGTGAGATGGGTCTCCTGAATACAGCACACTGATGGGTCTTGACTCTTTATCCAATTTGCTAGTCTGTGTCTTTTAATTGGGGCATTTAGCCCATTTACATTCAAGGTTAATATTGTTATCTGTGAATTTGATCAGGTCATTATAATGCTAGCTGGTTATTTTGCCTGTTAGTTGATGCAGTTTCTTCATAGTGTTGATTGTCTTTACAATTTGTTATGTTTTTGCAGTGGCTGGTACTGGTTTTTCCTTTCCATATTTAGAGCATCCTTCAGGAGCTCTTGTAAGGCAGGTCTGGTGGTGACAAATCTCCCAGCATTCGCTTTTCTATAAAGAATTTTATTCCTCCTTAGCTTATGAAGCTTAGTGTGGCTGATAGGAAACTCTGGGTTAAAAACTCTTTTCTTTAAGAATGTTGAATATTGGCCCCCACTCTCTTCTGGCTTGTAGGGTTTCTCCAGAGAGATCTACTGTTAGTCTGATGGGCTTCCCTTTGTGGGTAACTCCACCTTTTTCTCTGGCTGCCCTTAACATTTTTTCCTTCATTTCAACCTTGGTGAACCTGACAATTATGTGTCTTGGGGTTGCTCTCCTTGAGAAGTATCTTTGTGGTCATCTCTGTATTTCCTGAATTTGAATGTTGGCCTGTCTTGCTAGGTTGGGGGAAGTTCTCCTGTATAATATCCTGAAGAGTGTTTTCCAACTTGGTTCTATTCTCCCTGTCACTTTCAGGTACACTAATCAAATGTAGGTTTGGTCTTTTCACATAGTCCAATATTTCTTGGAGGCTTTTTTCATTCCTTTTCATTCTTTTTTCTCTAATCTTGTCTTCATGCTTTATTTCATTAAGTTGATCTTCAATCTCTGATATCCTTTCTTGTGCTTGATCAATTTGGCTATCGATACTTGCGTATGCTTCATGAAGTTCTTGTGTTGTGTTATTCAGCTCCATCAGGTCATTTATGTTCTTCTCTAAACAGGTTATTCTAGTTAACAATTCCTCTAACCTTTTTTCAAGATTCTTAGCTTCCTTGCATTGGGTTAGAACATGCTCCTTTAGCTCGGAGGAGTTTGTTATTACCCACCTTTTGAAGCCTACTTCTGTCAATTCATCGAACTCATTCTCTGTCCAGTTTTGTTCCCTAGGTGGCAAGAAGTTGTGATCTTTTGGAGGAGAAGAGATGTTCTAGTTTTTGGAATTTTCAGCCTTTTTGCGCTGGTTTTTCCTTATCTTTGTGGATTTATCTACCTTTGGTCTTTGAAGCTGGTGACCTTAGTATGGGGTTTTTGTGTGGACATCCTTTTTGTTGATGTTGTTGCTGTTCCTTTCTGTTTGTTAGTTTTCCTTCTAAGAGTCAGGCCCCTCTGCTGCAGGTCTGCTGGAGTCTGTTAGAGGTCCACTCCAGGCCCTGTTTGCCTGGGTATCACCAGCGGAGGCTGCAGAACAGCAAAGATTGCTGTGTGTTCCTTCCACTGGAAGCTTTGTCCCAGAGGGGCACCTGCCAGATGCCAGCCAGAGCTCTCTTGTGTAAGGTGTCTGTTCACACCTGTTGGGAGGTGTCTCCCAGTCAGGAGGCATGGGGGTCAGGGACCTACTTGAGGAGGCCATCTGTCCCTTAGCAGAGCTTGAATGCTGTGCTGGGAGATCCACTGCTCTCTTCAGGGGTGGCAGGCAGGAACGTTTAAGTCTGCTGAAGCTGTGCCCACAACCGCCCCTTCCCCCAGGTGCTCTGTCCCAGGGAGATGGGAGTATTATCTATAAGCCCCTGACTGGGGCTTCTGCCTTTCTTTCAGAAATGCCCTGTCCAGAGAGGAAGAATCCAGAGAGGCAGTCTGGCTACAGCGGCTTTGCCAAGCTGTAGCAGGCTCTGCCCAGTTCAAACTTCCCAGGAGCTTTGTTTACACTGTGAGGGGAATATTGCCTACTCAAGCTTCAGTAATGGCGGATGCCCCTCCTCCCAGCAAGCTGGACAGTCCCAGATCAACTTCAGACTGCTGTGCTGGCAGCGAGCATTTCAAGCCACTGGATCTTAGCTTGCTGGGCTCTATGGGGGTGTGATCCACTGAGCTAAACCACTTGGTTCTCTGGCTTCACTCCCCTTTCCATGGGAGAGAACGGTTCTGTCTCACTGGCATTCCAGGCGCCACTGGGGTACAAAAAAAACTCCTGGAGCAGCTTCGTGTCTGCCCAAACTGCCACCCAATTTTGTGCTTGAAACCCAGGGCCCTAGTGATACAGGCACCGAGGGAATCTCCTGGTCTGTGGGTTGCAAAGACCATGGAAAAACCTAGTTTCTGGGGATGGAACACACCGTTCCTCATGGCACAGTCCCTCACAACTTTCCTTGGTTAGGGGAGGCAGTTCTCTGACCCCTTGTGCTTCCTAGGTGAGGTGATGCCCCACTGTGCTTTGGCTCGCCCTCCGTGGGCTGCATCCACTATCTAACCAGTCCCAATGAGATGAGCCATGTACCTAAGTTGGAAATGCAGAAATCACCCACCTTCTGTGTTGATCTTGCTGGGAGCTGCAGACGGGAGTTGTTCCTATTTGGCCATCTTGCCAGCCACCCCACCCAGATCTTTTTTCTTTAACAAAACATCCACTTTATAACAGTTCTGAGCTATATTCTCCATAAATGAATTTTTAATGTATTTTATAGTGGAAAGTTGGCTAATAAAAGACAAGCTCAAAGATACAGCATTAAACCCTCATGGTCTCAATTCTTACTGAACAGCATCATTTTTATTGTTGTTTCCAAAATGAGATCATCTTTCTCTCTTGCTTTTACGTTAACTAGATTTGCTCAAAGATCTGACGTTAATGTCATCAGCCTGGGCTATTGCATGAGTTCCCCTAACTGAGTTTTAAAATATAGGCAATGGCATGCCGTAGAGGAAGATTTGATCTCATCATGCTGTAAATCACTTGTTTTCCCGAGAAGACTGGAAATGTGACAGGCAGCTGTGCTTTATCAATGTTTTCATTTATACATGTATCTTTCCCACTTCAAAGTTTGCTGAAGAGAAGTGAGATAATGTGATTAGGTGGCCACGCATATTCAGTGTTCTAAAAACTGGGTCATTGTTGAGATTAATTGAAGAATTAAAAAGGTTTAAAGAGGAGGTAAATTTTTGATTTGCATACTTCTCTAAAGAGTCTTGACTCTCGTCAAGCCCCCTCCCACCTTTTGCAGAGCAGCAAGCCAGAGCTTTATATCTAGCAATTTAGTAGTTGCAAATTACTCTTGCCAATGTGGTGATTTTTTTTTCTTTTGACCTAGAGGAAATTATGAGTATTTCCACACTAGATTTATTTTCCATAATCTATCAACTGCATTGCTTTGAGGACACTGAAAATGAGACAGGAGAGTGCGAATGTGACAGATGAGGACTGAAATAATTAAATAGTGCTCAGCATAAGGCTACTATACATCTCTTTGACCAGGCACCTTTTGAAAATCCCTTAAATGCCAATTAAATAAAGACTGCTTAGTGGTGAACATTGCTCAATGCCATTCTTTCTTTTGGCAATTTTGACCTTGTCAGTGGCATTTTCTAAAAGATAAATTAATGGCTTTCTACTAGAAGGGTGATCATAATTTATTCTATTTTGTTCTTCAGTTCATTGGATAGCACTATATTCTATGAACAGTATAAATTATATGAACATATATATGTGAGGATTTGAGAAACAATTCTTTTTAAAAATGTAAAATATAAAAAAAGAAATATTCTTCCACAAACTTATTCACTCATTTATTTATTTATTCATTCATTCAATAAACCAGCTTATATGTAGAGAGGAAAGAGACATATAAATAAATGATTATAATAAAATGAGTCCATATTGCAGTAGATGTGTTTTCATGGTACATATTGGGAACCACAAAGAAAGAATACCTAACCCAAGGGAAAGATATTGGGAAAACCTTCCTGGCAGAGATGATGTCAGCAGCTATTTCTGGTAAATGAATTAAAGTCAATCAGGTGGAGGATAAGATGAAGGATAGCCTGGGTGAAATGAAGTGAGATGAGATGAGTGAAGGACATCTCAAGAAGGAAAAGCATGTGTGAAATCAGTGAGGTAGGGCTAGAGAAAGACCTTTAGGTGGAAACTCAAAATGAAACACTATTTTTTGAAATGACACAAGATATTGTAGATGCTGAAATTAAAATACTTTTATTTTCCTAGATTTTCTATTGGCAACATTCTAGATATATTCATCTAAACTAATCTTTATCATTTGGGGAAGTGAGATGAGATAGATGTGTGTTTCCTTTTATTCCCAGATGCCTACATTTGGCATTCAGTTTACCTAGGGAACTACGGCAGCAATATGCACAAGGGTAGAAGGCAGCTATCATGGTGTGGATTGGATGTAAAGTGAGGCTAAAGAGTTTGGCAGGTTCATGAATCTGCCCTGGTTGATATGCCAAGAAGTTTTACCTTTATTGATGACAGTAGGAAGTCAAGGAAAATTTAAAAATTTTAAACAGAAAAGGGACATGATACACTGCTATAAAGTCCTGGCATACTACTTATTTAATTAAAAAAATTGTGTATTTATTTATTGGGAACAGAGTCTCACTCTGTCACCTAGCTGGAATGCAGTGGCATGATCACAGCTCACTGTAACCTCAAGCTACAGGACTCAAGTCATTTTCCTGCTTCAGTCTCCCAAGTAGCTGGGACTACAGGTGCCACCACATCCAGCATGGTCCAGTTTTCTCTTGAAGAGAAAACAGGGTCTCACTATGTTGTTCAGGCTGGTCTTCAACTCCTAGGCTCAAGCAATCCTCCCACCTTGGCTTCCCAAAGTGCTGGGATTGAGTAAGCCACCACACTCAGCCTAATTCTTATTAAATTCTAAGTCATGGGTATGAGAGCTATGGTTAGGTGAAGGCAGAATAGATCCTCTAAGTTATTATTTTCATGATCCTATATCTTACTCTAGACAAACATTTTACTTCTATTATTTTGTTTATAATGATTTTTCCTTCTCTAATGAAGTATACTTTCCATTAATACCAAGGATATTAAAGGCAGTTCCCTATGGATGGCCAATAAAAGTGGATAAATCAAGCAATATTAGAGTTTATAATGTGACTGGTACTGTGCTTTCTTCTGGTTAATGTCAGTGAATATATCATGAAATAACTGTTACTAAAAACTCAATGCAAACATTACATAAGATAAAACTAAAACCTGAACCCATGGGGTTTATTTTACTAAATAGTTGCTTGCTTTTAGTGAAGAGCAATTTCATATTTTATTTTTAAGCCTACTGAAGACATTGTAAGTTTGATATGTGTTCAAAAGGTATTAAGTTTGTACTTAAAATTTTTCATTTTGAAATGACTATAGCAACCTGAAAACACACAAATTATGCATATTGTTACCAGTGGCGAATCCATACCAGTCTTCAGTAAATTCCATTCTTGCCTATTCGGAGGAAAGAATTCGGCTGAGGGGCATAAGGAAGAGTGAGAGACCAAGGCAAATTTTACAGCAGGAGTAAAAGCTTATTAAGTTTTAGAGCAGGAACGAAAGGAAGTAAAGTAAACTTGGAAGAGGGCCAAGTGGGTGACTTGAGAGATCCAAGTGTTCCGTCCCACTTTGACTTGGGTTTTATCTATTGACATGGTTCCAGGGTTTCCATTTCTCCTTCCTTGATTTTTCTCTTGGGGTGAGCTGCCTGCATGTGCAGTGGTCTGCCAGCACTTAGGAGGGGCCACATGCACAGTGTGTTTACTGAAGTTGTGTGCATGTTTATTTGAGGCATTTTTCCCTTACCAGTCCAGTGTTCCTAGAGGAAGGTCATATGCCAGTTAAACTTTGCCATTTTGCCACTTAATGCAATATTTGAGCCCACTCGCCCAACTCCTGAGATCTTTTCAGAAAGCTTCTGATCACCAGCCTGAGGTGTTTTCTATTTATTGGGAGACTGCCTTTCCCTGACACTTGCTACCACCAGTTATTATTTTAGAGAGACAGTTTAACAACCACCTGACTATCACTTGATGGTAGCCTGATAATCCTGGAGGAGAGGAACCCCTCTTGCCCTGCTCATGTCTGCTTAGCTACCTCCTCTAACAATATTACTTATTTGACTTCTAACAAGAGTTTTCAGGAATATCCATTAGTACAACTATCATTTCATTTAAAAAAATCACATGATTGATTAATCTAATTATTAGTTTTTTATATAAACAAGTTGTGGCTGAGGGTGGAGAATAAAACATCTTGGCAACATTGCCAATGTTGAAACATCAGTACTTAATTGCAAAGCCAGATGAAGTCAACTACATGGCCCTACTAAATCTATGAACTTTACCTTTTACAATTAGAAACTACATATAGAATCTCTCTCTCTCTATATATATGTGTGTGTGTATATATATATATAATACTTACAGTACATATTTTTTAAATTACAAAAATCATACCTTCTATTACAGTAGGTAGCTAGTCAGGCATGAGCAGGGACAGAAGAGTGTCTGCCACCACCAGAAATGTCAGACGACCATCAGGTGATGGTCAGGCAATTGTTACACTGTCTTTCTGAAATAATAACTGTTCACAGCCAGCACCAGGGATAGTCAGTCTCCCTATAGATAAAAAAAAAACCTGAAACTGGTGATCGGCAACTTCCCAATAAGATCTTAGGAGTTGAGCAAGTGGTCTCACACATGCGCACTAAGAGGCAAAATGGTGGAGTTTAACTGCTAAATGACCTCCCAGGGACACTCAGCTGGTAAGGGAAGAACACCTCAGGGGAGCATGCGTACAATGCCAGTAAACACTGCGCATGCTCCCCTCACAAGGCCTAGCCCGCTACTGTTCATGCAGCCCAGCCCAAGAAAGAAGCCAGGAAGAGGGAACACAAGATCCCAGAAGTACGCCAACATATAAAACCCCAAGTCAAAAAGTCAAACCGCGCACTTGTCTTTCAAGTCGACCACTTGGCCCTCTTCCAAGTGTGCTTTGCTTCCTTTTGTTCCTGCTCTAAAGTTTTTTTAATAAAGTTTCACTTCTCTAATCCTTCCCTTGGTCTCTCCTTCTGCCTTACGCCCCTCAGTCAAATTATTTCTTCTAAGGAGACACAAATTGAGGTTGTTGCAGACTTGTATGGATTCACCACCACTAACATATTTTGGTGCCGTGTGACTCAAATAACTCCCATCGCTAACACTTCCAGTTGTAAGAAGTCAAACAGTAGAATAGTAAATGAAGTAAATGGTGTAGGATAAAAAGTGAAATTCTCATCTTCTTTTCTCTCCTTTCCAAATTCCACCCAGAGTTGACTACAGTTACGTGGTTAGTGTGATTATTGCTGGTTTTTTATATTCTACTATTGCAAATAAGTGGAGTTGCAATTTTTTAAGCAAATAAGATCATGCCATGCATTATTTTCTGTATCTTACTTTTACTCCTCAACACATTCTTGAAAAACTTCCCATGTCAATAACAATAGGTAGACCTTTTCTCTTAAATGACTGCAAATTATTTGTTTATTATTGTAAAGTATGTAATTGTACAGGCACAAGATAACTTTAAAAATATTTGTTCTTTTGATAAATTATTACCTTGTATCTCTTCATAAGTTTCAAACAGTGATGCAATAATCCTCCTTTAATATCTAGTTGAAAATACCGTTAAGTCAAAAATGCATTTAATATCCCTAATCTACTGAACATCACCCAGCCTACTTTAAACATGCTCAGAACACTTATCTTAGCCTACAGTTGGGCAAAATCATCTAGCACAAAGACTATTTTAAAATAAAGTGCTGAATATCTCATGTAATTTACTTTACTTTTTTTTTTATATTTTATTTTAAGTTCAGGGGTACATGTACAGGGTCATTACCTAGGTAAACTTATGTCATGGGGGTTTGTTGTACAGATTATTTCATCACCCAGGTCTTAAGCCTAGCAGTACCCATCAGTTATTTTTCCTAATCCTTTCCCTCCTCCCAACCTCCACCCTCTGATAGCCCTTAGTGTGTGTTGTTCCCCTCTGTGTGTCCGTGTATTCTTATCACTTAGCTCCCACTTATAAGTGAGAACATGTGGTATTTGGTACTCTGTTTCTGTGTTAGCTGCTAAGGATAATGGCCTCCAGCTCCATCCATGTCCCTGCAAAAGACATGATGTCATTCTTTTGTATGGTGGCACAGTATTCCATGGTGTATATGCACCACATATTCTTTATCCAGTCTATCATTGATGGACATTTAGGTTGATTCCATGTCTTTACTATCGTGAATAATGTTGCAGTGAACATACATGTACATTTGACTTTATAATAGAACAATTGACATACCTTTGGGTATATACCCAGTAATGAGATTGCTGGCTCGAATGGTATTTTTGTCTTTAGGTCTTTGAGGAATCATCACACTGTCTTCCACAAAGGTTAAATTAATTTACACTCCCAACAACAGTATATAAGCATTTCTTTTTCTCCACAACCTCACCAGCATCTGTTATTTTCTTACTTTTTAATAATAGCCATTCTGACTGGTGTGAGATGGTATCTCACTATGGTTTTGATTTTCATTTTTCTAATGATCAATGATGAGCTTTTTTTCATATGATTGTTGGCCGTCTTCTTTTGGGAAGTGTCTGATCATGTCCTTTGCCCACATTTTTATGGGGTTGTTTTTTCTTATAAATTTGTTTAGGTTTCTTATAAATGCTAGATAGTAGACCTTTGTAGGATGCCTAGTTTGCAAGTATTTTCTCCTATTCTGTAGGCCGTCTGTTTACTCTGTTGATAGTTTGTTTCACTGTGTGGAAGCTCTTTAGTTTAATTAGATTTAGATATGTTAGATTTTAGATTTGTAAAAATTTGCCAATTTTTGCTTTTCTTGCAATTGTATTTGGTGTCTTAATAGCGAAATATTTGCCCTGTGGCTGTGTTCTGAATAGTACTGTCTAGATTGTTCTCCAGGGTTTTTATAGGTTTGGGTTTTACATTTGAATCTTTACTCTGCTTGAGTTAATTTTTGTATGTGATGTAAGGAAGGGGTCCAGTTTTAGTCTCCTGCATATGGCTAGCCAGTTATCCCAGTACCATTTATTGAGTAGGGAATTCTTTGCCCATAGCTTGTTTTTGTCAGGTTTGTCAAAGATCAGTTAGGTGTAGGTGTGCAGTTTTATTTCTGGGTTCTCTATTTTATTCCATTGGTCTATGTATCTGTTTTGGTACCTGTATCATGCTGTTTTTGTTACTGTAGCCTTGTAATATAATTTGAAGTTAGGTAGCATGATGCCCCCAGCTTTGTTCTTTTTGCTTATGATTGTACTAGCTGTTCAGGCTCTTTTGTTGATTTCATGTGAATTTTAAAATAGTTATTTCTAGTTCTTTGAGTAATGTCAATGGTAGTATAATATGAATAGCTTTGAATCTATAAATTCCTTTGGGCAGTATGGCCATTTTAATGATATCGATTCTCCTATCCATGAGCATGGAATGCTTTCTCATTTGTTTGTGTCATCTCTGATTTCTTTGAGCAGTATTTTGTAGTTCTCCTTGTAGAGATCTTTCATCTCCCTAGTTAGCTGGATTCCTAGGTATTTTGGTCTTTTTGTGGCAAATTATGAATGGAAGCTCATTCATGATTTGGCTCTCAGATTGACTGTTATTGGTGTATAGCAATGCTAGTGATTTTTTGACATTGATTTTGTATCCTGAGACTTTGATGAAATTGTTCATCAGCTTAAGAAGCTTTTGGGCTGACACTATGGGATTTTCTAAATATAGGGTCATGTAGTATGCAAACAGGATGAGTTTGACTCCCTCTCTTCCTATTTGGATGCCCTTTGTTTCTTTCTCTTGCCTGGTTGCCCTAGCCAGACTTCCAATACTATTTTGAATAGGAGTGGTGAGAGAGGGCAACCTTGTCTTGTGCTGGTTTTCAAGGGGAATGCTTCTAGCTTTTGCCCATTCAGTATGATATTGGCTCTGGGTTTGTCATATATGGCTCTCATTATTTTGAGATATGTTCCTTAAATACCTAGTTTGTTGAGTTTTTAATGTGAATGGATGTTGAATTTTATTGAAAGCCTTTTCTGCATCTATTGAGATAATTGTGTGGCTTTCATCTTTTTTGTTTATGTGATGAATCACATTTATTGATTTGCATATGTTGATCCAATCTTGCCTCCCAGGGATAAAGCCTACTTTGTCATTGTGGATAAGCTTTTTGATGTGCTGCTCCATTCAGTTTGCCAGTATTTTGTAGAGGATTTTTGCATCAATGTTCATCAAGGATATTGGCCTGAAGTTTTCTTTTTTTGTTGTAGCTCTGCAAGATTTTGGTACCTGGATGATGCTGGCCTCATAGAATAAATTAGGGAGGAGTCCCTACTTCTCAGTTTTTTGGAATAGTTTTAGTAGGAGTGGTACCAGCTCTTCTTTGTACATCTGATAGAATTCAGCTGTGAATCCATCTGGTCCTGGGCTTTTTTTGGTTGGTAGGCTATTAATTACTGCCTCAATTTCAGAGCTGATTATTGTTCTCCTCAGGGATTCAATTTTTTTTTTCTGGTTCAGTCTTGGGAGAGCGTATGTGTCCAGTAGTGAATTCATTTTCTCTAGATTTTCTAGTTTATGTGCATAGAGGTATTCATAATGTTCTCTGATGGTTCTTTGCAGTTCTGTGGGGTCAGTGGTAGTACTACTCCCTTGTTGTTTCTGATTGTGTTAACTTGAATCTTCTCTCTTTTCTTCATTAGTCTAGCCAGAAACGTATCTATTAATTTTTTCAAAAAAATGCCTCCTGAATTCATTGATCTTTTGAATGATTTTTTGTGCCTCAATCTCCTTCAGTTCAACTCTGATTTTTGTTATTTCTTGTCTCCTGCTAGCTTTAGGATTTGTTTACTCTTGGTTCTTTAGGTTTTTTTAGTTGTTATGTTAGTTTGTTAACTTGAGATCTTTCTAGCTTTTTGATGTGGGCATTTAGTGCTATATATTTCCCTCTTAACACTGCCTTAGCTGTGTTCCAGAGATTCTGGTGTGTTGTATCCTTGTTTTCATTAGTTTCAAAGAACTGCTTAATTTCTGCCTTAATTTTATGATTCACCCAAAAGTCGTTCAGGAGCAGAATATTCAAGCTCCATATAATTGTATGATTTTAAGTGAATCCCTTAGTCTTGATTTCTAGTCTGATTGTGTTGTGGTTTAAGAGGTTGTTTGTTACTATTTCAGTTCTTTTGCATTTGCTGAAGAATGTCTTACCTCTGATTTTGTGATCGAGTTTAGAGTGCATGCAATGTGGCAATGAGAAGAATAGATATTCTTTTGTTTTTAGGTCAAGAGTTCTTTAGATACATATCAGGTCCATGTGGTCCAGAGATGAGTTCAGGTCCTGAATATCTTTGTTAATTTTCTGTCTTGATAATATGTCTAATATCGTCAGTGGGATGTTAAAGTTTTTCACTATTATTGTGTGGGAGACTAAGTCTCTTTGAAAATCTCTAAGAACTTTATGAATCTGGTTGCTCCTGTGTTGGGTGTACATATATTTAAAATAGTTAGTTTTTTTGTTGATTTGAACCTTTTACCATTGTGTAATGCCCTTCTTTTCTTTTTTGATTATTGGTGGTTTAAAGTCTATTTTGTCAGAAACTAGGATTGCAACCCCTACTTTTTTCTGTTTTCCATTTGCTTAGATTTTTCTCCATCCTTTATTTTGAGTGTATATGTGCCACTGCATGTGAGATAAGTCTCTTGAAGACAGTATACTAATGGATCTTGGTTTTTTATCCATCTTGCCACTCTGTATTTTAATTGGGGCCTTTGCTCATTTAAGATTCATATTGATATGTGTGGATTTTATCCTGCATTCATGATGCTAACTGGTTATTTTGAAGACTTGCTTATGTGGTTGCTTTATTGTGTCATTGGTCCATGTACTTCATTATGTTTTTGTAGTGGCTGGTAATGAACTTTTCATACTAAATATGGAAAAACTTTCCATATTTAGTGCTTCCTTCAGGAGCTCTTGTAAGAAAGGTTTGGTAGTAACAAATTACCTCAGCATTTGCTTGTCTGGAAAAGGATCTTATTTCTTAGTTTGGCTGGATATAAAATTCTGGGTTGGAATTTCCTTTCTTTAAGAATGTTGAATATTGGCCCCCAATCTCTTCTGACTTATAGGGTTTCTGCTGAAACTTACAGAAGTCTGCTGTTAGTCTGATGGGCTTCCCTTTGTAGGTGACCTGGCCTTTCTCTCTAGCTGCCTTTAATATTTTTTCTTTCATTTTTGACGTTGGGGAACCTGACAATTATGTGTCTTGGGGATGATCTTCTAATGGAATATTTTACTAAGGTTCTCTGCATTTCCCAAAATTCAATGTTGGCCTCTAGCTATGTTGGGGAAGTTCTCATGCATAATATTCTGAAATATGTTTTCCAAGGTGGTTATATTCTCCCCATGCCTTTCCAGTACACCAGTGAGTCATTGATTCAGTCCCTTTACATAATGCCATATTTCCTGGAGGTTTTGTTCATTCCTTTTCTTCTTTATTCTTCTCTATACTTGGCTACTTGGTCTGTCACTCCTGCAATGTTTTATCATGATTTTTAGCTTCCTTGCATTGAGTTACAATGCACTCCTCCTGTAGCTCAGTGAACTTCATTTTTATCCATATTCTGAATTCCATTTCTGTCATTTCAGCCATCTCAGCCTGGTTTCCAACCCTTGTTGGAGAGGTTACGCGGTCATTTGGAGGAAAGAAGATATTCTGGCTTTTTGAGTTTTTAGCATTCTTGCACTGATTCTTTTTCTCATCTTTCTGGGCTTATCTACCTTCATTCTTTGAGGTTGTTGACTTTTAAGTAGGGATTTTTTTTTTAATCCTTTGTGATGACCTTGAGGATTTGATTATGGTATAACGTGGATTCAACCAACTGGCTTTGTTTCTGGGTGATTTTAGGGCACCAATGTTCAGCTCCCCACTCATGGACTGCATGCTCTGACTCTGGGGGACTTGTATTGGGCTGCGATTTTGTTCTCTGACTCCTCAAGGTTTGGAGTCTACTGTGCTGGGAAGACCAATATGTGGCAGCTGCAGCAGAGTACTAGTGGATCCAGGGATGCCTTCCTCTCTGTGGGCTTTTACCATAGCGGCAAAGACAAGGCAGTTGGGGGGAAAGTAGGGGGCCCCTGCTAGAGACTGCATTGTTGCACTGGAGGTGGTGATGGTTTGGGGGATGGTTGCTGGCCGGTGCAGGTCTGGGTGCCTTCTCTGCACCTTGAAAGCAGCAGTGATGGCTCAGGGTGTAGGAGAATCATCTGTTCTCTGCATGGCATTAGTGCAAGAGAAGCATTCTGGTAGGGATGGGGGCTTGTTAGCTCTGTGCTGGCCAAGGCTCCATCTGCAAAGGTGGTCAGCAGGGTTCTGGGGGATGTAGTGCATTCCTGCATGCTGGCAGGGCAAATAAAGCAAAACCTGACCTTGCAGACACATGCTAGCAAAGTGATGTGGGGAGTTTCCATGGGCTCGAGGGAAGCTGCATGGGACTTGCAGGCTGGTGCATGGCCATAAGGGCCACATCACTGGAGCTTCTCCACTGGTTAGGCACAGTACACTGCAGAAGCTATGGTGTTGGCTCACCAGGGCCCTGTAAGTAGGCATGGCCAGACTTGGGCCCATGGAGAGAGAGAGCAGACCAAGGAGTACTCAAGTCAGATCAGACCTGTCTGATGTGCAAGACCACCTGGCAAAGATCAGATCCAACAGTTCTCTTAGGGCTAAGGTCTCTTATGGAAGCAAGTCAAGCCTAGAGGGATGGCCGTCCCTGGCCATGTTCCACGATAGATGCTCCTGCACCGAACTTTCTGGGCTCCACATCAGCTGGCTTACTGCTCCACCACTTTGCTTGTCTCCTGGGGTCTTCTCCCCAGAGAGATGTGGGTTAACAATTGCTCAGTGCAATTAGCCCAGGACGAAGTGTCTGTGCTGTGGGCCAAAGCCAGGAGTTTCCTTTCTGGTGACAAGCAGTGGACAGTGTGTGGGACCCATAGGAGATAAACTGGCCTCCTCTCCTTGGGTCGACTGCAGCTTGTTGAAGATATGGATAAGACACTTAAGGTCTTTGTTCCTTTGTTAGTCCAAGGGTAGCAAGGACAGTTCCACTGCAGAGGCAGTGGCAGAAAAGCTTTCAGTTGCCCCTGCAGGCTCTGTCCAGGGGGTGGCAAGTTGCTACTGGCTTCATAACTCTGGTGGGGGCTGGCTAAAGGCCTAAACCTGGAAGACCTGCCTGGAGAGGAGATGTGAGAACAAGCACCCACGTAACAGTCTGGCCACTTTGCCATAGGGCTGCTGTGGTATGCTGGGGGTCCACTCCAGTCCCTAGTCACCTTGAATTTTCCAGTAACTCGAAGTATCACCAGCGAAAGCTGCAAAACACCAAAGGTGGCAGCCTTCCCCTCTCTCTGGGAGCTCCATCCCAGGGAGATATGGGCCTATTGCTGGCCCAGACATCTGTAGAAGGTGGCTGAAGACCCCAGTTAGGAAGCTCTACCCGGTGATGAGGAATGGGACTGGGAATCCACTTTATAAAGTAGTCTGGCCACATTTTTGTAGAACAGCTGTGCTGTGCTGGGTGTCTGCTTCTGCCCCTGGTGGCCTCAGACACTCTGAAGCCCAAAAGCTGAAATAACTAAGTCTCCCAAAAAGCAAAGATGGTGGTCTACCCTTTCCCTTGGGAACTCCATCCTGGGGAGAACTGAGACCTCTGTCAGCTGGAGAATACCAGTGGGGGAAGCTGGAGGCCCCAGTTGGGAGGCTCCACCTGGTGATAAGAAATGGGATTGGGGACCCACTTAAAAGAGCAGTTTGGCCATGCTCTCATAGGGCAGATCTGATGTGTTGGGGTTCTGCTTCTGCCCCTGGTCAGTTTAGGCTCTCCAAAACCTGAAAGCTGGAATCGCTAAGTCCCGCAAACAGCAAAGATGGTGGCCCACCCTTCCCTCTGGTAACTCTGTCCCAGATAATTTTCAAATCGCTGTCAGCCAGAGAACAGGGGCAAGGGTGGCTCGAGGACCCAGTTGGGAAGTTCCACCCAGTGAGGAGCAATGGAATCGGGGACCCACTTAAAGAAGGAGTCTGGCCATGTTTTGGTAAAGCAGCTGTGCTGTGCTGGGGGAACCTTTCTGCCCCCAGTTGGTCTGAATTCTCCAAAGCCAGAAGGCCTTAATGGCTAAATTGCCCATACAACAGTGATGGCAGCCTCCCTGTCCCAGGGATGCGCAACACTGCCGCCAGTGGTTGGCTGGAATTCCAAGCCAGTGGGTCTTATCCTGTGAGGTACTGTGGAAGTGGGGCCTGCAGACTGTCACTGCTCAGCCCCCTGGATTCAGCCTCTTTCCAAGGGATATGTATGGGGGTCTAACCTCCTGCTTTGCTGGAGTTGCAGCTACTTTTGCTAGGAAGCCTGGAAAGCTTGAGTATCTAAAGCTCCCAGTTCTCTGTGTGTGCCTGAGCGGCTGCTCTGCCAAGCCTCCACCTAGCTCTGTGTGTCAGACTGAAGGCCCTGGTAAAGTGTGTTGATGAGGGGATCTCCTCACCCAAGGGTTGCAAAGATCTGTGGGAGAAGCGTAGGTTCCCAGGTTGCACATTCAATTACTGCTTCCTTGGACTGGTGAGGTTCCCTTGGCTTCCTGTGGCTCTGGGGTGGGCTGTTGTCCTGCCTTGTTTTTCTCATTCTCCATGGGTCAAGTTATTTCCTTAATTAGTCCCAACGCAAGTACCTGGATGTTTTGGTTGAAGGTGCCGTATTTACTCACTCCTTTCATCCCCCTCCCTGAAAGTGAAAAACAATGGTTGTATGGGTACTCGAAATACAGTTTCTACTGAATGCATATTGCTTTTGCAGCAATGTAAAGTAAAAAACTTGTAAGTTGAACCATGGTAAATTGATGACCATCTATATTCAGTCAGTAGTAGATATTATAATGCCTGGACTAAGAACGAGGTACCTGCAATCTCAAGCTATTGAGCAGTTTTCTAGGAGTCCAAGGAGGTTGGAAAGAGGTTGGAAAGAACTCAATTTCTGATGCAAAGGAGAAAATGTTTTTAAATCCAAGAAAGTATTTGTAAACATTTGTCTGCTGCTTTGTAAATGCTTTGTAAATGCTTAACAATTTGCAAAGTGAAAATCTTTGCATTAACATCTCTCTACAGACACACCCTACAAAATGTAAGAGGATAAGTAATGAATATTATTTATTTTAGTTTCATTTCTGAAGCAACATTTTAGGCAAATGAGGATTTTCATTTTGATATCAGATTCTTATAATACAGTAACTAAAATGAATTTGGAAATAGGTGGATGGATTCAAAATATTCACGTAGAAAATACCTGATGTGCTGAAAGGACTAAAATACCTCACTAATTGTCAAAATTTAAAAAAAAATTAAAAATATAGATGGCAGAATAATTTTTATTAAATAAAATTTGAAATTTACGTAGTGGCATTTCTTACTTGTCTGTAAATTGTTTTATTTTTTAAAATGAATCTTATGGTGCTGGGAATGATGGGCTTTTTCATCTTTATTAACACAACAGCACTTATATTGCCTTATTTTTCAAATTTATTATTTTGAACTGCTGATTATATCTGGCTATTTACTCTCTTCAAGCACATTTAGCATTGAGTCAAGATGGTGTCATTTTACATGCAAGCTCCAACACCATTTGAGGCCCTTTGACCCTTCTTCAAATAGCTAATTCCCTGGGGCACAGAGGTGGTGGCAGAGATGGCAGCAAATGACAAGATGCTGAAAATTCTACTGCCTTCATTAGCTACTTGGCTGTCAAGGTCTTTATTTCTCTGCAAGGCTGACTGAAGCCAGTATGATTCACACACTTTATAAGAAAACAATTAAAAAAAATTGATTCCTGAAGGGCCTTGTGGCTACATATCTATGAATATTTTTATGATTTCGATTTTTACTCCTTTCACAATAAAAACCAAAACTAAAATTTTACTTTAGTATTTAATAGCCATGTAAATATCGATATTATTCAGTAATGGTTTATAGTAAATGGTAAATTTAGTATTGCCTTAACAAAGAAACAAAATAGTTTTTTCTTTTTCTCATAGGGGAAATTCTCAGTAGTTTTTGTCCAAATTATGCGTTGTTCCCTGTGGGATGCAGAATTCTGAAATGAGTTATAAAGACCCTTGCTCTTGCATAATCTCTCTTCAAGTATGGGTGGAATCTGTGATTATTGAGAGATATTACTGTCATGATTATTTTTCATTCTATGGCAAAGGCATTTTGCATATGTAAGTAGATTTAATTAAGTTCCCAAATCAGTTGACCTTAAAATAGGGAGATCATGCAAGTGGATCTGACCTCATCATGCTGGCCTTCCAAATCTGATTCTAGAGGGACAGAGATGGAGAAAGTCAGAAGAGCACAGGATTCAAGGTGCTGTTGCTGGCCTGAAGATGAAGGGGGCCAGATGCCAAATAATGAAGGTGGGATCCTCTAGTTGCTGAAAGTGGTCTTTGGCTGACCAGCAGGAAAAGACAGACAGTCTTGCAAAAGGAAGGAATTGAATTCTTCTAATGACAAGAATGAACTTGACGGCAGAATTTCCCTCAGAGCCTCTAGAAAAGATATTAGCCGTGTTACATCATTACTTAGCTTTACAATAGCCTGAAAAGAGAACCAGCAATGGTATGCCATGCTTTTTACCCAATGAGCTGTGAGCTAATAAACAGGTGGTGTTTGAAGCTGCTCAATGTGTGATGCTTTGGTACATAGCAATAGAAACTAATGCTCCTCTTTTCCCCTAAGAAAGCTTAAACTAATCTGTACTAAATATTCCAAATGAACTTCTTATTTTGGATTTTAAAAATTATCTTTTTCTCAGTTATTGTTAATTTTAAGGAGTACTTTTTTTTGTTTTAATACCAGTGTTAAATGTTTTAATTTTTAGCTAATGGTGGAAACATCTCTGAATCTTCATATACTATTTTATTTTGTATATTCAAAAAGGGTTTGAAGTGTTCATTGATAGAGATAAAGGTAAGAAGAGATATGAGCCATTACAATTCACCTCTGTTAAAAAATCCAGATTGGAAAAGTAATAAAACTACATGGCTGTCTTGGACACATCATATTAATGCTAAATTTAATTTAGACAATGAGACTAAAAGCAAACAGGAATGTAATTAAAACCAATTTAGTCAAGAAGAAATCACAAGAAAGATTGCCTGGATTGGAAAAGAAATTTCACGGAAGATGATGCTTTTGAAGATACTATCTATTATCTTCTAAACAGGGGAGTTTCCAGAGAGAGGCTTCAGGGGAAGCATTGGTTAATTTATAATAAAGGTGTTCATATTTATTTGATGTAAGAAGGAATGGTATTCCAAGAAACCAGAGTGCTTTTTTGGTTTTAGATGAGGTGAAATTAAAGAGTAATTCCCTTTTACCACTAAATAGCTGGGACAAGCCTAGGCAACTTGGCAAGCAATAGTATAGGAGATAAGACCTACTTCTGATTTGTTAGTTAATTTTCTCCCAGTGTATGCTTCCATTTTGTAGAAAAAGAAGCAGTAAAAGCATTAGTTTTTACAGCTCAGTTTTAATTTAATTTAGTAAAAGAGCTATGAGGAAAAATAGACATTTTGCCGCTTCTTTCATCTAAGAACTTCTGTTAAATATAGCAATTGACTAATGAAGTCAAAAATTTACTTTCTGCAGATCTTAGCCCTGGAAAACATTGCAGAATCTTGCAAGGCAGCGGAGAGTCAAAAGTGTGCTCCTAATATATAACATGAAGGAGTAGTTCAATGTACTCCACTAATCATCTTGGAGTGTGCGTCAAAGCTTGTTTAAGGAGAGTCTCAATACAAAGGCTATTTTTTGAGAAAGAGTCATTCTAATTTTTAGATCTATTGCTCTGAATACTAATATTGCATTTACTTGGAAACTTATAAGGCTACATTTTATTAAGAAAATTATCACTTAATCTATTTCTCACAGAGAGCAAAAGCCACTGGGATCAAAACTACCAAATATAATGACTGACTAATCTACAGTAATAAGAAAAAAACATGTTGTACATGTTCTGGGTATCATACTAGGATTCATCACAGAGACAATTCAGTATATAACTCGTACAAAGTGCGAATACATTGCGATTACTCTTCACTGAAGGAGTCACACCTGGAGAAGGAGTCAGTTTTTCTCTTATATAACCAGCTTGTATTATTTCCAGATCTAAAACTCAAAAAACTAATTCACTATTTTATTAATTAAATATTCCTTAGATGCCAACTTTATATAGCAATAAACTAAACAAATCTTGTTTTTCTGTGGCTTATATTTTAGTTGGAGAAAAATGCAAGCACAACCTGAGAGACATTATGAATTTGAATCCAGGAAGGAAAGATATATACGTGTTAATTTTTATTAGTTAAAATTTCAGTATAGGATGCGGGAATGAATTTCTAGGGTCCTTGATAAAGAATCTGGATGAAAGTATTGGTAGCTGATGAATTTATCAAAGATTCTTAATTGAATTGTGTGCTTTGGCTAACAAAACCTGGGATTCAATGGTGGTCCACCCTAAATGATGATGAAATTACAGAAATTTCTCTGCTATAATATATTAGATGAAATAAAAGGGCTTTGAGTGATAGAGGCTGGGGTATAATTTTAATGCTTGAATCATCGTGTTCCCACCACTTATGTTCTGTTCAGGAATCCAGGTCACTCATTTCACCATGACCTAGAGACCTACATCAATAAAGGAAGCATCACAATGCGGATGGGAGTTGAAATATCCTGTAATTAGAATAGGGTCCCAAGTACTGTTGAAGAAAAGAGGATTGTGAGGTAGCTAAGACCGTGAAGTAGCATTTAACTGGCTAAGGCAAATTAGTCATGTTTTCTAAAATAGCCAGCAGAGCCTACATGGTAATTAGAGAGATTTGTTGGTGATTAATGGTTATGACATTAATCAGAACATAATCCCATGTATGGGAGCTACATACATAGGCATCCTGCTAAGGTCCTATTTAGCATGTGAAATGGACGGCCACCCTGACTTGAAGAGAGACTTGACTTCACCCATCACTTTAAAAAATTATGACCTTTCCCCATATCTGAGAGCTGACTCTCAAAGTATTAGTGGACATCCTTTATGAAGAACCTTAAAATAACACTGTAAATATGTCTGCGGAGGTGGCCTTCCCTGAGGAAATGTAGAAACACCTGTGACAGCAAGTGAATACTAGGTAAAAGGATCTAGACAGACATCTAGGGGATTATTAGACATTGGCTTCGACTCAAACAATAACTAGAGATCTGTATAAACACCTGGAGCCACTGGTCAGAGGAGATTCTTACGAGTGTTAATTAATGATTTTTAAAAATGATTGTTGTTTCTAGCTTAGATTAATTGACCTTAGGATATGACTCTACTTATGGGCCAGCGAGATAGTAAGCATCAAGTTGCTCGACTTCCTGTTTTAGAGGTAAAAAATGAAGCTCAAGGAAATTAAATGACTTCCTTTAGTGCAAAGCTGGGATAAAAACACAGATCTTCCAAATGCATGCCTGGTTACTAAACCAGGTAATGTCTGGATCCTCTCATCTGAGTAGAGGAATGGGAGTGGAAAAAGAACTGGATGTTGTCCAGCTTCTAAGAAAGAAATGAGAAGGGAAGAATTATATTCCCTTCATTCTTCATTTTGATGTTAAAATTGTATTTTATTTAAATTGAAAAATGATCATACATCTCTGCCTCTTTTGGTGGCGGGGGAAGGGAGTCTGACAGGAAAGACAGAGGATGGCAATCACAATGAATGTCTCAAGACCCTTTCAGGTTGAGAACAATGGGAACCTGGCAGACAGGAGGCTCAAGACTGAGGAACACCATGATAAGGGTCCAAGACATAGAACACCAGCTTTTGTTCCAGGGAGACATGCAGGATTTAGGGCTTCCAGCTGCCCAGTTTACTCTAGAGAGGGAATAGTAGTAGGGCCACAGAAGAGCACATAGAGGAGCAGGGACATGGATGAAGCTAGAAACCATCATTCTCAGCAAACTAACATAAGAACAGAAGACCAAACACCACATGGCCTCACTCATAAGTGGGAGATGAACAATGAGAACACATAGATACAGAGAGGGGAACATCACACACCAGGGCCTGTCAGTGGATTGGGGGCTGGGGAGGGATAGCATTAGAAGAAATAACCTAATGTAGATGAGGGGTTGATGGGTTCAGCAAACCACCATGACACGTGTATACCTATGCAACAAACCTGCATGTTCTGCATATGTATCCCAGAACTTAAAGTATAATTAAAAAAAAAAAAAAAAAAGAAGAAGAATTAACTCTTGTGGATGGGCACAGTGGCTCACACCTGGAATCCCAGCACTTGGGGAGGCCAAGGCAGGCAGATCGCTTTAGGTCAGGAGTTCCAAGATCAGCCTGGTCAACATGGCAAAACCCCATCTCTACCAAAAATACAAAAGTTAGCCAGATGTGGTGGGGGGTGCCTGTAAGCCTAGCTACTCGGGAGGCTGAGGCAGGAGAATCACTTGAACCCGGGAGGTGGAGGTTGCAGTGAGCCGAGATCGTGCCATTGCACTCCAGCCTGGGCAACAAGAGTGAAACTCCATCTCAAAAAAAAAAATTAACCTTGGCTTGCTTAGAGTTGTAAAGTATTATAAAGTGGTTATACATTCTGCTTTCTGGCACAGTCCTGCTTTACCCTTGCATCCTAATTTTGTTAATAAATTATATGGTCAACTATTTAAGAGGCATTGATGGGTATTTGATCATAGGTTCACCAAATGATTATGCAATCCAAGTTTTAATAATAAAATATGTGTTGTTAATTACTTTGGCACATGCCCAGCAGCAATCTACCATCAAATATAAATAATCTAGTTTATGAAAACTAAATCAAGAGCTCCTGAAGACACCTTTGAGTTGAATGAGTGGGTGGTTCACACACCACACACATTGTGTGCCTATGCTAGGCATAATGATGGCTCTTCTTTAACCCATACTTGTGGCTTTGCGGTAAGTTTTTTTGTTTGGTTTTTTTTTTTTGAGAAGTTGGCTAAGGAGAAAAAAAAATGAAACCTAAGTTATAGGTGATTCTTCATGATATAGTGATCACATTTGGAATTAAAATTCTGTGGTGTTATGTTATAGCTCGAAGGTCATAATGAGAGAAGGTTGCACATGTCTAGGCCATTCAAAATGTGCTTCTAGTATAAGAGTATTAGATTACCACATAAATATGCAACAAAAAGTTGATCTTGTAGAGGAGGATTTAAATAACTATATTGATAATTTAGTTGTTTTGCAATTATCAGCCACTTTCCTCTGCAACTGTCATATGATATGCTCAAAGAACTCAAGAACAATATGGCTATGTTGGCAGAGAGATATCCCTTCAACAAGGCCAAATGTGGCATGCCACAGGTAATGCTCCATTTACGTCAATACAAAGCCACTATTGTGGTCTCATTAAAGAGAGTATTCTTAGTGTAAAACATATTTTCTGAAACACCATTAAGCTTGGGAAAAACTACTTATTGTTTTTTCATTAAAATAGACATTTATTTCAAATTTATAGTTACTTTCCTTGTTGATCTTGTTTCCCACCGGTACTTCCATTTAATAAATCTGCATATGGCAGTCCTTGTCCATTTCAACCAAGGAACTTCATTTACCGCAAAACAAAGTAGTCTGATGTCCATGAGACTCATGGGGCTTATCACTTATCTGTGGTTTTATAGAAATGTGGAATAGTCTAGTTAGACTTGTTACAATGCCAACTGAGAAAAAATTATTTATCTGTCTTCTATCAAAGTAGTGGGTGCTTTAAAGAGGGGAGTGTTATCTTACTAAACTAGCAAATAGTAAATGAAGAAAAAAGTTGTATGGTGAAGTAGTTAAGAATTCCAGTTCAGGATGCATCTGTTTCAGATACAGTAATGGAAATAACTAAAAAATAATAATAGTAAGAGCATACATAGAACAATGATGCTCAAGACATTGGACATCATTCTATAAAGAGTAGTGATGTTTTATAGAAGAAAAGAAATAAAGAATTCATTATTATTGATCCAGATTACTAGATGGAGAAATATTCTGGGCCACAGTGTAGAGAAAGGGAATCCAGGCTGAATCTGATGCTTTCCCTGAGTTGAGATGGAGCTGGAAGTCTGAGGAAGCAAAGTTGTCTAGAGCCCTCAGGGCAGAGTGCTAGAGAAAAGAGAGATGCACAGAAAAAGAACTCTAAGGACCTGAAGAAGGTACCCATGAAGGTTTCAATTAAGTACTGATTTGCACACTCATGTGAAAAAGCTAGCTAATACAGAAAAAAAATAACTATCCAAAGGAATTAGAAAGAAGAGTGTCCTAAGTTCCAAAAGGTTGACAATAGTGTCTGTTCCTAACACCCAAAGTAGAAAACCACAATTCATGAGGCATCAATTAGAGCACTAACAAAGGTCTTGGCTCAGTAGTGGGGGAAATTAACCCAAGAATAAACAGTAATATGGTCCATTTAATGAAGCTTAAAATATAAAGACTTGAAAGGATTAAATAATTTGCAAGTAACAACTGCATCCAGTACAAAGCCCAAGAAGATTTAAGCTTTTTTAAAAAAAATTCTTTTAAGCTTTTTTTTTTTTAATTTGTACATAACAGGTGTACATCTTTTCAGGGAACATGTGATAATTTAATATATTCATATACTTTGTAAAACATCAAATCAATGTAATTGGGATATATATCCATGAACTTAAATATTTGTCTTTATGCTAGAAATATTGAAATTATTCTCTTCGAGCTATTTTGAAATATACAAGAGATTATTGTAAACAATAGTCAATACACTAGGAGTACTGAATCCAATTGGAGTTTTGAATCAAGAGGGAGGGTTGAGAAAAAAATGTGTGAAAAGATAATGGCTAAGGATTTCCCAAAGCTGATGAAAGCTATAAAGGTATAGTTACTAGAAGCACAAGAAACATGAAGAAAACATGAAAGCATGCAATAATCAAATTGCTTATAACAATAATAAAGAGGAAATCTTGGAAGACAGGGAAAAAAAGACATTATGAAGAGGACAAAGGTAATGATAACAGAGGTTTTTTTGTTTCGTTTTGTTTTGTTTTGTTTTTGGAAATAATGTAAGCCAGAAGGCAGTGGAGCAATATCTTTAATGTACTGAAAGGTTAAAACTGTCAAACTAGAATTTTTAACTCAGAAAAAAACAACTTACAGACAAAAAAGTAAAACAAAGACAGTTTTAGACATGCAAAGGCTGAAATAATTTAACACTAGGAGACCTGAACTATAAGAAAATATCGAAAGGAAGGTTTCCAAGCAGAAGAAAAATACTGGCTGGGCACGGTGGCTAACATCTGTAATCCCAGCACTTTGGGAGGCCAAGTGGGCAGATCACGAGGTCAGGAGATCGAGACCATCCTGGCCAACATGGTGAAACCCTGTCTTAAAAAAAAAAAAGAAACAGAAAAAAAGAGAAAAATACTACCAGATGGAGATCTGGATCTACACAAACAGATGAATAATACAGAAATTGTAACTACTTGAATAAATATGAAGAAATGTATTATTATTATTTGTTTCTTTAAAAGAGAATTTACTCTTTAAAGCACAAAACAAGAACATATTATTCAAGGGGGTTATAAAATGTATGGCAACAATAGCACAGAGAGACAAGGAATGGGAAGAAGTACACTAGGACTCCTAGTCAATACACTAGGAGTCCAATGTTAGTAAGTTCTTATACTATATAAGAAGTTTTGTAATATGGGCCCAGAGTGGGGGCTTACACCTGTAATCCCAGCACTTTGGGAGGCCAAGTTTGGTGGATCACTTGAGGTCAAGAGTTTAAGACCAGCCTGGCCAACATGGTGAAACCAAGACTCTACTAAAAATACAAAAAAGAAAAAAAAATAGCCAGGCATGGTGGTGCATGCCTGTATTCCCAGCTACTAGGGAGGCTGAGGTGGGAGAATCACTTGAACCCAGGAGGCAGAGGTTGCAGTGAGCCAAGATCACACCATTGCACTCCAGCCTAGGGAACAAAACAAGACTCCATCTAAATACAAAAACAAACAACAAAAAAGAAAGTTGTGTAATATCACTTGAAGGTAGACTGAGGTAGGCTAATGTTGTTTGCCCTAAACCATAAAGGAAAAAGTAAAATAACACTAATCAGAAATTGTAGCTAATAACCAATAGAAAAGAAAAACCACAATCATAAAGAGTACTTAATATAAAAGAAGGCAAAAAAAGAAAACAAAATATGAACAAAGATCTAAAGGAATAAGTAAAACTTCAATAAAAAATGGAGTAAGTTTTAAATTTTCTAAATCAAAAATTACATTACATATAAATGATATAAATATCACAATTAAGAGGCAGAGACTATAAAGTTGTATAAAATTGCAAGACCCAATTTCAGCCACGTGCTGCATAACATTTTGGTTAAAAACAGGCAAAATATATGATGATGATTTGAGTAATAGGCTATATCATGTAACCTAGCTGTGTTATAGACTATACCATCTAGGTTTGTGTAAGTACACTCTATGATGTTTGTGGAATGACAAAATTACCTAAGTATGTATTTCTCAGAATGTATCTCCATCATTAATTGATGGAGGGTTTAATATGCAGCTTATAAAACACCTACTTTAAATATAAAGACATAATAGATGCAAAGCAAAATAATCTAAAAAAATGCCATGCTAGTACTACCCAAAAGAAAGCTGGAGTGAAGATATTAGTATTAGACATATACTCCACTTTCTGGTTCATAGTTCACACCTGTGTCCTCATAGGGTGGAAGGTGCCTGCAGTACCCTTGAGCCTCTTTTATAAGGGCACCAATTTCATTCATGAGGATCATACCCTCATGACCTAATCACCTCCCAAAGGCCCCACCTTCTAATACCACCACATTGGTGATTAGGTTTCAACATGTAAATTTTAGGGACATATAATTATTGAGACTATAGCAACACATGAAAAATTTGTATATGTAAAACGTTACTGAAATTGAACAAAGTTTATGCATGTAAAACATTTACTGAAATTGAACAAAGATCTAAGGAATAAGTAAAACTTCAATAAATAATATTCTAGGCCATAAAACTATTCTCACAATGATAGAAATATTTTAAGTTATAGAACATATATTGTCTCACCATGATGAAATTAATAAAGAAATCAGGGAAAGATATTAGAGAAAATGCCTCAAAGATTTAGAAATTAAATATCACAATATTTGTAGGCCAAATAAGCAACTGAAAGGTAAACTAGAATAAATTTTGAACTAAATAAAAATGCACACATCAACATTTGTAGGATATAGGTAAAGCAATATTTAGTGGGTGATTTATGGCACTAAACACCTATATTACAAAAGAAAAAAAGTTAAAAATTCATGACTGCATAAGGAAAATTTTAAAAACTAAGAACAAATAAAGAAAAAATAAAATCTGGACAAATCAGAATAAAGGAAACAACAAAGATCAAAGCAGACATGAATGAACTAAAAAAATAAAAATAATACAAAAATTATTAAAATGAAAAGTTGATTATTTGACAATATCAATAGAATTGATAAACCTCTACCCAGACTGATAAGGAAAAAAATAAATTATCAATATCAGGAATGAAGGGGGTGGCACTACTATAGATTCTACAGGTATTAAATTTATAATGATAAAAAAACTGTGCCAATAAATTTGCCAATGTAGATGAAATGAAAAAATTCCTTGAAAGACATAAATTTAAAAAGTTCACTCAAGAAATACATAACTTGTAGAGTTATATATTTATTAACGATATTGAACTTAGTTTTAAAAATATTTTTACAAGAAAACTAAATGCCCAGATTGTTTTACTGGTGAATGGTATCAAATATTCAAAGAAGAAATAAATGATGCAAATTCTGTCTAAGTTATTCTAGAAAATTGACAAAAAGGGAATAATTACCAATTAATTATTAGGCTAGTTTAACTCTTAAACCAAAACCAAACAAAAATGTTACAAAAAATGAAAACTACAGACAAATAGTACCCAAAAGTATACCTAGAAAAGTTTTAAGAAAATGATAGCAAAAGACTCCAACAACGTATAAAAAGGATAATACATCATCACAAATTAGAGTTTATCTCAGGAATGGTTGGGTTACCACTCAATATTAAATCAATTTAATTCCTTAATAATATGTGTGTATGTGTATATGTAATTATATACATCCATATATATGGATGTGTTATATTACATATACACACACACATATATACACACATATATATGAGTGTGTGTGTGTATGTAATATAATACACCCATATATATGGGTGTATGTATATTATATAATACACATATATATGGGTGGGTGTGTATGAGTGTGTGCATATTTATGTATATACACTGCACACACATATACACATGCATATATATATACACACACACACACCCTTATATATATGGGTGTATTATATTGCAAATGGGTCTATTGTATTATGGGTGTATTATATGTGTGTGTATGGGTACATATGTGTGTGTATATGTGTGTCTGTATATATATATATATATATATATACACACCCATATACACACACTTAGATATTATATAAGGAATATATGTATATACATATAAAACACAGTCATTTTAATAGTTGCAAAATAAATGCAAAATTTCTGACTTTAAAAAAAAACTTTAGCATACAATCTTAATACAAATTTTTAGCACACTGGAAATAGAATGAGATTTCCTCAACTGGATAAAGGACACCTAAAATAAATCTGTAGCTAACATGATACTTAACATACAAAGACTAAATGCTCTCCCTCTAGATCAGGAAAAAGAGGATGACTGCTCTCACCCATTCCACTCAATACTTTCCTGGAGATTCTACTCAGTACCTTAAGGCAAGAAAAAGAAATAAAAGGCATCCAGATTTGAAGAGAGTAAGTAAAACTATATGTGAAGATATATAATCATGTGAGTAGAAAATCCTATAAAATCAATAAAAGTCTAGTAGAACTAATAGGTGAGTTTAGCAAGGTTTTAGCATACAAAATCAACATACAAAAAATTCATTAGCAGTGAGCAATCAGAAAATTATTTTATTAAAATATTATTTTTGTATAATACAATCCAAAATATGAAGCACCCAGAAATGCATGGGCAAAAGAAATGCAAAGATTGTACAATGAAAATGGCAAAACTTTTTGAAGTAAATTAAAGACCTAAATAAATGGAAAATTATACCATGTTCATAGACCAGAAGACTCAGTATTGAAAATATGTCAATTCACAAATTGACCTATGCATTCAAAGCAATCTTGATACAATTCCATCAGGCCTTTTGGGTAAAATTTGGAAAGCTGATTCTAAAAATATTATAGAAATGCAAAATATCTGTAATAGCTAAACGACTTTAAAAAAGAACAAAATTGAGGTCCTATACTGACTTCAAGATATATATTCTACACTATCAATGTACTGTGGTATTGCTATTGATAGACAAATCATTGATAGAACAGAAGATAATCCAGTAAAAGACCCACAACTGTACAATCAATTGTCTTTAGACAAAATGCAAAGCAATTAAGTGGAGGAAAAATTTTCTGTTTAACAAATAATTCTAGAACAAGATATGCATGAGTATATTAGTTTGTTAGGGTAGCCATAACAAAGTACTACATATTGGATGGCTTGTTAAACAGAAATTTCTTGTCTGAAAGTTCTGGATGCCACCAGGCTTGGTTCCTTCTAAAGGCTGTAAGAAAGAATCTGTTCCATGTCTCTCTCCTATCTTTTGGTAGTTTGTTGGCAATCTTTGGCATAACTTGGCATCACCTCAAACTTTGCCTTTATGTCCACATGGTCCTCTGTGTGTGTGTGTCTCTGTGTTTAAATTTCCTGTTTTTATAAGGCTGGCAGTCACATTAATAACCTATTAGTCACTCTATGAATCTTGTCTTTACTTGACCATCTGCAAATACCCTGTATTCAGATAAGGTCATATTCACAGGCACCACAGATAATGAGGGTTAAGATTTCAACATCTTTACAGGGAATACATTTTAACCTGTAACAATGTGCAGAAAATAAACTTTGATGCATACCTTATACCGTATACAAAAATGGACTCAAATGGATCAGAGATCTCAATGTAAAACCCAAAAGAATAAAACTTCCAGAAGTATAGGAGAAAATTATTGTGACATTGGCTTAAGCAAAGGTTCTTAAATATAACACCAAAAGCACTATCCAGAAAAGAAAAAAATAGCCTTCATCAAAATTAACAACTTTTTCTTTTCAAAAACTGTTAAAAGACTGAACAAAATAAGTCAAGCCAAAGACATGGAAAAAAAAATTGCTAGTTATATATCTAAGACAAGGCTTATCCAGAATAGATAAATCACTCTCAAAACTTAATAAGAAACCAAATAATCCAATTAAAAACAGTCAAGTATTTAACACACACTTCACTAAAACAGATATACTGATGACAAACACATGAAAAGATGCTTAGCATCATTACTCCCTAGGAGAATGCAAATTAAAACCACCTTGAAATACTAATATATACCTATTAAATGTCTAAAATTAAAAAGTCCTGTCATTTCAACTGTGTATGTGGAACATGTGAAACTGTCATGTATTGCTGGAAGGAATACAAAATGGTGCAATCACCTTAGAAAACTGTTTGGCAGCTTCTTTAAAAATTAAGCATATGCCTGCCATGTGATTTTACCTTTATCTCAAGGTATTTCTCGAGAAATGAAAGCATACTTCCATACAAAGACTTTTACACCAATGTTCTTTGCAGCTTTATTTGTAAAAACCAAAGACTGGAAACAACTCAAATGTCAGTGAACTAGTGGATAAATAAATTGTAGTGCATCTATAAAACAGAATACTACTAAGCTATAAAAAGAAATGAATTATTAGTACTGTATTAATCCATTTTTGCACTGCTATAAAGATGCTATCCGAGGCTGGGTGATTTATAAAGTAAAGAGGTTTAATTAACTCACAGTTCCACATGGCTATGGAGGTCTCAGGAAACTTACAGTCATAGTGGAAGGCAAAGGAAAAGCAAGTACCTTCTCCACAAGACCGCAGGAAAGACAGAAAAAAGCCCAGGGGAAACTGCCACTTATAAAACCATGAAATCTCATGAGAACTCACTCACTGTCATGAGAACAGCATGGGGGAAACTGGCCCCATGATCCAATTACCTCCTACTAAGTCTCTCCCTGGACATGTGGGAATTATGGGTATTACAATATGAGATGAGATTTGGGTGGGGACACAGCCAAATCATATCAGGTACATACAACAATATGAATAGATCATGAGTGAAAGAAGCCAGGTTAAAAGATGGCCTACTCTATATCTGTATTTATATAAAATTCTAGAAAATGCATACTCACCTATTATGCTAGAAAGTGGCTAAGTAGTTGCCTGAGAATGAGGGTTCACAGAAGAGTGAGAAAAAGGGATTACAGAGAAGTATGAGAAAATTATTGGGTGGAAAAGTTTATGTTCAGTATCTTGACTGTGGTGCTGGTTTAATGGGTTGCATATATATTAAACTATCAAACCGTACATTTCAAATGAGTTCATTGTGTAAATTATACCTCCCTAAAACTGTTAACAAAAAAAAAGCTTCAGACTATAGGGGATCAAAATTATACCTCCAAATATGGTGTTTTGACATACTGATCTAAACATGCAGCCTCAAGATCTCTCTGACCTTCCCCACCTCACAAAGAGGAACACAAATGCCTTTGATCCCATCCCTAAAATTTCATTAACCAGAGAAGATTAAATTTCATACCACAGAGAACAAGACTGAAAATTTAACAGCACATCTAGAGCCCAAACTATTGTTTGCTTTCATGTCCTATTCACTTTACAAAAAGAATTATTTACAAGCTAATTTCTGTCTCATGGGGCCTTTCATCTCTCCTAAAATGCTTTACTAATGTTCTAAAATTGCCTATAGCCCCCCAGTTTTCTCTCGGTTCTGAAGAGGGTGTTCGAGCTTTAACCATCCAGCCTTCTTGGAGTCTCATATTGTGCATATGGCTCCCACATTTATGCTCATTAATAAATACTATACTGTTTTCCTTTATGCAGTAAATTTCTATACTGTTAATTTGTTTATTGTCAATTCATTTAAAAAGGTTTAGACTTGAACCTTCAGAAGGAAACAATTAAAATTAATTATATTTTAAATATTACCATTTAAACATAGTCTTCAAAATCAACTGTATATTTAACACTTAAAGCTCATCTCAATTCATACTAGCCCTACTTCAAGTGCTTAAGAGCCACTCTCGTGACTTGTGCCTTTCATATGGGAAAATGTAGGTCTAGAGGTTGCAAAATATTCAAAGGAGATGCGACAGAACCAAAGGACAAACGTACATTACATGGTGATGCTGACTTTAATACTTGGATTGTCTCCTTTTGGGAAACAAATGAGTCTCTATTGAGCTTTACCAAGAATATTTTTATCATGTTAGGTGGAAAATTTGTGGACAGAATCTTTTTAACTATTCAGCATCAATTGCTCCATCCTGTTTTGGAGAAATAACCCAAATTCTGTGATTCAGTGGAGGCTACCATTCAGTTTACTGAATGTCAAAGGACAAAAAATTGTCTTTCTGCATCCTGAAATTCAAGATTCAGACACGTAACTCAGGCTGGGCCAATCATACATATCTTCCAAGGACTCAGTAAATTAAATAGAGAAATGTAGAAAAAGTTTATAATATTAACAGAAGTGGCCTTGAGAGAGGCAAAGAGAGGCTCAGCAGTGACCTTGTGCATGCAATATCATTCGAACCAGACCATTTCTGGGTTATAAGATGTACTGTTTCCTAGCGTTACTTTGTTCTCGCAGGTGTTCCCGGCCTTTCCATGAATCCCTGATTTCCAGGGGTTTTGTAGACTACCGATTTCACCTTTTATTTTACTACTGCCTTGTAGTAAAGTGCAAAAATTTAGGAGCCAAATGACCTGAGTTTGAATCTTGTCTTCCCTGTTCATCAGCCTCCAGGACTTAGACTCATTATTTTACATTTGTTTTCTCAGTTTCTTCACCTACAAGTAGCAATGATAATTGTACCTACTTCCTGGGTTGTTATGAAGTTCAATGAAATAATCCATGCATAGTAAGTATACTTATTATATGCACTTATTATGTACTCAACATCTACTTTCTGATATCTGAGATTTTCTTATAATTTAAAAAAGATATTGAAGGTCTACTGTGTACCAGGTACATATAAAACAATACTTTTCATTTTTAATCTAAAATTATCTTAATAAATCATAATAATTATTGTTCCACATCCCTATAATTTTGGGAAGGAGCTATGTATGGCCTGATGAAATCACTGACATGGTAAATGTGGTATAAATTATTTGCCATTGAGTAATATGTCATGTTTACTTGTTGATTTTGCTTTGTTTTGTTTTTTTGAGACAAAGTCTGGCTTGGTCACCCAGGCTGGAGTACAGTGGTGTGATCTTGGCTCACTGCAACCTCCACTTCCTGAGTCCTGGGACCACAGGTGAGCACCACCATGCCTGGCTAATTTTTTCTTTTTTTAGGAGAAACGGGGTTTTGCTCTGTTGGCCAGGCTGGTCTTGAGCTTCTGGCCTCAAGTGATCTGCACACCTCAGCTTCCCAAAGTGCTGGGATTATAGGCGTGAGCCACTGTGCCCGACCTTGTTTGCTTTATCAGCTTACTGTTGGCATACAGCTTACTCCTCTAGCTTAAAGAGTCTAGACAAAATGACATAATACCTACACTAATCCTCAGATGTGGGCATTACTGTTTCATTTTTGGGGGTAAAGAAATTGATTCAGAGAAATTAGGTCGTTTGCCTGCAGTTGCACAGCTGATGTGCACCCAATTATACGTTTTATTTGATTGTAAGTTTAATTTTCCCAGACAAGGGTTATAATATAGTATTGGAAGACCCTTAATTAGTAGATATACAGTTCATAAAAGGATTCTGCCATTATTGAGAACATTCTTGATATTTGCAGAAAGGTAAGCCAAGCCTCAAAGAATGGATGCCTCATAAATTTATTTAATTTCATTGACATCACCACTTTAATCCCTCATCTTCTCCAATTTTCCCTTCTTTTCTCAAGTCTATGATCATAAATATTTCCATAACTATAAACAGCTCATTATTTAAGTAGCTTTAGTCTAAGATAATTCTGGAAATTTAGCTGAATTTTCAAGGGAAAAATTGTGCTTATCTTTCAAGAGAATGATTTCTAAGTTCTCATTATTGCTGTTATAGCCAATTCAAACAAAATAAGGTTTAAGATAAGGGATTTTTATAAATGCTACCCCTAGACTTTTCCAGGGGACTAAGTGACAGATTCTATCCAGTAATATTGAAACTATATGGAAGTGGAACTAAACTCTTCCAAGAATTCAAATCAAAGGCTGTATATCTAAATTTCTACATCTTCTAATCCAGTATGTGTTAACTTTTCTTTTTCAACTGTTTTTAAACTAGCAGAGGCTTTGAAATAACTATGGAACTTTACTGGCCAAGACTGTCTCTGATAACACTTTGACTTCTAACCATGAACATGTGTGAATTCTCTTCTTCCTTCTTAAATCATTCTCAAAGCTTCTCATCTTGCCTCTATTTCTATGGCTCTCTTTGCTATTTATTTTTGGAAATGATTTATTTTAAACACAAAGAATTAACTTCTTTATCAGCCTCATTAATAAAAAGCATCTCTATGCTGTAGAAATACACTAGTCAGCCAATTTTCAGCTGCCATTTGCCTTTGTATAATGAGCTCATCATGAAACATAAAGTGCCAGCCTGATTATAGCAAAGCCTCAGGTAATAAAAAATACACAAAACACAAAGCAAGCTACATACTTCATACCTTTCAGATAGCACTGATAACCTTCTGTCTGCATTTTCTGTAATGTTATTCCAAGTTGAATCCAATATTGAATGATTAACAATGATGGACAAAAAAGTTTTGCCAAGTGAGAATCAACTTGTTCATACCATTCATTCACCCATTATTTAATACTCATACTAATCATATTTAAGAATTAAAAAGTAAGCAATCAAATGATTTTTTTTTCTTTTGGGATTGGTTTGTAAATTTCCATATGTATTCTGTTGCCAAGAGAAATAAACAGATTGAGTAAACGACAAGGCAACATATCCATTGTTATCAGCTGGAAATGTTTTCATATGAAGGCAATACTTACATGTGGCATCCACAGGCTTTTGATTAATAGAACTCATTCAAGAAGCGAAAATCTTCATCTCACTTTCAAGATACTTGAGATCTCTAATGCTAATTTTAAAACAGATTATTGGAAGAAAACCTCTGGATATCTAAGTGAATGTCTGCCTCTTCTGTTGGCCAAATTCCTAAAATTCAGACCACTATACCCACTTACACACTGGGCCTCTAAACTTATACCTCATCATACTCAAAAGTAAATTATTTATCTCATCCTAAACACTTGTTTCTCCCCTATTGTTCCTATATTCCCCATCTCACAAAAAGATGCCACTATTTTTGTGGTTGATAAAGTCTAAAATTTGATTCTTCTACCTCTGTTGTATCTCACATTTAATTAAGCCAGAAGTTCTATGGTTTCTACATTATAAATAACTCTCTAACCATCCACCTTTCTGTCTCCACTAAGTGTTCTGGCATAGATACTTCCCCTAGATCTGAAGCTGGTTCTTAACAAAGCTCCCTGTCTCCCACTTTTTCTTCTGCTTCTCTTCCAAGCCATTCTCTACATCCCAGGGTGATTGTTTAAATACATAAACCCCTGCCCAAAACCCAGTAGGAGGTCATAGTCCTCCAGGTAAACAGGAGCCTTCATAATAAGGTATGTGGGCTCTTTGTGCTTTAGACTCCAGGTATCTATGCAATTGCTTCTTTGTCCACAGGGATCTCCCTTCCTCGCTGGCAGGACGGACGTCTTATGTTTCCTTGCCTCTGAGTGTCTTCTTGTGCATTTCCTTTTTACTGCCTCCAATACCTTCTCCTATTTGCTGTGCTTGTACTCTTTAGCACTACATGGGACTTCACTATCCCTTACTCCCACGTTGGGGCCATATACCATTTCTTTGAGCTTCTAGTAACACATATTTTCCCTCTCTCAATAATTATAATATTGTGTAATATTTTCTGTTCATTCCTCTATATTTCTAACTAAACTGAAAGTTCCCAGAGGGCAAGACCTATGTCTTTGTTGTTCGCTGTTGTATTTCCACATCTAACGTAGTGATAGGAGCATAGCAAGCATTTAATAAATATTTGTTATATGAGTAATCCAATAATGAATACTTATTAAGATTTTAGATAAATAGCTACATTTCTAAAAAGAATTAAAACTATAAAGACATAATAAAAGCACACTGGGAACATTTTTAAACAAAAGTATTTCTTTATTAAAAATTAGAAATGGGTGAGGGCAATCAAGGAAAATGTGCCTGACTTTTCTCCCAGTTTTTCACATCAGCCTATATCTTGCCAGGACAAATAATCATTGGATGTTTTACATCTTCAGTTTGGATCTCGTAAATTCATCTGATAATTTCTTGGCATTTCCAGAAATATTAACAGTAAATATATCTCTCTGGATAGATACTCAGAAAGAAGGAAAGTGCGCCCATAGCAGATCTGCCCTCTGGATTGCTTTTGTAGGACCAGCAGTGGATTTAAAACTATACATCCCTTCTTCTGTCCAAAGTCAGAACTGGGCTCTTCTTCTGGATATGGTCTGATGCCTAATGCCACTTGACCTTCATTCTAGAGGGTAAATCATTGTCTGAAAACTAATAACAGCTAACATATACTAAGTTTTACTCTATACCAGGCATAACCTCATTTATTCTTCACAACAACCCTGAGAAACATGTATCCTCATTATGTAGATAAGAAAACTGAAGCTCAGAGAGGTATCTTGTTCAATATCAAGTAGTTGAATTCAAATTATTCTGTTCAATAATGATGTATTCAACCACTATGTACAGTAAGCTCCAGAAAGTTTTCATTACAATAAAAATATGTATTACCTGTAAGAAGTACATCATGATAAAGAATTTCATAGTGTTATCTTGGCAGAAATTGGGTTACTAATTATGAGTAATAACTTAATGAACACCAAATTATTTAATTTGTCTGGAGGGAGAGTTGTGTTGTCCATGTTTAGATTTACATATTGAGTAAATTTTGATTTAAAATATGTTAAGGATATTAATTATAGATAACTCTTATATTTGTGAGCTGCACAGCAAATTATCCCAAAACTTCTAGTGGCTTAAAAACACGATGACTTATTATTTCTCACAATTATGTGGGCTGACAGGGTGGATCTTCCATAAATCACCTGGGCTTACATGTGTAACACTGCCTTAAATCTTCCAGAGATCTTCACAAGGGGTCTTAGAGATAAACCCTAGATTTGATCTTTGATCTCATGCCTCGTATCACCTTGAGAATTTTTTAGTGGCTGGTAGTACTTGGGATGAAATATAGTTTTATTTTTCAGCCCAGTAAGTCCTGGCCTTCGTGTATTTCCTTTAGCATTCTGCTTATAAACAGAACAGTTCCTTTACACATTTCTATCTTCACATAACTTGTCATATGCAGCTAGAAGAAGCCAATTGGCACTTTCAACATTTTATGTAAAGGTAAAATTGGCCAGATCTACAAACTCATTAGGTTTATTTTCTTTCCTTCACATTGTTAGAAGCATTTTGCATTTTTTCTTCTCTGTAACGCAGTAAGGATCATCCTTCCTCTAACCTACAAGACATCTTGCCCATTTTCTTGAAAGCATTTCCTAGTAGATTTCTAGCTGCCTTTCAGTCTCTGTCTAGCACTTACTTCCTAGCCGCTGCCACACGTTTTAGGTTTTTGAGACTACAAACACCCTACTTCTTTAAGAAAAAAAATTCAACTTTTATTTTAGATTCAGGGGGTACATGTGTACGTTTGTCACCTGGTTATATTGTATGATGCTGAGGTTTAGGGTACAATTGATCCCATCACCCAGGAACTGAGCATAGTACCCAATAGTTAGTTTTGCAGCCCTTGTCCCCCTCCTTCTCTTTCTACTCTGTCCTCAGTTTTTGTTGTTGTTTTTTTTTCTTTTTTTCTTTTTTATTTTACTTTAAGTTCTAGGGTGCATGTGCACAAGGTGCAAGTTTGTTACATATGTGTATATGTGCCATGTTGTTGTACTGCACCCATTAACTCGTCATTTACATTAGGTATATCTCCTAATGCTATCCCTCCCATCTCCCCCCACCCGATGACAGGTCCCGGTGTGTGATGTTCCCCTTCCTGTGTCCAAGTGTTCTCATTGTTCAGTTCCCACCTATGAGTGAGAACATGTGGTGTTTGGTTTTTTGTCCCTGCGATAGTTTGCTGAGAGTGATGGTTTCCAGCTTCATCCATGTCCCTACAAAGGACATGAACTCATCCTTTTTTATGACTGCATAGTATTCCATGGTGTGTATGTGCCACATTTTCTTAATCCAGTCTATCATTGATGGACATTTGGGTTGGTTCCAAGTCTTTGCTATTGTGAATAGTGCTACAATAAACATACGTATGCAGGGCTGGGCACGGTGGCTCACGCCTGTAATCCCAGCACTTTGGGAGGCCGAGGTGGGTGGATCACGAGCTCAGGAGATCGAGACCATCCTGGCTAACCCAGTGAAACCCCGTTTCTACTAAAAAAAAAAATACAAAAAATTAGCCGGGCGTGGTGGCGGGCACCTGTAGTCCCAGCTACTCTGGAGGCTGAGGCAGGAGAATGGTGCGAACCCAGGAGGCGGAGCTTGCAGTAAGCCAAGATCGCGCCACTGCACTCCAGCATGGGCGACAGAGCGAGAGTCCGTCTCAAAAAAAAAAAAAACAACAAAACAAAAAACATAACATCATAACATACATATGCATGTGCCTTTATAGCAGCATGATTTATAATCCTTTGGGTATATACCCAGGAGTGGGATGGCTGGGTCAAATGGTATTTCTAGTTCTAGATCCTTGAGGAATCACCACACTGTCTTCCACAATGGTTGAACCTGTTTACAATCCCACCAACAGTGTAAAGGTGTTCCTATTTCTCCACATCTTCTCCAGCACCTGTTGTTTCCTGACTTTTTAATGATCACCATTCTAACTGGTGTGAGATGGTATCTCATTGTGGTTTTGATTTGCATTGCTCTGATGGCCAGTGATGATGAGCTATTCCAATCAATAGAAAAAGAGGGAATCCTCCCTAACTCATTTTATGAGGCCAGCATCATCCTGATACCAAAGCTGGGTAGAGACACAACAAAAAAAGAGAATTTTAGACCAATATCCATGGTGAACATTGATGCAAAAATCCTCAATAAAATACTGGCAAACCGAATCCAGTAGCACATCAAAAAGCTTATCCACCATGATCAAGTGGGCTTCATCCCTGGGATGCAAGGCTGGTTCAACATGTGCAAATCAATAAACGTAATCCAGCATATAAACAGAACCAAAGACAAAAAACACATGAATTTCTCAATAGATGCAGAAAAGGCCTTTGACAAAATTCAACAGCCCTTCATGCTCAGTAAATTAGGTATTGATGGGACGTATCTCAAAATAATAAGAGCTATTTATGACAAACCCATAGCCAATATCATACTGAATGGGCAAAAACTGGAAGCATTCCCTTTGAAAACTGGCACAAGACAGGGATGCCCTCTCTCACCACTCCTATTTAACACAGTGTTGGAAGTTCTGGCCAGGGCAATCAGGCAGGAGAAAGAAATAAAGGGTATTCAATTAGGAAAAGAGGAAGACAAATTATCCCTGTTTGCAGATGACATGATTGTATATAGAGAAAACCCCATCATCTCAGCCCAAAATCTCCTTAAGCTGACAGGCAACTTCAGCAAAGTCTCAGGATACAAAATCAATGTGCAAAAATCACAAGCATTCTTATACACCAATAAAAGACAGAGAGCCATATCATGAATGAACTTATCATGAATGAACTCCCATTTACAACTGCTTCAAAGAGAATAAAATACCTAGGAATCCAACTTATAAGGGATGTGAAGGACCTCTTCAAGGAGAAGAACTACAAACCACTGCTAAACAAAATAAAAGAGGACACAAACAAATGGAAGAACATTCCATGCTCATGGATAGGAATAATCAATATCATGAAAATGGCCAGACTGCCCAAGGTAATTTATAGATTTCATGCCATCCCCATCAAGCTACCAATGACTTTCTTCACAGAATTGGAAAAAACTACTTTAAAGTTCATATGGAACCAAAAAAGAGCCCGCATTGCCAAGTCAATCCTAAGCCAAAAGAACAAAGCTGGAGGCATCATGCTACCTGACTTCAAACTATACTACAAGGCTACAGTAACCAAAACAGCATGGTACTGGTACCAAAACAGAGATATAGACCAATGGAACAGAACAGAGCCCTCAGAAATAATACCACGTATCTACAACCATCTGATCTTTGACAAACCTGACAAAAACAAGAAATGGGGAAAGGATTCCCTATTTAATAAATGGTGCCAGGAAAACTGGCTAGCCATATGTAGAAAGCTGAAACTGGATGCCTTCCTTACACCTTACACAAAAATTAGTTCAAGATGGGTTAAAGACTTAAATGTTAGACCTAAAACCGTAAAAACTCGAGAAGAAAACCTAGGCAATACCATTCAGGACATAGGCATGGGCAAGGACTTCATGTCTTAAACACCAAAAGCAATGGCAACAAAAGCCAAAATTGACAAATGGGATCTAATTAAACTAAAGAGCTTCTGCACAGCAAAAGAAACTACCATCAGAGTGAACAGGCAACCTAGAGAATGGGAAAAAATTTTTGCAATCTACTCCTCTGACAAAGGGCTGATATCCAGAATCTACAAAGAACTGAAACAAATTTACAAGAAAAGAACAACCCCATCAAAAAGTGGGCAAAGGATATGAACAGACACTTCTCAAAAGAAGACATTTATGCAGCCAACAGACACATGAAAAAATGTCCCCAGTTTTAATTGTTGTCATCCTTACGTCCATGGAAACCCAATGTTTAGCTCCCACATGTAAGTGAAAATGTGGTATTTTGTTTTTGATTCCTACATTAAATGCTTAGGATAATGGTCTATAGCTGCATCCATTTTTTCTGAAAAGAACATTATTTCTTTCTTTTTTATGTCTGTGTAGTATTCTGTGGTGTAAATGTACCACATTTTCTTTAGCTAATCTGCCATTGATGGGCACCTAGGTTGGTTCCATGTCCACGCTATTGTGAATACTGCTGCAATGAACATGTGAGTGCATGTGTCTTTTTGGCAGATGATTTATTTTCTTTTGGATCTATACTCAGTAATGGGATTGCTAGATCAAATGGTAGTTTTAAGTTTTTTGAGAAATCTCCAAACTGCTTTCCACAGCGGTTGAACTAATTTACATTCCCACCGAAAGTGTATAACCATTCCATTTTCTCCATAGACTCGCCAGCGATTTGTTGCTTTTGATATTTTAGTAATTGCCATTCTGACTGGTATGAAATGATATCTCATTGTGGTTTTGATTTGCATTTCTCTGATGATGAGTGATGTGGAACATTTTTTAATATGTTTGTTGGCCACGTATATGTCTACTTTTGAAAAGGGTCTGTTTGTCTTTTGCCCCTTTTTAAATAGGGTTCTTTGCTTTTTGCTTGATCAATTGTTTAAGTTCCTTATAGATTCTGGACATTAGACCTTTGTTGGATGCATAGATTGCAACTATTTTCTCCCACTCTGTAGGTTGTTTGTTTACTCTGTTGATAGTTTCTTTTCCTGTGCAGAAACTCTTTAGTTTAATTTGGTCCCATTTATCAATTTTTGTTTTATTGCAATTGCTTTTGAGGATTTAGTCATAAATTCTTTCCCAAGGCTGATATTCAGAATGGTGTTTCCTAGGTTTTCTTCTAGGATTCTTATAGTTTGAGGTTTTAACTTTAAATCTTTAATCTATCTTGAGTTAATTTTTGTATATGGTGAAAGGTAAGGAAGGGTCTAGTTTCATTCTTCTGCATATGGCTTCTCAGCTATCCCTGTACCATTTATTGAAGAGGGGGTTCTTTCCCCATTGCTCAGTTTTATTCACTCTGTCAAAAATCAGATGGCTGTAGGTGTGTGGCTTTATCTCTGGAACACCCCACTCCTAAGAGCCTGAATTAGTTAGGGTTCTGTCAAGGAAACAGAATCAATTGGAGTATTAAACATTAAGGGATTTACTACAAGACTTAGATCTTACATAATTTTTAAAGGATCTGGGGAGTAAAAGTTGGTGCAGGATGACAAGTTGGAACTCACATGCAGAATCTGAAAAGCCAAGCAAGTCCAGCCACTGAAGTGGAACCATGAAAGAGATGGGTGTGGCCAGATCTATTGGAAGCTGTTGCCTTTGTGTTGGTCAGAATGTCCAACAATTAGGATGAAGAGCTGGGGGCTGTAGAATGATGTAGAACAAGGACGAAGAGGAAACCACCAGGCACATTTGCAATGGACAGTTGCCTGTCTATCACTTTGAAAAGTGATTCTCAAATGCAGATTCTCAAATTCATTCTACTGTATTGTGAATGCAGTAGAATGAGTTTCATAGTGATATCACATATCACCATGAAAACCGTCCAAGAGTAATAGTTACTGAGAGACTGATTTAGTTTTGCCTCCCAAATCTCTTCAAAGTTCTCTCTGTGTATGTGCCTCTCTCTCTGTCTGTTTCTCTCCCTCTTTATCAAGACTAACCCAGCACCACACAGAGAAGGACATTCTGGAAACATATTTCAGCTTAACTAAGTTGATAATAAAATGACCCAGCACTGGAGGGAAATAAATGTTTCTGTTGATGAAAGACTAAGACTGTTTGATATCCTTCCTTATGCAGGTCTAGGATTTAAGCTTTGCTGGGAGGCTTAGACAAGGCCAAGGCCATGGTTATGTGCCTTACTTCAAACAAGTGACCACAGTAGAATTCTGGGACTCTTGGACTTCTAGGATGTCAGGATTAATACACAGGTGCACATGACTAGCTGGGTTGGGGTTTGCCCTGATCAACATCCTATGCAGAGACTCCAGTGGATAGGTCATTCTTTCTTATGTGATGGTCTATATCACCCAGATCTCAATTTTTCTTATGTCCCAAGACTTTTAGAACTACCCCCACCCTATACAGAGATTAGTTCCCTAAAATAAAGAATTCAGTCATAACTATTATCTGTGGTGTTTTCTTTTGGCACTTCCCTTTATGAGACTGACAAAATATCTTGAACATAATAAATTCTCAATGTTTAGAACGCTGAAAAGCTAAGTGGAGAAAGAGCTAAAGATAAGAACAAGCCATATATCAAAGAGTTATAAGGAAATAGGCTAATCTATGCCTAAGTTCAAAAGTAAACACAGAGTCAAAAGTGAGAAGAAAAATAAAAAACGTCATAGACTAGCTACACACAGGAATTAAATAGGTGGCCAAGCTAAGCCAAAGTTAGGAATCTAGGAAAAAACTCCCAAAAGATGAACCAAGCTGACATCCATTTTTAGTAAGTAAAAATAACATGATTCATAGGCAAATGAGTATAAAGGTCCCGAGTTTCTGCCTGCTGCTTCTTAATTGGGTGACCTTGGATAGGTAATTAAACTCTTCTAAGCTCCCCTAAGCCTCAGCTTCTGCCTTTATAAGATGGAGCTACTTCATGGGATTTTTGTAAGAATGAATTATGATAGTACACGAAAAGTGCTTAGGGTAGCATAAAGGACTCAATGAATGTTAATTGCTATTACTAGAGATTGCGTTAGATAACATCAGTCTTTTCTAATGTTCTTAAAATGTTGTCAGAGTATAATATTCCTAATTTGTTCACTCATTCTCAATGTAGTAGAATTATAGTCTCCCTGATCTGATGCTGCAGCCCTGTGAGAACTTCTTTTTACATACATGGCTAGTGGTAGGCAGAATGGATAATTCCGTGTAAGGTATATGCATGAAATGTATTTCCTGAAATGCACTATACATACATGATCCATGCAAATTCTTTACCCCCATTTACCCCCATTATAAACCTGCTTATTTAGAATCTGATTGTGACCATGACCAAAATGTTTTGGTAGAACTACTTAATGTCAATGACTAAACATATTAGGAAGAACTTGGCTCATATTTCTAATTTGCCCTTGCTTTGTTTTAGAAATGGTTTAGAATTTACCTCCTGTTAAAAAGAATTGACTGATTGTAAGAATCATAATAATGGAGTTTTAGCTTTTATGACCTTCATGCCAGATATGATCCTTATGCTGGCAATCAAGTCATGGCTATTTAGCTTAGGCTGAATTTATAATAACTTTTGGATTACTCTGAATTAAATAAAAATGGTCCTAGGAAGAAGACTGAGAATTTAGGCAGCTACAGCTCTCTCTCTCCTCTCTCTCTCTCTCTCCTCTTCTCTTTCTCTCTTTCTTTCTCATCTCTATCTTTGCTTTGGAAGGGGTAATGTCTGAGTTTCTGCCCTTTCCTATTTCATGTGTTCTTTTAAATTATTATTAAATTTTTGGACAAAAAAAGATGTCTTTTTTTTCTTCTGAGATCCTTTCAGAACACATCCTCGGGGCTCACACATCTAAAGCTGCCTAAATTCTCAGTCTTCTTCCTAGGACCATTTTTATTTAATTATTAGGCAGCTAATGCCCAATTTATATTATTTGGAGTCTAGTTTCTCCAGTCTTTACCTCATTAGTCCTTATACTTGGATTCAGCTATAACAGCTTTTCTGTTATTTTACTTTTCTGCATGCCTTGTATACCTCTTTTTCCTTCTCCTTGTTCTCCTCCTCCTCCTCTTCTCTCACTTCTTGTTTACTGTGATTTTCCAAGGAACTAACTAGAAATTATCCAGCCTAGTTCATGATCTTGTCCTAAACAACATTAATATCAACTGAGTTTGCACCATCATTCAACGTTTACATAAATTTGCAACAATCTCCCTTCCCAGACGGTAAGTTTGAGGTTCTCAACAGTGTTCCAATGGCTGACATTCTCATGGTTTGCCTCTAGCCTTGAATTCCGATTCCCACTGAACTCCAGTTCTCAAGAGTGTCTCATCTCCAATGTTTGTTCATGACATGTGGTCCTATGCTGACCTATTCATCTCTGCTTTCTCCAAAATGCTACCCACACAAGTCATTTGCAGGTGCATCAGATTTTACCAAGAAGAGTATTGTATAGCAGCAATAGTTTCCAAACTGTTTAATACTGAGCATTAGACCTGTTCTAGAGGCTTTTGTCCATGAGCCACCCACTAGAAATTTCTTAGTAATCACAGAGTTCCTGCATCTCTGGATTCCTGCTTTGCTACATTTTTCTAGTCTCTTTCTCTTTCTTCTGTCTCCTCTCTCTCTCTCTCCTCTCTCTCTTCTCTTTCTCTCTTTCTTTCTCATCTCTATCTTTACTTTGGAAGGGGTAATGTCTGAGTTTCTGCCCTTTCCTATTTCATGTGTTCTTTTAAATTCTTATTAAATTTTTGGACAGAAAAAGATGTCTTTTTTTTTTTCTTCTGAGATCCTTTCAGAACACATCCTCGGGGCTCACACATCTAAAGCAAAATAGCAAGGTGTTTTTCTAAACAAAGACAGTGTTCTCTCTAAGGGGAACTCTGAGCCAGCCGTTAACATTACAATTTTATTTACCCTGCCACCTTCGCTTAAAGAACAAACCAATGAAGACCTTTTGGGATTTAACTTCTCCAGAAAAAGGCATATGTACATGGCAGGAATATTATCATAATATAATTTTCCTTAAAGGTTTTGGTTATGTCGATATTTATAATCCAGCTGTCCCAGTACACAGAACCATGTTAGAGAAAACTAGATTCACTGTAGCAGTAACACACACTTGTTTCTACTCATTATATATTCATATCGTTTTCACAAATGTCTGCCACTTTCAAACCTGAATCACTGTCCTCGAATCAAGCTTTCATACCTTTTTCTTATTTTCCCTTAGGCTGACTTCTTTTCTTATTATTCTAAATGTACCCATTCGCTTCTACAAGTAAAGCAGGTAATCTTCCAAATAATAGAATAACAAATAGAAAATGAGGTAATGATGCAAGGAGTTCGGCCACGTCCCTGGACCATAATAGGAGTCAGGTCATGCTGTTAGCTAGTTGTACATGTGTCTTATTAAACTAATTAATGACTCTGATTTTTCTTTATCAATGTGGTGTTCCTATGCATGCCCACTGCATTGTTGTCCCCAAGTTTAAATCCATATGGTTTGAAAACACTTTGCTCACAGCATTACTAAACACATGTTGATGGAGAGTCCCACTGTAGACAAAGATTATGCAAGAGCTATGCAAGAAATGTCAAAGACAAAGTGAATCATGCTGCTCTTCTGCTTGGAGCTGGGGTGCAAGAGCAAAGGTACAAATTTATGCGTGCTCTGCTTCCTTGTATATGCACACATTTCTTGACTCACTTATATGCATATGCATGAATCTGTACATTTCTATAAATATACATATGACAGATAATCAGGCTTCTGACTCTGCAACCCAATCTCTTGCCACATCCTTGCAGTAGCATGGAACTGCTTGGTGCCCAATTTCCTGCCTCTGTGACATGCATATACCATCTACTTTAACTCCAAAGTCCTTCACAATGACCCATTCTTCTCAGAGTAACACTCTCCTATCCTTCAATCCTCCTCCTTGGACGCAAATCCTTCAAGAAACCTGATCGGGGAAACACACACATAATCACATGAATCCTTAAGTTTTAATTTGTTCCTCTCTTCAGAGTGAGCTAGTCACAGCCAGGAGATGGCATCAGGTTAGATTATAAAAATGATCTGCAGTTTAATTATCTGATTAGTGGAAACCTTCACATTTTCCTCGTCACAGCCACCTTTGTTTGTTTTTATAGTAAGCAGCTGTGAAAATTTATCTCATATAATTCTTCCCCAGGGTCTCCCTTACTGATTACAATTCCTTCCAGAACTCACCCTTTGAGGAAGCCCCTGCTGCAATTACTAAACTGGCTCCAGGATGCTGGGTTACAACTTTTGTGAAAGCAAATGTATCAATGATGAGATGCAGTACTTAAGTAATGTGCCTCTCATCTTTCCATGGCATACCAATTACTGGGGGATTTCACTTTGTTTTTTTGTTTTGTTTTGACATTTGTTTCCTACAGTGTAGCAAAAGGAGAGTTGTGTTATGTATGGACTTCTAGTATCTTTCCTCATCCTAGTCATTGCTGGAAGTTTGTGGTACGAGATTGGCAACAGGTTCTGGTTTCTCCCCAATGCATGATGCTCCTTATTTTTTTTCATTTTAGGTTCTTAAAATCCAGTCTCAAAAACCCCTTTTGGCTATTTCAGTTGCCTCCAATGAGGTCCACACCATACACTAACATAAATAAATCATATTTTGAGGAGGTAAACATAAGTAAGCACACAGCTTACTTGCAATCTGTTCTTAATGGACATTGGTTTTTATATTTATGCAATTATGTGCACACAGGTATTTTAGAAACAAATGATGAAAAGTTTCCTAAACTATTGAAGTTATTGAAACAAAGTAAGGTCTCAAATGCACATTTTCCACAATGTATCCCCCCACCCCATTGCCACCGCCTCCCTGCCACACACACACAGAGCCACCTACACTGAGAGGAGTTCAAATAACAAAGCTGGCATTGTGCATATCAGCCTTATTCAAATAGTATCTGCAGCCCAGTTTCTCAGATTACTCTGCTTCCTACAGAACTAATTTTAAAATGAATCTCCCACTGACTTCAAGGGGCTTTCATCTCTTTAGGATGGTGATGAAGCCTAAAAGTGTGTACCTGGTACCCCAGGACACTGAAGAATGAAGTCTGTGTCAGCTTTGCCTAGCAGTTCTGAAGCAGCCCCAATTCCTTCCCTGGTGCTGACCATTAATCCCTGGGAAACCTTTCAAAGGGTTTTAAGTGGTAAGTTAAGAGAAAATGGGCCCCAGGAAAAACATCAAAATTTTATAGTCCTATCATAAATGAGGTTGCTTAGTATACACAGTTCCTTTTGTGCTATGAATACAGAATGGTTTGTCCTTAAGAATTTTACCTCAAATATATTTTTGTACAAAGAATGCAACTCATCTGTGGCATTATAAGAAATAACATAGGAAGTTGCTCTAAACTCAATATCTCAGCATCCTGGCACATAATAAACTCCAAACACCTTCCAGGAAATTAAGATTATTTTAAACTGCTGGACAAGATAAAGATGTAATCCTGAGACTAAAACACACACACACACACACACACACACACACGCACATACAGATGCACACAAAATTAATTGTGGCATAATTATTGCACAGCTGCTCCAAAAATTTAGAGGTACCCTGCTTTCTTTTTTATAGGTCCGATGCAATCTGATTATGCTCCTTGCTTGAAGTATCTCTGGTCCTTTAACCTCCAAAAATACCCATTCAAGCATGACATTTTCATAACTAATGACTAAGAATGGGGATTTGTTTGGTATGGTTTTAACCTAATTCATTCACTCATATAGATAAGACTACAATTGGGGGTTACCATAAAATACATTTCTTTTGGAGAGTAATCTATCAGAATTCTTTACCGTGCCTGATCTTGCTTCTCCCTTTGTTAATATTCTGACCATGTATCACCGGAGAAGGCTTTCTTCATTTGCTCAGATATTCTTTTTTAGGTATGTTCCTCTTTTCTTTCTTCTCTGGATCTTTCTCCAATTTGCTACTGCATTCATCTATTCCTTTTCAGAAATGTATTGTTATTTATTTTTCCTTTCTGCCATTGACACAAGTTTTTCTTTAAGTCATTCCTTACACTTCTAAGAAAATTAACTAAATGGCAGTTAGTTACATCAAATCCTAAATGGAAGTCTTTTCGTATACCTTGCTTTCTCTCTTCCCTATCTAGATGTATAACACTAATATTTGCTTGGACTTAAAATATGTAATGTACTTTTACATTTATAATAATGGACTACAACATTTTAAAGGCTTGTTATTAAGTATTATAATTTTATAGGTGAAAAATAAGACCAATAGATATTTTCAAATAAATACAAATAACAAAGAGTAAAAAGCAGATTTAAACCCATGTGTGTATTCAGTTCCAAAGTTTCTTGGTATCTGTTGCAACATAGTGCCTCATTCAACCAAAAGCTTCATAAACCACAACCCCTACAGAAATATTAGTGAGCATAATAATTCTAGATAATAGAAAAATTCTATCATATCGATAGAGATACATTAGTAAATAGTAGATATATGAATCAGAAATGTGTGAGTTTGAATGTCATTGTCTATCAAATCATATAAAGAGTTAGGATGTAACCCTGACAGATTGGAATCCTACTCATAGCTATTGTTTATTAAAATCAATTAAATAGTCTGTCCTTCTTGCCAAAAGAAGATAATTCAGATGATACACACTTCTTTTGGGATGACTTGTCATATCAGCAGGAAGTCTTATCACATTAGATTTAAAATGCAGACACTTTCCTTGAAATAGCTGTGGAATGAATTGCTTTCCAAAGAGTTTTGCATAATTTTAATTTGCCTTTTTATTGCTATTAATGGACCATCTGTACCTGTGGTGTTCTATGAAATTTAAAAAGAACATACTGTGCAAGTCTTGTAATTTAAAATGCAGAAACATATAACTAAATAAGCCAAGTCAAGTGGAATGAAAAAAGTATATTGATAAGTTTTAAAAATCAGTAACAATATGGAACATAAAAGCTGGGGTAGATATTCTAAAATTTGAACTAGCAAAAACTAATTTGGATCAACTACCTAATTGTTAGAATGCCTTTCCTCCCTAATTTGCACTCAATTTGTGAAGCATGGAGAGGCAAAAAGAATAAAAATCTTTAATTCCAAATCAAACACTTTTTCCTCTAATTGGATTAAAGTTATAAATCAGGATTAACTCAAATTATATGAATTAATCTAAATTATCAACTGATTGTTAGTTCACTGTGGAGATTCGAAGATATTTTATGGAAAATGTTATAGAATAATTGAAATCTTGAGTGGGGAGGTGTGATTCTTCCTATTATATCATAATTTTAATTCGTAGGCCTTTCTATTTTAGTTTTAGCAATTTTCCCCCTATAATTAGGGACAGTTCTCAATCATCATTGGTTCGTTCACATATATCCGTCATTCATGTTTCATTGGCTTAAACTGAATTACATGGCTACCTTAATTGTTAGCAATGCTGGGAAATATGGTCTCTTGTGTCCATCTTTAGGCCTTAAACATATGTACATTTCTGCTTAAAGAGATAAAACAGAGTAGATATAGGAGACTGTTGACAATAGCCTTCCCTTTGTATATCGTTTTTGCATATACAGAATGTATTCACCATCCTCAGTGGAGACACACATACGCCTTATATTTTCTGCATCCAGTTTAAAGTTCAGAATCTGTTACTAATGTGCAGTCCTCTTCTTGTGACACCCTCATCTATAAACCAAGAGACACGTTATCTCTTCCACCGATCCTCATCACTTAATGTAAAATTATGTATTCATAATTTTATAATTAATTAATAGAAAATTATGTATTAATAGACATAAAAATAGAAAACACAGAGCACTCAGTGGTCCAAGGCGGTTACATGTTGACATGTAAAAACTCAGAAATATCCCAGTCTTTGCTTAATTTACCCCAGGTTTTGCTCCCTTGGATGACTCTCTTGGCCATTGTCCTCCATGATTTCTGAAGCCCTCTGAAAATTTTTCTTGACATGCTATACTTTGTGGACAAACTTGAAGTGAGTTCTTGGGGTTATGCTGTGTTTAGGGGCTGTATAGTTTTTACACACTGTTTTTTTGATGATACGCATTTAGGAACCTAGCTGTATTGCTTGTAGGCCAGGCTTTTGTCTCTTTTTTTTTTTTTTTTTCTGAAAGCAATATTAATTTACTCCAAAACGTAGTGAAGTTTCTATTTGCTTTCTATTCAGTTCTGTGTGAAATTTACCATACTTGATGATCTCTCCCATTTCTTCACTCTTGTTTTCTGCTTCTGTACTAGAACCATCTCTCTGAGACTGGACTCTGGAGAGAAGTTAAAACAATTTTACCTTACCTTTGTAGCTGAGTAGAGCTTCCATTTTCTGGCTGAAAAGTACATATGAGAGGCTTTTGAGAAAGTCTCTGAGCAATAGTCTTATCTTCTGTTATCTTCTGCTAGTTAAGACATAGAAGCAGGAGATTTTCCTCTCGTAAGATGTACCACTTTTGTTCAAGTCTAGACCTCTGTCAGAGACTGATTCCCTTTGCAAGGTCTATTTATTTCTACTTCTACTTGCACATTGGCAATACTTACCCAAGCTATTCTCTCTCATTGTATATGGCTAAAAGCATCAAGGGGCAGATAACATAGACAAATATTTTGCCTTTACCTAATAATCTTCCTTAGAGCAAGAGAATTCAGAGATATATCTTCGTTTCATTACAGAAAACAGTTTTAGTAAATATTTTGCTGTGACCTAAGAAAGGTCATTAGCTTTCCAGCCTGCAATGTTTATGTCCTCATAGTCTGCAACTCAACTACTAAGAAAATGCCACATATTTTCTATGGCAGTACACCACTTTGGTACCAAGTTTTTCATTAGCTGAGACTTAGGCTAAAGATTTATCACAAAGAAACCTCAAAATACAGGATCTTTAATTAGATAAAATATTCCTCTCTTGTGATAAGTGTGTGGGCCCCAAGGACCCTGATTGACACAATGAATATATCATCTTCAACATGTGACTTCCATCTTTGGGTCCAAGATCTTCTACAGCTGCAAATCTCCTACTCTTGGCCAAGAGTAGGAGAAACAAAAATGTATTAGGCCAGCAGTCTTATCTTTAAGAAAACAATCTGGGAGTTTTACATATTGTTGCCATGCCCCACTGGCCTAAATATAGTCACTGACTAAAAGGAAGGACAGGAAGGCAGTCTCTAGCTAAATGGTCACATGCCCTGTTCACCAAAGTAAATTTAGAAGAACTTAGAAAACCAGAGGATACTGAAGGGCACAGCTTCTTTTCCACCGTTTTTTTGGAGGAAATTAACAAAGGTCCTCTTAAGATCCAACTATATGGGCTAATATACCAATATTCTGGTTAAATCTACTATGTCAGTTCCCATTACTATAACTCATTTCTAATCTGGAGAAGACTTTCTCTTCTTATTGGTGAAGAAATTCATAATTTCATCAATTGTTTGAAATGAATACTAACATTGTTTATTCATCAACACATATATTTTTAGTTTTATAGCTTAGCTTTTCATTAGTCTACTGACACAAATTACTTGCAAATATTAAGACCTTCACCCTTGTTTTTCTCCATCCAATTACTTCCAGACATACAAATGTCCAAATTTTCAAGCACATAGTTTTATAAAAGATGTGCACTCTTTGATTACTGGAAGAAAATTATTGAGCAACTTTTAAAGTAAGTAGTAATTTCTATTCTCATTATTCTTTCTTTTAAAACTTAATCAAACCATGATACATATGTACTTCATTAAAAATGTTTCTTGTTAATTCATTTTCAGTTCTAGGTTTAGTAAAAAGTATTTAACTATTTGAGCTGAAATTTCTGTCCCTATGCATCGGACCTTGTGCAGACATGTTTTCCTATCATAAATAATCTTTATTAACCTAGCAAAGTAATGCCACTTTGTAGACTAACTCTTTCACTTACTCTGCTACTCTTTTGTGTCATTCACAACCATACTTTCAAAGCTGTGTTCTGCAGAGCCCTGGGATTCTGTCAAGTTGATAATGCAGGAGAGAGGTGAGGGGTTGAATTTCCCTACTCTCAGCTCTCTAAATCCACTTCATAGCTAAAAGCTTGACACTTACCTTTGTTATATATTGGAAATCTGCTTAAGATTTGCTTTGAGAAAAAGTTCTAATGCTTAAAACACTTTTAAAAATCAGAAATCAATGAAGTTTTGTGTTATTATTTCCAGCTTCCTACAATTATCCTCATCTCATGGAAAAACTAGACAGAGGAAAAGAAAAGAGGCAAATGGAGCTTCCTTTGCTAAGAGCTCAAATAACTCTCCTCTACATAGTCTTCTTCAAACAAAAACACAAAGCTAATTTTCCATTTACTCTTTGAGAGTTCCACAGAAAAACAAGTGAGTAATATATCATGTTTCTCTTTCTGAAAGCTTTATATCTGGAGTTAGATAAGCCATTGTTACTTGATCAAATAGGTGGATATAGCCATGGAGATAAGCTAATATTTGCATCGGCATGACAACCACTGACTAGTCTAAGCGTAATAGAAGTCTTATTAATTATAATGGAAAAGTCACAACCACCAAGTAATTCATAGGTCTTTCACTGAGATGGTCACCTTGATTTATATCTTAACTAGAGTTCCTTAAAAATACTATGAAGATGTTATAGTTTCCTATATGGACAAGAACAATTGTACATTTTACTAGTCTTGAGATATCAATTTAATCTACTCCACTGAGGAGCATCTTCTGAAAATGTTACCATTTTAACATCTATTATTTTAGTATGACATAAGAATGAATAAAGAGTAAAAGAAAGTTGGTCCCTTTCTGAGTTCTGCATTAAACCCAAATCCTGAAATGAAATAATGCATATTTTACTCAATTTGGGTTTATAGACTGTCTCTGTAATGAACATGCATTATGAAATCTGTTTTTCAGCTCCTTCCTTTTGGTCAAGGGGTGGGGGACAATGTTAAAGAAACAAAGCAAAAGCTTGGGCTTTTGAAGTTTTAAAGCATTTACTTCCAAAAATTGAGTCAATGTAACTAGCATTTTTCTTAGTATTTATTGTGTAGATGGAGACAATGCGGGAGATGAGAAAGGAAAGAATACTAGGTGGAGGGCAAGACTCTGACATTACATTCTTGTGTTTGTCACTAAAAAGTCTTCAGTTTACTCATTTCTAAAGTAGTGGGTTAGATGAGGACAATTATTTGGACTTACTGGTCCCAAACCATTTCCACAAATATTTTGGTGGAAAAGGTTAATTACAATTATTCTCAACTTTAATGTTAGTTCTCAAATAAACATATTTGAAATATAATTTTTTTAAAAAAAAAGTCTGTTAAAGTATAAGATGGGAAAAATGCCTCAGAACCTTAAAAGTTTTATTTTTTATATACATTGAGCATTTTAGATTTTAATTACATTAATATTTTAATGTCAAAACCAACATTTGTACTTACATAAATGTCCAAAATTCTATCAATAGAAAGCAACCTCTTTATAGCTTTCCTTTCCTAAGAGCTCTTGAAAAGAAGTTAATGAAAGTCATTGTTGGTTGAGATAGGTCATGTTTTGTTTTGTTTTGATCTATTAAAAGAGTATTAGAGCAGAAATGGAGACTTAATTTTTCTTATTCATAATGCTACATGTCCAAAATTATATTTTAAAAGTAATGTATATATTTTTAAATGTGTAAGGTCATTTTCTCTTTTAGAATGAATATTGCTGATTAAATAATCCTAACTTTGTTTTTTAATCTTTCAAGGAAGTTACTTAGCATTGTTCAATCCTAGTTTTTCTAATTGCTCACATTAAAGAGACATTTTCAAACTCAGCCAAATGCATTTCTTCATAATGCTCTGGAGAGCAGGCACTTGACTTTTATTTTCTTGGACAGAGTTTTGAAAAGGCTTAAAGCATTTGTTTTAATTTTAATTCCTGAGACCTTTAAAATAACATTCTGGAAGAGTTGGAGGAGGTTTTCTACTATAACAGTAAGTTTCTTTGGACTAAGCCCAGTGCTGCTGCACAGCATTGATTAAAATAGTGAATTTAGAGCTAGTGGCTCCTTAATGTGCTGGATATACATTTATTTGGTACAAAAACAAAAAACAAAAAAAACACAAGATGACTTTTTTCAAAAACAAAAAAAAATTAGCAAGCAGGGACTTTTTTTGTGATTGTTCTAAAATGATAAATAAAACTTTGAATTGCTACCTGGAATGAACCCCACAGTGTATAGAAAAATAGATTTCTCCAAAGCATATTTCTAATAGATGTAATATAACCTTCCTCTTTGTGGTCCATCTTGTGTATCATTTCTCTTATTTCAATGTAATAGTTTAGAATTTATTTGTATTTTTATTATAAATTTGTGAGGATAAATAAATACAAATGGTATCTTTATATATTTTTATATTAAGGCCTGTCTGGATTTATATATGTAAAATGTAATCCATTTGCTTAATTACTGGTTTCAGTCTAAATATATTTTATTTGCACATATGAAACCAAAAATATACAAAGTGATTAGGTCTGCCTCTATTCAACATATGAATTAGTTCAGAATTCTTTCCACTATGCCTTCGAACTCAACGCATTCTATGTTCCCTGTTTGGAACACAAGGATTGTTTGAGGAAAGCATAGTTTGGCTGAATTTTACCCTTCAGGTAAATCTTTGAAATTCAGTTTATCCCAAAAGTTATATACCAGGTTGATTATGTTTATTACTCTAAGTACAAATGCAGCTTAAAAGCTATGGTAATTTCTTACGAGGCAGTAACCCACTACCTGCAGTAGAAAGAGTACAGACTTCTAATTTTGCTCTTCATTCACCATGCTTACATGGGCAAATCTTACAGTCTTCAAGAGCTTCAGCTTCCACATCTGCAAAAGGGGATATTGTAAAGATAATGTTAAAAAGGTAATGTATGTAACATAGTCATCTCAACTGGAAACTCAGAATAAGTTTCTCTTAGAACCATTCTGCCCAGTCCATTACCTCTAAATGCCTGGTGGATTATAATACTTGCATCTAAAATTGTTCTGAGATAAATAAGAAAGAAAATAATCACAACCGAAAGCTTTATTTCCTATAGAACTACCCCAAACAGAGGCAGGTGAAAAGTGTTGAAACACACTATCTGACTGGCACAAGGTGATACCATTGCATGTGGAGTTGAACAGAGATGTGCATTCATATGGGGTGCTGGTTTCCTTGGAATCACCCTACTGAGGTGTTGAGAACTCCACTCTAACTTCTATGGGTACCACCTCTCAAGTGCTCATTTCTAAAGATGATTTATTTTATTAAAATATAACACGTAATTATTATAAATTTTTTTAGTAAAAGTAGACAAGAACAAAAAGAAAATACACTTTATACAGGTGACCTCTATTAATATTTTGCTATATATTTTCTATTTTCTCTATGAGCATATGTGCACATATAATTGAGCTCCTACTGTAGATAACTTTATAGTCTACTCTTCATCATAGTATCAAACAATTTGTGAAAATATCATTTAAACTTGATATGTAATTATCTATGAAGCAAATTTAGCATAATTTTTAATCATTGTCCTATTGTGGGACATAAAATTGTTTTCAACTTTTTGCTATGTAAAATAATACTCAGATCAACAATCTGGTGCATAAGCTCTGTCTATATTTTTTATTATTTATATTCTGAAATATTTCTAGAAATTGTGTGGACAAAGGATTTAAATATATTTAAATTATTGACAAACGTTATTAAATGCCTTGTGTATGTAGTGAAGCATCTTACATTCTCATTGATACTGAAACAATTTATATTCTCACTGACATTATTTAGAGTGTTCATTGTACTATCCCCTTACCAGAGCTATTACCATTACACAGATACACACATACTCGTACAACTCACACACATACACACATATGCTTGTAGGTATAACTTTTTTAGGAGCTATTTATTCAAGGCACTATAATGATATGGGCAGGAGACACGGAAATACTGGGTAGAAGTGGGCAGTTCCTCAGCAAAGGCCTCACCCTCAAGCCTGGAGACTTGTGGCCCTAAATGGGGGCAGGCATTCCTGTTTTTGCATCAAAAGGTTGCCTTTTGGCCCACCATGTTTCCTATCCTGTACCCATATAAACCCCAAACTCCAGGCTCCAGAAGCAGACAAAGAGATGAGGAGACAAGCCGGTGAATGGCAGAATGGCACAGCCGAGAAAGAGAAAGAAGAGAAGTAACATCTGAACACCAAGAAGAGTTTGGCTGAGGGCATTCAGAGAGGATTTAGTCCACTGGATGGCCAAACTCCAGGGGAAGATCATCTTCCCACTCTATCCCCTTTCCAGCTCCTCATACATCTAGCTGAAAGCCACCTCCACCACTCAATAAAACCCCAATTTCATCCTTCAAGCCCATGTGTGACCCAATTCTTCCAGGACTCTGGGCAAGAGTTCAGGATACAGAAAGTTGTCACACTGGCCCGCTGCCCTTGCAAAGTTGTCACACTAGCCCTCTGCCCTTGCAAAAAGAGGGTCTGTTGAGTTGGTTAACACTTAAGCTGTCTGTGGACAGCAAGGTTAAAAGAGCTAAAAGAGCATTGTAACACTGGGGCTGCAGGCACCCACCCCTAGATACTGCCACGGGGCTGGAGCCCAAAGCACTCGCCCCACCTCTTGCACCTGACCATCTGCGTGGTCTGCCTCCCATCAGGGGTTTGAGTAGCAGCAGCGACCAACAGGCAAGCCACACCTCTGTTACACATCCTGTAAGGGGGATCAGGGAACTCTCCCATTTCAGTAACACTTTTGTTTTCCTTCCTAATATTTAGTTTCATTAACACAACTGATTTTTCCTATCAATAAATGAACAAAGCCTCTTACCATCTTTCAGTATGATCTGTATCCTAGGTTTCTATATTTAATATTTGTGTAAAGCTATTCTTTAATATATCAGCTGATGCCTGGGGCTATCAACATGATGAGCTGTGTTCCTAGATGAGTTCTAATGTAAATTTTACTACAACTAGAATTTTCTTGTCAAATTAAGCAAAGTAGAAACTAGAATAAAATTACTATGTAAATTAGTATAATGAGAATTAAATTAAAGTTTTGGAATATTGACAATGAAAATACTCTCATTCATTGAAAACAGAGCCCCTTAATAATAAAGATTTCAAGGGACAAGACTAATACATTCTTTCCCACAGGCTAATTGTATTTAAATATGTTTATATAATATTACAGGAGTCTCTATTTCTAGAGATCTAATTCAAACCCAGTATGCTTGCTCTCATAGAATGGAAATGAGACAAATTCATATGGATTTGAGTCCTAGTTTGTTTACTCATTGTCTTTGTGACTATGGTCAAGTTACTTAATTTCTGTAATTTTACAATTTCATATCCTTTAAATAAATAAGAAAATGCCTGTTTCCCAGAGCTATTAAAAAGATCAGATTAAAAATGCATATATAAATATTTTGGACATAATAAATATGCAAAATAGCAATTCTGTATATGAGACTTAGTTTTTTATGAGGTAATGAGAGCACCACTTTGGGTGAGGCTTCCTTAAGGAAAAGTATGTTTACTACTCCATAGGCTACAATTTCAGAAACATTTCTTATTCAGAAATTCCAATTCCTGGATCATTCTTCAAGATAACAAAACTTCTCCTTCTTTCCAGAAACCTTAATTTTGCCTGTTTTATGATCAAGAATTTTAATTTTTGTTCTTTAAAATGAATTTCTTAATCTCTGAAGACTTCAGTATTTGGTCAGGTTCCACCTACATTTCGGAAGTAAATTATGAGCCATACAAAAATTTAAAAACAGTGTTGAAGACCTCAAGAAGGTATTTCTTTCTCTGGCAAGTTGTAGAATCTCAATAGCTTCTGTGTTCAAAGAACCTTTAAAACATTTGTAGATTGTATTTGGAGGCTGAACATTTTTCAAATTTCGTCCATAAGCAAAATTTTAAATGGTTTCCTTTGCTAAGATACTATGGAGAAAAAGACTTTAAAAATAGAAAAAAAATTAATACATAGTTCATGAGAAATGTTTTTATTCTCCTACTAGAAGTTTATGATCATTTGTTCTCTCTTCTTCCTTATAATCTCATAACACAAACACAGTCTTGCCATTTTCAGAGTTACTTTGGAGTTCTTTCACATTCAGGCTTCCAAGGTTTCTTGAGTGGCAATTCGGTCACTTGGAAATCCATGTAAGAATATCCTTTGTTAATGCCAATTCAAATATGAGAAAGATCAGACTGACAAAAAGAAGCTTAAATTGCAGCTGGAGGGAATTAGATGAGACCAAAAAAATACCTTTAACAGTAAGTTTTTTTAGCCTTTGAAATAGATTTTAAGGAATATGTCACTTTTTTTTAGAAATATTTCAGGAAATCTTAGAAAAATGGCCTAGATGTTTCTCATTTTTATTAGGGAATAATAAATATTAATGAATGGATGCCCCAATTTCTTTTTTATTTATTCAAAGCCCAGTTTAATTTGCTGCTGGTTAACTTGAATGTTATTACAAATTGTTATTGCATCCCTACTGGGAGCAGTAACATGTCTTGAGCTGTAACAATATGATCTATGTAAACTCTTTTCATTTTATCTTTGAAAGTTAAAATTGATCTTGTATTACCAGTCCTACTCTCTTATAGAAATTCTTCAGTGACAGCTGTATTTGAGGGCCTTATTCTTTGCTAATTATTTATCTACCATTCAATGTACCCCGTCATCTCATTTTGTATACTGCAAAGTACTAAATAGTTAAACAGTACAGTCTACTAGATATCCATAAATAAAGACATTTTCAGATTTAAAAAAACTGAGAGAATTTCAGATTCAGTGGGTGAGAAGGCAAATCAGTGATTCATGATCAATCATGAGGTCAGAGAGAAAAAAAAATTTTTAATTGTTTTCTTTTGTATGGGATTGGTGAAGGCAAAAGTGGCTCAGAAATAAGTCTATTGTATATAACAATTCAGAGTAATAGATGCATTTCTGTGATGCTGAGCAGGCCACATACTGGAAAAAAAAAACCAACTGTATAATGATATAACGGGAGATTTTTGCATTTCCAACATGCCTTTATGTAAGAAGAACTTCAGTGGTGTGATTTAAAGTTTGCTTATTTCTTTCTCTCCAAATTGCAAAACTTCTTTTGTAGATAACAAGCCATAAAAATTGTCAGTACGCAGCTCCATGCATACTTAAATCTTAGGAAATTGCCGTTATTTGACCATTTTTTATTTTTTAAAATGACAATTTAATATGGTTTCATATAATCAAGCCAACAGGATCATAGTATGAGTTTCCCAGGGATGCTGGAACAAAGTGCCACAAACTGGGTAGCTTGAACAACAGAAATTCATGGTCTCATAGTTCTCGATGATAGAAGTTCAATATTAAGGTGTTGGCAGGGTTTGTTCTTTCTGAGGGTTGTGAGGAGGAATCTATTTCAAGCCTCCTTCCTAGCTTCTTGTGGTTCGCTGGCCATCTTTGGCATTCTGGGACTTACAGGCATCATCCTGATCTCTGCATTCATGTTCATATGACGTCCTCCTTGTGTGTCCAAATTTTCCCTTTCAAAGGGATATTTGTCATATTTTTACATTTTTTCTTTTATTTTTAATTGACAAATAATAATTGCATGTATTTATGTAGTATAATATGATGTTATATGTGCAACAGTCATATTAGATTAGGAGCTCAGCCTATTCCAGTATGACCCCATGTGAATTCAGTTTATTCCTTTAGCCTTATTTGGGGATTAGGTGTAATTCTGAGATACTGGGAGTCAGGATTTCAATATTTGGAGAGGAAACAATGTAGCCCATGTGACGATCGTATTCCTCATGTTCTCATTTTTCTTGCTTTTTTTTTGGGAGGGGGGGTGATTTTCACTTTTGTCACCCGGGCTGGAGTGCAGTGGCACGGTCTCAGCTCACTGCAACCTCTGCCTCCTGGGTTCAAGCTATTCTCCTGCCTCAGCCTCCCCAGCAGCTGGGATTACAGGCACCCGCCACCACACCTGGCTAATTTTTGTATTTTTAGTAGAGATGGGGTTTCATTTACTATTAACACAGTAAATAGCATCTTCACTATTTACTATTTCTAGTTTAAAGTTTAATCAATATATTTCATTTTTGTCATTTACTATCTTTTTCTTTTTCTTTTTTTTTTTTAGATGGAGTCTTGCTGTGTCACCCAGGCTGGAGTGCAGTGTCCTGATCTCAGCTCACTGCAACCTCCACCTCCCGGGTTCAAGCAATTCTCCTGTCTCAGCCTCCCAAGTAGCTGGGATTACAGGTGCATGCCACCACACCCGGCTAGTTTTTGTATTTTTTTTAGAAGAGATGGGGTTTCACCATGTTGGCCAGGCTAGTCTCAAACTCCTGACCTTGTGATCCACCCACCTGGGACTCCCAAAGTGCTGGGATTACAGGCATGAGCCACCGCCCCCGGCCTCCATTTTCATAAATAAGAAACACTGAAGGTTCTCAATCTATCCTCTGTGACTCTTAATTGTTCTTTCATAGTTTTATTCCTTTCTGTCTGCCCCAGATTCCAAGTGAGCGCCCTTTCACTATGTTTCAATTAACCAGTTAACTCTTTGTGTCCAATCTGAATTTTTCTGAATATTTTAATTACAGTATTTTTTAAAATTTTCAAGAGTTCTAATTATTTTACATAGCTGTATGTTCTTATTTCATTTCTGCTAGCTTGAATTTCATTGTTTTTATTAATTTGTTTGTATATACCAATAATTTTTATTTTAAATTTTATGTTGTTTTATCTAGAGTAAACTTCTGTTTCTATTGTTAATTTTGTTGGATGCATTTATTTAGTATAATATATTTCATATGTAACAGAAAATTAAGTTATCTTTTATTATATTAAAGATAATATAACAGAGATCTCTGTACCCACCATAGAGGTTAACAATGTTGCTGTAGCTCCCTGTGTGGCCCACCATGAGCTCATCCCTCTTACTTCTCAATGGTAACCTCTATCCTGAATTGAGCATATATTATTCTCTTTTCCTTAGACTTGTTCTAGTAAGGAAAATTTAAATTTTTTTTTCAGTTTTGTAATTTTACAACATAAATAAATACTGTTATAAGTATTTATGTGAATTACTCTTATTATGTTCAGTAATATGCTGTGAGATTCTTTGTGGCTAGTTAATTTAGTCATTTTGAATTCACCAGAGCCTATCGGTTTATAGTACTTTTTCCTGTATTTTCCATCTTATCTCTCAGTATTTTATTTTGGGTATCTTCCAGTTTTACTAATTTTCTGTTCAGCTGTGATTGAACTACTAGTAGACTCATCCACCAAGTACTTAATTTTAGGTATTGTACTTTAATTTTCTAATTTCATTTGATTCATCTTGATAGTTTCCAATTCTCCACCAGAATTATCCATCTTATCATTTAACTCTTTTAGTATATAAATTGTAGTCATTTAAGAATCTGTGTTCGAGTATGCCAGTATCTGGATCTCTTTCTTGTATTGCTTTATTTTCTTTTAGTTTTTGCTCAAGACTAGCTTTTTATTTGTCTAACCATTTTTTAAAAAGTATGAAACATTATAACAAAAAATATGAAATAACATGATATCCACAGGATGTTATCTTTATTCAGAGTGGGAAAATTTTTGGATGAAAATTTCTTTATGATGGATTGAAAGGGCATGAAATTAGGCTTTGAGATTTTGGGGGAGGACTGGTCTACTTCCAATTCACCTTTATCTTAGGACATAGCTTTTAAAGGTTCCCAGCTGAGAGACTCTATACCTGTAGATCTCTGAATGCCAGTTTTTGCCTCTTCAGCTCCATATGTCTACTAGCAGCTCTGCAAAGCTTCTCAACCATAGCTTTTGTAATCCGCAATAAGTTGAAGTAGAAACAGCTCCATAGTTAGCCGTGTTGATAGGCATGGATAGAAAGACCTACATGTCTACATCTGTATCTGTCCATCTATATATCTTTGGTTCTTTTTCAAATATGTGTGATTATTTTTTATTGATTATTACTCCTTATCTATGCTTTTAATTTCTTCTTTTATTTATTCAATCATATTAAGCATATCATCTTTCTGTTAATTTCAATGTATGAAGTCTCTGCAGGCCTCATTCTTAAGCTATTTTTCTGCTTACTCTCCCTCTTGGTATTTTTTGGGGGCATGCTTTGTAATTAAAAAAAATTAGTGATTTCATACATATTAAAATTTTATTTGTGGGCCTTCTTTAAGACCTGTATTTAAAATGCATTATTCAGAAAGGGTTTATTTTTCTCTTTTCAAAGAACATGGGGTAAGGGGCACTACCAACCTGGCAGCAGCAACCTAAATCCAATTCTCTACTCGAGATTTTTTTATATCCTTTAGGTAGTGTGAATTCATAATACAAAAAAAGTATTACAGTTGACTTAAGAACACTTGATATGTCTCCTCCACCAAGAGCTAAAGTCCAGATAGAACAATTTCCGCCCTGGTCCTTTTTGTGGAAATTTTTTGTCATTGTTGTTAATGAGTCACAATTTATACAAGGGCTATGTCTTTGAGAGTCTTCATTTTATGTGGGAGTCTCTGTCTGACGTTCTCACCATGAACAGACTCAAGGCTTTTCTTCCTTGTATTGTGTGACCATTTAAAATGAAACTCAGTTAGGATTAGCAGGTGCTGGTCATGTTATCTCTGGATATGTGCTCCCAGTTTTCTAACCCCTGAGGAGGGATAGCTTATTTCACTGCAATCTTCATCATCCATTTAAAACTTTTTTAACTAATATTTTTATGAAACATTTTCAGATATTTTGTAAATAAGGACAAGGTATTAAGATCACAATGCTCAAAGCTCCATTCAGGACTTTAGCATTTACTTGTTGGACTTTTCATAATAATCTTCCAAGTCAGAGGTTGGCAAACTATGGCCTGTGAAACAAATCCAGCCCACTGTGTGTTTTTATAAATAAAGTTTCACTGAAAGTTTTATTGAAAGCTTTGCAAATATGTGTTTCTGCCTTCAGTTTAACAGACTTTTTTATAGCGTGTAGAGGGGGGTGTGTTTTTTTTTTATTTTGTTTTTATCTTCTTGTTTTCCTCTTTCTCTTTGCTCTTCTACCCTCATCCATCATTTTCTAGCAAAGGCTTCCTTTCAGGGGCTGAATTAAAAACCATTCTTCTAATTGTGATATTTTATCCTGAAGGTATGAGGGAAAATCCAAATGAAGCTACCCAGTGAGGGTTTGGGTTGGTTCAGCTCAAAGCTGTCTATATCCTCCTGCCCTATAGGCCTGCCGCTCACCATGTGCCCCTGTAGACCTGGATCACACCATGTGCCACAGCCCCTGCAATGGAACAGTCTTTCTCAGGCTCTTTTTATTAGGTGAGGACTCTGGCTTCACTGAGAAAGGCAGAAGTCAGCTCCCAAATACCACAAAGAATACTCTTAATTTTCTTATTCTGACAGGAGTCAAACTCTTGGCTTCCACTGTTTGCTTCTGGATGTGAACCTTGACCATTCCACAGTACCATCTCTGCACATTCTCTCATTTCTTGTCACAAAGTAGTTTATCTTGTGTTTGAGCCAAGGCATATCTTTTTTATATTTTATCTATCATTGCTATTTGTTTAGAGCCGAAGGGATGATCAAAATATTGCCACTGTATCATCTTTCTGAAATTTGAGTTAATGTGATACTTTTAAGGAAGAAAATTTTATCCTCACTTAGGTAGCAGATCTTTATTGATTTCTCCAAAGGGATCTTCTTTCTTCAGAAAAAAAAAAATGGAATAAGAGCAGAAAAGATGACAAGAATGCACATGCATATGTTCGTATTAAATACATTAAAATATAAGAGGTGGAAAGGAAAATGTTCTCATGAAAAATGTCATTATTTTCGGAATCATTTTCTAAGTACTTGGAACATTCTGGAATAAGCTGAGAATATTAAATTGCTATGATCCTTGATATTTGAAGTACTTTGATTATGTGCAATGTAAACCTTTGGAAATGCTGAAGGATCGTCTCTGGGGCAGTTGTTCAGCATGTGTTCTGGATGGTGAGAAGGACTAATGACAAAAGCACTCAGCTGAGTAGTGGCTTCCCCACTATAGTAGAGGTGAGGGGGTGATATGTAGATCCCCTCTCCGTGCTTTTCTGTGCAGAGAAATGTCATGGCGCCAGAAGGAGACTTCAGGATGCATAAACATGCACTGATTACTGTATTGGTTCACTGGAGATATTATACTTATGCCTCAAATTGAAGGAACGGTCTGATACATTCTTAATATATTTTATACCTTTTCTCTCATGATAAAGCATTTTGGAAAATTATTCTACCTCCAAATGATTTATGCACGTCCATGTAGTGTGTTAAGGAGAGCACCAGACTGTGTCAGGAGGCAGATATTTCATTTCTGACTCTGCCCCTAATTAGCTGTGTGATCCTGGACAAATCAGTACAATTCTCTGGGCATATTTCATCATTCATAACATTGGTAGACATTGGACTTTTTGATTATCAAGATCTTTTCCAGCTTTAAAATGCTTTTTTCATGCCCTTATGCGTGTGCTTAGTATTATGTTTCAGCTTAAGTAACAGAGAAAAATCACCTTTCCCCAGTTTTTGTCTGAAATGTTATGTGGATCAGTGGTTCACAGGCTCATAGAGGACCCTGGGGCCTTTTGTCAGACTTCAGGGGCTAGAGAAGTTGGTAAAAGGGATAGTCTGAGAAGGTAGCTTTTCCAGCCTTCCACTCTTGCTTCTCGCAGACAAGTTCTGTCTATTTTCATTTAACATATAGATATCTTTGTAAAATATTATTTAAAGAGAGTATTTTTTTAGTTAAAAAAGTACGAACACTGCTGATCAAAGCTGTTTGGCGTTAGATCAGTCTTAGTAATGGAATAATTCTATACTCAATGCCTCTATTTGGTGTTTTTTGTAAATGACTGAATTTAAAACTTTTGATTTTATGATAAGATCACAGATAGATATATTTGGTATGTTTTGCTTAAGGCAGAGTCTCGCTCTGTCACCAGACTGGAGTGTAGTAGTGCGATCTTGGCTCACTGCAACCTCTGCCTCCTGGGTTCAAGCGATTCTCCTGCCTCAGCCTCCAGAGTAGCTGGGACTACAGCCGCCTGCCACCACACCCAGCTAATTTTTGTATTTTTAGTAGAGACAGGGTTTCACCATGTTGGCCAGGATAGTCTCTATCTCTTGACCTCATGATCTGCCTGCCTTGGCCTCCCAAATTTCTGAGATTACAGGCATGAGCCACAGTGCCCAGCCACATTCGGTATGTTTTAAGAGATTTTATAATATTCACTTATTCTATTTTTATGGATCACACCAATATTCTTAAATAATTTAATGTAAAAATAAACTGAGTTGGATGAGATAAAATTAGATAGCTTTATGTGAAAAAAAAATCCCTAAAATCTTGAAATTCTGTATAAAACTGTTAAATTGACTTGAATACATATTCTTGAAAGGTTAATCTGTATCTCAATATTCTTTTGAGGTTCTGCCATTTTTTATTGTACTTGGATGATGTCACAGTTACTCATCAAACAGGGGCCTACTTTTGACCTTTTTGTTTCCTTCACATAACATGAGGTTAAGGCATGAAATTCAAATGATTGTTAAGTTGTTTATATCATGTTTATAACTGTGTTACAAGGTTTAAAGCATTTAGTACAGTTTTTGGCACACAGAAAATCATGCATGGAGCCATTATTTTAATGTATAGAAAGGTTTTATCTGATAATCTAATTCAGACCTATCCATTTCTTCAAAGAACTAAGTTTCTCATATGTTTTAGATAATACAAGTCCTTAAAGGTAAAAGGTATGAACTTAAATGAATTTAGGAAAGTATTGAATAGAATTTTCCCTTTCTGGAAATTTACCTTAGCCCATCAGAGGCTCTGCGAATTCCTGAGGTTAGGGGTTAAGTTTGTTTAGCCCAGAATTTTTTTACATATTTGAGGGCAAAACCCCTTATAAAAATAACTTCCATTGCTTTTCTTACAAAACTTGTGTTCTGTAAAACACATTTTGGAAGATACTGCCTATAATAAAAAGAGTTTACTATATAAAATCAAACAAAATATGGGAATCATATCCTTGCCACGCTCTCTTATTCACTTGGACTTTACTACACTCTGGAAAGTGGCTAGGAAGGCATTGTTATGGCTGTTTCACAATGAGGAAGCAGGCTGATGTTTTGTGACAATGGAAAACATTACACAGCCCATAGATGGTAGAACTGGGATTTACAGCCAGGTGTTCTAACAACCAGGCCAGGACTTTCCCCCCTAAACTGTTTTAAATCTAAAAATATTAGTCACATGCCATGTGTGCTCTGAAAATTTTCTATGTAAAAACTCTGGGGTTCAGACTTTTAGAATAACTTTCTCCTTTCTCACAGAGGGAACTGAACATATTGTTCTCCTACTCTGTGCTACTAACTATCATGTGCCTTGTCTCTGCTAGGATACAGAGAGGGAATATGCAGGTGAGATGGCTTTGAGGAAAGAGCTTGTTCGAACCCTGAGCACTTTTAAATATGATGAGCTTGGCCTCTCAAGATCCCAAGGTTGCACAATCCTTTTACGTAAATTTTTTTAAAATTCAATTCTGCGACATCTCTAACATGATGACATACATGTAGAAGGGGAACAATGACAACTATCATAATATCCATATTTAGAGAGTATTCCTGTCGATTTACCTTATGTTTGGAGAAACCAAACTTGGAATTGGTGGTTACAAAATCACAAAGGAGCATCCTCTGATAATCATAATGGTGCATACATTAAAGCTAACAATATTGTTGTCCAAGGTCAGAGGCCATTGAGAACCGTTTTTTGGTTCAGAGCTGCTGGGATTTGGTCCATAGCTTCAATAGCTGTGGCAACAGCTGTGAGGTCTCAGCTTTGATAGAGGCCCCCTAAAGATATCATTCAATATCATGAACTCTGATAGTTATTCTTTGTGAGACTTTGACCTCTATGAGCCTCACTGTAAACTGGAAATGTTGATACCACTTTACAGGAAGTTTAGATGAAAACAGGTAAATGTACCTAGCACTACCTAGGATTCAACAAGTGGAAGGTACTATTTAGTACAGTTGGCCTTCAGTATCCAGTATCCACAGATTCCACATCCCAGATTCAAACAACTGTGGATTGAAAAATTCAGGAAAAAAAATCCGATAAAAAACAATACAATAAAAAAATACAAATGAAAAATGCAGTATAACAACTTTTTCCATGGCATTTACATTCTATTATGTATCATAAGTAACCTAGAGATAATTTAAAGTATACAGGAGGATGTGTGTAGTTTATGTGCAAATCCTATGCCATTTTGTATCAGGGACTTGTGGATCCATGGATTTTGTTATCAGAGGGAGGTTTTGGTATCAATCCACCAGGGATACTGAGAGATGACTGTATTTTAAAAAGAAAAAGTAGAACCCTGAGAGATTGTAATTTTTATATTCCCAATTTAACACATGAAGGAAGTAAAGCTCAAGTGCTCAAAAATATACTTGAAGTCAAGCAACTATTCGAAAGTGAACATAGGGATTCAATTAGATCATGTGGTTCTAAGTACACCCTGCTTCACTGTGCTGCCTTCCTACTTATATTCACACCATAAGTGACTGGGCTCAGTTGAAATATTTCTCAGACTTGCTTTATATATGACATTTTCCAAAACTCCATTGTTTTAGAAAGACTTTCTCCCTTCTGAAATTTTAAAGACTAATCACATTTAAGCATGGTACTGGTACTGTCTTATCACTCTTTTCTCTGAAAGCAATCATATACCAACAGGGCTGGTGGGGTCTGAAAACATGAGCCCACCTATAAATAGGGCATCTTACTTTCCTCTGATCACAACAGCTCCACAGTGTAATAAAATTCAGGAGCAGATATTGGGAACGAAGCCAGGTATTGATTAGTTCTTATGTGCTGACTGCTCTGGGAATTTCTGAGTTTCACACAGATGGAAGTGCAAATTGCTTTGAGAAATCATTGTAAGGGTTTTATATAGGCGATTTATTTATATATTTATTATTTAATTTATGTATCACATGTCACACATGCAGACCATAAGCTGAAACACTTACTCGAACAACTTTGTCCTCAGCTTATATATAGGAATACTCACCCACCACAGGGTAATGAAGATGGGAATGAATGTGAACAGAGAATAGAGTAACCAGTCCACACGTGCTCTACAAATTGAGCTTAAATGTTCCCTTGAATGTAAATCTTATTTCCCTTCTACTATTAATTTTGTATAACTAGTTCAACATGGCCAACAAAATAAATATTACATAATGATATTTAGCATTTGGATTCTCTATTGGTAATACATAAAAGAAAATTAGTTGTGAACTGAAGATTGTATGGCATCTCTGCCACTTAGAGGATATTTAGTTCATCATTTAATATTTGAGGATATACTCCTTATTATGGGCAAGCACTTTGATAGATATTAAGGCTACAGTAATGAGAAGGATATACATGTTCTCTACTCTTAAGGAATTTATTATTTTGTAGGAGAGATATACATTAATAATTATAAAATGAATACCAGAAACAAACATATGGAATATTATAGGAGGAGATGCCAGCCATGTCTGGAGAGTTAAGGATGACTTCAATGAAGAAATGATCTTGAGACAAGACATGGAAGATACGTCGGAGTTAGTAACGCAAAGCATGGGAGAAGGAACATGGCAGAGTGTGCTGGATGTCTCTGAATAGCAGAAAGAGGCTAATGCACACAGGGCACTAAGCAAAGGCAATTATGACTGGAGTTAAGAGAGAGAAGGTGATATTGCTATGTATTGAGAATGGAATAGCATAGACAAGTGAGACCCAACAAGACCTTATGGGTTAAAATGAAAATATTATATTTTAATTTTATAAATGAAATTGGATCGGTTAAAGTTGTCAGGTATTTCAATCACATGTTATTTTGCTTGGAATATGTAATCAATATGTAAATCAACTCAACTAGTTTTATTTAAATTGCTGGTTTTATTATTATTATTATTAATTTTCATACAATCTGCCAGACTGGCATTACAGTTAATTCTGTAGTTTGTGGTTGTCAAAACCACTTATTCTACTGATTTTTATTCTGGGACAAGTGATTGCCTAACATATTACCTGGTTGATTTTTTTTGTTTGTTTTTGTTTTTTGTTTTTTGTTTTTTTTTGAGATGGACTTTTGCTCTCCCAGGCTGGAGTGCAGTGGCACCATCTCGGCTCACTGCAAGCTGTGCCTCCCGGGATCATGCCATTCTTCTGCCTCAGCCTCCTGAGTAGCTGGGGCTACAGGCACCTGCCACCACGTCTGACTAATTTTTGTATTTTTAGTAGAGATGGGGTTTCACCATGTTAGCCAGGATGGTCTCAATCTCCTGACCTCGTGACCCACCCACCTCGGTCTCCCAAAGTGCTGAGATTACAGGTGTGAGCTACTGCGCCCGGCCATTACCTTTTTTTTTTTTTTTTTAAATTCAACTTTAACAAGTGATATGGTTTGGCTGTGTCCCCACCCAAATCTCATCTTGAACTGTAGTTCCCATAACCCCCACATGTCATGAGAGAGACCAGGTGGGAGGTAATTGAATCATGGGGGCCATTACCCTCATGCTGTTCTCGTGATAGTGAGTGAGTTCTTGTGAGATCTGATGCTTTTATAGGGAGCTTTTCCCCCTTTGCTCCACACTTCTCCTTCCTGCCACCATGTGAAGAAGGATATATTGGCTTCTCCTTCCACCATGATTGTAAGTTTCCTGAGGCCTCCCGTGCAGAACTGAGTGAATTAAACCTCTTTCCTTTATAAATTACCCAGTCTCAGGTATTTCTTTCTTGCAGTGTGAGAATAAACTAATACAGCAACCACACTCATTTTTAAAATATAATGCTTTCCTTCATATCTAGGATATTTAAAAATTGATTGAAATGTAAATGTTCAACTATAAGTGTCAATATGATTCTAAAGTTCAGTTTGAAAACTTCAGAATTAAATATATCTTAGATTTTATTTAAAAAATTATAACTCCTGTATATTATTGTATTTTGGCTCAAGAATCTAAACATCTCACCTTTTATTTGTCTGTGGAAGTCTGGTGTAAACACTTTTCCTGATTTTATCTTTTCCTCGTTTCCAGTGATCTCTTTAACAGGAACAATTTCTGTAATAGTTATTAGCACGTTCGATTATATTATACTATCTAAGATTTGGCTTATTAAATATTCTCTGGCTATGCAGTGGACAGTCCTAGGATTTGACATTCCAACTAAATACAGCTTATAGGAGAAGAAACACTGTTAAGAACATTTTAGAATAATACCAATAAGTAATGTTTTTGTAGCACATTTCCACTGAGAAAGGACTTTAACAAAACAGGTGATTTTATTTGAGTACTTAACAACCCTGACATATATAATCATACCATTATTTCCATCTCATAGCCCAGGAAATTGGAGGTTATAAGCAAAATTCTTTGCCAAAAGATACTCAAGTCTTGGTCTATGGTGAAATCTATGTCTTTTGCTTCTTGTCTCATTTTTCTTCTGCTTCTCCACTATTCTTTATATATAAATTAGAGCCTGTAATATTGAATTGGTAAAGGCATACATTACATATTTAATTACATGTATAATTACATACTTTGCAGATTGAAGACTTCTTTCCCAACTTCATAATATTAAAATCTGTGGCAGCAGAGAGTTACCAAGGAATGGAACTCATCACTTCACATTGATATCTTGTCTCTTTGACATCTCTCCCTTGTGTTTTCTTTTTATTCTTTTTTTCCTAAATTATACTTTAAGTTCTGGGATACATGTGTGGAACGTGCAGGTTTCTTACATAGGTATACACATGGCATGGTGGTTTGCTTCACCCATCAACCTCTCATCTACATTAGGTATTTCTCCTAATGCTATCCCTCCCCCAGCCCCTCACCCCCCGACAGGCCCCCATGTGTGATATTCCCCTCCCTGTGTCCATGTGTTCTCATTGTTCAATTCCCACTTATGAGTGAGAACATGCGGTGTTTGGTTTTCTGTCCTTGTGTTTTCGATTATCCCTTGATTTTTGAATGTGCTGAGCCTCAGATATTGACAATTTTTTAAAAAACTAAAATTATAATATTTCTCTCCAAGTATTCTCTCTTCTTTGTTTTCACGTTAGTGGTAATGATGGCACTATTTTTCCTGTCTCTGAAGATTTCAGCCTCAGTGTGATTTTGAGACCCTTTCTTAATTTCTTTTGACATACAGAATGGATTAACCAATCATTTTTTTCTTACAGTATTTCTTGGTATGCTGTCTCTCCCTCTTTTTCTGAAATACTAATCTGGAGACAGACACCCAGCTTGTATATATTTATGTTCTCAGGAAAGACTCAACTTTTTCTCTCCCGTTATTGTAATCTTACACAAACTGTTTGCTACTGTTTCACTATAACAGCTACACATTCACATTTAACTGAAAAGATTAGGATGAATTAATGGAGCATTTATTCAGTCACATTAATGCTTTATATTCATAATAACATCAAAATGGAGAATTTTATTTATATAAGGGGATTTTCTGAATATTTGAAGAATATATTACTTTAGGCACCATTTTTAACTATATGTAACCCAAATATCTCCAAGCCAGTGACCAGAGATATTAGTTTAATATGACACCTGAGTTTTTTAGACTCCTTTATCCCTTGCTGTTAACATCCCACCTGCACTCCTGTGGGTTTTGCCAATTATTTTTAGGTATTTGAGAGATCTACCAGAGCATTCACACTACTCAAATAAATGCTGTGTTCTTCCCTGAACTCCTTGGAACCTCTAGGTTCCTGCCCTTGTGACTGCTTCTTCACTGGGCTTCGCTTCACTGGCCTACAAAGTTTTTGCCAGGTGGCGAAACAACGATGCCATTGCCCCTTCAGTGCAAAATGAATTTTGCCTTCTCCATTTCCCTTAGCTCCAGTCCCTGCCAGTGTTTCCACTCTACTAGGTTCCAGGAGGTCCCCACCAGTTTTACATGCTGCTCTTTGGAGTATTAGAAACTTTACTGCTGTTCTTCCAAGGACTCCTTGATAGCTGCCCAAATATTCATTGTGCCAAAGGCAAAAGCTGTCCTATGACAGTGTGGGAAATTTCAAGACAATGATGTTTGTGTGGAGGTTTGCTTTACAATTTAGTTGAAATAATTCTCTGAAGTTTTACTGGTTGTTTTGCTTGCTTGTCTTGTTCTGTTGGACTGTATGTCCAGGTCATTGATTTTATCTCTTTCATCACTGGCTTTCACAAAGTCCCTCTGTGATGTATTCATTTATACACACTCCTTTATGTCCACTTCTCACTTTGTTTTCTCCCTTCTCTTCATGCTCAATAATTCTAACATGTTTAAGGCATATCTATTTGGTCTTGTAACTACGCTTTTGAAACATGTATTGTTATTTTGAATGAATGTCATAATGTCATATCATGCCATATATTGTAATTATTTCTTATTTTTCTTCTTGACACTATGCTTTCGAGTATGCTTTATGAATGTCTACTCCATTCCTTCTGACTGTTGCGTGGTGCTCTAGTGTGTGTAAGTACAGCATTTTTGCCTATCCACTTCTAGTGATAGACACCTAGATTGCAGCCAGCTCATCTAATAATGCCAAAACTTACATGACATATCACACCACCTCAGGGTCCGTTGTGTGGATTTATTTGAGTTACATACCTAGAACAAGAATTGCTGGGTGATACAGTATAAATACAGCTATTTTGACTATGTGCTTCCAGGTTTCCCTCTAGAATATCAATATCAGTGTACATTTCCACCGCTACATCCTATCTATATTCACATTATATTAACACCTGGAATTACCTAGCAATGTACTGAGGTTCTCCAGTATTTCCGATTCACAACATTACTTAGTCTTTTCATTTTCTCCTTTACTCAATGTGTCATTTATTTCCTTTGTCTAGGTGAGCAATGGAATATGTACAGAAGTAGCATGAGAGCTGATGCCTGAGTTGTCTTCTTTGCCTTTGACACTGCAACCAATAACATTCTAGATTGTGGACAGCCCATAAGTCTTAGGCCTAAAAGAAGATGAAGTGAGCCAAACTGACCCATTGGTCTAATATATACAAACAGCATAAGCAAAATATAAAGCTTCTTTTGGAAGTCATTAGAATTTGTGTGTTGCTTCTTGCCACAGCATAACCTAACCCATTCTGACTCACATATACAACTTGTTAAACTTTGCCAGTATAGGAAGCACAAAGTAATAATTAAGTAATTTTAATTTATAGTTTTCTGATAACTAGTGGCTGTGACCACCTTCTCATGTATTTCTTAGTCCTTTTGTTTTCTTCTTTACTCAATATAGCATTTATTTCTCATTCATTTTTCTTTACCTGGAGATCTGCGATTTATTTTTAAATTTTATGCACAGATTTTTTTCTATGTTCTGACATTAGTTCTTGTTAGGCAATCAGAATATCTCTTTCCACTGTCTCATCTGTTAACTTTGTTCAAGCTGTCCTTTGTAAACAGAAATCATGAGTTTTGATGTAATCAAATTGATCCATTTTTGCTTTATAGTTTCTGCTTTTGAAGTATTAGTTAAAATGTTTTTACTTTTTATTAAGCTACAAAAATATTTACACTATTTTCTTTCTGTTACCAGCACAGTCCTAATTTTCACATTTTTATTTCATCTTTCTAGTGCTGTCTTTTTGAGTAGTTTAGGTACGAATCTAGTTTTTTCCACATAAATATGAAAAAGTTTTGCCAATAACATCTACTAAACACTCCAGTTGCTTTATAGTGCCACAATTGTTTATTACATAATTCTGCTCTGAGATCTCTGTTCTTTTCAGCTGGCTCATGCTGTGGTTTGAATGTTTTTGTTCCCTCCAAAATTCATGTTGAAACTTAATCCCTAGTAACACAGTATTTGGAGGTTGAGCCTTTTCGGAGGTATTTAAGACATGAGGGCTCATGACGGAGAGTTTGGTCCGTTTTTGCTATTTCACTCTTCCACTGTGAAAGAACACAGCATTTCTCCCCTCCAGGGTATATATAAGGTGCCATCTTGGAAATGGAGACCCAGCTCTCACCAAACACCAAACCAGCTGGTGCCTTAATCTTGGACTTCCCAGCCTCCAGAACTGTGAGAAATAGATTTAGGTTCTTTATAAATTACCTAGTCTTGGGTATTTATTAATAGCAGAACAAATGAGCTAAGACACCCTATTTGTCTGCTTTACCACCAGTGCCACAGATTTTTATTTTCAAAGGTGGCTTTATATTATGTTTTAATTTCATATTTCTCAAAAAAGAAAAAACCTAACTGAAATGTTAATTTAGTTTTAATTAAATTTATTGACAACTTGGAGGAGATTGACATTTCCTTTTAAAGAGCTATTAAAGAGCATGGAATACCTTACTATTTATCAAATCAGCTTCTATGCCTTTGAAAAGAGTATTTTTTTTTCCATAGAGATCATTTTGTTTTCTATTAATTCCTGTACAGTTTGTTGGTTCTGCTTCTATTGTGAGGTATACTTCATATTTTTATGTCGTCTAGGTAGTTATTAATACAGAGAAGTGCTTTTAAATTTTTCAAGGTGAGCTTCAATCTTTGTTGTATGCCTCTTTGAAATGAGATAGAATCCTGAAGCTAGCTAAAATAATAACTATCATATTTTTCTCAAGATTTCTACTCCATGATTAAGGTTTATTACTGGGTCCATTTATTGTACCTGGCTACATTTTTGTTCTGAGATCCCTTATGTTGAGAGGTGAAGCCAGCTGGACTCCTGGGTCGAGTGGGGACTTGGAGAACTTTTCTTACAAGAGGCTTGTAAAATGCACCAATCAGTGCTCTGTAAAAATGCACCAATCAGCACTCTGTAGCTAGCTAGAGGTTTGTAAAATGCACCAATCAGTGCTCTGTAAAATGGATCTAGCTGCACTCTGTAAAATGGACCACTCAGTGCTCTGTAAAATGGACCAATCAGCACTCTGTAAAATGGACCAATCAGCAGGACATGGGCGGGGACAAATAAGGGAATAAAAGCTGGCCACCCCAACCAGCAGCGGCAACCCTCTCGGGTTTGCTGTTCAAAATAAATCATGCTGCTGCTCACTTTTTGGGTCTGTGCCATCTTTAAGAGCTGTAACACTCACCGCAAAGGTCCACAACTCCATTCTTGAAGTCAGTGAGGTCACGAACCCACCAGCAGGAGCCAACTTCGTACAAAATATGACATTCCTTCCAGTGAGTGGACATTGTGGGAATCCCTCAATCATTCTCCAGAAATAACCAAATATCTTGCAACATTCATCACTAGACAAAAACCTGGCTCAGGAAGAGATCCCTCTTAGAAATCTACAATGTGCACATATTTTTCTGCCTTTTAAAATAGAGCTTATTGAGTATTTTCCTGATGACCAAGTCCATGATTTAGAACATCACAGACTACAAAATATTGTATTGTGATGATGTGCTCAGGAATTCCTGATATGTGCAGAGCAGCTTGACCTTAAGTCTAGGGATTAAGTTTCAACAAACAAATGATGATAGTCCAGCTCTTTCATCTATTTTTCTAAAATTTTCTGTTCTGTTTCTTTCTGTCATTCTACAGATAACTCTATTTCCGTGGTCAGTCAGCTTGCTCTTTCAGGCATTCTGTATTCCTATCCTGAACTATCAACTCCACAAAACAAGAGTAATCGTTGTTTACATCACCGCTGTGCACCACTGCAGGCCTTTTCTTAGTATGTGCTTAATTGACTTTTTATATTTGCTATTTTAAATTTAATGTGATTTGCAAAAGATGAGAGGTGAAATTATCGTCATTGGGCCTAAAATAATTATAAATATTTGTTGAAGGAGGGACTAAGGGATCACCTATGATAAGTGTAGAAGTTTACTGTCAAAACTTAAAGAGACAATTTTGGTTCATCAAGGATTCTTTGTGCTATTTTTCTTTTAAATGACTGATTCTCAGTTGTGTCCAATTAGTTAAGGTTACACAACAAATGCTCTTTGAAATTAATACTGTTATTATATTAAAGGTTTTTAGAAATTTTGGGTTAATCAGGAGACAAAAACCTATAGGATATTTGGAATAAAAATCTTTCAGGGAGGATGAGAGAATTTTTTCCCTCATCTATAACAGCAAATGGCCAGATAAGATTATTTTTTAGACTATTATCCCTCAAATATGCTATTGATTCTATAATTTCATGTTAAAAAGCTTCTGATTTTTTGCTAAATGCCCCAAATTTAATATTTTAAAATATCCAGATGCCTTGCTTTTAGTTATATAGAAAAAAATCCATATGTGTTGGTGTCTAGGGTTTGCTTTTGGAAAAAAAAAATCTAGACTTTATTTTAGAAAAGAAAATTATTTTTACATAGCACCAAACTAAATACTTTTTAATATGCAAGCAAGAAAAATTTTTATATAATATTTGTTTACTCACTTGGGAACCACTACTAATTTCATACTCTTGGAGTTGTGAGTCATCATTTTAACAGTTGTCCTTTTCAAAGTGCCACCAGAGTGTTTCTATCCTAAATGTTTTTAACAAGTTCAAATCAGGCAACAGGAGCCCAGCTCAGGGGTGCTATAAAAAGACAATAATGCTTTGTTTTACTTTTAAACGTGCCATCTAACCATTAGCTTCATGTAGGGTGGTGCTCCATTGGGGTCTGAGGTGGAAGGCATTGGTCAAGAGCAGTTTGCTGAATTAGCCAAAGAAAGAGCTAGAGATAAGCCAAGAGTAGAATTCATTATTTGCCTCCCTCTCAGACTTTGTTTCTCCACAGCACATTGCTTCTGGGTTACATCTTATATAACTCTTTTCTTTTGGCTTTATGTAATAATTTTACATCAGCTTCTTCAGACTCTTTGAAGAATGATCTTTGCTGACCTACTTTATTGAAGGAGGTACTGAGGGATCACCTATGGGTAAAGTGAAGAATATTTAGTGTCAAAATTTAAAATGTGTTACATTCAGAGAGAAAGGGCCTCATTCAGACATAATTCTTTAAGGGGCACTGTATAACTTCAGCCACACTAATTTTGACTCTAGAAATTTTCATAGTTCCACCAGTCCATTATGTATTTATAATAATAACCAGATGGCTTTGTCAGCTTAGCACTTTATGCAGGCAAAGAAAGCATTCATTAATAAAACTGAGTCCATACACTGTAATAAGGAATATATGCAGTTTACAATTTGGACTATTCTGAACTACATCATTGCTACGCAAGACCATTCTCTATTTTTTCTTCAATAAGGATAAGTGGGTGTCCAGAATGGCTACAGGTATTTTCATTTAAGGTGGGAGAAATTTCCTGTGAATCACAGCTTACTTTGTCCCAACTTACATATTTCCTAGGATGTCTACTTTTTGATGTACGGTATCTCTTAACTAAGTCTGATTTTGTTTATGCCTGCTGTCAAAATACCATCTCTAAATACAAAAGTTGTATGTTTTGATTTCTGCTGAAAGCTTTGCTCTCTTCCAATACATTCTATGAAATGTTGCAAAGACTGTGATACTTAAGCTTTCTCTTTCTCTGAGAATTCTGAGTCTCAGTTTTCTTTGCTATCTGCATTCTCTATTAGGTTTATTATTTCTGATGAGAATGCTGTTTTAAGTATAATTTCCCTTGAAAAGTTCCCATCAGAAATGAATCCCTCATTGTGTAAAATATAGCCACTGTTATATTTCCTTTCTGTCTCCAGCAACAGTAGTTTAGAAGTACTCCAGGGAACTAATGGTTTAAGCATTCCTTGTCAAATATCATGTGAGTAACACTAATATAATTGTTTTTCTATCAGATGGCTTTGTAACATAATTCAGGTACTTTCTACAACTACTTTCAAGGCAGTGTCTACACAACATCATACTTCTGAATAAAGAGCAGGAAAATCTATTTCATTTTGAAACAAAAACAATCAGTTTTATATTTTGAAATTATTTATGAGATTATATTCCTTCCTAAGTGACTTAAGGTTAGATATAAAGTGTATGTGGTAATATTTAATTTAGAACAAATTGAGGTTAGTGGGTATAACTTGACCCTAAAAATTCAATTCAACAATCATTTTTCAAGTGAATACTATGTGCAAGGAGTCCTAGGATTTATAGGGAACCTAGTTCTGGTTATTTTTTCTAAAGGTTCTAAAACTAAAAAGGATGAAAAGCTACATAGGTAAAAAACCGAAACAGGGGGCCAAGCTATGGCCTGGTCTCTGCTTCCTGCTGCAGTGCGGACTTCCTTTAGCAGGTAGGATGAATTCTCAGGACCTATATTTTGCCACTTGACTCAAGGAGTTGAGGCTGAAGGAGCCTAAAGGACCCCACGCAGGATCTCACAGTTTGAGGGGAAGATGAAGGAGGATAGAGCGGGAAGAGCAGCTTGGAGTCTGTCAGAGACTGGTCCCCAAGACTGACTCCACTGACTTTCCAAACAATAAGTGACCATTTGACATTATGGAGTATAATATACACAAATGACTGCATATATTTTCCACTAAATCCTTTCCTTACAGGGAAGTCTTTCTAGTTTTTGTTCTACAGTTATTCTAAAATTAGTCAAGAAAAAGAAAATAATTTTCCTGACACATGAACACAGATTTGAAGGCTGAGCAGACTGCTGGTAACCAAAGCATAGAATAATTTTCAGAAGAATACTTATATTTAATATTACCCTAACAGTATCAGAAATGTCTCTTATGAAAATATCTTCTGTACTTACTATCAAAAGAGAATCACTTCAGCTACATTGAGACGAGCTATGAGCAGGAAAGGAAGTTGCTGGATTTAATGCAGGATCCTACAATACATGTTCACAAGTTACATACTTTCATGCCTAGGTGGGAAATTGGACACGCAGAGGGAAACAGGGACATTTTTCTGTTTCTGTGTGAACCACAGAGGATTTTGGGAAATACAATGCTGTTTTGGCCTATGATTGATCTGTAGCTTTGGGGCAGTCAAGAAGGGGTGCTGATAAAGAATGTGGCCAGTGCCACATGCTAGAAAAGAGGATTTGTGTGTTAAGTGAGAACCATCTGAGACTCTTCAGATGGAACCGAGAAAGACTTTGAAGGAAGCTAAAGAGTCTGCTACTTAGCAGGAGCAGACTATTATTGCTACTAGTCTGGTCCCATTTATATTCACAGGCTGGTAAAGCCCAGCAAGACCTGCTTATATAATGGAAGGTGAACTGTAAGCTCCATGGGGGCGGGGCCCAAGCCTGTCTAGTTTCATTATATTACCCAGAAGACACAGGACTATTTGGGGAAATGTCAAATATTTCCATTTAGGTGGTATGCTGGGTACATGAAAAATTGTAATGAGAAGAATATTAGAAAGAGCAGATGGAAATAGAATGTGGAGAATGTCGAATACCACCGTAAGGACTTGAGCTTTCTTCCATAGTAATTGGTAGCTGTTGAAGGTGTTTGACCAGGAGATTGACAGAGGGATGTCGGGTCCCTCAGTCTTCCACATTTTGTAGCTTATATTTTGCTTCACCCTATGTTGAAATGTAAATACATGCACAGGAAAAGGAATTAAGTCTTTCAGTCATGACATATATACTACATTGAGAGAAACTAGCTCTTTTTTTCAATTTATAGTTATGGGGTTTATATAAACAAATTTCATTGATGTTACTTTGCCTTGTTGAACAGAATAGAGCTTTAACAGGAGAAACAACCATCTTCTGAATTCCAAAGAACCTTGAATTCTCATGTCTTTCTAGGTGTGTTCCTCTAAGGTCTAGAATTTGTTAATTGCTATGATGTCTTCGCCAAGAAGACTGGTCTGTGTGGCTACTTTCAGGACAACTATTGTCAATCAACATCTGCAGAGACAATGACAAAACAGCCTCACTACATACCTAGGCAGCTTCTGTTCTCAAAATAAATGATCTCAGCTGTTTCAAAAAATAAAATAGTAAATACGACCATCATCCAAGTTTCCATTCTGTACCATTCCATTCTGTACCATTCCATTAAATCTGTTGACGAATTATATCCATATTTAAATACTCTTATGGATAAAAGCAGAAATGTGTCAGGATAATCAGCAAAAATGTAAAAATCAGAGTGAATTGATAACTTAGTTGTTATATTGGTTATGGCACAATGTCATAGGGAAAAAATGAGCTTCAGGGTCAGAGAGTTTTGTGTTCCAATCTGAATTTGAACACTTACGAGCTCTGTATCTCTGGGAAAGCCATTTAATTTTTCTGAACTTTAGAATATCTTCTATACAATTAAGATAAAAATGCTTATTAATCAGATTTTCATTGATTAAATAAAACATGGAAAAATACATTATACAGTGACTTGCAGATGCTCTAGACAAACTGAGTTGTCATTTTATGTCCTTTCTATCCTACATCAGATAACTGTTTTGAATGATATTTTTAAATGAAAGTTATTAGAGTTTTTTTTCTTAGCAACATTTATACATTATAGTGTTTATATCTATCTACCATCAAAATGAATTTGAGGTAATTTAAATCATTAGAAAAACAGGAAACATTTATTAAAAAATACTTAAATTAACATACAGAATAAATCTCTGCAGGAAGATAAGAAAACAACTGGCATGAAGTAAAAACTGAAGTTCTTCATCATAGCTTTGAAAGTCATGCACAACATACAGCAAAACCTACCTTTCTGTGCTTATTTCACACTTTGTCCTAACACACATCTTCTGCTCCAATCAAAGCAGACCATTTGATAAGCCCTACATATCTCATTTGCTTTTCTTTTCTACCTGAAATGCTTTCTCTTCCTACCCCAAAACTTGAACGAAAACTCAGCCAAAATGTTCATGCAAAACGCTCATCTCTTTTATACAGATTATAGAGTTCCAGACCTGAATGTTTCTTTTCCTCCTTTGCCTCCCCTTAATTCTGTCTTCAGGAACCATCAATGGTTATTGTCCTATCCACCTTGTTTGTTCATTGGCCTTAGCTTCTCTCCCTACAACAAGAACTCTGGACTGTCCCCCTGCCTAAAGGATGGATTGAACCATTTATCTCTCTCTCTTCTGCAGCATCCAGTACAGAAGCTTCCTTATTTTTATTATTCACTTTATATTTGTTAAATTGTAGTAAATGGGAATTTAATACTAAACTGTTTTCTGAGCTTCCTGACAACAAAGAAAAAAAAAAGGAATTATAGAACTTGGAGATAAGTTGTTAAAAAAAAGGAAAAAATGATAAAAGAAATTAAAGAATGTACTTTTAGTTGTCCACTGAATAAAACATAATAAGGTCACTTGAAAAGCCTTTTTTTTTTTTTGCTTCTGATTTCTAGGATAAATTTATCTCATAGATGTTGGGCAAGGGTGTTCTGGATAAAAGAAGAGTGTGAGCCAAAATACAGAGGCAGGAAGGGAGAGGATGAGCAAGGTTTAGCTGGAGGGTCTGGGTGGAAGAAAGGTCAGAGGCCTAGACTATGACTCTAGGTTTTGACTGAGAAACACTCTTTGCACATAGCAACTCCTTTATTCCTGGAAAAATAATTCAAGCATGCTTTTTAGTTGCCACTTAATATATTTACATTTTAATTGTTTCCATTTTCAGTGGGTGTTACTTTAGACAATATAACAACCTCAGTTTCTATCAATGAAAATAAAAATTTAGGAAATTGTCCCCTATTTTAACATTTAAATATTACAAAAGTCTCATATTGTCTAATGAATTTTAAATTTTCTATAGTTTTAGATTGTATCAGACATGGCTAATAAGTTTTAACAAGTAATCATTGAGTACCAACTATATACCAAATGCCATTTCGAGTGCTATAAATGTGACAGTGTCTCTGCCCCTCATGCAGCTTAAGTTCCAGTGAGGGAGATAGACATTTACCCAACCAACAAATCAGTATATGAAAAAAAATTTTATCTCATAGATTATTATATAAAGCTGTGTACATGATAATAGACAATAGGTAAAAACATAGTTCACCAAAAAATTGTAGAAATCTTTATAAAGATGAATTCTTTTTTATTATACATAATTAAAGTTATGGACCAAACCAATTTTAATTTCAGGAAAATGAATGGCATCATTCAACAATGTTTTTTTCTAATTGTATTTCTTAACATAGGTAAGAGCTTGGAGAAAATGTTTAAGTAGGTGGTTAGCTTGTCTCTTTAAATCATCCCATTTTCAAGTAAAGTTTTGACAAGACCTGGTTACTTGTAGTCAATTTGTGAAGTAACTCTGACAAGTGCCCAAAGCGCATACATCTGTGTTGCTGATTAAAGAGCACTACAGGCATCTTACATACCAGATGTGCAGATGGCAGAGTTTATAAAATCTTCTGGAATCTGAGGCGCCTGTTTTGCCTTCTTACTCATATAGAAAACCATATAATTTTCAGAAAGCATAATAGGATATAGGAGAATAGGTATGTGTCTGTGTGTGGGCAGGGTGGGGAATTTGGAAAAAAAAGTGGAGAAAGGGGAGTTTATTGGGACATTTAAGTTTGCTTTAGTATTGGTATAAAGCACTTCTTAGATATGCTTTATACCAATAAGCTCTATACCTCAATGAGCTCTATACCTCAAAGTATGGAAGGGAAAATTATGTTCTGAGATACTGATTTTATTATATAAATTAGCAATGTATTGCATTGACCAGAAAAGCACCACAGAATGGCCTGAAGTCATAGTACAGCTATTTTTGAAAATAAAAACCTCTTATATTAGTAATAAGCAAAAGCATTTGATTTTATTACAAGAATGAAGACCCACAATTCATGGATTCTCTTTTCTTTGGTTGTTTTTCAGCAATAAATTTATTAAGTCAGATGTTTTAAAATTAATGGAATTACTGAACATTTTTTTCTTTCCTTTCTCCTTTTGTTTTTTTCCATCCTCTCTTCTTTTCTTTTTTTTTTTTCTACCTATCACACTGGGCATGGCAGTCCAATTATCAATAAAATCAGACATGACCCTCTTCCCACCTTCATTGGAGACTGTCATTCACCTCTTTAATAGCAGATATCCATTTGCGTCATTGTTAACAGGTCTATCCTAGTCCACTAGCTCAGAGAAGGATAATAGAGCAGGTGTGGACAACAGCATTGATAAGTATGGCTGAATTCTCCCCACCATGACACTTTCTGGCCCCAGTATTACTTCTAGACCACAACAGAGTACCACAAGACTCACCAAAGCTCTAAAATGCTCTGATTTTGAAGCCCTCCCACCTTCTATGACCCTCTTCTATGCTAACGTCCAATCCTCTGGGAAGATTATTTCATTTATTGCTGTGTTTAAATGTAATTTCCCTAACAGGTGGGAAAAAAACATTTCCTACAGCTAAAATATAATTAAGCTAAGCAGAATTCTGATCACATATCCCAACAGTTGACTACCTTTGCCCATTCTCTTCTCAAAATATTCCAGGTGCACAGCAAGGGCAATCTTTTCTTCTTCCCTCTATTCCACACAGGCCTGCACATGTATATGTTCAGGGTATTTGTTCTGCAACTCGGTAGCATTCCTAGGAATGCTATGGGGAGAAACTTGCTTTGTTTAAAAAAATGCCTTTAAAAGTGTTTGAAAAAGACTTTGTTTTTGTAATTATACACTAAGTAATTCAAAGCAATTCTCTGATTGAAGAAATCCTTGAAAACTTAGAAAAAAATAAACATAATTTGCTTGAAGGCTTAGAATGCTAAATAATCATTGAATAGTTTGTGATCAGAAAGAAAACAGAGATGTACGCAGGTAAATGATTGGTGTTCAGGGTGCTTGTCCCCTGTGGATATTTGCTTATTCTGAAAGAGTTGCTGAACATCTGGGAAACTGAATGGTATTATTAGAGCATCTTGTGAGGATCCATATGAAAATGGGGCAGCAGACCCATGAGGGTGGGTATAAGCAATATGCACACTGCAAAGGTTGACTAGGAAGTCATCTGGTTCTTACAAAGATGGAAGCCCAGTTTTGAAGTATGCCAATCTCTGAAATCAGATTAAAGAGATTATAGATTTCAAGAGTTAGGCCTCTGACAGAAAGAAAAGCCCATCATTTCTGGAGAAAGAGAACGTTGTCCTTGACTTCAAATTATTTTTTTACACACAATATCCAGGTCTGTGGATAAAAAAGTGGAGAAAGGGGAGGTTATTGGGACATTTAAGTTTGCTTTAGTATTGTTATAAAGGACTTCTTAGATATGCTTTATACCAATAAGCTCTATACCTTAATGAGCTCTATACCTCAAAGTATGGAAGGGAAAATTATGTTCTGAGATACTGAGATACAAAATATTAAAAAAGCAGTTTAACCACACACATAAAGGGACTGGACAGCATGAGCCAGAATGAGCAGAAAAAGGAGCTTCAGGGGGCATGATGGCTCATGCTTGTAATCCCAGTGACTTGGGAGTCTGAGGCAGAAAGATCCCTTGAGCCCAGACATTTGAGACTAGCATGGATGATAAAGCTAGAATTTGTCTCGAGAAAAAAAAAAATAAAGAAAAAGGAAGGGAAAGAAAGAAAGAAAGAAGAAAAAGAGGAACCAGTATTTGCAGTTGTCAGATACATATTTTAAGGAAAAACTGCTTATTGTGTTGATGGAGGTAAATAGGATTATTGAGGTTTTTTTTTTTTTATTTGACCTTAAGTTCTGGGATACATGTGCAGAACATGCAGATTTGTTACATAGGTATACATGTGCCATGGTGGTTTGCTGCACCTATCAACCCGTCATTTAGGTTTTAAGCCCCGCATGCATTAGGTATTTGTCTTAATGCTCTCCCTCTCCTTGCTTCCCATCCCCTGACAGGCCCCATTATGTGATGTTCCCCTCCCTGTGTCCATGTGTTCTCATTGTTCAACTCCCACTCATGGGTGAGAACATGTGGCGTTTGGTTTTCAGTTCCTGTGTTAGTTTGCTGAGAAAGATGGCTTCCAGCTTCATTCAAGTCCCTGTAAAGGATGTGAACTCATTCTTTTTTGTGGCTGCATAGTATTCCCTGGTATATATGTGCCACATTAAAGAAAAGAAAAGATATTTTAAAAACATCATAGAATTTAGAGATGAAGAATTAAAATTAAGAACTCTAGAAATGAGTTTAACAGATTAGAGCTGAGTAAAAAGGGGATTGGTGGAGTGGAAGAGAAGCTAAAAAATATCCAGAATGAATCTCAGAAAGAAAAATAATAATCAATATAGATGCTAGAGCAATTAATATAATTTGACATTTGCCAACTTACCAGAATAGAGAAGGCAAAAACAGAACTATGCATATGCAGCTACCTGATTTAAATGCAGTACACTGGAAAGTTGGGTATTTTCAATAACCATCACTATTCACAAAATTTAATTCCAAATGGAGTGTAAAAGTAAACAGCAAAAGTAAAACAATAAGGCTTTTAAAAGAAAACATAAGGAATGTCTTATAAGGTTGAGGTGATCATAAATTTCTTAAATAGTAAATAATAACCCTAACTATAAAGAAAAATTTATAAACTGGGTTACATTAAAATTGAAAATCCATTTGTCAAAAGAAGTTCTTAGAAAAAAGAAAAACCACAAAGTGAGAGAAAATATTTTCAAAATATATAGTTAACAAATGGTTCCTATTCTGAATATATATATAAACTTTTACAAATCAATTTAAAATGTAACCAACCCAATAGTAAATGTTTAAAATGCTTGAAAAGACACTTCATGATAAAGTAAAATAATTGAATAATAAGTAAATGAAAAGTTGCTTAACACTATTAGTCTTTAAGAAAATAAAATTAAAATCACAATGAAATACCACTATATACCTACCAGGATGGCTAAGATAAAAAAAAAGACATACACTATGGAGTTTTGACAAGGATATTGAGAAAGGATATTGCAAATCTCATATGCTGTTGGTGGGAATGCAAATCAGCATAGCCACTTTGGAAAGCAGTTTAGAGGTGTGGGCTAAAGGTACATATGTGCATAATCATGTATGATACAGTATTCTACTCTTAGGTATATGTCCAATGAAAATGCATATGTATTCACTAAAAGACATGTAAAAATCTATAAATAATAACATCATTCCCAACAGCCAAAAGAAATACCCTCAAGACCAAGACCAACACAGGAAAACATCAATGTTCATAGCTGCCATATTCATAATGGCTAAAAATGTGAGACGACTGAAATGTCTGTAAGTAGTGATTTGGATAATAAATTATCATGTATTTATTTAACAAAATACTATATTTTTATGAGAATAAATAAACTAAAACAAGAGCATGGAGAAATCTTATAAATAAACCTTGGGGGACAAAATCCAGACACAAGATACTACATATACTGTATGATTCCATTTATGTAAACCCTAAACAGGCAAAATTATTTTTGTTTTAGAAATCATGATACTGCCTAAAATGGCACTTGATGGAGGCTGCCGGGCTGCTGCTTACATTCTGTTTCTTGATCTGTTTGCCTATTACAAAAGTATGATGGGTTTGTAAATATCCATAGAGCTGTGGACATATGAATTTTTCCTTTCCTGTAGATATGATATAATTCAATACTCCTTACCTACTTAAGAGGTTCTGTTTAAAAGATCACCCAATAATCTCAAATTACTAACTATAACTTAAAAAAACTTGCAAGGCCTTGTCACTGAAAACTACAAAATATTATTGAGATAAAGAGCACAAAAATAAGTGGAGGGACATACCATGTTCATGGCTTGGAAGATTCGTTATTGCAAATATATCTATTTTATTCAAGTTGATATTAAAATCGAATGTAATGCTAGGAAAAATTTTACAAGAAACATGACAAATATTCCAAATTTTATAAAAAATAAAAATTGCCAATGCACTCTTAAACAATAACAACAATAAAGGACTAGCTTTATCTATCATTAAGACTTATAAAGTTTCACTGATGCAATGCAATATTGATGCAAAAAATATATGAACTGCCCAAAGAAAAACAATGAGTCCAAAAACAGAACCAAATATTTAGGGATGCTTTATTTGTTACAAAGCTAATGTTACATGCTCTTTTCAACAAATGCTGCTGGAGTATTTAGATAGCTGTATTTTTAAAAACAGCATTCATCTCACAGCACTAATAAAAATCTATTTCAGGTACATTTAGATTTCCAAATGTGAAGAACAAAACAATGCTTCTAAATAATTGTATAAGACACCATTTTAAAGACCTTGAAATGGGAAATCTCTTAAAGAGGATACGAAAGTAATTAATGATAGAAGAAAATATTTTCAAATTTTAGTTAAAAATAAGAAATTCACCTTAGAAAATATAAGATGTAGAAAGCAAAAAAGTAAACCAGAGAGTGAGAGAAAATGCAATGCATATAACTGCCATAGATTTTATATTCAAGATATGTAAAGAACCCCTACACATGGGTAAGGAGAAAGGTAACCAAATGGAAAATTATGCAAGCCTTGAACAAATATTTTAGAAGAGAAGATAGTCAAATAAACAGATAAAAAGGAAAACAATTTCTCTAGTAATCAAGGAAGTGGAAATGAAAGCCACAATGAAATACTGCTACAGACCCATCAGAAAGACCAAATATAAAGTTTGACAATACCAAGTTTTGGCAAAAGTAGAATCACTTAAGGGGGATATAAATTTAAGAGATTTGCTGGGCGGCGGAGCTTGCAGTGAGCCGAGATTGCGCCACTGCACTCCAGCCTTGGCAACCAAGCCAGACTCCATCTCAAAAAAAAAAAAAAAAAAAAAAAAAAAAATTTAAGAGATTTGTTCTTCCATGTTGCTTCTTACAGAAGGCAAATAGGATACTGTATCCAAAGAGAAACTTGTTTCTGGGTCTGATGGCTAAGCCATGATGTTTCTGTAGTTTTCCATCAGATATCTTTTTTAACGGGTAAATTATTAACATGGCATATTTATTCCACAACTATAATTGTGATTTCCTCTTCTGTACAAGTCTTACCTTACTCACCTCTTCAGGTTTATTTTATTGCTTTTACTGGTTTGTTTCTTTCTGGCTTCCATCAGACTTCACAAAATTAAAGGCAGAGTAAACAGTCTCCAGATTGCTTGATGATGAATTTAGTTTGACAATTTGTTTGTTGTTATATAGTTAGAGGAAAGTTATAAACCCCAAATACAGATCCCTCAAATTCCCATTTGTGCAGGGTACGGAAATTTTGTATTAAACTTCTTATCCCCACAGTCTCACTTTAGTAACACTGAACGATTGGAATATTGAGGGCCCATTTTATTTTCCTTCTTAAGGATAGATAAAAGTAAAGAAAAATGCATAACTCAATAAGCAGTCACGTTAATTTTTGATTAGAGATATAAATGTATTTGTCCCTAGATATATCCTACAGACAGCCATTTAGCATTGTTTTTGCATATCTACTAGTTCAGCTCAAAAAAATTTATTAATTGGCTACTTTAGTGGTTTTATAATAATAATAAAGATGGCAACTTCATCCTTTTTTTTCTAGGAAGCTACATTAAAGCATCAGAAGAATGAGCGATAGAAATACAAATGGAATCTCTAAAAAAACTAGGAAGAGAGCTGATTTATTCAGTAATTATATGAATGTTATAAAATGTTTTTAGAATGGTTATGGGGTACCCTATAGTCTCCAAGTGCTGTCACAGAGTTGAAATGTACAGCAGTAAACAAATAAAATATCCTAAATATGTGAAAGGGCTGCTAAATTTGCTAAATTTACTGACTATCATAAAGGGAAATGAAAGGTTTCCAAAAGGCAATGTTTGTGCCTGAATATTTAAAAAAAAAAAAAAAGGCCCATTTACGAAATTGCATAGCCTAAACCTAGACTGAGGGGGAGAATCTGATAACTCATTGTTTGGACCCAGGTTGGCCATGAAAACTTAAGAAGGAGAGAAGATTAGGCTAAATGCAGAATCATGCACAGAAGGTTACATCCACAGAATGCAGTCTTTTAAACAGGCAGGATGGAGGAGAAGAATACTCCAGGGTGAGCATCCTGTCCTGCCAGTCTCAGATGGCTCAGAGAATTAAAAGCTAAATAATTTATGCATACAATCCTGAATTACATGGAGAATTATTGATAACCAAGGACATGATGTTTGCCCTCCAGCTACATAAACTACCTGTGAATAGTTGGTTTTTGGAAGGACTTACCTGTTTCAAAAAGGAGTCATAGCCATTAAGGAACAATTACAGAATCTCTCAGGAATGAGTTGCTACAGTGGTCAAAGCTGTTTCCACCTTAGAAACAGCAGTGATGTTTCTAGCAGTAACATCCAGTGTCAAATATTGGTGGTATCGGGGGGATCAGCAGCAGCATCCCTGCCAAGAGGTATCAGCTGTGGTGTCTACATGGAGCAATTCTGAGTATGATTTTTGAAGCCATTCCTAGGAGTGTAGCCCCATTCCTACTCCTCTGGTTCTCCCAGAGATCTGTGAGCTATCTAATCTTCTCAAATACATTCTTGCTTCTATCTCTCACTTTCTCTCTTTTTTTTGTTATTTCTCATTATAACTTTATTTTAAAAATTAGTTCTGAAAAATTGGCACTATCCATTAAACTGAATTCTTTAAGCCTGTAGTAAAAAGTTTATCAATATCCATTAAATTAAACATATACATATATGTAAAGTCAATATTGAATTATGTATAGATGTCTTGAATTCAAATAGCATATATCAATCCTTGAGAGTTTATAAGTGATATTCATTATTTAAAACAGAATTAAACCATCTGAAAATGCTTTGGATTATTGCAAGTTAGTTTACAGAGAACCGTAAGAAAATGATAAAATATTTGCAAAATATGCATCTATTAATGGTCTATAATTGAGCCTTGGTAAGGAACTTAAATCAACAAGCCATTTGAAAAATGGGCAAAGGACATGAACAGAGACTTCTCAAAAGAAGACATACACATGGCCAAAAAGCATGTGGAAAAAAATGTTTAACATCACTGATTATTAGAGAAATGCAAATCAAAACCACAATAAAATACTATCTGACACCAGTCAGAATGGCTATTATTAAAAAGTCAAACAAACAAATAAAAAAAAACATATGCTGGTCAGGTTAACTGAAAAGGGAACACTTACACATTGCTGATTATAATGTAAACTAAAACTAGCTCAGCCACCATGGAAAGCAGTTTGGAGATTTCTCAAAGAACCTAAAACAGAACTACCGTTCAACCCAGCAATCCCATTACTGGGTATATATACAAAGGAATATATATATATTTTTTTCTTTTGAGACAGAGTCTTGCTCTGTTGCCCAGGCTGGAGTGCAGTGGTGCGATATTGGCTCACTGCAACCTCCGCCTCCCAGGTTCAAGCTATTCTCCTGCCTCAGCCTCCTGAGTAACTGGGATTACAGGCGTGTGCCACCGTGCCTGGCTAGTTTTTCTATTTTTAGTACAGACGGGGTTTCACCATGTTGGTCAGGCTGTTCTCAAGCTCCTGACCTCGTGATCTGTCCGCCTCAGCCTCCCTAAAGACACACACACACATACACACACACACGTACACACGTTCATCACAGCACTATTCACAATGACAAAGATGTGGAGTCAACCTAAATGCCCATCAACAGCAGACTGGATAAATAAAATTCAGTATTTGGTTTTCTGTTCCTGAGTTAAGCAAATTAATGCAGGAACAGAAAACCAAATAGTGCATGTTCTCACTTATAAGTGGGAGCTAAACATTGAGTACATGTGAACACAAAGAAGGGAACAATAGACACCAGGGCCTACTTGAGGGTGGAGGTGGGGAGGAGCGTAAGGATAGAAATACTATTGGGTGCTTATTACCTGGGTGATGAAATAATCTGTACATCAAACCCCCATGACATGCAATTTACCCGTATAACAAGCCCACACATGTACCCCCCCAAACCTAAAATAAAAGTTGGAAGAAAAAATAAATAAAATGATTGCATGAATACATTTTAATGTGATAAAACTGACATTTTGTTTTTAGTTTTATCTCAGCCTACCCTGGGCAAAATATGTTGTCATTGTGCATTATTTAATTTTTTTAATGTATCTAGTTTGTAACCTTTATATTTTTAAAACTGACATATACAATTGTGCGTATTTATCATGTACAACATGATGTTTTAAAGTACATATACATCGGAAAATAGTTAAATCTGGCTACTTAACAAATGCATTATTTCACGTAGTTATTTTTGTGGTAGGAACACTTAACATCCACACTTAGCATTTTTAAAAATACAATATATTGTCATTAACTATAACTACCATGCTGTACAACAGATCTCTTGAACTTGTTTCTCGTACCTAACTGTACATGTGTATCCTTTTACCTACAATTCCTTAGCCTCCCACCCTTCTAAACACTTCAGGCTTCAGTAACCACCATTCTCCCTCTACTTCTAGGATATCAACTTTTTTAGACTCCATATGTAAGTGAGATTATGTGGTATTTGTCTTTCTGTGCCTGGTTTATTTCACTTAACATAATGTCTTCCAGGTTCAACCATGTTGTTTCAAATGACAGGATTTCTTTCCTTTTTGTAGTTAAATAATGTTCCATTGTGTATATTTACCATTTTCTTTATCCATGTATTCACTGATGGACACTTAGGCTGATTCCATATCTTGAGTATTGTGAATAGTGCTGCAATAAATGTGAAAGTGTAGATATCTTTTCAACATAATGATTTTGTTTCCTTTTGATATATATCCAGCAGTGAGATTGCTAGATCTATTTTAATTTTTTGAGGACGCTCCATACTGTTTTCTACAGTGGCCGTGTTAATTTACATTCCCATCAACATTGTGCAAGCGTTCCCTTTTCTTTACAACCTTTCCAACACGTTTTTTTTTTTTGTCTTTTTGATAAAAGTCATTTTAACAAGAGTGAGATGGTATCTTGCTGTGGTTTTGATTTGCATTTCTCTGATGATTAGTAATATTGACATTTAAAAAATACCTGTTGATCCTTTATATATCTTTTTTTTGAGAAATGTCTATTCAGGTTCTTTGCCCATTTTTTATTGGATTATTTGTTTTATTGCTATGGATTTATTTGAGTTCCTTATATATTTTAGATATTAAACCCTTATGAGGTGTATAGTTTGCAAATATTTTCTCCCATTCTGTAGGCTGTCTCTTCATTCTGTTGATTGTCTCCTTTGCCGTGTAGAAGCTTTACAGTTTGATACAATTCCATTAGTCTCTTTTTGCTTTTGTTGCCTGAGCTTTTGAGTTATAGACAGAATATCATTGTCCAGACCAATGTCATGGATCTTTTCTTCTCTGACTTATTCTATTAATTTTATAGTTTGGGATTTTAAAGTAATTAATTTATTTTGTTAATTTTTGTAGATGATTAGAGATAAAGGTCTAATTTCATTTTTCTTCATATGGATATCTAGTTTTCCCCATACTATTTATTGAGCAAACTGTCTTTTCCCCATTGCATATTCTTGGAATCTTTCTCAAAAATTAGCTGACTGTAAATGCATGGATTTATTTCGGGGCTCTCTGTTCCATTGGTCTGTGTGTCTTGTTTTTATGCCAGTGCCATGCTATTTTGATTACTACAACTTTTTAGTACATTTTGAAGTCAGTAGTGTGATGCCTGCCAGCCTTGTTCTTTTGCTCAAGACTGCTTTGGCTATTTGGGGTCATTTGTGGTTCCCTATGAATGTTAAGATTTTTTTATTTCTATGAAGAATATAATTTTGATAGGGATTGTACTGAATCTGTAGATTGCTTTGGGCATAGAGACATTTCAACATTATTAATTTTTCTAATCCATGAACAAGTGATATATTTTTATTTGTTTGTACCCCTTCTTCAATTATTTTCATTGATGTTTCACAGTTTTTGATGTAGATCTCTTTTACCTTCTTGGTTAAATTTATTCCTAATTATTTACTTTTAAAAAAATACATCTCCTATTATAAATAGAATAGTTTTCATGATTTCTTTTTCAGATAATTCACTGTATAAAATTTTATTCAGTGCATAAAAACACAACTGATTTTTGTATGTTGATTCTGTATCCTCCAACTTTATTAAATTTGTTAGTTCTAACAGTTTTTTTTTCTGGAATCTTTAGGGTTATCTATATATAAGGTCATGCCATTTGCAAACAGGGACAAGTTAATTTCTTCCTTTCTGATTTGGATGCCTTTTATTTCTTTGTCTTGTCTTATTGCTCTGGCTAGAACCTCCAGTATCATGTTGAATAGAAGCAGCGAAAGTGGGGATCCCTATTTTGTTCTAGATTTTAGAGAAAGAGTTTTCAACTTCTCCCCATTCAATATAATGTTAACTGTGGGTTTGTTATATATGACCTTTATTTTGTTGAGCTACATTCCCTCTATATCTAAATTGTTAAACATTTTTTATCATGAAGGGATATTAAATTTGTATTTATTTATTGTTTTTTTATTTTTATTTTTACTTTTGAGACAGGGTCTCACTCTATCTCCCAGGCTGGAGTGCAGTGACAGATTATGGCTCACTGCAGCCTCAGTCTCTCTAGAATCAGGTGATCCTCTCACCTCAGCCACCTGTGTAGCTGGGACCACAGGCAAACGCCACCACACCTGCCTAATTTTTGTATTCTTCTTTGTAGAGACAGGGTTTCACCATGTTGTCCAGGCTGCCTTTGAATTTCTGGGCTCAAACAGTTCACCTGCCTTGGCCTCCCAAAGTGCTGGGATTACATCCATTAGCCACTGCACCTGACCTGGATGTTGAATTTTGCCAGATGCTTTTTCTGCATTTACTGAAATGATCAGAGGATTGTTGTCCTTCATTCTTTTAATGTCATGTATCACATTTATTGATTTGTGTAGACATTGGTTGGGATTTGGGGGTCAATATGATAAATGTAAGTTATGTTTGCACCTGTGGAGTAAACAGGACTGGAAGAAAACACACAGACACACATAGTGCTTGGTCACATTTTGAATTCATGACCTCAGTTAAGCCCTTAATGTTGGCAGCAATTCTGACTTACAGTGGATCAATCATCATTTATTTAAATAATTCCATATTGTCAGACCTATAGGTTGTTTCCAATTTTTTACTGATAGAAAAATTTCTGTTGTGGATTATACATGTAGCTAAACCTTGGTCACATCAATAATTTTCTTTAATTAATTTCTTTTTTAGAATTAGAGTTCCAGTTATGAATGGAATGACTTTATTAGGCTAAGTTTCCTGCTGTTATAATTATTAAAGATGAACAAGATATAAAATGCAAATAATTTGAAGGCCCTGGCATACAATCAGAGTAGTCAGGGACAAGAATAACTATACCATTATAAGGAGAAAAGGGCACTAGGGGAGTTTTACATTCAGCTGGCTTTTCTGTAGAGGGTACTTAGAAATTTTCTGCAATGTGAGGGAATAGAGTCCAAACAGAAGAGTCTTACACCACTGAAGAGATAGAGTCAGAGTTTGAAACTGAAACAGAAGGTATAAATTGAGTGGCAACATCCCAAAGACTAAGAAGCTTCAGGAGAGCCCTAAAATCCTACTGATTCTCTGCAAGATATTGGTGGATTCTTAGTTATGCATGCAATAAAACCAACAGAAACCAGCATCTGGGAGGAAAAGAATTGAGCAGATTTTCGTATCTGCCTACTGCTAAGGAATGAGATTGGAGTTCAAGTTCTATCAACTCAGAGGAACTTGTAAGTACACAGAGCTTTTCACCGAGCTCTCAGAAGGGCCATGCCAGAATAATGACAAAATAGAAACATAAAAACCTTTAAAAAAGAAAGAAAATCAACTTAGGAAGGGACTAAGGTGATAGTGTAATATTATATCTGTCTTCCACAAGAAAACTTAATCCTCTTTAGAGGACTACATTTTTCAGAGCTCACACAATTTTCAAAAACCCTATCATTTTAAGTATCAAATTAAAAATTAAAGGCATGTTAAGATTCAGGACCAACTGAACAAAACAGGAGAAAAAGGACAATTGAAACAGACCTGCAGATAAATCAGGTATTGAAGTTATAAAAGACTTTAAGCACATTTGATACAATTCAAGAAAATAGAGGAAAGAATAGGAAACTTTAGCAGAAAGCTAGAATCTATTAAAAAGAAACCTTGTCAAATGGAAATTCTGTATTAAAAAATAATAGTGTCTTGGGTTAAGAATTCATTAGAGTAGTTTATTAGCAAATTAGAAATCACAAATCAAAACACAAAAGAATTAGTAAATATGGATGATAGAGCAATAAAATGTATTCAGATACTTTCTATTGTGTCTGGTTTATTTGACTTAATATAATGTCTCCCATATTCAACCATGTTATTTCAAATGACAGGATTTCTTTCCTTTTTGTAGTTGAATAGTATTCCATTGTGTATATTTACCATGAGAAAGGCAAAGCATTTCTCATGAAATTGTTGCAGGGGATGAAAATGACCTAGTTGTTTCACGCCTCACAATGCACAAGGAGAAAAATTATACAGAGAAGAGAATACGAGACATGTAAAGTACAAGCGAAACGTCTATCATGTTTAACCAAAGAGGCAATTGTTGAAGAAATACTGGCTGAGGATTCCTCCGATGTGATTAAAGATACCAAGCCATAAATTCAAAAAGATATATAGGCGCCACATGGTATAAATAAAAAGAAAACCACACTTAGGGACATCATAAGCAAAGTGCTGAAAACAATGGAGTGAAATATTGAAAGGCAGCCAGAGGGAGAAAAATTTTTAAAAAGTTAAAGAGCAATTAAAGGGTCAAACAGTTAATGAGTTTTAAGACTATGATGTGAATTTGCAATCTACTCTCCAGAAATTCTGCACTTTTCCCTCACACTCTTGAAAATGCTGTCAAAAATATTGGTGTAACTTTGACATTCTAAGTAGTAGATTCTTTAAAGCTTTTTTTTGTTTGTTTTTTTTGTACTTTAAGTTCTGGGATACATGTGCAGAACGTGCAGGTTTGTTACATAGGTAAACATGTGCCATGGCGGTTTGCTGCACCCATCATCTTGTCGTCTACATAAGGTATTCATCCTAATGCTATCCCTCCCCTTGCCCCCTACCCCCTGACAGGCCCTGGTGTGTGATGTTCCCCTCCTTGTGCCCATATGTTCTCATTGTTCAACTCCCGCTTATGAGTGAAAATATGCAGTGTTTGGTTTTCTGTTCCTGTGTTAGTTTGCTGAGAATGATGGTTTCCAGCTTCATCCATGTCTCTGCAAGGGACATAAGCTCATTCTTTTTTATGGCTACATAGTATTCCATGGTATATATGTGCCACATTTTCTTTATCCAGTCTAACATTGATGGGAATTTGGGTTATTTCCAAGTCTTTGCTATTGTGAATAATGCTACAGTAAACATATGTGTGCATGCGTCTTTATAGTAGAATGATTTATAATCCTTTGCATATATCCCCAGAAATGGGATTGCTGGGTCAAATGGTATTTCTGGTTCTAGACCCTTGAGGAATTGCCACATTGTCTTCCAGAATGGTTGAATTAATTTACACTCCCACCAGCAGTGTAAAAGCATTTCTATTTCTCCACATCCTCTCCAGCATCTGTTATTTCCTGACTTTTTAATGATCACCATTCTAATTGGCGTGAGATGGAATCTCATTGTGGTTTTGATTTGCATATCTCTAATGACCAGTGATGATGAGCTTTTTTTTTCATCTGTTTGTTGGCTGCATAAATGTCTTCTTTTGAGAAGTGTCTGTTCATATCCTTCACCCACTTTTTGATGTTTTTTTTCTTGTAAATCTTTTAAGTTTCTTGTAGATTCTGAATATTAGCCCTTTGTCAGATGAATAGATTGCAAAAATGTTCTCCCATTCTGTAGGCTGCCTGTTCACTCTGATAACAGTTTCTTTTGATGTGCAGAAGCACTTTAGTTTAATTACATCCCATTTGTCAATTTTGGCTTTTGTTGCCGTTACTTTTGGTGTTTTAGTCATGAAGTCTTTGCCTGTGCCTATGTCCTGAATAGCAATGCCAAGGTTTTCTTCTAGGTCTTTTATGGTTTTAGGTCTTACATTTAAATCTTTAATCCATCTTGAGTTAATTTTTGTATAAGGTGTAAGGAAGGGGTCCAGTTTCAGTTTTCTGCATATGGCTAGCCAGTTTTCCCAACACCATTTATTAAATAGGAAATCCTTTCCCTATTGCTTGTTTTTGTCAGGATTTTCAAAGATCAGATGGTTGTAGATTTGTGGCATTATCTCTGGGGCCTTTGTTCTGTTCCATTGGTCTATATATCTGTTTTGGTACCACCATACTGTTTTTGTTACCATAGACTTGTAGTATAGTTTGAAGTCAGGTAGTGTGATGCCTCCAGCTTTGTTCTTTTTGCTTAGGATTGTCTTGGCTATATGGGCTCTTTTTTGACTCCATATGAAATTTAAGGTAGTTTTTTCTAATTCTGTGAAGAAAGTCCATGGTAGCTTGATGGGGATAACATTGAATCTGTAAATTACTTTGGGCAGTATGGCCATTTTCATGATATTGATTTTTCCTGTCCATGAGCATGGAATGTTTTTCCATTTGTTTGTGTCCTCTCTTATTTCCTTGAGCACTGGTTTGTGGTTCTCCTTGAAGAGGTCCTTCACATCCCTCGCAAGTTGTATTCCTAAGTATTTTATTCTCTTTGTAGCAATTGTGAATGGGAGTTTGCTCATGATTTCACTCTTCAGCAGTCTCAGGATACAAAGTCAATGTGCAAAAATCACAAGCATTCCTATACACCAATAATAAAGTGCTTTAATCATTAACCTGTTGCAGTTTCTGAATGATGAATGAAGGTGTTTGAAGCTTTAGAGAGATTCAGAGTTTGAGAATATTTTCATGAATCTTTGTCCTCTTCTTCTTTTTTTTTTTTTTTTTTGATTACTTAGGTATGGCTTATATTAAACATTACTTACTGTTCCCATGCATTTTGTCTGCTAAACTGTGCCTATACATATATACATAAAGTTTATTTTATTAACATATGTTTGCATATTCACTCTTTCCTGTCTCAAATAACAAAAATACAGAGACCCTGAGAGTTTACATTACTTATATGTGTGGTTTTTTTTAAATTCAAGACACACTAACTCTTAGAATGGTTTATACATTGCAGTTAGTTTTTGAAACAATTTTGATTTTCTTGCAGCTCTTGGTTGCCTGACATCCTTAAGGTGTCCTTGGGAAAAAGTGCTTTTATTTCAGTGTATTAAAATGCCCTTCTTTGGCTTCTGTGGGCAGCAATTATGGTGTTCTGTATCATCTGGTCTCTTTTTATGGCCATCCCCATGAAGCTGAGATGCAAAGATTCTACCCCCAGTGATTTAGGTCTGGCCTAATTCCAAGACTTAATTGGTGGAGACTTTGTCCTGTATTTAGTATTCAGGATAGAGCAAAGCATTTCTCATGAAATGACTGCAAGGGATGAAAATGACTTAGTTGTTTCAAGCCTCACAGTAAAACCAAATTACCTTCTGGACCAGAACTGAGGCTCATGCTGACCACTTTCTCTTACCAAGTAATTTCCTACGATATAAACAAGACTCATCTTGAAAATATAAAGCTCTATTGACAATATACAATAAAGTGAAGAAGGAGGGTACAAAATGTGATGCATACACATTAGAATTGTAAACAAAATAATTAATAAAAGCTTATGGAGAAAGCCTGGAAGGAACTCCACCAAAATAATAATAATGGTGGTTTGAGTGCTGGGATAATAGGCAGTTATTTTTCTTTTCACCATTTTACGTGTTTTCTAGATTGTAGTTATATTACCCTTATAATTAAACAATAAATTCTCTTTAAAAACATGTTAAAATTACTCTCTGATAAAGATTTTGACAACCTACCTTTATAACCTCGTCTCCTTAGCAATAGACCTGGGATTACAATGCTTGAATGTCATAATTAAGATAATAAAATGTTAATAACCAAACTGAATTTTCTGACATTATGGTTTGCTTGTTTTGTAATACACTTCTTTTTAGCACCTGTACAATTCAAACCTTTTAATTGCATTTTGCATGAATGTCAGGCAAAGTTACTGCAAGCAAGTTTTTGTATATGCATTTTTTTTAAGCTTCACTTATTATAGCAATCCAAATGTGGTGGGAACACTGCATTTAACCAAGCAGGAAGACAAAGCAGTAATTGTGATTTCATTTTAAGTCACCAGGAATGGAATTTTTGAACCATCTTTTTAATATTACAGATGCCTTAATCACAAAATGTAAGACTAATTTGTCAAAAATATTCGGTGATCTTCTATACCTTCTAGTAAATCTACAAATGGAAAAAAATGAAAATTAAAACTAATATAAATTTTTTTCTTGCTGTTGTTTTAACTCCACAGTAGGTTTAGAAATAGAATGAAGATTTTTATATGTATTTAATCTGTTTGTCCTGATATTATTCATTGATTTTAATTCTATATAGTTTGAATGACTATAGAAAATATCAATAGCATTTTAACTGAGTATAATTTTCATCTTTACATGCATGACTAGAAAAAAATTCAGTTATCCTTAAGCAAAAATAAATCTATTTTTCATATAGAAATAAATTGCACATTGCCATTTCTTTTCTTAAAGGAGCTGCAATCAGGAACTATGGAAATAGATTCCACTGAGACTATCACAGATATTTAGTTACATCATGGCTGACTTCTTTCTTTGTCTTCTTGTGATAAGGGCTGAAGCATATTTCTTTGCCCACTTGACAAGTTTATACCAATTTCTGAGGTTACTTTGAACCACATAATATGTATTTAAAATCCAGTTTTTCCTTGTCTGGGATGAGTATGGAAAGAGGCGGTTTGTTTTTTAATATTATTTCTTCACTAAATAACATTGAGTAGGTGATATCAAGCATCAGAGCAATTTCATATGACTCCAATCTCACCCCATGTCATGAATAATATGTGAATTAAATTCTGGTGTTCAGGAGTTTTTTAATCCATATGCTATTTCATAGAATCATGGATAAATAGAATCAGAAGGAAATTCCAATCCTGTGGTTTTGGAATGGAATTCCCTTTTCAAAAATCAATCTTGTGTAGAAGCCCTATACATAAAATGATATAAGCTGAGCTCCTTCACTGACTGGGTAAGAGGCTACTGAGTTTCCCCATGCAATTCACGTGTCCCATTACATCTTTATCCATGTAGGCTCTTGAGCATCTCAACAGAATACAAGAGGCCCTCAGAAGACACTGCAAATGCAATTCCAGTTTCTGTCATATTACAAATAAATCAACAAAAACCTGAAGACATGAAGCAACTTGTCACAAATGAGGGTCACAGAACACAAAGCTTTGTACATGTTAAGTCTCAAAATATTAGTTGCCAGGGTGGATGTTATATTAATTAGTGAATGAGGCATACCTACAAATCCGGGGCATTTTTCACATCAGAATTACTATTGTTGTTTAATAGAATGTTGTCTTCATTTGTCTGAAAATGTTCAAAGGAAAGTGCAAGAGGAGAATGGTGTTGTGAAAATAAACACCCAAAAGCCTATGAATAGGGCAAAGAACTTACAAAACATTTGGAAGAGCTCTTAGTACAATATCTTGAGGGGACTGCAAACTATTCAGTCCAAGTACCATTGTCGCACAGGCCTGGTGGGCCTCTGGCTGCCACTAAAACCATGAATGCTTTATTGTGTACATCATCCCAGAGGACGAGAGGTATTTCCCAAGAACAAGAGCTATGGCTAACTCTAGGATCGGGTTGAAGGTATACTGGACCTTCAATTTAGAGGATCTATCAGATAGACTGTAGTTGAGTTTTATAATGCCACACAAATTACCAGGCATAGAAAGCTCTAGACAGTCTAGGATCCCTGGATGTTCTAATTGTTTGAGCACTGCAGTGTGCTGTAGCACATATTCTTACTTCATATTATTTTAAATACTTGATTTAACCAGATCACTGATTTCCTTTATTGGAAGAAGACATTTCCTCTTTCTATGCTTTAGTTATCCCATAACACAAGAGATGTTATACCAGCATTTAATAGAAAGACAAAATAAGTTACCACAATATGAAAATGGTATGCTTATTACAACAACCATGAGAGGACTGTAGAAAATGCAGTAAGACTTTTGCTGGGTTTCAAAATTTCATTTAACATCTGAAAGTTGAGACAACGAAGAAGTATTGTTACTTATCTAAAAAGAAGCAGCAGATCTATCCTCAAATGGCCAGACTAGTTCAGTCATCATACCTCCCAGTAGCCAATGTAAATGTAGGTTAGAGGGTTGTTGAAGAGCATAGTTGATGAGCAAATCTGGTAGGTATATATAAGACTATCACATTCCCTTTTCTCTCTAGTCTGGTAAGGTTGTCTCCCAATAACCACCCAGAGAGATCAGAATTTGTGTTAAAAGGGGAGATTAATGTTTCACTAACATGTTGTTAATTCCTTGCTTGATGCTTGGCAGCAACAAAAATGCCTAAGTCTGCTCATGTTGATATAGAACAGATATCTCCAGCTTGGAGTTATCTTCTGGAGTTTGCAGAGGCAGAGAATGATGCTTGTGTCTTGCCTGAAGAGTTCTGAATGCTGGAGGTTGCCTAGAGTAGGTCTCAATGGCAGCCCGTAGAAAAAGAATGCAATGAATTGGCCTCACTCCTGAAGTTTGTCAGGGCCAGCTGGTATGCGTTTTCACATGGACCACCTGAAGACCTAGTAAATTAGGCAGGCTTGAATATTTTTGAAAGGACTCAGATGCCTGCCAAGAGGAAAAATGGACCATTTTCCTTTTTTTGCCAGGAGAGAAGGGTGAGTTGTGAAACGTCTCCCAGAGGGTCTATTACCTACATCATGAAATGGTGCAGCGCAGAGATACCCAGCAACAGAGGAGGGGCTTTTGCCACTTTACTTTGCACCCTTTCTTAGCTCCTGACCACAGAATAGTTAGAAGCAGTGTGAGGAGGAGGTAAAAGAAACAGATTTTCAGAGCAGATCAAGAACAGGAAAGAAAAGCTTTTTCTACTTTTGGTCTCTATGAGCCCTAAGTAAGCCCACACAAAGAGAGCAAAGTCATATTTGAAGTCAGCAGGGAGAAGAAAGAATAAATGGCGACTTTATTTACTCTATTGAAGATAGACTGTTTAGTATGCTAGTTATCCTTGTTTTGCGTTGAAGAACACTGAAATGCAGAAAGAGGAGTGACCAAAGGGCACAGAGGTAGGAGATCACAGAGCCAGGAGTCTTGTGACTCCAAAATAAATTTCTTGAGAGAATGCCACATTCCCTCTATAGAGAGGCTGCAAAGAAATTGAATGTAATACATATATTCCATGCTGTCTTTGTCTTCGGCATTTCAACTTATATTTTAGAAGGATGAGATTGAACATTGGGAATGAGACATCCCGACACTGTCTGGGTTACTGTGAGTAAGTGACTTCACCTCCTGAAGCCTTTTTTTTTTTTTTTTTTTTTTTTGAGACAGAGTCTCGCTCTGTCGCCCAGGCTGGAGTGCAGTGGCGCAATCTTGGCTCACTGCAAACTCCGCCTCCTGGGTTCACGCCATTCTCCTGCCTCAGCCTCCGGAGTAGCTCGGACTACAGGCGCTCGCCACCAGGCTGGCTAATTTTGTTTTGTATTTTTAGTAGAGACGGAGTTTCATCGTGTTAGCCAGGATCTGAAGCCTTCTTTTTTTATTTATAAAATGAAGAGATTGGATCAACTTAGCTACAAATTCCCTTTCAGATTTTACGAAGATATAAACATAGCTAAAAGAGGGGGGAAAGGGAAGGGAGGGATGAGGAGAGGGAGAGCGGGAAAGGGAGGGGAGTGGAGAGGGAAAACATGCAAGTGCAAGGAAGATCCTGTATTCATTGTGTTAGCTGGATATTTTACACCTTAAATTTGCATTTTTTTTTCTGGAGAGTCAGAGAATTGAATTAGAACTTCAAAAATTGGCTTTGTTTCCATATTCTCTGCCTCCTCCTCATCATTTCTTTTACAGGCATTGCTAAGCTGATTTTATAATAATAATAATAATAATAATAATAATAAATCACATACTTTTCAAAGCTGGAAACACTTCTACCTCTCTGACATACTTTCAGTTGTGGACAGTAAATTCTTCAACCTCTGAAAGCACCCCCCAAAACTGGATTCCCAGGAGAAATAGTGTTATGGAGTTTTTTTAAAAAAACGCAATATGTGAATGAGACTGGGAGATTGTAATCTCGGATATGTTTGTTGCTGCAGCTTTCAATCCTGTCACAATAGGTGTCATGAAGATGAATAAAGTTGGTGCCATCTTCTGTTTTCATTATCATCCAAGGGGCTGGGATCGGAAAGGCTTCATTTTGTGCCACTGTCATTTCTCATTACTATCTTTGTCATGAGAGTGAATTATAACAGCCCTCAGATGCCAGCCATGGCTTTGCTCTCATTACAGACTTTCATTCTTGGGACGAAGACGGTAATAAGAGTGGAATGTCGTGTAAAAACAGAGCTCACTTTCATGACAGTTGGAAATTGGTGATGAAAATGGAAAATGGCAGAAAAAATTAATCCTTTTTTTGTGGCAAAAATTGCCCTGCAAACAGCATCGTACACCAAAGGTATCCTTTACTGTGGCAATGACAAAGCAATGAAAAGGCAAACAATGAACAGCTTTTGGAGCCAATGAAGGGATTCTGAAGCATCCATCTTGCTTGGTGCTTTGGAAATGTATCCCTTAATCCTGAATAATGTAACATCCATTTGGCTCCAAAAGTAATGTGATAGGCAATTAGGAGCAGCTCTATTCTCCCTTCAGTGATGTGAATATCTCTATTACCTACTGGCAGAAAGGCTCTACCAAATTTATGGAAGCCATTAGAATTTCAACACAGGGCACCTTTCATACACACACACACACACACACACACACACTTGCACACATATATGCCTATGTATATATGTGTTTATATATTTACAATTCTGGAAACATATTTAGCTGACTCATTAATAGTGATATTCAAAGACAGGAATTCCATGTTTTATTTTATACATACAAATTTAATATATTCTTGTATTAATTTTTTTAAAAACACCAAGAGCATTTATCACTCTTAAAATTACAGAAATAGTAACCTTCTTTACCATCAATATAACTGGCTCTGCAGCTACCCTTATTACTAGATTTTGTTTATTGTCAACTCTAGATACATATTCTCTAATTAAAATTGAAGTGGAAAAAGTAACATTTACATTCAAATTTTAAAATGAATGCCCTCAGTCTCTTTCTTTATAGATTCTTTTTACCATGGCATTCCAACTGTGATGTTTTTCTTTTCCCACCCAGAGGTCGTATCTTTTCAGAATGAGGGTTAGAGTGTACCAATGGTGGAAAGAAGTTGTGTGAAATGGTCTTTTCATTAGATTTCACTTAGAGCGGTCTATTTAATGTTTTATCATTTGCCAACATACATAACAGATATTCAACATTTATCCACATTTCAACACATGTCATTGTTGGGAGGGAAAAACTGGCATTTTAATATGCACATTGAGCACAGAAACATTTATAAGATGGTTATTGGATACAGAAACGTTTTTTTATGTGCACCTTAGTGACTGCAATATATTTAAGGTTGCTAAATGTTGACACAGTTGCCTATGTTACATGAACAAGCCAGAGAAAGTAGGCATGAGAGACCACTTTTATTAGTATGAAAAGAAGGCAATTGCACTGTAAGAAATCGCCTGAATTCACTTGGTTCCCTTTACTTTGGAGTGGTTCATAGCAAGGGCATATTTTAAATCTGGAAATTTTATACTTACTTTAAGGGGCTGGGGTGAAGAGAATAAAATGACAATTGTTAGAAAAAGATTGAAAAATATCTTTTAAACTAGTAGAATTTTTTACATAGGAAATATTTCAGAATAATTTTACATAGTTCCATCAAGTCATTGATTAAGTGCTCACAATTTAAAAATCTGAAATAATGAATTAACCTAAAGCTTATTCTAAAGAGAATTTTATATAACTGCTAAGGGTGAAAGTGTAGAACACTTCAAATTGTGTATAAAAGAGTTCATTTTAGAGCAGAGATTATTAACCATGTTAGAAAAACTATGATGAATTTGTTTTAAATATCTGTAACCAGAGATTCTAATTCAGTGGATTAGCCGCATGGCCCAGGAATCTGTGTTTTTAAAGCTTTTTTTTTTTAAAAAAAAAAAGAAAAATTCTTATGTATATTTGCATTAGAAACCACTGTTTTGGAACTTTATAGACTATAAACTAGCTTGGTATTCATCTTTTTTCTATGACTCTGTTCATCAAATATTTCCTTCTTACTGATAATACTTTTGATTCAGTTAATCCATCAGTTAAACATTTATGTGAGCACCTATTATGTGCCAAATGTTGAAGTTAGGGAGCAAAGAATATAGTGGTGACAAATGACAACCAAAGTCTTCAAGCTACTTACTCAGTTGGGATGGTGAGTGATATGGTTTCTCTTTGTCCCCACCCAAATCTCATCTTGAATTGTAGTTCCATAATCCCCACATGGCATGGGAGGGACCCGGTGGGGGTGGGGGGAATTAAATCATGGGGTTTCCCCCATGCTGTTCGTGTGATAGTGAGTGAGTTCTCACAAGATCTGATGGCTTTATAAGCACCTGGTATTTCCCCTGCCAGCACTCATTCTCTGTCCTGCTGCCTTGTGAAGAAGGGCATGTTTGCTTCCCCTTCTGCAATGACCGTAAGTTTCCTGAGGCCTCCCCAGCCATGCAGAACTATTAGTCAATTAAACCTCTTTTCTTTATAAATTACCCAATATTGGATATTTCTTCATAGCAGTGTGAGAACGGACTAATACAGTGAGATAGAAAAACAAACTGTTACAATACATTGTATAGATGATTATTACAAGAATAAGCCCTTTCTGACTAATATCCAGAATCTACAAACAACTCAAACAAATTTACAAGAAAAAAACAAACAACCCCATCAACAAGTGGGTGAAGGATATGAAGGATTTATGCAGCCAACAGACACATGAAAAAATGCTCATCATCACTGGCCATCAGAGAAATGTAAATCAAAACCACAATGAGATACTATCTCACACCAGTTAGAATGATGATCATTAAAAAGTCAGGAAACAACAGGTGCTGGAGAGGATGTGGAGAAATAGGAACACTTTTACACTGTTGGTGGGACTGTAAACTGGTTCAACCAGTGTGGAAGACAGTGTGGTGATTCCTCAAGGATCTAGAACTAGAAATACCATTTGACCCAGCCATCCCATTATTGGGTATATACCCAAAGGATTATAAATCATGCTGCTATAAAGACACATGCACACGTATGTTTATTGCGACACTATTCACAATAGCAAAGACTTGGAACCAAGCCAAATGTCCAACAATGATAGACTGGATTAAGAAAATGTGGCACATATACACCATGGAATACTATGCAGCCATAAAAAAGGATGAGTTCATGTGCTTTGTAGGGACATGGATGAAGCTGGAAACCATCATTCTCAGCAAACTATTGCAAGGACAGAAAACCAAACACTGCATGTTCTCACTCATAGGTGGGAATTGAACAATGAGAACACTTGGACACAGGAAGGGGAACATCACACACTGGGGCCTATCGTGGGGTGGGGGTAGAGGGGAAGGATAGCATTAGGAGATATACCTAATGTAAATGACGAATTAATGGGTGCAGCACACCAACATGACACATATATATATATATGTAACAAACCTGCACGTTGTGCACGTGTACCCTAGAACTTTAAGTATAATAATAAGCCCTTTCTATGTAGGAACACCTACAAGGGGATCTGGAAAATGCTTTCCTAAGCACACAATGCTAAACTGAGTCTTGAAGAGACAATCATGAGTTAGCCAACTGGAGAAAGTTGTGTACTCTAGGTAAATGAAACAGCAAGACCAAGGTAAAAAGAGGTTAGAAAGTAAAGTGGTGTGAATTCAGGAAAGTGTACAAGTGTACAAGGTTGTTGGGGTAAGAACTGAGGTGGAAGTGTAGTTAGGGACCATATTAATTGCCACTAACACATATAGCACTTACTACGTGCCATAAACAGCATTCTAAGAGATACTCATTTAATGATTATAACAATCATTTGAGGTAGGTACTACTATCATCCTCATTTTATAAATGAGGAAACAGGCACAGATAAGCCATGAGAGGGACTTTTGTATATTTTTAAGTATCTTTTTTAAGGTAATGAAGATTCTTTGGAAGATATTAAGCTGGGGCAAATTATGCCAAAACCCCACATAAGCATGAGTCAATTTTTACCCCAAGCGTTTTCTGGAAAATTGGATAGATTTCAAAAAGGAATGCAATGAAATTTGAATGTAGGCTCAGTTCAGTACTTACTGAACAAGATATTATATGAAAAAATATTGTTAAATGCTATATTTCCATTAAGTCTAACAAACACTGCTTTTTAAACACTTAATTCCTTGAGCTGTGATTAGCATTAGAAAACAATGATAACTAAGAATCAGAGCTTATGAACTAATTAGTTACATAAACAATCATAATGTTAAGGGAATGGAAATGCCGCAAATCGGTAGCATTTCAGATTATTGATTACCATATAAAGAGAATCTGATGGTAAAGAAAGTTTATAACACTTAATTATAGTAAATACATTTATATAAAGCAAATATATTTCTTAATATTCAATTAATTAAAGACAATCTTTACAAGTCTGATTCTATGTAAGGCAAATTCAGAGTAGTTAATATTCTATATCATCTCTTTAGTAAGTTTTGAATCTATCTTTATTCAAAAATAAAAATTGCTTTTAAAAATCAGTCAAATAGAACAAAAATCAATGAAAATTGATTCCATGTGTGTAATAGAAACTAAGACATTTGAAGGCTGTGTTTGGATAGTGATGTAGAATATAATTAGGAAATTTTAAAACATACTAAAATACTGTTCAGAAATTGTCTTGGTAGTCCTAAATACTTTTTGGTAGTCTGGTAGTTAATCCTTAAAATATAATATTTATCACAACATTATAACTTTGAAAACCATCCATTAGTATTTAAGATTTTTAAAAATGGCAAAGAGGGTTTAAATAAGTTGCATGCACACATACCTATTATATCATCATTTTTATTATTGTTAATCATCAATAAGGAGTTAATATCAGATCAAATCAATGCTACAATCAAATAGATATTTATACATGATAAAGTTACTTTTAAAAATATGTAGTATTTTTGCAGCTATTTATGTTTGTTTTTCTTTGTTAACTAATTTTTAACAATATGTTTTATTAATATAGCCATGACCTTAGATTTATTATTTAAATTCAAAACAGAAAAAAAAAATGCTGAGAAAAGTACTTTACCATGGTGATTTTTTAAAAGAGGTACACAGAATTTTAGTTTGTGATTAGGTGCCTCAAAAGTGGAAGTAGGGGTTGAGAGCAGGTTGAAGGCGGGAAAAAAAAAGGAAGACCATTTGGATAAAGTTTCACTACTACTCCTGTAGATTCAACTATAACAGCTCTAGGGACTGAAAAGTACACGTGTGTGTTTGGTCAGCCATGATTTAAAAGAAGACCTTAAATAAAATTGGGTATATTGCTCTTTTTAATTTATGTTGCATCATGACCTTTTCTATTTATTGAATAACTGTATTCATTTAAAGTCTAATCAAGATGTCACTCTAAATCTTACTCAGTCCTTCACAGATTTCACATATTTTGTTAGACCTTAAAGTTACTTCCATGTTTTCACTATGATAAATAATTCTGCAGAAAACATCTTTATGGCCATAATTTTTCTTATCTGTTAGATTATTTTCTTTTGGTGCCATAATGAAGATGTTCAAATTAAATCCATGATAATATTTAAAGCTTTTTATACATATTGCCAAATTATTTCTCAAAATATTTCTACTCCAGTTGCTGCTAAAATATATAAGCACACACATTAGTATTACTATGTGGATTTTTCTTTTTTGTTGTTAATTTTTTGTTCATTATTATTACTTGCGATATAATTTACATACAGTGAAAATTACCTATTTTATTTGCAGTTTGTTGAGCTTGACAAATATATAATGTGTGTGACCACAATTTCAAACCAATTTATATAATATTGCCATTACTCTAAAGAGCTATCTTTATGGATCTTTGCATGGAGGAAGGTTCCACTTACCCTGGACCCCTGCAAACTACTAATTTGATCTTTGTGGTTATAATTTTGCTTTCTCAAGAATGTCATATAACTGGAAACATGGGCTTTTTCACTTGGCTTAATGCTAACAGCATCATATTGTTGATGTAGTGTTTGTTCCTTTTTGCTTAGTAATATTCTATTATATGGATATACCACAGCTTGTATCTATTCACCAGTTGATGCTCTTTGAATTGTTTCCAGTTTTTAGTGATTATGAATGAAATTGTTACAAATGTTCACATACAGATATTGTGTGGAGATATGTTCTCGACATTCTCGTGAAAATACCTTGGAGTAGTATGATTGACTTTTATGTTAAGTATATGTTTAACTCTATACTGCCAAACTATTTTCTGAAGTGACTGTACCAGTTTCCTTTCCCACTAGCAATCAATGGGAGAAATACATGCATTGCATCCCTCACCAGCAATGATTTTTGTAATTTTAGTCAATCTAGTAGGTATGTAGTTATATATTTTTGTTGTTCAAATTTGAATTTTCCTACTGATTAATTATGCCAAGCATTTTTTTCATGTGCTTATTTGGCATATATATTTTTTATGAGTGTGTGAAATTTCTTTTCAAACTTTTGCCCATTATATTGGATTGTGTATCTTCTTATTATTGTATTTTAAGAGACCTTTTGAGAGCAGAAAGTTTTAATTTTGATGAAATACAAATGCAAAATTTTTATCTTACGGTTTGTGCTTTGGTGTGCCGTATAGGAATATTTGTCCACCCCAAGTTCACAAAGGTTTTCTCCTGTATTTTCTTCTGGAAGTTATATATTTCTAAGTTCCTCACTAAGTTATATGATCCATTTCAAGTTAACATTTGTATACAGTGTGTATACAAATACAGAGAGAGGACACAGTTTTTGTTTGTTTGTGTTGGGTTTTTTGTCCCAGTAAAATGTATTGAGAAGAATATATTTTCTCTCTAGAATTACCTTGGCACATTACATTTATAGAAAATCAATTGACCATAGATATGTGAGTCTCTTTCGGACTTTCTATTTTGTTCTATCAATTAACAAGTCTATCCTACCACTGAAACCACGATGTCTTAATTACTGAAGCCATATAATAAGTCTTGAAATCAGGTTTTGTGTGTCTTCCAAATTTGTTTTATTTAATTTCAAAATTGATTGGACTATTCTATGACCATTGCCTTTCCGTTTAAATTTTAGAGTCACTTCCCAATATCTAAAAATAATCCTAATTGGATTGTGATTAGTATTCCTTCCAATCTCTATACCAATTTAGAAAGACTTGATAAGTTAATAATTTGAGTTTTCTAATCCATGAATACAATATATCTCAATTTATTTAGATCATTACAATTGTTCTCATCAGTGTTTCTATTTTTAATGTAAAAATATTCCACAAAGTAGGTTAGTTACATTCGTCACTAGGTGCTTCATGTTCCTTTTTATGCTATTGTAAATTATGCAGATCTTAAAATTTATTTTAGTCTCAAGTGTTCAGTACTAGTTTATGAAAATATAGTTGATTTTTGTATGTTGACCATGTATTTGGTAACCTTTCTCAATTTATTTATAATTTCTGTGAAGTATTTTGTAGATTCCTTGGGATTATATTCCTAGATGGCTGTTTGCTGCAAATAATGATTTTTTTTCTCAAACCTATATACTTTTTTATTTATTTATCTTGCCTTATAACACTATCTAGGACCTCTTGTATAATGTTGCATAGAAGTGATAAGATTGGACGTTCATTTATTGGTCACATTATGAAATGCGCTGGTCTTTTACTATTTTTTTTTGTTTTGTTTTGTTTTGTTTTTTTGAGACAGAGTCTTGCTCTGTCGCCCAGGCTGGAGTGCAGTGGCGCGATCTCGGCTCACTGTAAGCTCTGCCTCCCGGGTTCACGCCATTCTCCTGCCTCAGCCTCCCGAGTAGCTGGGACTACAGGCGCCCACCACCGCGCCCGGCTAATTTTTTGTGTTTTTAGTAGAGACGGGGTTTCACCGTGTTAGCCAGGATGGTCTCGATCTCCTGACCTCGTGATCTGCCCGCCTCGGCCTCCCAAAGTGCTGGGATTACAGGCGTCTTTTACTATTAAGTTTACTGTCAGTTACAGGTTATTATAGATGTCTTTTATCAAGTTAAGGAAGTTTCCCTCTGCTATTAGATTGCTGAGATATTTTTATTGTGAGTACAGGTTGACTTTTTAAAAACTCATTGTATCTGTTCAGATAATACACTTTTCTACTACATTGTTTTGATATAGTGAATTACAATGATTGACTTTCACATGACAAATCAACCTTGCATCCCAGAGATAAATACCACTCTTCATGCTGTATCATTCTTCTTAAACATTTCTAAATTTGATTTGCTAATAATGTATTAAAGAATTTTACAGGTGAGGATTCAGGTGAGGATACTGAACCATGTCAACATTCCATTTTTTGGTACCATTTTTGTATTGGTTTAAGTTTTGTTTTTTTTTTTCCTTGTAATGTTGCTGTCTGGCTTTGGTATCATCAGGTCTCATAAAACAAATTGGAGAGCATTCTTATTTTAAATTTTCTGAAGCAGTTTGTATAAAAATGGCATAATTCTTCTTTAAATGGTTCACAGAATTCACTCACGCTATCATCTGGGCCTTGAGTCTTCTTTGGGAGAAAATGTTTAATTAAAAATTCAAATAACTTACTAAATGACATACTATTCAGTTTATCTCCTTTATGAGTGAGATTCAGTAGTCTGCTTTTAGCAGGAATTTATCCGTTTCATGTTTTCAAACTTACTATCATAGGCCTCACGATATTCTGTTATTATCCATGTAATGCCTGTAAGACATGTAGTTATGTCCTCTGTTTATTCCTCATATTGGTAATTTTATCTACTTTGTTTTATTCTTTATTGTTCTGGCTATAGTTTCATCAATTAGATTGAACGAGTTTTTAGATTCACTGATTTGATTTTATTTTTTAAAATAATTTTTTTAGATATGGGGGTCTCAATTTGTTGCCAAAGCTGGGCTGAGCTCAAACTGGCCTCAGGGAATTCTCCCACCTCAGCCTCTGAAAGTGCTGGGATTCTAGGCATGAGCCATAGTGTCTGGTTGTTTTTAGTGTTTATTTTTTCAATTTCATTCATTTCTCCTCTTTATTTTCTTCATTCTGATTGCTTTGTTTATAGTTTTTTCTTCTTTTTGTGGTTTTTAAGGTGATGATAGCTTATTGGCTTCTGACATTCTTTTTTTTTCCAGCTTTACTAATGTAAGATTGACAGTTTGTATATATTTATGGGATACAACATAAATTGATACACATATACGTACCCATTATGAAATGATTTCCAAAATCAAGTTAATTAACACATCCATCACCTCACATGGGTACTCATTTGTGTGTGTGTGTGGTGTGTGTGTGTGTGTGTGTGTGTTAAAAACAATTAATATCTGCTCTTTTAGCAAATTTAATGTATATGATACCGTATTATTGACTGTAGTCACCATGCTGTACATTAGATTCCCCGGAAAACTTTTTCATCTATAAACAAGTTTATACCCTTTGACTAACATCACCCCATTTCTCCCATCCCCAGCCTCTAGCAACCACCATTCTACTCTCTGCTTCTATGAGTTTGACTTTTTTCAATTCTGCATAAAATTGAGATCAAGCAGTATTTGTATATCTGTGCCCAGCTTATTTCACTTAGCATAATGTCCTCCAAGTTCACCCATATTGTCTAAAATGGCAGGATATGCTTCTTTTTTAAGGCTGAATAAGATTCCATTGTGTATGTATTTGTTACATTTTCTTTGTGAATTCATACGTTGAAGTCATGTATCTTTGGATATAGATCCAGAAGTAAGATTGCAAAATGGTAGTTCTATTTTTATTTTTTTGAAGAACCCCTATACTGTTTTCCATAATGGATGTACCACTTTACATTCCCACCAACAATGCACAGTTTCCCTTTTCTCCACATTCTGTTGTTATCCCTTGCCTTTTTTATAGTAACCATCCTAACAGGTGCAGGATCATAGCTCACTGTGGTTCTGATTTGCATTCTCTGATGATTAGTGATGTTGAGCACCTTTTCATAAACCTGAAGCCCATTTTATGTCTTCTTTGGAAAAATATCTATTCATGTTTTTCCCATTTTTAAATCAGGTTTTTGTTTTTTATTTGCTGTTGAACTGTATGAGTTCATTACATATTTTGGATATTAACCCTTTATAAGGTAAATGATTTGTAAATATTTGTAAATAGACTGCCTTTTCATTTTGTTGATTGTTTTCTTTGCTGTGAAGAAGACTTTTAGTTTAAAATAGTACCACTTGTTTATTTTCACTTTTGTTGCCTGTGTTTTTTGGGTCATATCCAAAAAATCATTGCCAAGACCAATGTCAAGAAGCTTTTTCCTTATGTTTTCTTCTAGAAGATTCATGGTTTCAGGTCTTCTGTTTAAGTGTTTAATCTATTTTGAGTTTATTTTTTATGTAGTTTAAGACAAAATTCCAATTTCATTTTTTTGCATCTGGATATATAGCTTTTCTCACACCACATATTGAAGAGATTATCATTTCCTCATTGTGTATTCCTCGCACCTTTGTCAAAGATTAGTTAACTCTACATGCTCTGTTTATTTCAGGGCTCTCCAGTCTGTTCCATTGGTCTGAAAAAAATCATGGATCTGCTTTTATGCCAGTACCATACTATTTTTATTACTATAGCTTTATTATATAATTTGAAATTAGGAAGTACAATGCCTCCAGCTTCGTTCTTCTTTCTCAAGTTTTCTTTGGTTATTTGGGGGTCTTTTGTGGTTTTATATACATTTTAACTTTTTTTGTATTTTGGGGGGAAATGCCATTGGCATTTTTGGTAGGGATTGTATTGAATCTGTAGATAAAATTGGGTAGTGTGGACATTTCAACAATATTAATTTCTTCCAATCCCAATGAATATCTTGTCATTTGTTTGTGTCTTCTTCAATTTCTTTCACTATTGTTTTACAGTTTTCTGTGCAGAGATCTTTTATCACCTGATTTAAATTTATTCATGAATATTTTATTGTTTTCAATGCTACTGTAGTGGAATTGTTTTCTTAATCCGTTTTTTGGACAGTCCATTGTTTGTATAATTCACTAGCATTAATAACTTTAATTCCTAAATTAATTATCTTGAGAAATGTTATATTATTAATATTCTTTTGATAAAGAGGAAAATATCATGTGGGAAAACATGGACATCAATGACTGACTCAAAAACTGATAAAAAGAAAAGACTTGGATTCTGAATATAAAGACACTTTAGAAATTCCTTAGTCAATAGTTGATAGATGTTTTCTTTTTATGTAGACACAAGACAAATATTACCAAAATTTTTGTCTAATAAGTCTGAAAGCTCTTTTAGAATTTGAAGTTAAAAAGTCCAAAGGGTAAGAAGGTATGGTGATATTTGATGAGTAGGTTTTTTTTCTTTCTTAGCTTTATAAAAAATAAGGTGCATCTTACAAGCAATAGTATGAAACTCAGTAAAATATGGTCTTTGGTAAATGTTCTGTTCATATGTCATAATTTTTAAACAATTTCCAATAGGTAGTCATTTGACTCATTTCTATTCATCTTTTGTGAATTTTTTTCTGTGCAAAATACTTTTTAATACAATTTTTAGAATGTGTTAGTTTCCTTGTTCCCCATCTAGATATTTACATAAATTCTTAAATATTTACCTTGACTCATAATAATCTAAACGTTTTGTCCCTTTGACATAAAATTTCATCACTAACTTTAACAAATGTTAAGCAAAACCAGAGACCATCAAAGCAGGAAAGAAGAAAGGAAGAAGGGCCAGCTATTTTCTTCTTTAGAGCAGGTTTCATTGTTTGGACATTACCACAGAAGCAGTGTCATTAGCTGTTCAAAACGTTATGTTTGACTTCAAAGTATAAAATTATAAAGATGAGATATCATTGCATTAGCAGGTAGAGTAACTTCATAAGTATATTTCTGACATAAATATAATTATACTGCACATCCAATCTGTGATACAGAAGGCTTTAATGGTAAAGGTAAAAATTTTTGAAACTATTTATTTTCTTTTAGAATTTTGTTCAAACTCTTCCTTTTTTATGAGAAAAACGTTTCTCTCTCAAAATCTATCATAGTATGCATTTGACTTATTACCTCTGCTTTTGTCAAGAAATTTAGAGACTCTCTGATAATGGAAAGCCAGTATTTGTAAGAGCTTGGACCATGAAGCCAAAACTGGGAGCTTGTTTCCAGTTTCTGACATTTAATAGCTGAGTGACTTTTAGCAAATTACCTAACCTCTCTATTCCCCTTCAGTGCAGATTAAAATAATAATTGTTATGTCAATAGCTAATATTTATGAATTATTTAGTATTCAGGTAATACTTGAAACACTTTCTGTATATCATTCCATTTTCGTACTTACAAGAAGTATATGGAGAAGGTGCTATTATCGTCTCCATTTTACAGATGAGGACACTAACAAGGTCAGTACAAAATTAAGTGAAAGAATAATTTTAACCCTCTTGGTGTGGAGAGTAAGCACTCAGTATGGTGATGATGATGATTATGTCAAGGATGACAGAAGTGGTGATGGTGATAACAATGACAAAGATAAAATTTCTACACATCAGCCTTATGCCGTCTTAGATAAATATGCATGTAACTACTAAAAAATAGGATCAATAGTTTATTTAATAAGCATTTACCGACTCTCTTTGATAACCAGACAATGAGGCTCAGATATTACACAAAGATATCATGATATTTTCAAGGCATCTCTAGACTAATAGAAAAGAAAAAAAGACCATGATTCAAAGAGGAAAATATTAAAGGAATGAATTATGGGGGAGGTAAGAAAGAAAGTAGGGAGGAGATAGCAAAGAAAATATAAAGGAGAAAAGAAAGGAAGGCAGGGTAATCTTGTAGAAAATACACTTAGCTTCATTTGGATTGCACAGTAGGAGATATATTCCAGTCTCTAATACATGCCATGCATCAATGCCCATATTCAGAAATCAGCTGCTGGGAAGACACGTGTATACACAGCAAGCATTTTTCTTAAGGATGTATGGTGATGCATAGCACATGTCAAACTGGAATCTGGCTTTATACAATATGACTTACTGGATCAATGGTCCCAATTCAATGTGCCATCTGTAAAAAAAAAAACAAAACACTGTAGCACATGTGTATACAACTAATATTATGACATGCAAAATTATGAAATCCAGTAAGAAAGAGATGGATTATTTTTTCATTCATTCTGTGACCAGCACTGTTATTCCAAATATGCATATCTATAGATTATGGAAAGGGTTGGAAGGGATATGGAAAGACAAGAGGAGAAAAAGGGCAGAAATGTCATAGCAGCTTCCAGCTGCTTCAAATCCCTGGGAAAGAGGTTTAGTATACATTCCATCAAAAAAAAAATGTGCATTCAATAGCTTTAGATACATTTTGTGCTGATCCAGTTAATATGTCAAAATATTCTGCTTGAAGCAAGAAGACAGAAAAGCTTTGCCACACCACAAAGGGGCATCTAAATCCCATCACTCCTTTGTCACCCTCTAAGGAAACAGCATTATGTAAGCATCTGATTTGCATCATTGGGGCGGCCTTGATTTCTGAGAAAGCTGTTTGCAATTCAATAAGCTCCATGCACAGTGTTGCCTTTCATGTGATTCCTTATGGTGCTGTTGATAATGATCATAATACTTTTTTCCCCCAATGGAGAACACTGAATCAATGCCGAAAAATCAAACTTTTGTTTCTGTGTAAGCTAGAGGGCACATGAAGATTGAGAGAGAGAGAGAGAGAGAGAGAGAGAGAGAGAGAGAGAGATGAGCCTTCATATTTCATAATCTCTGACATAGATTAAGAAAGTTTCCCAACAGGTCACTAGATCAGATAGGGGCAATGTTGAATTGATAGCTTAAAAATGAAAGCTGCTACAGTTTGAAAAGTGAGAGAAGGAGGAAACATGAGAAAAGGGAGAGAAGGAGGAAAGGGGGAGAGAGAAAGAAAGAGACTGACAGAAAGAGACTGACAGAGACAGATGGAGAGAGAGACAGAAGACAAAGAAAAAATAGAAATTGTTGGCAAGGCTGGATCATGGGATGTAAAAGCAACTTTGCCATCCTTGAGAAGGTCAAAAGTTCGTATGAAAATTCATCAAATACTCATTTCGCTCATTCATTCTTCTTTGCCTTTTGAGTATACCGGTTATGCCACAGGATCTTGGAAAGCCTGGGATTTTCTTTCATTTCCCATTTTGAATAGGTAAATAACAACCACCTCCTTTCTGGTCCTGTAAATCTTAATTTTGTTTCCATCTGAGCTGAGTTGTTAAGAAGTTAATGATTTAGAACTGCTTCCTGCTTTGGCTTGCTTACTCTTTCATGGAAAAGTAAGTGAAGGGAGGCACTTCTTAATGTGACGGGCAAGGCTATGTGTCTCTAGGTTGGACTTCCCTTTTTTTTTTTTAATTCTTTCTAAATTTTATTTGAGATTCAAGTGATACATGTTTATGTTTGTTACATGAGTAAATTGCATGTCGCAGAGATTTGGTGTACAGATTATTTTTTCACCCAGGTAATGAGCATAGTACCCCATCAGTAGTTTTTCGATCCTCACTCCCCCCATCCTCCACCCTCAAGTAGTCCTAGTGTCTGTTGTTCTCTTCTTTGTATCCATGTGTACTCAAGGTTTAACTCCCACTTATAAGTGAGAACAGGCAGTATTTGTTTTTCTTTTCCTGTGCTAGTTTGTTTAGAACTATGGCCTTCAGCTCCATCCATGTTGCTGCAAAGGACATGATCTCGTTCCTTTTTATATGTTGGATTTTTGAAGTGATGTGGCTGTGGTGTTGGAAGTAACATTCAAATACAGATATCTCAGCAAATGTGAGATAAATGAGTAGCACTATTACTGATATCTGGGAGGACAAGGACGGAGAAATAATAAAAGCAATGACAAGGACGTTGAGAACAGGGTTCATGTGTTTCGAAGCAATTTCCACAAAGTTTAGTATAGAAAAAGGCACCAAAAAGATATTCCATGCTCATTATTACTTATTCAGAAACATGAAATAGACCATGTGTGGTGGCTCACACCTGTAATCCCAGCACTTTGAGAGGCCGAGGCAGGCAGATCAGCTGAGGTCAGGAGTTCAAGACCAGTCTGGCCCACATGGTGAATCCTCGTCTCTACTAAAAATACAAAAATTAGCTGGGTGTGGTGGCAGGCGCCTGTAATCCTAGCTATTGTAACCCCAATTACTTGGGAGACTGAGGAATGAGAATCACTTGAACCCAGGAGACGGAGGTTGCAGTGAGCTGAGATCACAACACTGCACTCCAGCCTGGGTAACAGAGCAAAACTCTGTCAAAAAAAATAAAATAAAATGAAACAAAATAAAATAAAATAATTGCCCTGTAATAAACACAAGAACAAAATAAGATTTCTAATATAAAGTTGCTTACAGTCAAGCAGGGGTGACACAGGTGAGCCAATATAAATAACTCTAACATGTTCTCCTCACACAACTTTTATGTCATTTTTTCCAAATGACATGAAATATTTTGAAAATATGAAAAATATAAAGTAGATTTTCTCAATTTGACATTATTGCCATTTTGAGCCAGGTAGTTTTTGTGGCTGTCCTCCTGTGTATTGTAGGATGATGAACAGTGTCTTTGGTCTCTATGCAACTAGAAGCCAGTAGAACCAACCCAAAGTATATCCAGACATTAGCAAATGTTCCTTGGGCAAAATGGCCCTGATTGAGAAACCAAGTTTGTTGTGGTTGTTGTTGTTGCTATTCTTTGGATTTTTGCTGTATCCACTTTTATATTTCATTATATATGCAATAAAAGTGGCAGGTTGATAAACTTCTCCTGAAAGCCATTCTCTCCTTTTTCTGTAGCCATATAAGCTGACCTGAGCACATAGCCATGCCATTAGGGGCTACATATATCAACTTCCTTTACAGGTAGATGTACTCATATGATCATGTTTAATAACTAAGTGAAGAGATGAATAGCACTTCTAAGCTTTAGCATTAAAATAAAAAGCATGCTCTCTTCTGCCTCTACTTTCTTTACTATTTCCGGCTGGAACAATGACAGGGATGACCCAGCTTCAACAATGCAAGAATGGTAACTCTCTAGAACACAGAAAAACAAGGAGATGGAATTACTTTGTCAGTGACAGATTGCCTGAATTACTTTTTGAAACAGAAGAGCCTCATCAGCATCAACCATCCACCTTGAGATGTTTTGGGATCTCTTTGTTACAGAAAGTTAGCCTTTATCCTAACAGCTGTAGAATATATGTATAATTTTATGCACATATATAATTTATACATATTTTATGTTAGGATTATCCAGAGAAACCGACCCAATTGTGTGTGTGTGTGTATATGTGTGTGTGTGTGTGTGTGTGTGTGTGTGTATATGTGTGTGTGTGTGTGTGTGTGTGTATATATATATGAAGAGAGAGATTTTATTACAAGAGATTGCCTTTCACAGTTATGGAAATTGAGAAGTCCTACAATCTGCCAGCTGCAAGCTGCAGGCCTGGGAAAGCTAGTGGCGAAGTTCCAGTCCAAACCTGAAGGCTAGAGAACCAGGGAAGCCAATCCAAAGGCTCAAAAATCAGAAGCACTGATGTCCAAGGGCAGGGGAAGATGAATTTCCTAGCAAGCAGAGAGAGCAAATTTGCCCTTCCTCCACCTTTTTGTTCTATCTCTCAGTGGACTAAAGGATTCCCATCCACGTTAATGAGGGCATCTTCCCCACTCAGTCAAACAATCCAAATGCTAATCTCTTCTGCAAACACCTTCACAGACACACCCAGAAATGATGTATTATTAGCTGTCTGTGCATCCCTTAGCCCAGTAAGGTTGACACATGAAATTACCCATCACACAGACATACACACATATGATCAATGTGCAAAATTTTTGTTAGGCAAGACATTTTGGAAGAGCAAACTATGTAAGTAGATGCATGTCTATATTAGAATATCTCTTAAAAAGCTCCAGGAACTCTGGAGGCTGAGGCAGGAGAATGGTGTGAACCCGGGAGGCTGAGATTGCAGTGAGCCGAGATCGCACCACTGCACTCCAGCCTGGGCGACAGAGCGAGACTCCGTCTCAAAAAAAAAAAAAAAAAGCTGTAGGAACCTAGGTAATGGAGTGATTTTTTGCCAGTGTGGTTTTCTGGGCCTTAGATGATGAATCAGAGTTTGCCAGAAAGGGTAATGAACCAAGGAAGTACTGCTCTCTGGTTTCACACCCCACAGGCTCTCATCCAGGAAGAGGTAGTAGCTCTACAGACAGCAGCAGTCATCATCTGAGTCGTGCGAACGTTCTCTTTTAGTCAAATCACTTAACTACACTCCCGCCTCACACCAGGATGATCACTAGACTTCTGGAATTGACAGGTGCTCTAGCACAGATAACAGACACCTGAATACTAAGTGCTTTGATGAAAATAACTACATGTTTCCTTGCCATGTGTAGCAAGTCTCTGGAAAAAAAAAAAACCTGAACAGAATTTGATGGTATTTCTAATGATTTATCTTTCTATATGTTCTTCTATTTTTCAATGAGTGTGATTGTATATCAAATGGATTGCCTTCTCATCTGAATTAAATCCTGCCCCCTAAAACATAATATTGTCACCCAGAAAAACAGACTAACATTTGAAAGAGTACATAATAATTTAAGTAAATTTTAAGTCAAACTTAAACTGTCTCATAAAAATCAGTATACATCATACCAATTTACTTTCATTACTGAACAAATTAGCTGTGTGAAAAAGCAATTGACTTGGCCTGGCATTATTTTTTTTTAGAAATGTGTAATCTCTAAAATAGGAAAAATGGTATTACATCTATCAGGTGGGTCACAATTACATCTCACTATAATGAATTTAAAAATTCTGCAAGCATTTATAAGTCAGTGAAATTTCTCATGACCTCACCATACCTATTTATGAGATTTTGAAAATATATAATTGATGTTCTTCCAGTAAGCCATATTATAAACTTCTGTCATACTTTAACTTATATAATATTTTAAAGAATCTTGGTATCAACTCTTTTATTTATTTCCTTTTTACCATATATCTCTAAAATTCTTCTTATAAAAGCTTATAAGAAGTTTGATCTCCTCTTTAAAATAAAGTTTTTTCTGCCTTTTTTTCCAGTTTGATAGTCGCAAAAAAACACTGTCTCTTAATTTTATCTTTTCTTCTTGCAGCAACTAAATAATGTTAATTTTTTTCCTTTAAAGGGACTCAGTGCTTCTGTGGTATCTACATTTAACTCTTTCATGGATGTTGTAATGAGATGTAAGTTCATAATGTTCTAGAGTTTAAGTATAAAAAGGTGCCACTAAATTTGTCTTAATAGTTAAATTTTGAAATCTGCTAAAATATTCAATAAGCCCTGTAATAAAATTCTGAGGCTAACTGCCCAGATTTAACACAGACTTCACAGGTTAGAGGCACAGTCTCTGATGAAACTGCCCTTACATCAGACACCAGCCACAAGTTTGAGGGTGCCCAGGCCACCTGCTATTTTGATGACTTGCTGCCAGTTTGTGGGTTCTCACTATCCCATCAGATTCAATAAGTTGCTGGAATGACTCCCAAAATTCAGAAAAACACTGAATGTATGAATACACTTTTATTATAGTAAAAGATACAAATCTGAACCTACCAAAGACAGACAGACACATGGGGTGAGGTCTGGGAGGGTCCCAAAAATGAAGCTTCTGTGTCCTCAGGATGCATCACTCTCCTGGCCCATCAGTGCATTATTACAAAAAATGGTAGCTCACTTGAGCCCCAGTGTCCAAAGTTTCTATTGGGGTTCCATTATATCAGCATGATTGACTGAATCATTGACCACATGATTGAACTCAAATCACCAGCCTCCAGCCTCTCCCCAGAAGTTAGAGGTCAGACTGATGTCATGTGGCTCAATGTTCCAACTCTCAAATCATTGGTGTTTCCGGCATGGCCAGCCTCCATGTTGAAACTATTTAGGGGCCTTCCTTGAGTTACCTAATTACAATAAACTCAAGTGTGGTCTCAGGGGCCCACAATGAATAATAAAAATACTCCTATCATTCAGGAAACTCCAGGGATTTAAAAGTTATCTCCCAGGAATCCTGGACAAAGACAAATTCTTTATTATACAACAACTCTATTTTTTTTTTTTTTTTTTTTTTTTTTTGAGATGGTCTTTCACTCTTGTCAACCAGGCTGGAGTGCAGTGGTGCAATCTTGGCTCATTGCAACCTCCGCCTCCAGGGTACAAGCAATTCTCCTGCCTCAGCCCTCCAAGTAGCTGGGATAACAGGTATGCACCACCACACCCTGCTAATTTTTGTATTTTTGTAGAGACGGGGCTTTGCCATGTTGGCGAGGCGGGTCTCGAACTCCTGACCTCAGGTGATCCACCCGCCTTGGCCTCCCAAAGTGCTGGGATTACAAGCGTGAGCCACCGTGCCCAGCCAACAACTCTCCTTTTAAAAGCAAGCTCAATTTTACATACACATATCACTGAAATATTTACTAAATGAGTTTAATTTTTTTAACCTGCTACTGTTCTTTTCAGGAAGAAGAGCATAAATGAAATTGGGGAGTCAGGGAAGAACCAAGAACATGGTATATGTGCTAGGAGCAGCCCTGGGCAAAATTGTGAAATAGTTGGATTTTAGCATTTTCAAACTTGAAAGAATTTCAGAGATCCTCTAATTTCTGTATCATTCTTGTACAGAAACAAATAGATTAGGGAAATAAGTAATTTGCCCAAGGTAGAAATCAAAATTAACTCTCAAATAGAAATCAAAATTTGAATTTCTCAGCTCTTCCTACCATGACACTCAGCATGCCTTGAGAGCTTTTCCCAGCTCTCCTTTCAGGCCCACCCTTCCTAGTTTCCCTGCCAAGTTCTCTTTCTTTCCCCATTTCTTAGGAGACTTCATGATACTAAGCTCCCCTCTTTCCCTACTCTTCTCTTCTACCTCTCCCTCTTCATGCCTTTGCAACTCCAGTGAGCCAAAAAATGAACTACGTATTAACTTCCCTGCAAGTTCTGATCTCTGAAGCCTAGCAAGAGCAGAAATATGATAATTAACTCATTTACAGCTCTCCTAGAGATCACAATACCTTAACTCAGGTTTTTTAAAATTAACCTTCTAGATTGGTGTTAATGAAGGAGATTTCAAGAATGAGGCCTTTGACACTTTTGTATGCAGAGTTGGCTACATGTGCCACTGAAGGCAGACTGAGTAAATAAAAAAGAACTGTCTTTTGTAGGTTGGGTCATTAACTGAGTGTGCTGCTTAATAACAGGAAAATCACAGAAACAGAGAGATGACTGCTGGCTGGTCACCTAATGGTCTGTCTACTATTCCTCTCCCAGAGCAACCTTTCTAAAGCATAAATCTGATATTAAACACAGGGCTGAGAGACTATGAGTGCCTCTCCATAGTCTCAGTCTCTTTAGCTTTGCATGCAAGGGCTGCTGCCTCTCTTTCAGCTTAATCTCCAGTTATACTAGCCACAATCACTCTAAACCTCCTTGGTCATATTGTGCTATTCCACATCTTCCACATGCTGTTCCCTCTGACTGGACTTCTCTCTTGCTAACGCTCATGGGTCTCTTTAATATATACAGGTAACTCCTTGAAAAAAACAGCATAAAATGACTTTTCTTTGAATAATTCTCTAATACTCAGATTTGATGAAGATGCTTTTCTTCTGGTCCCCTTTAGCAATCTTTAGAAACTCCTGAGAATATAGCATAATGCTATATTCTTCATAATGACTTATCAGTCTCTCCCAAATGAAATCTCAAAAGCCAGGACTATGTGTGGTTTCATTTTGTATCCCCAGAATTTGACACAGAGTATGCACTAAATTCATGTTTGATGCATAAATTAATGCATGCATGAAGAAGATATATCAATATCATCTTCATCTACCTTCATCTCTCCTAGAGAATTGTGGAGAAGTTCTTTAAAATGTATACTGTAAAAAATAATATCCACCAGATTTTGGAAGAATTAGTACTTTTAATAAAATTTTGTGTGTGCATGTGTATGTGTGTGCATGTGTGTGTGTGTGTGTGTGTGTGTGTGTGTGTAAAATCTCTCTCTTTAAATTGCTCAGTATTCACAGGATGTTATTTTGAAACTGAATTTCACATCATGATTTTTTTTCCAAGAGAACGTGTTATGATCTTTATTTTCAAATATAAACAGTAACATTTCAGGGCTGGGCTGAAAGGTGAATGTTAGAAACCTTTATTCTTTGCAGTGTTAAATATTTCAAAAGAGCTAAAAGAACAATATCTGCAGCTGCATCCACAATTATCAAAGCTGATAAGATATTTTGACAAAATATACATGGAATTTTGGTGATGTGTTTTGTAACTATCACAATAATTTTTTTTTCATTTTAAAGGCCAGTGTTTTTCTCCCAGGCTTACTGTCAGAACATTGTCTTCATACCATAAACCCATCTCATAATTTATCCAGTTCCATATAGTTCACGGAATGTGTAAACAAAAGTCTATGTTCACAACACTAAACATTCTTCAAGCATCTATTGACAAAGCCATGGGACAGAAGGCCTCCTGCCTCCTCTAAAATTCACCTTTGTTACCTAGCCCTCACTTCCATAAGGCTAGAGCTCTTTGCTTGGATTTTTATTTAAAAGATTATAAATAATGGATGAGTTAGTTGAAGTGAGTAAGGTATTATGTAATATCTAGCTCTTCTAAAAGTGACATTTCTAAGACGAGCTTATATTCATACTGAGAATTTTTCATGGTATAAAATATTTGCACATTTGAATGGACAAAGGAATGATAATTGTTTCAAAATTGATTATAAAAATTGAAATTTAATAACATAGCAGAATGTAATTATTTCTGTCAACTATTCCAGTTTGGATTAGCAGAAGCTAGTATCAGAAAAGAGCAATGATATTTAAGCTGTTCTTTTTTTTTGCAATTCTCCCGCCTCAGCCTCCCAAGTAGCTGGGATTACAGGCGTGGGCTACCACACCCGGCTAACTTCTGTGTTTTTAGTAGAGATGGGGTTTCACCATGTTGGCCAGGCTGGTCTCAAGAACTCTTGACCTCAGGTGATCCGCCCCTGTCGGTCTCTCAAAGTGCTGGGATTACAGGCATGAGCCACCATGCCCACCTTAAGCTGTTGTTGTTCTTTAGATTAATAGGTATACTGTTTTTGCCAGTTCACCGTGGTTGCTGCCTTTAAGAGTTTGGACTTCTATATTTTTGTCCACATGTGTAGGTTCTCTGATTTTGTGACATTAGGGCTCCTATAATAGTGCTGGCAAAACTAACATAGGTTATTGTAAAATTAGCACAATGGGAAAAATAATGCAAGACACAAATATGTTCACACGAGATGTTCCACAGAATTAATGAGAGTTGAGAAAAAGTGCTAGTTTTCCCAGGAAGAGTGAGGATTAGACCAATTCTGTTTTTCTTAAATTAAATAAGTAGACTTGTACTTTTTTGGTGTATTAAAAGTAGGTGAAATAGTACAATTTTGGCAATTTTTAGATAATTTTTAGAATTAAAATAATAAAAATGTTTTTTCTTTTGTAATTGAAATCTCAAATTTTAGTATACTATAACTTACAGTCTTTTGTCATATATACCATTTTGACAATTTAAGCATTAAACATATGCTTATGCAGAATATTTATAACCTTGGGAAAAGTTAATGAAGAAAAATAATATGCATTTTTAAATTCCTATTGTCATGTTTTGCTGTGTCATCTAGAAGAAATGGTATAGTTTGCAAGGTCACTTCAAAGCTCACTATGAGAGACTCCAAGTTTTAGTATAACCCTGGCACTTGGAATTTCTATTAAATTCGTTTTTTTTCCTGATAACTAAATCTGATTCCATTTTTTCCATATTAACTAAACCACTAATATTTGCATGGCCTATTAGAACATTGTGTAATATATCTGATATAATCATTAAAAAAGTTAAAATTTAGGTCATATTCACAGGTATGACGATTTTGTTATTAGTGTTAGTGTAATTTTGATAGAAGGAACATATTCTTTTGAGGAAAAATGATTGTTATTCTCAGCAGGTCTTTGCTGTTTCTCTAACCCTCATTCTCTAGCTCTACTATGGCAATTCAGTTGATTAGAGAAGAGGATGTGTCTAAAGGACACTTGAACAATGTATGTTTCTGCTTATGTTGATGCTAGCACAGACCTCTAGCACAGACATTGGCTGATTTGCAGGACTTGCAGCAACTTAATTCAAATATTAATATCTTGCTGGTCCTAAGGATGGACTCAAGACAGGCTATACATGGCAATAAGTGTTAAAATAAGTTATGTGTTTTACTGTTGGTAGAATGTTTTGGTAAAAAGTCTCCACTTCCTGTGAATGTTCTGATGTAAAAAGGTTACAGACCACACTGAGATTGCAGAGGTCAACGAGGTTAGGAATGCTGAGTTCTGCCAATGACTTGCTGTGTGGTCTACCGGAAAGCTATTTAAACTGTCAGCATTTCCACTTTCCCATGTATGGAAAAGAACTAATAGCACTTAAATATTTCTCAGTGTTGCAGTAATTAATTCTTCTGAAATGCTTTGAAATAAGCATCAAAGAGATTCACTTATTTGCTTCAGCTTTTGATTTTATTTGTTAATGAGGGAAAACGTTCTGCGTGAGAGAAAAAAATTATTGACAGAGCAATGCTAAAATTCTATGCATTATATTAAATTCATTTTACCTCATTTCATTAAGATAATTGCGGGAAATGGGAAGGCTTCTTCCATATTGTCTGGATGTCCACAGAGATGGCCACAGAAATGGTGACTTCCATCCTTGTAGCCATCACCACCCTTAATTACATATCTGGCATTACAGATGAAAGACTATATTATGATGTATCTTTGGGAAGTTTTCATGTTAAAAGGCTTTCCTGATACTGCTTAGGGTTGATCACATTATTTAACTGATTGAAATGGGTTTTTCTGCTAAGATATTTTCAAAAGAAAATGACATAAAACTCATACCAGTTTTGACCATGAAGGACATTCACTGGCTTATTTAACAGTAATGTTCAGGGGTGATAGTAGTAGTCAGCTTTCACTAGGCTACCCTATAGAAAAAAATCCAAAATTGTTGTGGTTTACTACAAACATTTCTTTGTCTTACATGTTACATGTCAGTACAGGGCTCTTTTCCATGTGTCTTCTTCATTCTGGGGTTCAGGCTAAAGGAGCTGCCCCTACCAAGGATATCTCGTGGCATAAAACAAAGTGAAATGTATGGTGGCAATGGTAGAATTATGTATTGGCTTTTAAAGCTTCTTCTCAAAAGTCACATGCATTTTCTTCAATTCACATATTATTGACCAAAGCAGGTTTCATGACAAAGACTGATGTCAAAAGGGTGGGTGAGTATAATTCTTAGTGGGATAAGCAGTAAGTACTTTGGAGTGATAATGTACCATACCACATAAAATTCAGGAATAGTTTGATTTGGGCCTGGCTCTATTTACCTGTGAGTCTCCACCCTATTCCATTTACTGGCTTTGACCTCAGATCAGCTTTCCTCGTGGTAGTAAACTGACAATCATTCCAAGCCTTATATCCAGAAATCATCCATCAAAAGAAGAGAACTTCTGTTTTCTCAACTATCAGAAAAAATTTCAGGTGCCATTTTGATTGGGTCCACTTGGTCACATGTTCAACAAAAAAAATCATTGCTGTATCATTGCTGTAGCCAGAGAAGGCCAAACATTGATTGTCTAATACCTAGGATTGAGATCATCCTGGGTGACTTAGACCAACAGGATACATCCTGAACCTGGAATTAAGGTCTATCCTACTCATATCACGTCGTGGCAGGGGTAGAAGAAATGCAGGGAACCAATCCCAGATGGAGAATTCTCAATCCACCTTGTGATTGGTCAACTTTTGATGCCACTCCTTTGTGAGGGTCCATTGCCCTCCTTGTGCTTAAGCTCTGGGATATAACTGCATTTTATTATTAAAATGTCTTAATGAATGATTAATTTGGTTTGTTTAAGGTTTCTATTGCTTACAACCTAAAGTGTTTTACTTGGTAAAGAAATACAGAATTCACGGAAAATTGTTACCTAAAAGAGAATTCAATGGAAATGAAATAAAATAAAATAAAATGGAGCTTGGTTGGAATCCAAATCCTCCCCTTCCTAACTATGCAACTTTCAGCAGGTTATTAACTTTGCTAAGCCTATTTCACCATATTTAAAAAGAGAATAATGGACTTATAAAGCTTTTGGCAAAAATTCTCTGAGCTAATGTATATATATAAAGGTCTTTCTTAATGTAGAGCAATGACTAATTAACATGGGGTGTTTTATAAACTGTTGAAAGAGTTTAGAGATGGTAGGGGTCAGAGCTTGAGGGATTAGAAAATCTCTGTGGGGAATTCGGCATTTAAGCTTGAGTTTAATGTCTGCATAGAATTTCCACATGGGAAATCTCTAAGAGACAATAGGCGAGCATCAGAGGCATACAGAATTGTGTCCAGTAAGGGTGCAGAGGTGAGAAAATGCAAGACATGCTCAGAAAATGGGAAATAAACAAGTTAGTGCTGTGAAATCTCTCATTCACATCTCCCTCCATATTTTGTCTATTTCTATCCTCAAGCCTGAAACAACCCTTTTACTTCATCAGCCAGGTTATTCATACTGATGACCAAGGTTCAGCTACAGCCTCCTCTGTGGTACTTCTTCAGTCTCTGCATAAAGGTCTACATTCATACTGTTCATAAATGGTTGCTTACTCAAGGCATTTTGAATACTTTTATCTATTTTGCCATGCTGTTATCCTTCTTCCTTATATGTTAATATTTCATCATTTGTAACACACTATGGACATGAATAAAAAATATATACCTTTATTCAAAATGTGCATAATTATACTTTCTGCTGACTTAAGAGGAAAAATAACTTTCCAAATGGAATTAATTTCATCCCCACATGGGCAATTAATAATGTATACTATTTACATTACATAGACTATTCTTCATTTAGGGAATGACACAAAATTTATTTTTTTCTAATTAAATTTTGCTTTGTCCAGAAGTGTGTGTGCATTATTTATTGCTGTGTGCTTGAATTCAAGAATGAAAAGAATTAAATACCCTCCCGACCACAAAACTGGCTTGTTCGCTTTAACAGTCTCTGTCCTTATGTGATTAACGTGAGCTGGAAACATTAGGGAGCCAACTAATTCTACAGATCACTTCCTCATCAAAATATCAAATGCAACACTTCCCAAATCCTCAGTATAGAATATATCAGTTCAGTTGCCTGCACTCCATGTCTCATTTTTTTCTAACCTTTATAATAAATTTTTCATTCTTCTGTTTGAAATCTATTTCTCATGGTTTTGCTGGTAATCTGAAAGGCTTCGCATAGTAAATGGAACATGTTGAGCTTTTAATGTAAAAAATTGGGTCAAATTTATGAAAATAGGCATAATAATCAGAGATAAAAATAAGTGAAGAAAAGTAAGGGGTATATTTCTTTTATAAAAACATTGCATTTGACATTCTATGTCTGGATTTTGTTGTTGCTTTTCTTGGTTTGTGTGTTTGTGTTTGTGCTGGAAATTTTTAACTACCATCAAGATGCAGTTATGTTGCAATTGCTGTCTCAGCTCATGGAGAACAAAGAATTTCTGGTACAACTCTGGTACAATTCTGATAATTGAGAGAACTTTGAAGGAAGGCCCACAGAAAATAAGGTATATGTGAATCCTATCTGTACAATGGTTAACTCCCCAGATGTTTCTGCATTCTAATAAAATATCTCTGCAGTTTTTTTATGCCAGAAAATATCCTCTTTTTGTTCTGACAGTATCTCAGTTTCAAATAAAACTCAAAGGTTTTTATTCAATGAGATCAGCTAGTTCCACTTGGACTATATCAGTCTGATGTAAAAAAATAAAAAAAGAATATTCAACAATTATTTAGATTAAAATAAACAAGATTTAGGGTCATGTGTCCAATCATGGAAAGTTCTGATTTGCATCACAATGACTTCAACGTTAATTGGTTTTAATTTCATTTCAGATGTCATCACTTGGAACTATAAGGAATAAAATATAAAAATTAACTGATACAATGCAAAATTTTATTACTGGGCATTCTGAATGATATTTGACAATATAAAGAAATGGAAAACCTTAGATATAGGAAAGTTTATCTATTAAATGTAAAACTGGAAGAAATGACAAGTTCCCTACATTCAAATTTCAATCTAGAAAAAAGAAGTTGCTGCAAAAATAAGTAATTGTCTATCATAAGTTAATTTATGTTTGCATTTGAGAAACTAAAAATACTATAGGAAGCACACAATAATGTGGACTTGGGGGAAAACAGATTTTTTTAAAAGCACTTTAAAATTGCCAAAATAATTCATAGATCCATCTATAAAAATATCTAATGCCTCGATTTTCCCACAGAATGCCATCCTTATTAATGGTGCTTGAGAATACAAGTGGCTGAGTATAGTATGCAGAACCGTCTAATATAACTCATATATTGCCAGCCAATCTTTCCTCTCACTCCACATGTACTGCTATGAACTCTTTTGAGAACTAAATGAGATAATAGATATGCAATCGCTTTGTGAAAGGTCAGATGCTAGTCTAATTTACCTTGTTTTGCCACAGAGCTGGCCACTGCTAAGTATCTTCTGAAGAGCATGATGGAGTAAATTCTGTTTATATCATTATTTTGCCTCCCGACAACTCTTAATGATGATTGTAAGTACATATGCCTTTTAAAATGGAAGTGCATTGTCAATTTTATATTCAAATAAATAGCCCCTTAGGCATGTGATCACTTTGGTTGCCAATTTCTCAGATTTGTTTATTTTTCCTGTTGAAATGGCTAGCTTTGCAAACTGTGCTCCAGGTGTTCATGTACCAGGTTTTGAATAACTGACTTAAGTGTTACATTCCAGGAAACGTGTTAATGCTCATCATTTTATTGTCAGCAGCACTGAGAGCTCCTTTCATTGGGCACTCTCCCACTAGAGCTACCCTTTTCACTCCTGCTTTGTGAGTGGTTGCTCTGGGGCAGCTTCATGGGCATCCTATGGTGCACGGTTTTCCCCCTTGCAACCAGTTACCTTCTGTTCTGTAACTCATCCAAGTGCTTTTCCACCCACTCACAATAACATTGTGCATCCCCCCATCTCCACCCGTAGCCTGACATTTCACTACTCAGAGACGGCTTAATGCCATCTGCAAACTGGGAGAGTCAATTTAGAGAAGTTGTGAAAATGTAAAATATAATTGATCTTAGCATATTTCCAGTAGAACCTAGCTCTTAACCCTTTTATATCTGTTGTATATTCCATGGGAAGCAGATTTTTCTCTAAGTTTATTTGGTTGTTTGTTTCTTCTTCCTGTGACTTGAATAAAAGCTGTAGAAGCCCTAGGTAATATAATTTTTGAAACACATTACTTGGTATCAAGCAACAAAGCTTCATACATTTTAAATTGATTTGTTTTCAAAAGTAACTTTAATACATTTAAACTATTTTATATACTTTAACACTTTTAAAGTATTTATAATTAAAAGAGCATATATTGAAGAAGATCATTGTTAAATTAAGAATTGTTCTCAGTCTCTACAATTAACCCTGCAACAAACAGAGAGATCGTTATTACAAACTTCACTGCTGAAGTGGTAGATGAGAGGTAATGTTAAGTTTCTTACCAGGTACACAAATGTAGTAAGAGATGAAAAAACAATTTATATCCATGGTCTGAATACTTATCAGTTAAAATTAACATGACTGTTAAGTACAATTTTTAATTTTTTTTCTTTTTGACAATAATAAGGCATATATATCTTGCAAACGTTCAAACAGCATGGAAGTGGACGAGGTAAAAAAATATGTGAAAATTCTGTTTGACACACACAAAACTTTCAGACAGTAATTTAGGTGACTGTTGAAGTCACATCAACCTTGGCATTCAATTTATTTTTATAATTTACCAGGTTGTTTAGAAAATAGGACATCCTAACTCTCAGACAAATAGGAGTGCAACCTTGTATTGTATATGTGTGTGTGTATACACATGCACAGATGTGAGTTACAAAAAAAGAAAACCCAACGCAGAGCTAAGACCATCTTAATCATTGACTTATGTTTTCAAGTTCAAATACAGTCCCAGTGATGGTAAGAAAAATTTTTGCATTAAGGCCTACACAAAAATGAATTAACCTGGCAGCGAAAGTCAATATGCTGGTGGTCTACAATGTATTAAAATGTATTATATAACACATTTGAATGTTTGCCTTAGCAATTAATACAGTTAAAATATTAAATTGGAATCAAGTGTCAACGGATCTCTCAAAACACCTTTAAGAGCTATGGTCTGTGGAAAACAGTCTGAAAATCACCTCTCAAAACATCATGTTCACAACTAAAACCCTCTTATTTAAGAACTGTAATCCTTTCTAACCTTTGCCTCACCTGTAGATCTTCATATCAGATGGTCAGCAAGCAAAAGAGAAATCAAATGTGCATACACAGCACACACACACACACACACATGCGTGCATACACTCACACACCCTTATTCCTCAAATCTGTAGCCAATACAAACCCTAAACATATTGATATATATCAGGTATATTTTAATTATTGGATTACAGAAAAATATGGGAAATTCCTAAGCCAGTGGCTCGTGATGGACAATAGCAAAGGTAAGACTATCGTATGGAATAGATAATTTGTATAAAAGGAGGATATGACTAAATTTGGAGATAAATAGCACATATCAGGTAATGAATTCAGGGTTAGTTTTTAGTATTTTAATCCTTGATAATAGTACCCAATATTGTTAAACTTCTATTTTTTATGAATACATTTTCTTAGTGTAAACAAATGCTCAGTTGGTGATGTTATCTTCAACACTATACACACATATACAAAATGGCTATTTTAAGGGAGGTCCAGTCTTGGAAATCATAAACTTGAATTCAATGAGAAGCAGATATTATTCTTCCCGTGGCTTGAGCTCAGAACTATGAGTGAGTCCTTGAACGGAGCCTCTAAGTAGTTTTGCCAAATGATTAAGATCTGGTGAAGAAGCTTCACTGATGCAGATAATATGAGGTATGCCAAAATATAAAAGGGAGACCAATATCTTCATAGTTTTTAAATGTTTGCCTCATAAGAGTTGAGAGATTTAATTACCTCCTTTTTGAATCCTGTTGTGTTTTTCTGGTAAGACTTAGTTCGGCTTTTATTATTCATTTATTTCTGTGGCTGTACAGAATGAACTGCAAAACTAAAAAAAAGAAAAAACCTGGCACACAAGGAACTAATTTAACTCAGGGCCCAGTTAAGAATGAAGGAGAGTCTTGGTTCTGTGCCATATGCAAAAGTGAGGGGCAATATTTAATTTTGTTTTTGTGCTATTTAATATGCCATCTAAAGTAGTCCTTTCAAATCACAGTTCTCAAATGAGTCCTCCAGCTTGCTAGTGTTACATGAAGGACCACAGCAACCTGCAGAAAAGTACAAAATTCAAGTCACAGAGGGAGAAGACAGTTTTTAAAAACTTAACTTGCACTATAGAGATGTTCACTTGAAAAAGAATACTTTTACATTATAATGAGGCTTTTTTTAAAATAGCATTACCAAGAAAACTGTAGGAAGTCTGAGGAACCTTCACTCTTTAAAAGTAGTCTGTGAAATAAAAGATTTGGGGTGATGCAGATAGTTGTATGTACACAGCTGATTTCACATATCACAAGGTTTAACCATGTTGAAAGAGGGAAATATAGATCCACGCTCCCTTATATAAAATTCTCAAAGTCAGATGTGTTTCAGAATTCAGAATTTTTCAGATTTTAAAAAGACAGGCTGGGTGCAGTGACTCACGCCTATAATAACAGCACTTTGGGAGGCCTAGGCAGGAGAATTAATTGAGGTCAAGAGTTTGAGACTAAGCTGATCTTGAGTTCCATCTCTACAAAAATATTTAAAAATTAGCTGGGCATGGTAGCATGTGCTTGTAGTCCTGGCTACTCAGGAGCCTGAGGCAGGAGGATTGTTTGAGCCCAGGAGGTCAAGGTTGCAGTGAGCCATGATTGTGCCACTACATTCCAGAATGGGCAATAGAGTGAGAACTTGTCTCAAAAAAAAAATGTGAAAAGATAATGTAGGATATATGTCATTTTTTATGTAACACCTATAGCAGTGTTTGTGGGGAGCAGCACTTAGTAATTAAACAGATCAATACAGCAAAATGTACAAATATTCACTACAATTGAAGGAAGAGCATAAATAACCATATTTCCATCATGTCACGTCATTTTGCCAACGAATCTGTTCTTAGGGCTTTCTGGATTTCAGAATTCTAGTTAAGAGATTGTGGACCACCATTGCCTAATGGTTTTCCAAGAAGGTATACACATCCACATTCCCTCCCGAAACTTACAGGTAATTTCATGGCATGTCTTAGTCATCATTGAATTAGTATCTAGCATGGTGCCTAACTCCTAGTGAAGAATAATTTTTTAAATTGAATTGCTTTAGTAAAAATGTCACCATCAAGAAGAGAACCAAAATAACATCCTGGGGGAAATAGTCAACAGTGACTTGAAAAAAATTAAAAACAAAAATATGAGGTTTTTTCACACACTGCAATTTGGTTTTGGTTTAAGTAGAAGGCTAAAGTAAACAAGATCTGCATTTCACACGGGATCAGGTCCCCAGGTATTTGGATAACTATGCTCTGTGCAATCGGTTACAGGTTCACAGAGTCCATCCAATTTAAGAGTTAAAAAGGCCAAACTAAATGTGTTAGAAGTGTTTTTCATACCTTTAGATGGCAATGCCAGGAGCTTGCTGACATTCAGGATACAAGCCAAGGATTCTTCTAGCCTGGAGCTCTGTGAGGTTTTACTGTAAACATAAACCTCATCAGCTAAAATCTAATTTTTTTAAAAGAACACTATGGAATTTTTTCTATCATATATCACCATAAAACAACAGTAATCTTTTCTGGTTAGCCTTTGATGGTATTTGTCCAAACAGTATCAGACTTTGTCTTGAAACATGTCTCAGAGAGCAAATCTCTTTTGGTCTAACTCAAAACAGATTATGCACCCAGAATCCTCACCATTTACATGCAAAAACGATTAGCTTTACCCACTCTCTTTGAATGACTCTGGAGAGATGCCCTCCTCCTCGGTCTGGGTTACTAGCACTCTCAAACCCCAGTGGCTGCTAGGCATGTTCTTTTACAGAGCCATTATTCTAGAAACGCATTCACCATCAGCTCTGGGATTTTGACAAGACCTAATGCATTTTCTCCGAAATCAAAACTCTTGTCTTTCAAAAATTATAAATATTTAGAGAAGAGAAAATGTTAATTCAGAGATCTATGTGTGTTATTTGCCTTCAACTACTCACCACTCCTTTCAGACCATTTCTGTTACCCTACCATCATGCTATTTCTAAACTAGCCATCTGCTTCATTGTGTTGTCACTTTCTCTTAGAAATCTCCTTTGGTTTCCCTTTTCGTAAACGAAAAAGTTGTTTTGTTTGTTTTTTTACTTATTTCATGGCCCTTCATTCCCCACCTACCCCAGGGAAACCTGTTCTTCAGCTTCACCGAACTCCTTGCCTCTCTAAAAACACCACAGCCTTAATTTTGTACCTTTGTACATACTCACCTTTCTGTTTGTGATCTACTCCACTCCTCAATCACACTCATATTTATCCCCCAGGCAACAGTTCAAATGTCATCTTTGGAGGGAAACTTTTCCCAACCTCCTCCCTCTGGGCTCTTAAAACACTTTTTACATCCTTCTATATACCCTTAGTTTATCCATGTTATGTTAAATATTCTGTTGTATTTCTACCACTTCTTAGTCTTTGCTATGCCTTTTCCCAAACATCTTATATTGACAAACACAGTTTTAGTGCTCTATAAATATACCTTGATTACTAAAATTTAATACATTTTATGAATTAATAAGCAAATTTCTTTTGAGGGGGTTTCAGCTCACAACACACTGTTTAATAAGGAACTCCATGGAGTCTCTTTTGAACAAATAAATATTTTTCTTTGTGAACACAATTTATGCTATGAGCCAGTGTCATGTGATTTCTGTGCAAACAGTACTATCTGTCATAATAAAAAGATGTTCAGATCTTTCTCAACAATTGTGTTTTGAAAAATCCTGATGCCTGATGAAGAGTGATCCAAGTTCTAGGAAATGCCAGCAATTAGGGATTATGAGAATACCAAACACGTGTGCTAAATAGATTACCTTGAACATTGCACACAATTCATAAACTATGTGGTGCCTTAAAAAACAGCAACAAAGAAACCAGCTAGATCCTGACTTCAAAGCAGAGCTAAGCCCAGTATCCTTGTGGTGCACATTAAGCCTGTGCATGGAGCAAAGGTGTGTTTCTCTTGGCTGTTATCTACTGTCATAAAGGCAGGATGCAGGACTCCCTGAGCTGCCATCCCATTCTGCCCACTCTCTCTGCTGTCTTACAGCATGAACAAGCAGGACCCAAGGCACCCAGAGGAAGGGACCACTTACCCCAATCCAGACCAGGAAGCGGCAACCTACTTGGTTGTATTTTCTCACAGAGAAAGAAGCAATATTCATTCTAATTTTGGTCACGCAACAGCTGAGTAAAACAAAGTATCACAGATGAAACACATTATGGTTAGTCCAAGACGTTTGTATTTTAAGGTAGTTGGCTTCTTGTCTCTCACCCTATGATGACCATTTCTGGCCACCTCTTTTCTCTAAATTTCCATTTTAGCATTTTGCAGCTAGGGTGGCTTTTACTCTTTTACTGAAATTGATAACCTCCAGCATGAAATTGTTTATCAAACTTCCCCTTTTTGGGGTGGGGTGGTGCTTAGCATATTTTCATTTCTCTAAACATTATTTTATAATTTTGGTTTGCAGTCTTGAAAGAAAAGTTTTTTAAACTTTGTTTTCTTCTGATTTTAAATAATCCTGTTTTCTGACAGGATTTATAGAAAAAATTTAGGAATTTAGAACTCCCAGATGTCATATCTGGATACAACAATTATTGTAGCACAATATATATTTATGCAAAAATTACAAAATTTTAGGACATCCCCACCCTAATTCCTAATAATTAGGTTCAACATCCAGATATTAGAAAGAAAACAAAATTGTAAATTTACTTAAGTATATATTGTGCTGAATACTCAGGAAGGTTTCTCAATATAAAGATTCAAGTTTTCCTCTGTCTCTGGAATATTGACTTATTGATTTATTTGTCTTCTATCATGGCACCAATGCTGCACTACCTTTATTACAATGCCTTTATAAAATCTAGAAGTCAGGTAGTGTTATTTCTTCAGTTTTGTTATTTTTCAAAATTGTCTTGGAAATCTAGGTCATTTGCATTTTCTATAAATTTTAAAATCAGCCTTTCAATTTTTTTTTTTTTAAGCCTTCTGGGATTTTTTTTTTTTTTTTTTTTTTTTTTTTTTTTTTGAGATGGAGTCTCACTCTGTCGCCCAGGTTGGAGTGTAGTGGCTCGATCTCAGCTCATTGTAACATCCGCCTCCTGGGTTCAAGTAATTCTTCTGCCTCAGCCTACCAAGTAGCTGGGATTACAAGCACACACCACCACTCCTGGCTAATTTTTGTATTTTTAGTAGAGGCGGGGTTTCGCCATGTTGGCCAGGCTGGTCACGAACTCCTGCCCTCATGTGATCCACCCGCCTCTGCCTCTCAAAGTGCTGGGATTACAAGTGTGAGCCACCACGCCTGGCCACCCTTTCTCTTTTTTACTTTCTGTGAATCACTACTGTCTATCCCTTCTTTGAAACTTCTTTTCCCCATTTAATTCCATGGGCAATATTTTCCTGGTTTTGCCCCCAACTCCTTTACACCAGCTGTAAAAGCTGGCATAATATTGCCTAAAATGTGTTCCAGAGAATACTACATCCTCAGGTTATTAATTGCCTAAAAAATACATACAACAATAATAAAAATATAATAAGAAAGACATTCAAATAAGTTTGGGCAACATGAACTCAAGATTCTTTGTTGTGAAGTCTTTAATATACTAATGTGCATTATGTATTATTTGGCAGGGGTTATGATATATGGTTTTATCAAACATACTTGTCTTAAAAATCTTATCCACGGGGAGTTTTGCAGAAACATTTAGAAATACTTTTCAAAACACCAACCTGGTGATATAATAACAAGTAATGGGGCATTAAAAATTGCCATGCCTAGCAGGGGGAATCTGAGTAATTCTGGTATCTTCCCATTCCTCAGTTTACTCATCTATTTTATTCTCCTACCATGTTTCCAATTTTTTCTGTAAAATTAGATTACATTTTGTTATTCAATGTAATATTAATTCATAATTTATCATCTTTACTGAACTACACATCTTTGTAACAGTTACAATGATCCTGAAATTTCAGCATCATATTACTTCACATGAGAGATATTTTCCTCAGAGCAGCTAATGAGATTACTTTTGGTTTATGATGTGTACTAAAAATAATTTTAGGAGAGAGAGCAGGGGTGAAAATGGTGTTAAGAAAGCAAAATCACCTTTGATGAAAGCATAACTCTGAATTACAAAACTGTTCCAACCTTCCATTGTGTGGTCAGAGGGAAACACTGGACCTCAAAGTACCAATTATGGGTTACAGCTGGCCTGTTCAAGATGACTAGAAGTACTCTGCATTAAGGATACAGGCAGAACATTGTGGTTAGACTTGGAGCTAGATATGCACTTAGAAAAACAGTTGGGTTAAACCAAACTCCCTCCACCTGAAAGGAGGGTGACTTCAAACTCAAGTGAAAGCATTAGTTTCCAGTTAACATGACAGAGTGGCCTAATCAATAATGAATTGCAATGAGTCCATGGGCCATTCTGCCTTTCTTGATCAATATGGTTTCTCACATCTTTATGGAGTGCTGGCAGAAGTGATGCTCCCTAACTCCCAAGGGAAAAGTTGGCAAGACACACCAAGGCCCACATTTAAAAAACCAAGAGAGTAGACACTATTATTCGGCATTTAAGAACCAAGGCAGGAGGGAGGGAGGAAACAAGCCACCATTAATTTAATATTATATTTTTCTGTGATGAAAATAAAACACAAGAGCATTTATGCTTGATAAATGAAGAGGGATAACAGTTTATATTTTGTGTTCATTTAACATGTATTTAACAAACTTTATACAGTGGTTTTTAACTTGGGCTTTTTGACTCACATTTTGCTTACTATTGACTTGCAAAATAAGTTTTCAATTTAGTTTTAATATAGAAAAGTTAGGTATTTAATATAAAATGAATATTAAATCATTTATCTAGAATCAAAAATGTGAGGTAACACGGAAGGAAATATAGTTTTTCCTTATAAGTATGTAAAGATATTTGATAGTTGTGCTGCCTGCTGGGTGTTTTAGAGCAATAAAATCTTTTCTACTATTTTTTGCCTATTTAACCACAATAAATGGCCTAGAGGTCAGCCTGCTCAGCTGCCATGGTGTGGAATCTTACAACATTTCAGGAAGACAAAATGTCTTTCATTTTAAAATCCTTATTCACTGTGATTTTGATATGAAAGATGTTACCAAAGTGTTGGGAGAGATTTCTATTGGAAAAGCTGATTATACATCCAGATCCTCAAAAGTATGCTTTAAGAAATTTATGGTTAAGGGATTAACATCTTAGAGCATGTGATGAACAATTTTATGAGTCAACTTGGATTGGCTACCATACTCAGTTATTCAATTAAACACTAATCTTGGTGTTGCTGTATAGGTATTTTGTAAATGTGATTAACATATACAATCCTTGACTGTAAGTAAAGGAGATTAATCTTGATAATTTGGATGGGCCACATCCAATTAGTTGAAAAGTTTTAAAAGAACTGAAGTTTTCCTGTAAAAAAAAGAAATTCAATGTGTGTCCTACAGCCTCAGCTCCTGCCTGAGATTTTCCAGCCTGTCCTATTGAGGATTTGCCTAGCTAACCACCATGATAAGCCAATTACTTGAAATAAACACAGACACACACTCACTCACACACACTATATATGCACATGTGTGTTTGCAATTAGATTTTGTGTCTAAAATTGAAATACATTTATTTTCTTTTTGGTGAGAAATAATTGTACAATATAATTGTTTGTGTGTGTGTGTGTATGTGTGTGTGTGTGTGTGTGTCACACTGCTTCTGTTTCTCTGGTGGAACCCTAACCGATAGGGAGCACATATGGTATACATTGTCCAGCTCTTCTTCAAAGACACTTTTGCTGCTCTTCCTGAAGTCTGTAGCCTCTCCTTCTCATCATTATCTAGCACAGCATCCTGTTTATTTTCTTCCTAAAAGTCATGATAATCTGCAAATTAAAAAAAAATTAACTACTTACTGTCTTTCTACATAACTGAAATAAAATTTTCTGAGATAAAGCACCCTCTCTCCTTCACTGAAATATCCTCAGGATGTAACACAGTGCACGGATCATAGTAGGCACTCAGTTTGTTGAATGAGTGCAACATAGAAGGCTTCTTACATTGAATCTTCATAAAGCCTCTGTCATATGAGGCCTATTATCCCGTTTTATATACCTCAGGAAAATTAAATGATTTGTCTCAAATCACACAGCCGATAAATGAGGGATCTGGAATTTTAAACCAAATTGTCCTATTCCCAAATTCATTCTGTTTCCTTTATATTATATTGCTGATTTGGGCTTTTTATTGAACTTAAATCCTACAATGTATCAGACTCTCAAGCACTATGCAAAACACCAAAAAGAATCATACATAGTGTGATCAGAGATACCTATAAATAGCTTTATTACTCAGCCACTGGCATGCCCGTAGAAGAAGCAATTGTATGGGAGTTACTCCTGCTTGGGAGCATGGAAGGAGGTATCAGGAGAAGGAAGCCATTCAGGTGGGCCTTGAGTTCATGAGCTGACATTGTGAAAATCAGTTTAGACCCAAGACAATACTGGCAAAGACATAAGCATTTGCGGGTTAAGACTGTTTGAGGAATGGTGAAATTGAATCATTTTAGAGTGTGAGATATGTGAGTGGGAGAGGATAGATAGGTATCTATACTGGCTATGAAATGGACTTAAAGTCTAGACTTAATCGACGTAATCCTATGTATAGTTGTGGTAGCTGTGGCAGGCCACACAACATGTTTGTTTCATACTGTAAATGTAAAATGTCACTTAAAGATCATTAGCAAGGTTGATCTTTGAAGGTGAAGAAATTTTTTTTTGAGACAGAGTCTTGCTCTGTGGCCCAGGCTGGAGTGCAGTGGTGCGATCTCGGCTCACTGCAAGCTCCGCCTCCCGGGTTCATGCCATTCTCCTGCCTCAGCCTCCTGAGTAGCTGGGACTACGGGCACCCACCACCACACCAGGCTAATGTTTTGTATTTTTAGTAGAGACACGGTTTCACCATGTTAGCCAGGATGGTCTGGATCTCCTGACCTTGTGATCTGCCCACGTCAGCCTCCCAAAGTGCTGGGATTACAGGTGTGAGCCACCGCGCCCGGCCAAAGGTGAAGAAATTAATAACCATTTGGAGCAGAAGATAACTCTCATGGGGATCTTTTAGTATGTTATTCCAGTCCTCCAAGAAACAGATACTGAGATGGGATTAAATATGCAGAAATTGCATTAGAGAACACAACTGTAAGAGAAAATGGGGACAGAGCTGGGAAATTTGAAAAAAAAAAAAAATGCAGGTCTGATCCCTGGCAAAGGAGAAATTGAGAAGACATGTTCTAAACTGCCAGATCATCTACAGAATGTTCAGCCAGGGCGTCAGAAATCCTTGAGTGAATGCTAACCATCAGAAGAATTTTGAATCTTCCAGGAAGACCTGCTTTTGCCTTCCTGGCCTGGTCAGTAAGTAACTGGTCTTGGCTTGTGGGAGGCATCGCAAAGCAGTGTCTGTTCTCTTGGCCGATAGTGCTACATGTTGTTGAAGGTCTGTGAGACACAGTCTTTACTTACACACTTCACATGGCTTGTGCCCTTGCAGAATTAAAGCACCTTTCTGCCTTAATTAAAGCTTTACATTGCAGTCTTCTTGAACATTGTTATTCACTTTTGGAAGTGGTAGGTGACTTTTCATGCAATTATTCTTCAACAAAAAAACTAATAAATTGATTTCACAATTACAAACAAAGTTCTCTAATGGTGAAAAGCTGAGCATGAGTTTCCATTTAATTGCCTATACCTGAAGATATATCCCTTCCCTTATGAAAGGAAGACAAGAGCTGGCACATGGCAGCCTATGGAATGGGAAAGGAGAGATCTCGTTAAGAGAGTGAGTGCTTACTCAGAATCGTGATCTCATCGAATTAAATCTTTTCATACTAGTCATTATTTTTGTGCCCATTTTACTAAGTAGAAAACTGAGGCTCAGCTAACCTCATATAACTAAAATGGGTCAAAGTCAATAATGGTTGTGTTCCCTCTTCTGTCCTATGCTGCTTTTAGATCCTTAATGTAAAGGGTGAGTGTGTCACTTAAGGGAAGGGGTGGAAGAAAGAGACTAATGGTTCACAAGACAGAATATCTCTTCTTTCCTAGGTCAGTGCTGCTCCCTTTAACTAGGAGGGCAGTTTTGGAAGTCTGAACACAGCACCAGTGGGGAACGAATAGAAACTGAGTGAGCAGCACATAGGAGGTAACATGATTAAGAGGCTGCCCCAACAGCTATTGATCCAGCCTTGAGGAGACAGACTACCTCTTTCTCCTCCCCTCCAGATTGATGTAAATGGATTGAAAAATCTGAAGCTGCCTTTCAGATATGTTTTCCCAGGTATCACCCCTGTGAATCTTCCATCTTCTGAGGTTCATTAATGACTTATTACATTGGCTCATATCAATACAATATGACCTTCACACTTGTCTTTCATTCACTCGACAAATTCTTGCTGCTTACCAACTTATGTTCCATGTGCTATGCTAAGGGCTTGGACAAAGCAGTCAGTAAGTCAGCCTTGGTTCCTGTCTTTGTAGAGGCTATCCTCAAGTCACTATAGCAATTGCACTTGCCAAAACTGGCTTGTGACTTTTTGTGCATTTATTTTACATTTTTGTGTAACTATGTTACATTTTGCAGTATGCATTTTTGGAGAATATTAACAAGATTCCCTATTTTATTTTTGCATTCCACCCTTCCTCCATTCTTACACACACACACACACATAAACACACACAGTCCTAAAACTTATTCTCCAAACAGCTATGAAATTTGTCTTTCTCACTGTATCTGATAGTGACCATAAACTCCAGACTCCATAGTGTAACCTACAAAGTCCTTCTCTATGTGACTGTGGCCTGACTTTCTAGATTCATCTCTGGCCATTCCTCCTTCCACCTTATACTCTATGTCACACAAAGACACTCTAGATTCTTGCCAATTCTCTTTACACAGAATGCCTTGCTTACCTTTTTCATTAGGGAAACCCTTACTGACCCAATTCAAATTTCCCTTTGTCTAAGAAGCCTTCACCCTGTCCTCCAGGAAACAGGTCTTCTCTTCCATGATTTACATGTGTTATAGCAAATGCTGCATTGTATTGCAATAGTTTGCCTAACTACATTTCACCTTTTGTTTCTTGAGTTCCTGTAAGAGACCAGATATCTTTTTGTTTTTGAACTTTCAGTGCCTAGCAAAGTTCCTGAACCCTGGTAGGGAATGAATAAATAGCTAAATTGATTTCATTTGAAGTAAGACTGTGGTTAAGAAAACTTGATTTTGTTTGCATGTGATGAGCATTAACCCCATGCAGAAATGTTATTTCACTAAATAAGGGTACCAGGTTCACATTTTTTGATGACTAAGCATTTAGATGAAAATCTAGTCAGGATAAGTCACCTTAGGATAATTTCAAATAGGCAATTCTCAACATTTTGTTAATTCTGGGGTCAATGACTGGACAATTAAAAAATAAAATATGATGAGTGACAGTGCTTAACATTTTAGCATTTCAAATGCCATATGTAATTTACCTCAAATCCAGGGCTTGGACAAAAGTTGCAGTAGAGCTAAATGAAAGCCCCCACACTCTTTTAAAATAGCTGAATGTAGCCCACTCCTGAGGCTGTTTATTTTTACATGATATACAATGAAAACACTATAATTAAGAATGGGTAAACCCAGCTGTGCTTTGGGTTGATCAAATTTCTTAAAGTTGCTTTTTGACTGTTTGGAGTCTGTGAAGACGAAAGTCTATGTTTAAGAATTTTCCCTCAATTTTTAAATCAGTGTTTATTTTAAAAGAAGTATAATCCATATGGTTTTGATTCCTCCACACTTAACTCATCCAAGTGCAGTTTTGTAAGAACTATTTGAAGTCAAAAGCTTTTTAAAATTTTTATGAGCTTTTTTGTCTTTTGCCCCCTCAGAAAAGGAAGCAATACTTGCCAAGTGTAAACAAAGTTAATCACCAAACAGTTTTATATTCTAAAATAATGAAACCACACTGGGTGCTGAATTTGACAAAACAGTTCTTTTATCCTCAGGGAAATTGTTGTCTAAGCTCGTAGAGTGACTGCCTTCTCTGAAGAAGAGCCCCAGGTGACATCAGCATTGTATTATTAGATTCTCAGATCCTCACAGTAAAGTAGTTGTTGTTTTCCAGCTAGAGTTTACTCACAATATCTTTATTTTGTCACAGAAGTCACCCAAGTACAATATTAAATGTCATGACTACCGAGAAAAGTTAGTGATAGCGTATCTAAATGTTGATGCAATGCTGTATCTATGAATGAGCATCTCAGGGCTGTCAGACCTTAGCAGGAAATCAAAGAGGATAAAAAACACATGACCCCATGGAAGCTCTCAAAGTCACATCTAGAAGAGCCCTCAGCAAACTACAGCTCACAGACTAGAAACAGCCTGCCAACTGTGTTTGGAAATAAAGTTTTATGAAATACAGCCACACCCCTACATATCACTCACAGCTGCTCTTGTGCTACAGTAGCAAAGTGGAATAGTTGTAATAGAAACCACATGGTGAGTAAAGCCTAAAATATTTACTACCTGGCTCTTTACAGAAAACCATTGCTGACTCCTGACGGAGGTGATACGTGGCTGAGAACTTAGATTTGCAGCTCTGGAAATAACAGAAAACTTCTCTGAATGTCATAGTCTCACTTTAGATCAAGGATTAAAAGAAAATTTAAATAATATATACACTTAGTGATTTTTGTAAAACGCTTTATTAGAAAATAAACATAGACCATTATAAATATATGCTATTTTGTGCACAAGTGAGAAACAAACATTTGCTGAAAATTTCCCAACTTCTAAGATCTCTATGATCAAACATTTTGAGGATTTTAAAAATACATACAATTCTCATAGCACTGAAGTATTCACGGTGGAGATCTCTTTGGCAAGGTAATTATTGTTTTCCTCTATTATCAATATAACAGAAAAATAGTAATCAGATTTCATAAACCTTACTTTGTGCTAGATACCTTTGCTGGGCTTTTTGTATGTGTATGTCTTCTTATATTTAATTTTGACAAAAGCACTAATATGCTTTTTAAGCTCCAGGGATCTTAGCTTCCTCTTTTGTAAAATGGGGATAATAATATTACTTGCCTCATAGGGCTATTTTAAGAATTAAAGAAATTAATGCATATAAGGTACTAAGGATAAGGCCTGTGCCATCTGCCAAACCCCAAATGGAACCGCTAGAAACCAGCTGAGCTAGCAGAACCTAACTTATTAAACATACTGTGGTCAAGGTCAATACCATTCTAGTAGGATAGGAGAATCTCAGAATGGGAAATGTCAGAAAAAAAAATATATAGAAAATGACAGAAAAATATATAGAAAATTTTCTATATAGAAAATATATAGAAAATTTTCTATATAGAAAATATATAGAAAATGTCAGAAAAAAATATGTCAGGAAAAAAATGGGAAATCTCAGAAAAAAATATATAATATGCACACACATATATATAGTTTTGGCTGATGGTTCTATTAGGAATCTTAAAAAGCAGGAGACTAATTAGGATTGGGCAGCTGATGACTTGAGAGTTATGGATTGGTAGACACAGTAAGGCAAGGACATTGGTACAAGTATTAATGAATAAGTAAGTAGTTGGTCTTATAAAACAAGTTATTTTAGTTCATTTATCTTCCAGGGACAATTATTTTCTGCCCCATGTTTATGTATTTCTTACCAGGTCCCCAGAATCTTTTAACACAAAAACAGAAAAGTATGTTGGTTTCAGTTCTCACGTCAGATGTACTAAGTTCAAATATGTATTAGCAATTATCATTGTCATTTTTATCATCATTTTTTTACAGATGAGGTAGCTGAGACCTTGAACGATTGGGAAACATGCCCAAGGTCATATAGTTTAGATACTGTAACTGCTAGCATCTTGTTCATATCTCAGAACCTTCATGTTAGTGTGGAATTAACAAAGTCTGTACTATAAGCATCTACTTGCTCAAATGAATCTTATTCAGAAAAATGAGAAAAACTGCATACAGGAGAAATGTACTCTTGTTAACTATAATGTGTCTTTTCTCTTGGAAGCAGTTAGGTATGATGGAACTGAAGTGGCATAGGAATGGTATGGGTAGCAGTGAAAGAGTGATGGACGAGTGCTGTGGCTATCTCATCAACTCTACCACCATCCTCCCCCTTCCAAAAAAACACACAAAAAATATATCAACCAGGCAAAGTTTCGTTTATCAGACCTACTGCAGTACAGTACAGGACAACATTACCTGTATGGTTAGTTCTGTCTTTGAAGGAGAAGGTCAGATCCAAATATCTATCAGGTTTGAGATCTGGTTATAATTGATTTAAGGTAGGTCTTTCAGGATAGAAAATTGATGGGTATTGGACAAGGTTTGTGGCATACAGTTGGTAGACACAGTGAGGCAAGGGTCTTCAAGTAGTTCTGGTAAGTAAAATGTTTGATAAGTGAGCTATTTGCTAGGTGAGCAATCTATTGTCCTGATAGGAGATCTTTTGTTTAAATTTGCAAACTATTTGCCCAAATTGGTTTGACATATTTCATGAAACTAATAGTAAAATTATTCATTGGCCATATTCATATCTGCCTTGGTGAGAATTCTCCTGGACCAAACATGTAAGTCATGCTGACACAAGGAAGCTTAGTTCTGAGTCCTAATAATTAAGATATATGGATGTAGGTGGTTTCAGTTCTCAAAGCAGACAAAGTGATGGATTATAGTTGTGCTGATTCTCATTCCCAAGGTTATTTATTTTTAAAAGCCCTTTTGGTACACCAGTCCTCTAATCAGGCAAATTATCTGCATACTAAAAAACATAAAATATAATTAGGCTAAACAATGTTATTTAGGCCAACAATTGTCTTATTATTGTTTAACTTTATCCGCAACATTGTTAATTTATGACAACTTTGTTAACACCTCTACCTTACAAAATGCAAGTGTTTATTCCCCTAATCAACAAAAATTTACTATTTTATAATTTTGTGTCAACTGGGCTAAATCACTTTCCAAAGCAAAATACTCCCTAGTCTTTTCATTTAAATATATCTATGTCCTTTACTTATATAGTTGTCCCTCCAATATCTGCAGGTGATTGGTTCAAGGACTGCCACAGATACCAAACTCTGCAGTTGATCAAGTCTCCTACATTAAATGACATTCTATTTGCATATAACCTACTCACCTCCTCTCATATACTTTAAATCATCTCTAGATTACTTATAATACAATGTAAATGCTATATAATAGTTGTTATACTGTATTTTATATATTTGTTATTTTCATTGTTGTATTGTTATTTTTTTTAATATTTTAAATCCATAATTGTTGAATCTGTGGATGTGGAACTCATGAATACAGAGGGCTGACTATATATATATATATATATTTTAATTTTTCTATCTTTTCATAGTAAAAGTAAGGAGGGATGACTATTTTTTCATGGTGCAGCTGATCTACTTCTTAGGGTTTTACTTATAGTTACTAAAGAAAAAAAAATAAAAACATTGAATTATGTAATTTTACCTGAGCAAGCAGATAATCAAAGCCCTGAGACTAACAGCCATAAGACTCCGCTGAGTTACATGGCAAGAAAGAAAAAATAACAATGCAAGCATTTTAGGCAACAGCTAAATAAATATCATAAGGAAGTGAGGAACGAAGAGGGGAAGAAGACAAGTAAAATTTTAAAAATAATTTAATCGATACTACAGTAAGTGAATTATAGTTAATAATCATTTATTCATATTTTAAAATAGAAGAATTGTCATGTTCTCAACACAAAGATGGAGGTAATGGATATTTCAATTACCCTGATTTGATCATTACACATTGTTTACATGCATCAAAATATCACATGTACCACCAAAATGTGTACAATAATCTTATACTGATAAAAATACAGAAAAACATAACTTAAAAAGAAAATTCACTCTTTAAGCAGATGTGTTAAAATATGTTTAACAAAATTTTTTTTTTAATGTAAGCAAGAAGTCATGTGGAAAGTGAATATTACAACTCTTAAACATATTTATCCAGATGCATAAAATATGTATCCCAAATCAAGTTTGCTAAAATGCTGTAATAATGAAAAAATAAGAAACAAATAGAAAATGGAGCCTAGTGTGGTGGCTCTTGCCTGTAATCCCAGCACTTTTGGAGGTTGAAGCAGGCAGATCATCTGAGATTAGCATTTTGAGACCAGCCTGGCCAACATGGCAAAATCCCGTCTGTACTAAAACTTCAAAATTTAGCATGGTGGCAGTTGCCTGTAGTCCCAGCTACTTGGGAGGCTGAGGCAGGAGAATCGCTTCTTGAACCCAGCAGACGGAGTTTGCAGTGAGCCAAGATCATGCCATTGCACCCCACCTGGGTGACAGAGACTCTTTCTCAAAAAACAAACAAACAAACAAACAAACAGAAAACTTAGGAAATGATTGATAATCAAGATTGATTAGAAGTCTAGTAAAGAACATTATGCAAGAAGGCAGGGTATGTCAGGCATATGGGGATTATAAGCAAAATGCAAATAATATACTCCTTGCCCCCAAATGAAGTTATTTTATTGATTTTTGTCTTCCTTGATCAACAATGTTCTAAAGAGAAAAGTTTCAATTAAATGCACATTTCCTTTCAGTTGCCAAGTCTACAAAAGGAAACAAGTTGAAATGCAAATGAGTAGCACTTTCTTGGAAAAATATTAACAAGGAAGCTGTATGTTGTATGCTAGCAGTAGCCAGAGACATCTGACAAGCCACTTCCAATCATATATGTATAATATATATATAATACTTTATATTGTTATATGTTAATAATAAATCAGCCTGTCTATTTTTCCAACTTTATGTGTATGCACAGCACTTTATATTGAGCAGAGAGAAAGCAAGCCAGCAACTAGAAGCTGAAGCAAATCCTACCAACAGGGCAGCCAGAGTGGTGAGCTAACTGTTCCACATGTGGCAGATTCTTTCTTGAAGGGACATCTGAGCCAAGCCTGATCCACCGGCACTGAATCCCAAATAAAATATCAAACTATTGTCCTGATTTCACATCAAAGAAGGTGTTGCAATGAACGACATCACATACCACACAATCCAAAAGTAACTGGACTCAGAGAGCTCGAACTTCTTTCTAAAGACCCAGCTGAAGCACCAGCTCAGAGTGCTGGTGGAAATGGTTTGAAAGGATTGTGTTTATTCCCCTAATCAACAAAAATTTACTATTTTATAATTTTGTGTCAACTGGGCTAAATCACTTTCCAAAGCAAAATACTCCCTAGTCTTTTCATTTAAATATATCTATGTCCTTTACTTATATAGTTGTCCCTCCAATATCTGCAGGTGATTGGTTCATTTACTTGAGACTATACCAGCTTCAGGGAAGCCAGTGATGAAGGCTAATGAACATTAACTGGATAAGTCACTTCGTTAACTTAGTTGTTCAGTGCCATTTCTAGGTTGGATGTTTTCTAGTAGGAATTAACATATGGTACAAAACTCTTTGTATTTTATTTCCACTCCGTATGTCTATCCACTTCTGTCTCCCTCAAATCTCCTAGGCACCTATCTTTTAATCCTTTTTCTTATAAGCTCCTGATCAGATGGCCAGGTCATTGAACATTGCTCAGAAATCTCTATATATGGCCAGGTGTGATGGCTTAGCCTTTGGGAAGCTGAGGCGGGCAGATCACAAGGTCAGGAGATTGAGACCACCCTAGCTAAAACAGTGAAAACCCGTCTCTACTAAAAAAATAGCAAAAAATTAGCCGGGCATGGTGGCATGCGCCTGTAGTCCCAGTTACTTGGGAGGCTGAGGCAGGAGAATCGCTTGAACCTGGTAGGTGGAGGTTGCAGTGAGCTGAGATCGTGCCACTGCACTCCTGTGACAGTGTGTGACAGACTCCTGTGTGACAGAGTGAGTAAAAAAATAAAAAACAGAAAAGCAAGAGAAAAGCAAGAGAAAAGAAAAGAAAAGAGAAATCTCTATTCATTCTTACCTTGGGCCATTTATCCTTCATCAAAAAAGTGAATGACTAGATTCTGTGCTCACAGTTTTGCCCCTTGGGAAGATTTTCTCTGTCTACTCTGTTTTAAGGCATCCCTGATTGTAGCTGTAATGCAGATTCCATCTATTTTTGGTTTATACCCATATACCAAGGCAAACTATTTATAAACCAACCTCAGGGCTTTTCCTCACCCTTCAGATGATTTGTGGGATACCTCCACCCTGTCTTCAAATGGAAATAGGTCAGAGCTAGGAGAGGGACACGAGGACAAGTGTAGTAGGTGACACAGGGTTCTAGGCTACCTGCTTATGTAGGTAATACATGCTTTGCAGTTCAACTTGGGCTTGATCCTGGCTGTAGCACTTGCATGGGACAGTGGGGCATTGCGAGGCCAGTCTACCTTTATAAGCTGTTGGGTTTGGCAAAATCCAGCTGATATTGAAAAGTTCTAGATGTTTTGACACAGATAGAATGGTCAAGCATTCTATCTGTGTGAGAGCAGAGTAACATGCCAGAAGTTGTTTCTGAATAGGCATATATTTCTTTGTGTATTAGTTACCTATTGTAGCATAACAAATTAGCACAAATTCAGTGGCTTACAAGAATTCACATTTATTTTCTCACAGTTTCTGTGGGACAGGAGTTTGAACACAGCTTAGCTGGGTCCTTGATCATGTCAGCCAGGCTGTGCGCCTGTTTGGAGTCCAGAATCCTCTTCCAACTCCACAAGGTTGTTGGTGAAATTAAGTTTATTGCAGTTGTAACACTGAGATCCCTTGCTGGCTGTCAGCTAGGAACTACTCTCAGCTCCTAGAGGCTATACCCCCAGTTCCTGGCCACAAGGCCCTCTCATAACATGGCAGCTTACTTCTTCAGAGCCAGCAGGAGGGGCTTACTCCAGTTGGCTGAGACAGAGTCAATAAAATGTAACATGATCAAGAGGGTGACTATCTCATCACCTTCACAGTATAGCATAGCCTAACAAAGGGATAATTATGCTGTAATTTTACCAGAGTCTATTAGCTAAGAAGGAAATCCCAAGTTCTACCCACATTCATAAGATTGTACAAAGACATGACTCACTGGGGATTACCTCGGGGAATTCCAGCCACATTCTGCTTTGGATGGCATGGCCTTAGTCCAGGTTCTCAGAGACCTGTATTGTGATTTTCCCAGTGGTGCTTGTCAGGAACTTCACACTGCATCTTCTCCTACCACAGGTGTCTCTAATGCCATAGGATCTGTTAAGACATGCAGCACTGCTGGCACCACAGACTGGACATGCTATGAAGATCTTTCCTATTCTAGGTTTTACACAAATCAGGCAACCTTCAATGACTTCAGGCAAATGGGCCAGAGCAGAATTTTCAGGTGTATAATGTGTGGTCACCATACCCTACGAGGCCTATCAGGCACCATGCTATCTTTTTTGCTGTAAGAAATTCAAGATACAGCAATTTGCCGTTTATTTTCAAGGTAATATTCTAGCACAGCCACAACCACTAATCCCCTAAATACTGTATCGAAATGATAGGTTCAAGAATCTTCATAGGGTTTAACTCCTTTTCTCTGAAGCATATATTGTCTTACCAAGATTTTTAGCATGACAATCACTTCTTGTTCTTGCTGTCCAATCCATGTGATGTTATCAACATAATGGATCCATATGTTGTTCCTTGGATGTCTCAGTGGTCTAGAGTTCTTCAGATGACTATAGTATGTTGTGGGAGGCGAATGCAGTTAATATAGCCCTTGCTATGGTTTGAATATTTGTCCCCTTCAAACCTCGTGTTGAAATTTGATCTGCAATGTTGGAAATGAGGCCTTAATGGGAAGTTTCTGGATAACAGAGGAGCAAATCCCTCATGAATGTCTTAGTGACATTCTCATGGTAATTAGTGAGTTCTTGCTCTATTAGTTCCTGTGAAAGTTGGTTGTTAAAAAAAGCCTGGCACTACCCTCTCCTATCTTTTGCTTCCTTTCTCATCATGTGATCTCTGCACATGCAGTTTCCTGTTCACCTTCTGCCATGAGTTGAAGCAGCCTGAAGCCCTGACCAGAAGCAAATGATGGCACCATGCTTCTTGCACAGCCTGCAGGGCCATGAGCCAAATAAGCCTATTTTTTAGAATAAATTACTCAGCCTCAGGCATCCCTTCACAGCAACACAAATGGACTACGACAGGCCTGATGCAAAACTCTAAATGAACATTATTGCACATGAATGCAAACTGTTTGTAAATTTATTACTAATGGGAATACAAAATAATGCATTTGTCAAACCAAAATCTACATGCCATAGACCTGAGGCCTTATTAATCTGCTCTAGCAGTATTTCTACATTTCATGGAATAGCTACAATCAGTACAAGTAATTGGTTGAGCTTGCAGTGTTCATTATTCAGGATCCATCTTGTTTCTGCTGGGGCCAGGCTGGTCAATTAAGCAGAAATATCACAATGATCACCACTCCTTTCCCATTGATGGCACTTCTCTTTGCTGTTCTTCCCAAATGATTCAATGTAATATAGTTTTTAATTTGTTATCTTGGACATGTGGAGTCAATTTCAAGGATTTCTAATTGGCCGTTTCCACTATGATGATTCTTACCCTACCAGCCAAGAATTCCCTGTGGGGGTTACCCTAAATGCCCATTGTATGAATGCCAATCATATGCTTAGGGTCTTGGGAAATGATGACCCAGTAGTCCCGCTGTGATGTGGACTTTATTCAGAACTCCAATGATTCCCTGTCTTCTATATGCTTCTGATCTAACAGAAGGACCATGAGGCTGCTTTGGACCCCTGACTATCAATGTCAATTCAGATCATGGGTCTAACACTCCTTGTAATATCTTTTCCCAGTGTACAGTCACTTGAATAAGTAACTAAAAGTCTATTTGGGAAAGGACTGAGGAAATCACTACATTATTTGCTTCCTGCTGTGTTTAGGGGTCCTTCATGCTGGAGATCTAGCTATGCCTTCAATTAGTGGGTTCCAGATCAGAAAATCAGTTTAACAACTAAGCAAGGAATAATGACTTTTTATCTGGGAGATTGTTCTCAACCTCCTACTCCCCAATTCTTGACAGTTTCTGGTTGTAAACATTAATCAGAGGTCTATTTGGCTGTCTGTCTTTTCTTCCCTTGTGAATGCCATGCTTTAATTATCTCCATAAACTCCCTGGAGGTCACAGCCCCTTTACTGCCCCTCTGGTCTTGGTGGGGTCTAAATGGTAATTGTGGTTCCTTGGCTTCTGGTAGTTAAATGCTGCCACCTGGCTATTTATTTATTTATTATTTGTTCTTTTTGCAGTCCTATCATCTCCAGGATATTAGCAAGCCCAGCTCTGGTCTACAGATTAAACCTATTACTAAACTCATTAGTGATGCTAGTGCCACAAACACAGGTGTATTCCTGATGACCTTGGTACATGGTGTTCTCCGGCCCTCCTGTGAAATATTATCCTCTGCTGTGTCTTCTGGCCTTACACATCCATTCTGGCAGGCCCGCTTTCATCAGCCTCTTTATTCCTTCCTCTCCTCTCTGGCAGGGCAAATCAAGCGATTCCACTTGCTCAGTATTAATCATCACTCTCCATGGTTTCTATGGTCACCATAGCAGTAAGTTTGCCTCTTTCTCGGCTGTTCTTGACAGGGTTTTAAATCCCTTGTCTGCAGAGAGTGCCCTCAAGTCAATGAATTCTTGTCCTCCTTGATCAAGCACCCTTGAAATTCAAAGTTAATAAGTGAAAGCCCAAATGGCTTCATTTATGAATTTACTAAACGTTTATGGAAGAAATGATAAATGCTAATTCTGTACAAAATCTTCAAGACATTTGAAGAAGAAAAAAAATATTTCCTTACACATTCTATGAGGCCTGTATTACTCTGATAGGATACTTCTAAAATTTATATGGAAATGATAAAGATAAAAATAGTTAATAAAAACTTTGCAAGAGAGTAATAAGCTCAAAGGATTTATACTCTCTGACTTCAAGACATATCATAAATGGACTTTCATCAAGACAGCATGGGGTTTGCATACAGGTAAACATACAGGTTAATATAACAGAGCTAGAAATAGACCCAAGCATACATGCTCAATTAATTTTTGACCAAAATCTAAAAGCAATTAAGTGGAGAAAGTATAATCTTTTCACACAAATGATGCTGGAACAATTGGCAATCCATATGGAAAAAAAAGAAGATTGTTTATAGCTTGCAACTTATACAAAAATTAAGAGAAAATGGATCATAAGCCTAAGTATAAAATCTAAACCTATTAAATATTCTTAAGAATTTTTGTATATATAGTGCCAAATGCATAATTAATTTTAAAAGTTATAAATTGGACTTTATCAGCATTACAAAAATGACCGAATAACTTTTGTCTTATAAAAGTCACAGAGGAGACTCTCCTAAGTGGAAGAATACCAATATCACTCAGGTCCAGGATCCTGTCTTCTCTAGGAGAATGAAAAGAAAAGCCATAGGCTGGGAAAAAAATACTTGCACATCAAAGACGTGTATCCAGACTATAGAAAAAGCTTTCAAAATTCAATTATTAGGAAGCAAACAGCACAATTTGAAACAAAACAAAGCGGACCAAAGATTTAAATGAATGTTTCTCCAAAGAAGATGTATAGTAAGCAAATAAACAGAAGAGGAAAATAATAATGATGATAATAATTTAAAAATCAACAAATTTAGAAAATAAGAGCTATAAGTTAATTCTTGCCGAGTTAGGATCATCTAACTTTGCAATCTAAATTTAGACTTCGCTCTAACCTTTGGTCCAGAATTCATCAAACTGTGGGCTTCTGTCAAATTAAATATAACTATTAATATATCCTCCCTGCGATCCTCTTCTGCTGATTTTATTCATAGGTTTTATGTTTGTAGTAGCAAATAACAAAGTCAGGAATTATTTGGTTTAGCTAAGCATAGAGAATGATTTAATATTTGCTTTGGGAAGATAGAAATTTTATCTACTTGGTTTTGGAGTTGGTTTACAATGTTTCTTAGTTGTAAAACTGCAGCGGTCATTCCCATGGTGGGGGTAGAGGAGATAGGATGAAGTTGAGTGCTTCTTGAATAACCAGTTGAGGGGGAACCAAGGAATTTTTATGTTGCACTCTTATCCCAAGTAAAAGATGGTCTGATTAACCATTGGACCCATCTGATTTCTTTTAGAAATATCATGCATCTCAGGGATTAAAGGGGAGGTTCCAAGAGCCAGGGGTCAGGTCCAGAGAAAAATAAGTTCTGGAGTGAACTGAGAACTCCATGAGAAAAAGCAGAAAAGCCAGATGGCATCCACATGAGTCGAAGTCTTAATACCTTGATTAGGCATTTAGCGCCAACAGAGGAAAGGGGCAAACAGTTTATGTATTCATACAAAGCCTTTTCTATGTTTGGCATTAGAAGATGGGGGATACAATTGTGACAAGACAAGACAATGGTCTGTGATTTCACAAGTTTACAATTTGCAGTCAGCATTTGAGATCATGAATATAAGGCTTTTATTTTTAGTATCTTTCTTACTTAAAATCAGGTTGGGTGGCTAGAACTTAAACTCACAGAAGCTAGTCTTAACATCAGGCCACATCCTGAAAACCACAAATGATTCATATACATTGAGGAATCATCCATGTTTCCAGAGAAAAGAATATTGTCCTAGATTAATAAGGCCCAAGTCTCTTCCAAAGTTTCTCTCCTGGCCAAAGAGAAGATCCAGGTCTTTAGTAACCTCGGGAACAAGTCAGAAGTACCTCTTTAGGGTGAGCAGACTAATTCACCCACAAACCCTTTAATTGTCTTTTAGCAGGCTTGTATGCCAAAATATTTTAAACAAAGCCTGTGTACTGTGTGTTTCAAATTGTTAAAACTTCTTGTATATCTCTTTGGATAGAAAAATCATGAGATAAAGAGATATTCAGATGTTTCCATGGCTTCAGGAATTTTCTTCTCATCTCCTTTCACTCTATACAATAATTTGGATATACATCCATTTTATTTGATTGATATTAATATTAATTATTATTTTATTTAAATTACTCAATGGACCCCAGGATTCAAACATTTATTTCCTTTAACATATTTGTAGCCAGTGATTACTGCTGTAATCCACTTGGAACAAGGTTTCTGGAGTTTGATACATTTTGATACAGCATTAAAAACAAAAGTTATCTTTCAGCCAAATACTTTTGTAGTAATAAATGTAATATTCTGGAGCAAAATATTATACTGCAAAAATTAATAATTTACTGAGCACTTACTATGTGCAAAGCAACGTCAGTGCTTACAAAATTCATTTCGATCTTTATAACAACCTCATAAAGAAGCTATTTTTGATACTTTAAACAGGTTAGAAAATTGAAACTTACAAGAGTTAAGTAAACTGTACAAAGCCCCACACTCAATATGAATCCAAAGTCCTTTGCCTTAACCTCTTCCCTCTACCCCTCACCATATGTGAAATTCCCTTGTTTTCAAGGGGCTAACATTCCAAATAGATGTTATTATTTTACTTTTTCCTTGCTATCCCCATTCACAGTTTGGCCTAAGACTTGGGTCTTCTCTAGCTTTGATTGCATGCAAAATTGGCCAAAGAATAATATGTATAAGGGAAAAAGAGTCTGGTGAAATTCTACTGACTTTATTGAGCATCTTACTTCTTTAATGGAGGAAGTATATTTCATATTTCAAAGGGAGGGTGTGTTCCCTGTGAATAGTCTTTTGTCACACAGTGTTCCAAGGCCACAGTCAAATTAGGAAAACCAATATAATTGCACACATTTCCAACTAAAGTGTATTAGTCAGACTAGTTCTATTTTAGAAGAGCCAGTTTTGGGGCAGGGTGAAAAACAAGAGGAGTGGCTGGCTGTACCCATTAAATTGTTCAATATGAGATATGGAAAGCAAAGGTGCAAAGTCAAACTCATAAAATAAAGTGGAATGGGGCTATATCTTCCACATTTTGTATTTTTCATAACCACCACATATGATAGCTACCTGCTTACTACAAAATTAATTGTTCATTTTTATTCTAGAGCATCTGCAGCTTTTATTTTTTTCTCTCTCAGAAAATGAGTGTCATCTTCTACATATTTAGAGTCATAGATCCAGTTAATATTTCTGATATGTAAGTGTTAGAGTATTTAGCTCAGTGTTTGGCATATAATACTAAAGACCTAAACAAATATATGATTATATAAGTAAATTTATTTCATGATTTGAGACCAAATGGTAAAACCATCATTTTGTTAGAAAGCAAGTCAGGCCCCTAAAATAACATTATACATCCAGAAGTATTTTTTGAATGTGCATTTGAAAAGAAAAAACACATACTTGAGATTCCCTTCTTGAAAATCTTTAAGAAATTTTGATTCAATGTGTTTTCAAATGTTATGATGAGATTACTTTAGATTTATACTTAAGATAAAATGTATAGGTAGGAATTTTGATGAGATATTCTCCTTGTCATGTACTGTACTTACTGATTGGAATGCTTGCTCTAGTAACAATTGAAAAAACATTTTTTTCATGCCGCACAAAATTATTTATTATTATGGAGAAGCAGGAAGCCAGCTAGTAATATGGATGAGAAAACTTTACCTTATTAGGCAACAGAGTAGCTTTCGTGAAGATCAACATCCTCACATCCTGATAAACTAATCTCTCTTAGCAGGAAGTAAAAGGAAACTGGAAAGAGGATGCTGTCTTTATCTTCCACAAGCGTAATGTTATTTTTGTGATAGCAGGAGATAGAAGGGAGCCAGGGTGAGAAAAGGGAACCTAATTCTGCACTATGATTAGCTGAATGTGAGCTTCTTGACGTAAGACATCAAAGAGTATATGTATTTTATTCCTCATAATTCATTTGCAGAAGTTAGAAGTTGTGCATGTGTTTGCAAAAGTTAAATGTGTACATGCGTGTGTGTTTGTGTATGTGTTAGAAACCTTTCTTAATACTGGCAATTAGGTTTTTCTCATTAGAAAAAATAAATAGAAACATAGATTTTACATAAAAACAATATCACAGCTATGAAAAGAAAAGAAATATAATGACAAGCTTTATTTCAAGAAAATATAAAGATGCAAGAAACTTTTTTGTCAAAATAAGATAAAACTGGAAGATAATAAGATAAAGGATAAAAAGATAATAATAGAGGAAGAGTGAGAAAAGCAAAAAATTGTGAGAAGTTTATTACAAAATGGGTATTGATGGTTTCTTTAATTTCATACTTTTGGAGTTATTTTGTATTTTGCTGAAAGGTTTAGCTGTTTGAACAAATTATTGCCATGACTCTTATCAGTCAGACGTCTTTAGGGCAGTCATGGAGGTATTTGGCTCAGATCTACCTTCAAGAGAAAACCTGTCAAAAGGAAGACAAATTAGATAACAGCCTCCAGGTGCAAGTATGCCTCAAATTTGAACCAAGACCTTATGATACCCAGACATTTTTCAGCCAATGAGTATGGCAGGGGTACAACAGAACCTCAATTTTCAGGCACAGGACTCCTCAAAGAGCAGTCCTCCTAAAGGAGATCCCCATCATGTTGGCTGGGATTTTGTCAGAGCTGCAGTGCTGTGTGAGGCTCATCCTATCCAATCTTCTGGCTTCCTTCTCACCTTTCATAGGAGCCAGGCCTTTACTACAGTGTGAAAGCTTCCTTTGGATGTTCCTGCCTTCTTTGCCTTTACATGTTTAAAAGGTATTATTCTCCAATAATTTTTTTTTTGCACTTCTAACTCAATCTTGGCTTTCCCTTTCTAGAAAAACCAAGTGACATTAATTGATACTGGACACAATCTGTGATATCAGTGATTAAGTTGGAGTTATGCAAGTGGATCATTTGCCACCAACCAGAAAATAAGGATTCCTTTCAAGTGGATGTGGGATATGAATATTTTTTGGCACAAGACAGTAGTTCAATTGGTAAAAATTTCATCAATGGTGACTTTGGAGAATGTCATGTTGCAGGTGAATGTCCTAACCAGGACAATATTCATGCATTTGAAAAATCCAGCGTGAGAAACATAGAAAGGTAATGAAATTGACTAATTATTACTAAGTTGCATTTGTGGGACAATGAAAATTGAATACGTTGCATTTGTGGGATGATGAAAAATTGAGCATTGTTAACAAAAGCCCAAATGTAAGTGTAAAAGCCAGAAGGCATCTTGGGCAGCCTATAAAGTGTTTTTATCTTTTGCAAAGAGAGAGAGTGGCCATAGCTGGAGAGGAAATTCAGGATCTGCTGTTTAGGGCCACTGAGCTGCAAAGATGATTGGATGCTCATAGAGGAATTTTCTTAGGCTAAGGTCAGAGATCTGCTTGGGAAAACTTGAGGCATTAAAATATTGGAAGAGGACATCTGGGTAAATTTCCCCAAGGATCTACAACTTGAGAGCCTAAAGAATTGACCCACCATTCTCTATGAAGAGCTAGACATTTTCTCATGCAAGAAGATACTTCAGAGGCCACTTTCACATAAGATAAATGGTATGTTTATCAGGAATTACTCCCACTTTTTCTCTAGGCTTCTAGGCTAAAAATCATGGCTAAATTCCAGCATAACCCAGCTGAGGGATAAAAACATACTGGGACTGATAAGTAAGAAAAGAGATAATCATTTCATTAAGTTCAATAATTAGCTAGTATGTGCTTTCAGGATTCAGAATAGTATCCATGAGATTGGATGTTTGAGTATGCCGTGGTTTGAATGTATCCTTCAAAATTCATATGTTGGAAACTTAAGTCCCAGTGCAACAGTGTTGAGAGGTGAGAACTTTAAAAAGTAGTTAGATCATGAGGGCTGTGAACCCTGAAAGAGCCAATCCTTTAAGATGGAACCTGAGTGGCTAACTGGGCCTAAATTCAAACGGGAGCTGAGTTCCATTTGCTGACCAGACATTACACATGCACTCTTCATTCTTGGAAAAACCACATATTGGTATAACTGTGAGATTCTCATATCTGCCTATTTCTGTTTATACTCCTGAGCCAATGGTTACCATCACTTTGATCTAACCAATAGCCTGTGACCCACAGTGAAACTTAACCTCAACCAGCTGAAACTAAGCAAGCTTGCATCCCTCATTTGCACAGCATAGCATAGTGGGAACCTCAGCAGGAACTTTTTCTATAAAGGACAACCCCTGTCTTTGTTCTGGTAGAACACATCTTTGTTTTGTATTGAAGGCTGTGTATCCCCCGTTCACAAACCGCTTGTGGAAATAAAGCCTCTTTAAATCTGATACTTCTTTTTCAGTAGTCTTGTTAACAAGACTCTGTCCTCATTAATGCATTAGTACCATTATTGCAGGAATGAGTTTCTGATAAAAAGATGAATTTTACTTCCTTCCCTCTGTTTTGCATGTGCTCTCTTGCCCTTCTGCCTTCTCCATGGGATGACACAGGAAGAAGACCATCACCAGAGGTAAGCCCTCGATCTTGAACTTCCTAGCCTCCAAAAATGTATGAAATATGTTTCCTGTAAATTACCCAGTCTCAGTTATTCTGTTATAACAGCACAAAATAGACTAAAACAGAGTACTTGCTCACCAGGGCTAGCACTTATGAGTAGAAATGCTAAAGTTTTCTGTTTATTTTTTTTCTTTTTAAACTTGGGGGACTTCTCTTGAAAGACGGGATTTAATGCCCTGACAAAGACCATAGAGCATGGGAAAGATTGGATGCTAGAGTAGGCCTCAGAAACCTGGAGAAAGACTTGGTGAGTTGAAATGTCTGAACTACTAGAGAAGGTAGCAGAGGCATAAAAGGAGTAAAAGAAGGAGGAGTAAAAGGCTCAGGAGGGTGAGTATACAATTTGTGATGCCAGGAAACCCAGCAGAGGAATATACTCCATGAAAGCCCAGTGGATGCATAGTCCACAAAAGGTATAAGGAAAGTGCTGGTGAGACAGATACCAGATACACTAATATTTTCTGTCATGGCTCTTTTCTGAAAGGCTGACAGTAGGAGAGATTGTCACATAGCTTAACTTGTTAATAGCAATGGAGATGATAGAGACCTGAAGACATTGAGCATAGATGGCAGTGCTTACCTGCTGGAAATTAGGAGGTTGCAATGACCATATATGGGTGGCATGAGTGGAGGGCACTGAAGAGTGTTTCATATCTAGAGAGTTTTATTCTTTTCTATGCCATCAGCAAAAAATATTTTTTTAAAGTTTTCATTCACATGGAATCTTCAACTATAAATTTACATTTTTGTCTCTTAGCTATGTTAAGTCTCCTGCCGTCTGTCATACTCCAAAGAGATCAAAACTATGAGGACATCCCTCAGAACATAGCCTTGCTCCATTGCACTCAAACTGATCCAGGAAGAAATAGGTAGTAAGCTCAAAGCCTTGGTAGACATGGGCTCAGAGTGAGATAAAACCTTTGAAAAATAAGAGACCTGCCATTTCTGTTAAGATTTTAGGTATCCCATGTCCCCCAGTAAATAGGGTCATCCCCTTTAAAAAGTAAAAGATAAATTGATTTAGCTTGCATCCCTACCACAAAGTAAGAAGCACAAAACTTTGTAGCTCTTCAAGCTCTGTATGCAAGCTATTCCATACCTAAGAATAGTCTTTGGCCCATATGCTGTGTAACACAAAAGGCTATCAGTTTTGAACAGAATGTGAGCAGATAAAGGCTGTTTAGCAGATCCAGGTTACATTGCAAACATCCCTGCTGCTTGGGTCATATAATCCAGCAGACTTTGTGCTCTTGGAAGAGTTGATTGTGGGTAAAATCTAGAGTACATACCAAGAGTTAGTGGGAAAATTACAACATTCATTTATTAAGTTCTGGAACAAGATCATTCCTCCTACAGTAGATGTATTAGTCCATTTCTATACTACTATAAATAAATATCCAAGACTGGGTAATTTATAAAGGAAAGAGGTTTAATTGACTCACAGTTCCACATAGCTGGGGATGCCTCAGGAAACTTAACAATTATGGCAGAAGAGGAAGCAAGCACCTTCATCACAAGGTGGCAAGAGAGAGAAGAATGAAGAAGGAAGGCCTAAACACTTGCAGAACCAGTAGACCTCGTGAGAACTCACTGACTATCATGAGAACAACATGGAGAAAACCATCCCCATGATCCAATCACTTCCTTTCCTCGACACGTGGGGATTACAATTCGAGATGACATTTGGGTGGGGATGCAGAGCCAAACCATATAATTCCACCCTTGGCCCCTGTCAAATCTCATGTCTTTTCACATTTCAAAACCAATCATTCCTTCCCAACAGTAGCGTAAAGACTTAACTCATTTCATCATTAACTCAAAAATCCACAGTCCAAAGTCTCATCTGAGGCAAAGGCAAGTCCTTTCTGACTATGATCCTGTAAAATCAAAAGCTAGTTAATTACTTTCTAGATATAATGGGAGTATAGGAATTGCATAAATGCTCCCATTCCAAATGAGATAAATTGGACAAAATAAAGGGGCTACCAGCCCCATGCAGGTCTGAAATCCAGCAGGGCAGTCATTAAATCTTAAAGCTCTGAAATGATCTCCTTTGACTCCATGTCTCACATCCAGATCACACTGATGCAAGAGGTAGGCTCCCAGGGCCTTGGGCAATTCCACCCCTGTGGCTTTGCAGGGTACAGCCCCACTCCCAGCTGCTTTCATGGGTGGCGTTGATTGTTGTTTTTCCAGGTGCCTAGTGCAAGCTGTCAGTGGATCGACAATTCTGGGGCCTGGAGGATGGTGGCCTCTTCTCACAGCTTCACTAGGCAGTGCACCAGTGGGGACTCTGTGTGGGGCTCCAACCCCACATTTCTTTTCTGCACTGCCCTAGCAGAGGTTCTCCATGAGGGCCCAACCCCCTACAGCAGACTTCTGCATGGGCATCCAGGCATTTCCATACCTCCTTTGAAATCTAAGAGGAGGTTCCCAAACCTCAATTCTCAAATTCTGAGCACCTGCAGGCACTACACTAAATGGAAGCTGCCAAGGCTTTGGACTTGCACCTTCTGAAGCAACAGCCCAAGCTGTACCTTGACCTCTTTTAGCCACAGCTGGAGCTGGAGCAGCTGGGACACAGGGCACAAAGTCCCAAGGCTGCACACAGCAGCACGGCCATGGGCCCAGCTCAGGAAACCATTTTTCCCTCCTGGCCTCTGGGCCTGTGATGGGAAGGGCTGCCACCAAGATCACTGACATGTCCTGGAGACATTTCCCCCATTGTCTTGGTAATAAGTATTTGGCTCCTTGTTACTTATGCAAATCTCTGCAATGCGCTTGAATTTCTCCCCAGAAAATGGGTTTTTCTTTTCTGTCGCATCATCAGGCTGCAAATTTTCCAAATTTTTAGGCTCTGCTTCTCTTTTAAATGTATGTTCCAATTTCAGATCATCTCTCTCCAGTTCAAATTTCCACAGATCTCTAGTTCAGGGGCCAAATGCTGCCAGTCTCTTTGCTAAAGCATAGCAAGAGTGACCTTTGCTCGAAGTCCCTAGAAGTTCCTCATGTCCATCTGAGACCACCTCAGCCTGGACTTCATTGTCCACGTGGGGATTACAGTTCCAGGTGAGAGTTGGATAGGGACACAGAGCCAAACCCTATCAGTGGAAAATTACAATTCTTTCAAGGAACAGCTCCTCTCATGCTCCTGGGCATTGGTAGACATGGAATATTTCACCATCAAATCAAACAAGTGACCATGTACCTTGAAATTTCCAGTTCAGGTAGCCCAGCAACAGTCCATCATAAAATTGAAATGATACATCTGGGATCTATCTAAATAGGGTCAGAGAGTGTGAGTAGGCTTCATGAACAAGAAATCCAGGCTTTCATGTTATTCATTCCAGTTGAACCAGTTTCCCTCCATCAGCATCCACCTGAGATTATGTTTAGGGGTTCCATAAGACCAACGGAAGCAGAGGAAAAAACATGAACTTGTTTGTGGATGTGTGAGCTTGGAATATGGATATAAGCAGAAAATAGATGGTGACTACATTATAGTCATAATCAGAAATGAATTTAAAAGAAAATGGTGAAGTGAAATTTTCTCAATATGAAGAACTTTAAATGGTGCATGTATTAGTTCATTCTCATAATGCTATAAAGAAACATCTGAGACTGAATAATTTATAAAGAAAAGTGGTTTAATTGGCTCACAATTCTGCAGGCTGTACAGGAAGCATAGCAGCATCTGCTCAGCTTCTAGGGAGGTCTCAGGAAACTTTTACTCATGGTGGAAAGCAAAGCAGGGTCATGCATCTTACATGGCAGAAGCAGGACTGAGAGAGAAAAAGGAGGTGGTGAAGACTTTTAAACAACCAAATCTCATGAGAACTCTATAAGGAGAACAGCACCAAAGGGATGATGCTAAACCTTTCATGAAGGATGCATCCCCATGATCTAATCACCTCCCACCAGGCCCCACCTCCAATATCGGAGACTACAATTAAACATGTGATTTGGGTGGGGACAGAGATCCAAAGCAAATCAGTGCACTTGGTCATTATTTTGTTAAAACCAAGAAGTGGCCTGGGGTAAGGCTGCAGATGGATTCATGGAAAGGGGCCAATAGCCTGGTCAGCTGATCAGGGAGGATCCTGAATAGGAAATTATTGGAAGATCAGGTAAAAGGAGATCATCTGTGGAAAGATGTTGAACCATTCATCACAGAAGAGGCACTCATCAATCATGTGTTTAAAGGTCTCAGCCAATTGATATTAGCCAATCTTTACCACTGGCCCCATGTTGGACTCCATGTTGGCCACTGTGGCTACTCTGTTGATGTGCCCATTGAACTTGTTCTGGGGCACAGGGGTTCAACTAAAATGAATAATATGGAATCCTGGGTCAATTATCAATTATCAACAGAGTAGCCATAGTGGCCAACGTCGAGTCCAAGCTTGGGCCCAACAGCATGAATTTTTACTTATCAAGGCCACTAACTACTTCCACTTCTAAATGACTAATCCATCCACAGTAGAGACCAAAACTGAGCCCTTATGTGCCATTATTCCTTGAGAAGATCAACTTCCCACTTGGCTGAACATTGACTTGATTGAGCCCTTTCTGTATAGAAAGGGCCAGTGGTTTGTTATTCCAGGAATAGACACCCATTCTAGGTGGGTTTGCCTTTCTTGGCTGCAGATCCTCATCCAGCACCACTAACAGACTCAAAACTCTGCACAAAATAATAAAAGATAGTTTACTTCACAGTAGAGAAGTACAGGTTGGGACATGAAGACAGGATACACTGGTTATATTTTATGCCACATCATTTAGACACTGATAGTCTGATAGAGCTTTGGAATGACCAACTGAAGTCTGAAGCTGCAGCACCAGCTTGGAAGCAATGCTCTGCAATCACTACATGCAGGCTGAATAGACTATGAAGGCCATGGAGAAAGCCCTGGGGCAGAAAGACTGAGAACAGCCTGGCCAGTGTTGCAGTTGAGATACTGGCAGCAGACTCAAACTACTAAAAGTCAGAAGTGAGCTGGGCTGAAACCAGATGGTTTCACTGCTATATTTTACCAAACATTTAAAGAACAACTAAGACTAATCCTACTCAAAATATTAGAAAGAATAGGAGAGAAGGGAATACTTCCAAACTTATTCTGTGAGGCCACTATTACGCCAATACCACAATCAGACAAAGAAACATCAAAAAAAGAAGACTACAGGCCAATCAATATCCCTGATTAACACTGATGCAAAAATCCTCAGCAAAATACTGGCAAACCAAATTCAATAACACATCAAACAGAACATTCATTTTGACCAAGTGGGATTTATCCCAGGGAGGCAAGGATGGTTCAACATACGTGAACTTATCAGTGTGATACATCATATCAACAGAATGAAGGACAAAAATCACATGATTATTTCAGTTGATGTTTAAAAGGCATTTGATAAAATTCAACATCCCTTTGTGATTAAAATCCTCAAAAAATTGCTTATGGAAGAAACATACCTCAACACATTAAAAGCCATATTTAACAGACCTACAGCTAGTGTCATATTGAATGTGGAAAAACTGAAAATCTTTCTTCTAAGTTCTGGAACAAGGTGGGGATGCCCACTTTTGCCACTGTTACTAAACATAGAACTGGCAGTCGTAGCTGAAGCAGTCAGAGAAGAGAAAGAAAGAAAGGGCATCCAAATTGAAAAGGAAGAAGTCAAATTATCCTTGTTTACAGATTACATGATCTTATATTTGAAAAAAATCTAAAGACTCTGCCAAAACTATTAGAACTGATAAATTTAGTAAACTTGCTGGATACAAAATCAACATACAAAAATTAGTGGAATTTCTATATGCCAACAGTGAACAATCTGAAAGAGAAATCAAGAAAGTAATCCCATTTAAAATAGTTACAAATAAAATAAAATACCTAGGAATAAATTTAACCAAAGAAGTGAAAGATCTATGCAATAAAAACTATAAAATGTTAATGAAAGAAATTTAAGAGGATGCACAAGTCCTCAAGATATTTCATGTTTATGGATTGGGACAATTTATATTGCTACAATGTCCAAACTACCCAAAGCAATCTATAGATTTAATGCAATCCCTATCAAAAAAATCAGTGACATTCTTTGCAGAAATAGGAAAAAAAAATCCTAAAATTTATATGGACCCAGAAAACACCCAGAAGAGCTAAAGCCATTCTGAGCAAAATGAACAAAACTGGAGGAATCAAATTACCGGACTTCAAATCATACTATAGAGCTACAGTAAACAGCATAGTACTGGCATAAAACAGACACATAGACCAATGAAACAGAATAGAGAACCCCAAAATAAATCCATACATCTATAGTGAATTCATTTTCAACAAAGGAGCCAAGAACATACATTGAGGAAAGGACAGTCTCTTCAATAAATAGTGCTGGGAAAACTGAATATCCATATGCAGAAGAATGAAAATTGACCTCTGACCCCTCTCACCATATACAAAAATTGAGTCAAAATGGATTAAAGACTTAAATCAAATACCTGAAACTATGAAACTACTAAAATAAAACATTGGGGAAACACTCCAGGACATTGGACTGCGCAAAGATTTCTTGAGTAATACCCCACAAACAAAGGCAACCAAAACAAAAATGGGATCACATCAAGTTAAAAGCTTCGGTGCAGCAAAGGAAATAATCAACAAAGCGAATAAAAAATTCAAAGAATGGGAGAAAATATTTGCAAACTATTCACCTGACAAGGAATTACTAACCAGAATACTCAGCTATAAAAAAGAATGAGATCATTTCATTTGTAATAACATAGATGGAACTGGAGGACATTATGTTAAGCGAAAAAAGCCAGACACAGAAAGACAAACTTCACATGTTCTCACTCATTTATGGGAGCTAAAAATTTAAACAATTAACTAATGGAGATAGAGAGTAGAATGGTGGTTACCAGAGGCTATGAATGGTGAGTGGGGGGAGTGGGTATGGTTAACGGGTACAAAAATATAGTTAGATTGAGTGAATAAAACCTAGTATTTGACAGCACAACAGGATGATTACAGTCAACAAAAATTTATTGCACATTTAAAAATAACAGAGAGAATATAATGGGAATATTTGTAACAGAAAGAAATGATAAAGGCTTAAAGTGATAGATACCCCATTTACCCTGATGTGATTATTATGCATTATATGCCTGTACTAAAATATCTCATGTACCCCACAAATATACACACCTACTATGTACCCATAACAAATTTTAGATTTAATTTAAAAAATGAAGTGGGCTGGGATGATGTGACATATAGCATCAAGTATTTGCATTAGGCTCTGTCCATGCTTGAGTTTTTGTTTTCCACCATGAAAATAGCATGTTCCAGAGAGTGGGTGCTTCTTCAGTCTAGATCCCAGAATGGTAAGACACGAAGAATACCATCAAGCTGAGTCCTGTTGAGCGTAGCAGAGATGAAGCCAGTTCACATTCTCATATAATATAAGCAAAAACTAAATGTGTTATGCTACAGGGTGGAATGTTGATGTCCCCCCAAAAATTTAAATCTTCACCCCCAAGGTGATGGTATTCGGAAGTGTGGACTTTGAGAAGTGATTAGGTCAAGGGGTCAGGGCCTTCTTAAATAGGATTAGTGTGCATTTAAAAGAGACCCAAGAGAGACACCTCAACCCTTTTGCCACGTGAGGGTAGAGTAAGAAGGCTGTAGACATCAATATCTGCCAATGCCATGATCTTGAACTTCCCAGCCTCCAGAACTGTGAGAAATAAAGTTTCTGTTGTTGTAGGCCACACAGTCTATGGCATTCTGTTGCAGCAGCCTGCACAGACTAAGATGTCATAAACCACTGATAACTTAGAGTTGTTTGTCATTGCACCAAGATTTGACTAATAAATTAACCATGATTTAAGTTGAGGATCCTATGGATTTATTATCTTATTCTTTCTATTTCTTTTTTGGTGCCAAAAGAAATCAGTAGAAAATCTGGCTTTGCCTCACATAGTAATATAGAATTTTAATGATAAACTCATGAATTAATGGGCATTTCAAATTTTTTTTTCTAGAAGAATTGAAGCATTTTATTTTAAATATAATAGATTATATCAGGTATATAATAAGGTATAAGGTGTCTTGATTATACATGGTGGAAAGGTTACTTGACTATTTTTTATAGTTTTATCTAGACAGGCTGCCTTCGTTTGCCATTATATTTTCAACTTCAAAAACGTTTCATTAAGAGTGTTCCAGAAACTTTATGTACTTAGAATACCTCTAAAAACAATTTAAAAATATGTCTCATAAGGGTGCTTGGAAAAGCAGTTAATTCATGTCAAAGGCTATATTTTTGCTACTTTGGAAAATGTTTTCATTGTAAATCTCTTCAAAATGTATTTTTATGATAGAAAATACTCATTTAAAATCAACAATGGTAAACAATTGTTTAAATCATTTAGTAATATTTTAAATACTAAAAAATAAACCCAACAAATTATAGTTTTAAGAAGATAAGGACAGTAACTCAGTTGATAACTAATAACTGTAGAAATAGAGTAAATCTGAACACAGTAGACAGCATAGAATTTTAGAGAGTATTTCAGCCTGTTTCTCAGTATGTTTAATAGTTATTTCAAAAACTATTTATTATCTGTATATGAAATTTAAGTTGATAGCAATGTTATTTTTTCCTTCAATCACTAAACAAGGAAGGAACATGAAGTGGCCCTGGGTAATTTGAATAAGACATTTCTTTCCTGTAGGGACAAGTAAACTTTTAACAGTGTTGTTTTTCCAGTTGCTTTCATCAGATAAAAGCAGCTTCCCACTGTCCTCCACACTCTTGTAAAACCTCATGACCTAGTTTGGGGCCAAATTTAATCTGTCTAAATACTACTTAAGAACTGGGGAGAAATGATCAAGCAGAAACTTTTGCTTAATGTTCTCAATGCACTTGGGAGTTTGAAGCTCAAAATCCATCCCAGCTGCTTGAAGTTCAGCTCTCACAAATTTCCCATGGTCACTGCTCCTGAGGAATTCTTTTTGGTTCCCGTTTCCCTTCCTCCTTGTGTTTGTACAGGGTCTTGTGACAACAGTTCTGTCATACACATACTAAGGTGACCAACCTAGTTCTCATTTGCCAGAAACTTTCCTGGTCTTAAAACTGGATATCTGGTGTTCCCAGTAACCCCTTAAGGCAGGGGCAAACCAGGACAATTGTTACCCTAACCCAGTTCATCTCCAATTCCATATTCCCTGTTACTCAATACACCTTCAGTAGTAGAATCTGCTGTGGTATAAGAAAGAAAAGAAATGGAAGACTAAATGAGGACATGATAATGAAAGATAATAAAGAAGATTTTGAAAGTTAAGAGGAAGGAATGGAGGCAAAATTCCACCCTGCTAATGATCAGCATCTCCTCCTTCACAGCTGATTCTTCTCAATCCCTTCTTCCAGTTGTCATCTCCCCTCACACCCACATTTGTTCTGAGCAGTTTCTTTTCCCCATCCTCCCCATCCCCTTTCCAGAAGTGGTGGTTGAGAACACTAGCCCTGGAGCCAGAATATCTGGATTCAAATTCAACTTCTGCAAGTTGAGTGCTGTGTATAAGCTATTCAACCTCTTTGTCCTCATTAACTCCGTATGAAAGTAGTGCCTGTCTCATATGGTTGTGGTTAAATGAGTTAACACATGGAAAGCATACAGAGCTGAATAATTATCAATGTCAAGTATCATTATCACTGTTCCCCAACTCAGGGTCTACTACAAAAGCCCTTCAGGAGTCTTAGCACTCCATGCCAGGCTCTGACAGGCTGGCCTCAGCACCTCACCACAGCTTAGCACTGTTTCAATGAGCAAAGCTGATTTGGACTTCTAAATGACCTACAAATAAACTCTTGGAAAAGAACCTGTTCATAAGCATGTAGGTCAGATAAAATTGATACTGCTTTTGTCATTCACATACTTTGTTGCTGGAAATGATTATATCTCAGAGCAAAAATCTGATGTGAGCTATTTGTTCATACATTTTTAATTTATGTACTCAAAATGTTGAAATAACATTCAAAGTCGTAGATGCTTATCTGAACTGAACCCAAAATATTCTGAGGTTTAAATATCAGTTATAGTCATCAGAGAATTGTAACTGGAAAAGAGAAACCTTTGCCTGAAAAAAAGAATTGAGATTTATTTTTACTTTTTATCTTGAGAAAAGCTACCTCTAGATCTACAACTATATAACATGTATAGATAGATTCAGAAATATTTTGCCTCTATAATTAGGTTAAAATTATAAGTCCAGAATAATGAATAGTCACCCTAGAGGTATACACTCAATGATTTCAGGATATTTATGATCTACAAAACTAATGACATTTCTAAAGAGAACACAATTTTGAGGTAAGAGAGGAAATTCCATAGTACTTGGGATGGGACTTGGGACAATGGAGATGATGGGAGCTTCTTGAGGTGCAATAGAAGATAATTCTGGATAATTCTAGTGGTAGACTAGAGGAATAGGTAGCATAGAACCCAAAGCTAGCTGTACAATCTAGATAAATATATACTGGGACAAATAGGGATTAAAACTAGGAGAGGACCAGTCCACAGAGCTAAGTAAATTTTATGGAAAAAGGCAGGCAAGACTACAGAATGACTCCAGAGACTGGAACTTGATAAAATACTCTAAAGATGGATCTGGAGAGCTTGTGGGTAGAAAAACGTACAAGCTGCATTTTCAATAATATTTGGGCATTAAAAATCATGAACTGAGTCTTCCACGTACTAAAATACCACAGCATTTTTGGTTTTGTAGACAGCAAGTATACATTTTAGATTTTAGATGCAGACATGGGAGCTAAATGTAGTATGGCTGTAGTATAAGAAACATAAAAGAACAAATAAACCTAAAAACCTGACCGATGTATCAGGGAAGACAAGGCTGTTTGCCCTTAATTTAAGAAAGGAGTTTGAGGAGAAATAAGTAAAAGACTGCACAAGAAATATTGGAACCTGCATCTGTAGCTACATTAAGCCAAATGAGGGGAGGGGAGGGGTTGATGTAATGAATTCTTTACAGCTTAATTAATTTTAAAAAAATACTTCATCAAAACAATTTTACACGTAGGCAAATAACTGGTGAATGTCTTACTCCTACTGATTTGCTTTCAATGTGGACATACCTCTAATTTGTATTTCACATTAATCCCTAAAATCAAGCCTTTCTGCACCAGCATGCCTCCCCCACTGCCACCACTCCCATGCCCCACCTGATTTTACTCTCACTTTATTTCACAATGGTTGTGCGTATGCTGTTTCTTCTGTTTTGGACTCTCTTACTTCTTGATCTGATCCTTAACTGCTCTTCAAATTCCAACGTAAGTATCTTTTATCTGTCAAGCTTTCATTAGACTGCACAAAGGCTCACCTAAAATCCTTCTAGTGTTTTGCATATAGGTCCATCATCAGCAGACAACGATGATACTGGCACCTGGTGCACAAGCATCCCCTAGTCCTATCCCTGCAATGAAGCATGTGCTTGTCTGTCTCCTCCAGTAGACCAGAGGCCTCTCAAAAGCAATCATAATTTGATTGCTTTTCAGTACTTCTACCATTTAGTACAGGACCTGACAGAAGGGCAGGGCTGGGGATGGACAGAAACTTGAGCTCAACTCAAGTATAAGTTCTGTTTAATGGTGTGGGTGCCAAGAAGACTTGTGGAGAAGGATTCTGATGTGTAGCCTGTTCTGAGAGGGAAAGAGTTCCATGATCAATTAGCGATGTCGGCTATGGGAGTAGGAAACTGGGAATGGCAGTACCTATCCCACACATTTGCTCTTTTATCACAGGCATTCTGTAATTGTTTGTTGAGAGAACAAATACATTAGCAAACTTGAAGTAATGTTTCTTGCAATGTATATAACAATATTAAGTAAAATATTCTTTACTTCATTTCATAGCCTCTGATCTCAAGGATCACAAAACACATTGAGTATTTTTTATGTCACTGATCACTCCCTTTTAGTTTTGAATGTAGGTATTCATTTCTCTTAGAAGGGAATTTGAGACCCATAATCCATAAACAGATCATGCATATGCATAAAACAAATGTGATCTCCATGGTACCAAATATACAGGGTATCTGTTTTCTTCAGTAACTTGATTCAGTGGTTTTACATAGCCTTAAGATTACATGGTCAGTCAGAAGTAGGGCTTGGATGTCTGACTATTTTCCCCATAAACAGAAGGACAATATAATTTATAGTCCATACTTGGGACACCTTTGAGAGTGAATGGGGTGCTATTAATTATGTTGTAACAAGAGATGTAAACAAAAAACATTCTGGGACATGTGCGACGTATAGTCACCCTACTCTATAGAACTGTGACTCTAATTCTCCTATAGGCTACATTAAGTTGTTTGCTTAATATACACCCAAAACTGTAATTCCAATTGATTTCCTGTGGTTTCTTGGGTCACTGTATTGAGAAAGATATTAAGGCCGCTTCCAGATGTCACAGAAAAGGGTGCTGTGTTTCACTGGTGATGCCTGGTGGCTGACAAATGTGAATGAAAGGACAATGGTAGGAGTGCCCCTCACTTATGATTCCTGATCTAGAACTGAGAATCCACAGCTGTTTGCACTTCTACACTAGGTTCCTAGGAAGTAGTTATTTCCTCAATATTGACTCCTCCTCCATTTTGGTGCTTCAGTTCCCTTTGTGAGGATCTGGATTTCATATGACTTAGGCCATTCATAACCAAGATTTGCTGCTAACTTTCTAGACTTTATAAATTTGCTACTTACCATTTCCAGTTCTAGCTGTGCTACTCAGGATTCTTGATTTCTTGTCTATCCATACCGTCACAATTATAGACTTTTTTGTAAAATCACTTCCACCTAATTTTGGAATTACTGGGCTTCCAGTCCTCATGACCATACCCTTTACCTAGTGCATGGCTACGGGATCTTGTCTTTTATATAGCTTGGCTTCCATTTTTTAGCTTCCTAGCTATGACCAATTTCTCCCTGGCACCTGTAACTAGCAAAATCCTAAGTCCTTACATAACAGTTAATCTCAAAATCTAGTTTCCAAGCCAGTGCTCTCTCAAAGGTCTGTTGTTCTGTTTCCAAAATTAGCAATGAAACATGATGCAGGTATTTCTGATAAGAGGAGGATTTCATAATAAAATTACTCAGAAAAGTATCTCAATTATCAATTTTGTTTCAGCACAGAAGACAGAGCCTGAATGATCTTTGCCAAGTCCCTCAACTTAGTGTTTACAAAACTTCAAAATGTTTACTTAATATAATAATGACAAATCCCAGAGAGTTTTGTGAAGAATAACATAAAAGTCAGAAGGGCTTGCTTTGTTAATGCTAATTAACCCATTTGTGCCTGAAGCTGCAATTTTTTGAATTTTTGCAATCAGATCTTGGTGATGACCTTGAGCAGCAGGATATAAATAACTCCCAGATGCTTAGCGTTCCAATAATGGAACACTAGGCATAAATGGATCAGGACACCTGTCCTAATTCCATTATAGGATTGTACTGAGGAACGAATGCAGTGATAAATAACACAGTTGTTAGAAAATATAAACTATGGTCTTTTGTATAATGCAAATCTCAGATATGTTAGAAATGGCTTTTGTATTATTTATCTTAATCTAACGTAGTTTTAACTCCAAGACTCAATTCTACCATATTGCCAAGAATTCCTCTAGCCTTTTCAAAATAGCACCAGAGACTGGGAGCCTTAAATCTTCATGAAAATAGGGAAGAAGCTGATGTTCTGGCTAACATGGTCACTTCTGATTTTTTCACTATCCAGAAGATCCCCTTGACATCTGGCAGTTCTCAAGTGCTTGTGTACCAGTCTCAGGTGGGAATCTTTGGTCATGTTTGGAACGAACCCAGCTGTGGTCCCATCTCCTGGTAGCCATCTCTCACTTCTGCGGGCTCCTGACATCTAATATTCAACTCTGGAGTCATCCTGCCTTCTCCCACATTCATCTGAGGACCAGGGCTGTGGTTCCACTGCCCTAGGGCCTATGACCAATGAGCCTCTCTCCTCTGGGGGAAGACTCTCCACCCCTGGCTTCTACAAATTCTTCCTTGTCTTCTTTACTGCATGGGCAGGTGGGACAGGATGATTTCTTTCCATTTCCCCATCTCTTCTTCTCTCACTGGGCATCCTGATGGTGGCACAGGGGCAGCTAGGTGTCAGGGCTGGGACTTGAGCAACTCAATAGCTGACAGGCTCAGGGAGATAGGGAAATACATCACTGACAGCCTCGGCCTCTTCCTCTACAATCACCTCATTCTATTTCCAAACTCAATGCTGGACTCCCTCTCATGGGTTGTTGCACATTTGGTGATGAATTTCTTTAACTGGCTCTAGGCCAGGATGATAAAGCAAAGACTATAAAACACACAGAATTACTGCAAAGAAACAGAACCCACATTCTTTCCAGATATTGCATGTTGAAAACTACATATCCGTAGTCATCTGGAGATTTCGTTGTTTAGGAATACAATTCCTAGGTGGATTTTTCTTTTTCTTTTATTATTATAATTATTATTGTCAAAGGAAACTATTATAAACTGAATGCAATAGAAAAAAAAGGGTCTACTACCACTTTTAGTTTCTGTAGTATTGGTTAATGAATATGATACTCCTCTCTACAGCCCCTCTCCCCAACATCCATGTTTTATGGCAAAAGATTATAGGCTCATAAATGCAGCTGGGGCCAATAATTGATGAATGCAATATTTTATGACAGATTATGCATTTCCTTAGACAGGTAACTGTTACAGAAATATTGCTTCTTGATTATAACCAATCAGATAATAAAAATATGTTTCAGTTTTACTGAGATGTTTGATTTTCTTAGGTCTTGTTGTGCCACACCAGGAATAAAGCTTAATTAAGGATTCATTTACTAATTGTTTATCATAAAAGCTATATTCAAGGGAAAAAGTTACATTGAATCCATAGTTTTCTGGGAGGAGAACATGGGAACAGTCTGTTTGTGACCTGTATTTCTCTGCCAACTTCAGGACTTGGTAACCTATACAGGTTTCCTATGTGAGAGGTTAAAGTGTGGGTCCTTCTGTTTCCTAAAAAGGAAGCCTATAAAGCACCACATCATCTTTTAATTATTTTCCATACAATAAAGCCAGTTTAAGGCCATGAAATGGCCTATGAGCTCCTATGTGTTATGTAACATTTTCAGTGGTTACTGTAGCAACATTTTGTCCTTTATGGCATTTCATTTCCATATAAAGTAATCTGCATTGTTATGGGATGCTTTGTCCCATAGTGATGACCATAAACCATGCTCAAGGGTCTCAAACACTGACTCCCCACTCCCTTTTGTTCTACCTGAAAGGCGCCTACTAAGCTTCTTCTTTTAGTGACTATTAAAGGGGGAAGGATGCCCTGAAGAGGTTCGTCCGCTGTCCAACAGCGACCCCTAGAGGCACAATGCCTTGAAAGTGGCCAAAACCTCCAAAACTTCAATGCTTTTCTCCAATCAAGTGCTGCTGTAATTTGCTTACCTTGAGAACTATCACAGCATTAATCAAGACCTGCCTTTACTCTGAAAACATGGGCTGCTTTTGGTGCCCAAAAACGAAAGCCCAAAGTTTCGGGAGCTTTACTACCTACTATCTACTACACATACATTTGTTTTCTCTTTGTGAGATTTAAGGGAACCGTGGAAGAATTGCTTTTTATTCATCATCAAATAAGCATAATAACAAATTTGGGCATAGTCAAGATACAACGCCTTTGATGGCTTTTCGTTAGTTTTTTGTTTTTGTTTTGTTTTGTTTTTCGCTTGAAAAATAAGTTAAAATCTCAGGAAGAAAGAAAGAAAATCCTAGCGCTTTTTCTTTTCTGAGCTTGCAACTGTTTGTAGCTCAGGCACCCGGATGATTCATCCCATGAAAGCCTTGAGCGCTCCATTTGTTTTGTAGATTTCACTACTCCCTTTGTTCCGCTTCAAACCTTTCAGAGGGCTGAAATGCATTATTACCTTGTTAAAGCTCAACCAAAATCATTTCTACAGCCTGAAGCTGTTTTGACGTGGGTTGAGTATCTCACACAAAAGAATTGCTTTTGTTCCCAGAAGCTCTTATTGGCTGAGTGGCCTTTGCTCTGAGCCAATCAGAAGCTAGTTGTTAGGCTTGGCTGGCTATTTTTAGCCCAACACGCAAAAACACTTGGTCTTGGAGGGGGTCGGCTGGAGAGTGAAAGGCCCTGTAGTAAAAGCCAACAGCTAAATGCATTTTGGATGTCAAGGCGCGTTTGACATTTTCTCTTTAATTCCTCATACGCTGTTACATTAGCATGTGTTTTTCGTAAACAACAAACTTAGAGCTGCATTTCCCAGTCCTGAATTATCCATTTAGTAAAGAGACAGAAAGGCTAAGAAACAGCATTCCCCTTTTATCCAAAAGCAACGCACGGTAGTATCTAGTTATTTCATAACGCAAAAAAAAAAAAGTCAGTTACCGTATTGAGAATACTAAGGTGTTTTTGCCAAAGAATTTTTATGAATTTTCATCTTGAGTTAGAAATTTTCAATGCCTTGCTCATAATGAATTATAGAGTCCTAAAATAATCTTTTCCTCTTGCCCTTTAAATATGTATATAATTACACGAACGAGTATACACATGATGTGTAGCAATTAAAATAATAAATGCTGAGTGTGTTTCATGCATTGAGAAAAAGCATTCTTTTGAGCATGTTCTTCCATTTAAGCCATTACTCAGAGGGCACAAGAAGTATTTTTCCCAAATGCGCTTCAAGAGACAGGGCATTAAAACACACAATTTGTTAATTATCCGATATTATCAGGAAATGAAAGTTGCCAAACGGGAAAAGCCAGGCTCTTAAACTTTGATTTTCCCTCAGCAGTCTATTCAACTGGGCTTATATAAGGAGGAGACAAGCTGAACCCAAATTTTACAACACAAAGCAATTTTTATTGGCAGCAAGGGAGACCCCTTCCTGAAAAAGAAAGAAAAAACCCAAATCTATGTCTAATTCTTAAAATATGTTTCAGGTTGTAGATTTTAGCAATATTTATTATTCAAGCTTGGGAATATGACCTCATTTGCCATGGTTGTTTGCTTATTTTAAGAAAAATGCCTTTCTACTTCTTGTTGCAAGCCATCAGGCAACCATTTAAACATGCAAGCAAAAAGTCTGGATCATGGGCATATTTAAAAATCTGGAAGACTTCAATAAGTTGTAAAGATTTACGATTCCATCGTGGGCTTGCAGAAGGGGTTTGCTGTGGCCTTCTGTGAGCAAGGGCGGCCTAGTATATGGTGGGCATAGGCCAAAGAACTTACCAAAAATTCTACCAGAGTGAAGGGAGCACAAATAGTTTTGGGGGAAAACTTTCCTTGTCTTAAGCAATACCGTATACAGTGTTTAGAAGGAATGTCACCTAGGTTTCAGAAGGTGAATTTGAAAGGCTGAAATAAAGTACTTTAGAAAGAGGTATCTTTTTCTTTCCAACATCAATTTGATGCACACAGGGACAGATTTTGAGAAGCTCTGTAATTGCTCCCAGGAGTTGAGTTAGGTTGAGGTAGTCAACCAGCTGCTAACAATTTAGTTTAATATGCAGTCTTAGTAAATTAAAGGAATCTGATAAATTGAGACCCAGCATGATTCTTATTTGTTTGCTATGGCATAACATGTTGAACGCCAGCAGAAATTAACCCATTGAAATTTTTCTACTCAAGGCCCCCATTTTATTTTCTCACTTTCCTGTGTCAGATGTTTTTGCTCCAGACTTGGTCATCTGAGCAATTCCTTAGTTTTATGCTTATCTACTTAAAAAATATATATATAACAATAATACAAATTCTAGAATCATGCTTATTTTCAGTTTTCTCTCTGTGTTTGTATTTAAACTCCTTGAAGGTAAAAATAAATAAATAAATGAGTCTGTTACTCCTCTTGTGTGTTAACCTTTCTACTTCACATGTAGATCATCTTAAACATGCTTGATGTAGATTTTGTTTTCTGTGGGAGCTGAGACACTTGTGGGAGGAGAAATGTGCAATTTTGTACTTGGCTACATCCCCAGAGGAGTGGTGACCAGAAAAGGGAAAGACAGCTTGCCAGATACCTAAAGGATAAATGAGATATTGAGCTACTGGAAACACCAAAATTTACCATTGATTCTTTCTACACACTAAACTGTTACTTGTGATAGTAGTTGTAAAAAACTGCATGTTTATTAACCGAAAGGTGATTGTTCTAACATTCACTGGGAAAGAGTGAAATGGTTGGAATAACACTTTAGCACTCATACCTAAAGATTTGCAAAGCCAAAATGCCAGGCAAAATTAAAACAGGCTAAATTCATATGTACAAAAGAGCTGTAATTCTTTTATGATGAAATAGATATTTTCTTAGAAGCAACAGTTTCCTGTGTTCTGTAAAGTAAGCCAAGTCAGTAATGGGTAACTCTGGCATCTCCTGCTCTCCTCTCACCTCATGGATGCCAGGCTTTCGAGTTGTATTTCAATTCTCCCTTACATTGTGGCCTCTTTGCCTCACTCCCAAATTCCTCATACCTCTTCCAAACTTGCAGTTAGGAGTGAATATAGGATCCTCCTCCTCCTCCTCTTTCTCTCTCTGTCTTTAGATTAAACTGAAAACATGGCAGCTTTTTCCAAAATTATTCATTCTTTGTCAGGTGTGTGTGTATGTGTCTTATTGTGCCATTGAAAATAAGAATGTGGAGGGTGCCTTACTATGCCATAGAACAATTTATTGTGTTTCTGGGTTGCCATCTTTTCAATCTGATTAATTTATGGTCCCATAGAGAATCTCTGGTGTGAATTATGTTAGCTTTGTTGAGTCCACTGTGCAGAAAGTCAGTTTGTATCAATATTCTTCTAGGCTTAACAGTTTCTCCTTAAAAGGCTTAATAATTGCCTGTCATTTGTCTCTTGGCCCATTTTTATCTTGGAAATGATTGGCTGTTAGGCAGACCATTTGTGTAATATTACTATAAAAGCCTTAAAACATGGGAAGAAAATTAGAATCATATGTGTATATACTAGGTTAGTAATGAATAAAGTGCTTTTCTACAAAATTTTGAGGACCTTTTAGGAAATCAAAATCTTTAATGACATGAGGATATCCCAAGTCAGAATAAGGGGAAGTTTGAGGGAAAATATTTAAATTAGAGGGTAACTTTGTGCAAGGACAAGTGATATTTGTAATTTTTAGTGTACAGGCTACCATGAAGCTTACAAATGAAAACAACAGCAACAATTTAAAACCAAACCATCTAAGTCAAATTTTATCTAAAATGAGGTAAATGCTATGACAAAAATGAAAATTTTATTGCAATTCAAGATCAAGTAGATGTCATTATGGTTTTTCAAATTATGAAATAAATAAGGAAGGAAAATGTGGCTAAACCTACAAAGAACTATGAAGATTAAAAATGGAACGTGGAATTTGTACTGTCTTAATTCCTCTGGCTTTTATAAACAAATAAAAGTAATATTGTATACTGCTAATAGCCACTCTAAAATATATTCCCCAAATGAGAAAATAATTGTATTTACATTATATTATAAGAATAAACTTAATTATGTTTTCAAAAGGAAATACTGGAAAGTGTAATAATAGACCTCAGAATAAAATAACACAATCCAAATATCCCTTATATTTTTAATAAAACAGCAGAACCTATTATTATAGATTTTCCACTAAGGAAAAATATGGAAAGAAGCTGAGGGAAAACATAGGTAGGGCAAAAAAATGCAAACCATTTTGAAACTTGATGTAGAAGCATATTATTTTAGCAAAGTAAGGGAATCTATAGATCCGAGTGAACTATTCCTTTTCATTGGCATCCAAGATCATTCATCATGTGAAAATCTGTAGTATAGTTAGATGTAGAACAATCCAGAAGGAGGTGGGGCTGGGTGTTGGTCACATAACTATAAATTTTTCAAACCCCAAAGATTACAGAGCTCTTAAGCAATATGTCCGGAATAAGTGAGCAGAAAGCAAAGGCATGAAGTGGCACTGTGAATAGTCCTCATTACAGCTGCATGCCTAAGGGGTCTTATTTACAGCTGCCCTCTCCTTCCAGTGGCAACTCTTTTCTCTTTCATGCATCTTGAAAGCCTCTGTAATTTCTCAGTGAGAATGATTTGTTGCTTACAACTGACAGAATGACAAACGAATGCTTTTAAACATCCATTTTAAATACAGGACTATTAGAAAAAAATGCTGCGAAAATCCCTTACCCTTTTTTTGGTGGGGGGAGGGTAAGCGGCTATTGGAACACCTCTGGCCTTCTGTGGAGTCTTTAAAAGTCGACTGTAGTTTTTAAAATGACCACTGTAGTTTGCCTTGGTGCATAATGACTTGGTTTGTTTCAGAAAAGTCCTTTGTTAATCAGCTGGTTTTCCAATTTGGCTGTAAGTACTGATGTCCATGTCAGGGTCTAGTTTTGTACTATCCTTTACTTACTGCAATGTCAATGTTATACTTCCTTTGGTTAAAATAATAAAATAGCTGATTGGGTATTTTGTAGGACCCATCACCCTGTGGTTGGTGCCTGTGGTGCCACAGTGTGTCCGTCAAATGAGCGTATGTGCTGTTCAGCAAATTACCTTTGAAAAGAGGCATGGGCACAGGCTTCTTGTAAATTTCACAGCTGTGAAGCCAGATGTTGGCTGACATGCACTGCTGGGGTTACCGTGGGAAACGGAATCATGATGCTTTCTGGAGGACCCTATATTACACTTCATGTCAGTAACAAACCACAGCCCAAATTGATGATGGATGCAGTGGCTTGAAAGCTGTTGAGCATTACTTTGTCACCATTGAAAGGCATTACTCTTCACACAATGCACAACCCCATTAACCTCTGGGACTAAATCTCCATAGAAATCATCCCCTACTTTCTGCAAACTTTGCTAGAAATGTAGTCATTAATATCAAAAGGCAAGGAGACAACATGGGAAACTGGATATAGAAACATTTTCTGACAGAAGATATACAATGTGTAGGCATTCCCTATGCTAAAGGCTGAGAAATGCAAGATATTCATGTTGATCTCCAACCTTTCACCCTGTGTTAGAATTTGTAGGACAGATATAGGAATAAGGGATCTGGAAGAGAAATCTAATGCCACTAATCCAAACAATTTTAGAACTCCCCTCTTAGCATTTTATCTTTCTTCACTTAATATTATTTCGCAGAAGTATCAGGAGTCAGACGGTATGTTCACAAATTGGATTTCAGTTCGAGTGATGCCATCATCTTCTAGTACATTCATACTAATTGCATAAGGCTAATGCAATCCATCCTCAAGAGGATGGTGTCTTACTTTGCTATGGCTGCCATAATCAAGTACCATAGATGAGATGACTCAAACAACAGAAATTTATCTTCTCGCAATTCTGGAAGCTAGAAGTCCAATATCAAGGTGTCAGCAGGTTTGGTTTCTTTGGGACTTCTCTCTTCAGCTTGCAGATGGTTGCTTTCTTCTGTGTCTTCACGTGGTCTCTCCTCTGTGTGCTCATATTCTGGTGTCCCCTAGTATGTTCTAATCTCCTCTTCCATAAGGACACCAATCAGATTGGATTAGGGCCTAGTGCTATGCTCTGAATGTTTGTATGTCATCAAAATTTTTTTGTTGTTCTTGAAAACGAATCCCCAGGATGAGAGTATTTGTAGCTGGGGCCTTTGGGAGGTGAGATCAAATCTCCAGTGAATGGGATTACTGCCCTTACAATAGAAGCCCTAAAGACATCCCTCATCCTTCTGCCAGGTGAGGACACAGTAAAAAAACTAACTGTTCATGAAGCAGGAAACAGCCTTCATCAGACACCAAATCTGCCAGTGCCTTGATTTTGGGCTTCCCAGACTCCAGGACTATAAGAAATACATTTCTGATGTTCATAACCCACCCAGTTTATGGTGTTTTGTTGTAGCAGCCCAATAAGACTAAGACATCATCCTCTTGAGGAGAATCCTAGTATTATCTGGGTTGTCCCTCCTGCTCACTCCCTGTCTTCCTGCATGGATAGACCTCCAAAGGCCCTCTAACTTCACATGCACAACTGTGCCTCTTTCCTCACTCACTTTATTCTGACTTGCAGACCTTCCTGATGGAAAAAACCTACTGGTCACTGCTAACAGCAGCTGTTACTTTTACTGTTCTGTTACCTGCAGATGTGATAGATGGTAGGCTTTGCCTGTTCTTTGATAAGAGGTGTTAACTGTTCCTTACTCTCCACCAATGGCAGTTCCAGCCTCCCTGAACCCTTCCTGAATTCTGAATAAGCTCTGCCATTTTGCACCTCTAGCCTGATTCAGCATATCCTCTCATTTCTGCCCACCCGCCTTCCCTTTGCCCAGCCAATTTCTACCAATCCTGCAATCCTCCTCTTAGAAATAACTTCTTTGAGAAGTTTTGCCTGAACCCACAAGACTCTCTTAGCCCTTTTTAAACAAGTCTCCCTGTACTAAGCCAACACTTAAGTCTTATATTGTAGTTCAGTGGTTTTCAAACTTAATTGTGAAAGCTGGACATGGTGGCTCACTCCTGTAATCCCAGCACTTTGGGAGGCTGAGGCGGGCAAGTCATCTGAGCCCAGGAGTTCAAGACCAGCCTGAGAGACATGGCAAAACCCCATCTCTACAAAAAATACAAAAATTAGCTGGGTACAGTGGCACACACCTGTAATTCCAGCTACTTACGAGGCTGAGACAGGAGGATCGCTTGAGCCTGGGAGGCAGAGGTTGTAGTGAGTGGAGATCACACCATTTCACTACAGCCTGGGTGACAGAGCAAGACCGTGTCTCAAAACAAACACAAACAAAAACAATCAAACTTGAGTATGCATCAAAAGCAACAAGAGGGCTTGTTAAAAACAAAGGCTGCTGAGTCCCAACCCAAAGTTTCTGGCACAAAAGTTTTGGGGTGAGCTCAGTAACTTTCATTTTTTACAAGTTCCTCATAATGCAGGGTCAGGGTGATACAGATTTCAGTACTGGGACCACACTGAGAGAGACTGCTTTAGATAAATAGTCTATGTACTTCTATTGGCTTTTCTCATCTCACTACCAACAAATTGTAAACTCTTCAACGGCAAGTATTTTATCTTTCCAACTGCTGTGCGCCCAGCATTTAAAACAGTACCAGGAACATGATAGATATTTAACAAATAATTGTGTTGTTATTCCCATTTTATTCACATGAATGAATACAAATGGGAATTCTTTACATTCAGAGAAAAATTTTTAGAATAAGAGTATGCTTAAAAGGATTCTGTTGTACCAAAGCTCATTTAAGGTACATAAACAGGAGTGTCAGTACTCATTTAGAAAGGGCTAAGTGTCTAAAATCATAATGTTGTTTATACTGATTTGATATATATACAAAACCATTTTATAGGAATTTTGGCTAGGGTTATTTTGCCTCAGGGAAATGTTGTAAGATGTATAGCTGAAAAAAAGAAATGTGAAATGAGGCATTAGGAAAACTGATCATTACCTAATGAACACAAAAGGGAGTCAGAAAATAAACGTAAAACAGGGGAGCCTCCAAGACCCATGATTCCTCTTCTGGTAAAACTTGAAATCGCTAATCAGAGCTTAGGAGATGGAAGAAATAAAATTGAAAGGTACTTTTGCAGGCGAGGCAGTCTGATTGACATATTGCAAGAGGAACAGAAACAGCTGTACTACCTTCGGGCTCAGTCGCTTTACAAGAGTGATTTTATTGAAGTTTTAATATGCCCTGCGGCCCCCAAGCCTCCCTCCCAAGCTCTACCTCATGGTCCTGTCAACCCATTATGGCAGGGGGCACCATGCAGGGACCCAGTGGGCTGCACATCAGTGACTCAGCTGCAGCTACGTAAATATTAGTACTCTCGGACCACTGAGAAACAGAGTAATAGTGACTCACAGACTCCCCAGCCCTTCTCTTTGAAATATCTTTCTTTGGCTTTCATAAAATGGCAAGACCATCAGGTAGAGAGCCCCATTTTTCTGACTAGCTCGCCAACACTTTGTGAACCCTAAATAGCTGAGACAAGTCTCAGTCAATTTAGGTAGTTTATTTTGCCAAATTTAAGGATGTGCACCTGTGACACAACCTCAGGAGGTCCTGACAACATGTGCCCAACATGGTTGGGAAACAGCTTGGTTTTATTTATTTTACGGATACATGAGACCTCAATCAATATATGTAAGATATACATTTGTTCCATCCAGAAAGGAGGGACAATTCAAAGTGGGGAGGGGCTTCCAGGTCATAGGAAGGTAAGAGAAAAATGGTTGCATTCTTTTGAGTTTCTGATCAGCCTTTCCAAAGGAGGCGATCAGATATACATTATCTCAGTGAGCAGAGGGATGACTTTGAGTTCTGTCTGTCCTTTGTCTACAAGGAAATTCCTTGAGAGGGAGGAAAGTAGCTTTTCTAACTTAGTAGCTTTCCTTTTTAGTAATAGAATGGGAGGCAAGTTTGCCCTAAGCAGTTCCCAGCTTGACTTTTCCCTTTGGCTTAGTGATTTGGGGGTCCCAAGTTTTATTTTCCTCTCACAACTTTATGTTTCTATGACTCAAAAGAGCAAAGCAGCATCACCTTTTGAACATCTGAGAGGGGTTTGCAGTCAACTGAATGTGTATGTACTCCAAAATTTGTATGTTGAAATCCTAACCCGTTGGTATGATAATGGGCAAGCCCTTTTGGATGTGATTAGTGCTCTGAAAAAAGGTTCCCTTCCTGCCGGGCACAGTGGCTCACACCTGTAATCCCAGCACTTTGAGATGCCGAGGTGGGCGGATCACTTGAGGTCAGGAGTTCGAGACCACCCTGGCCTACATGATGAAACCCCATCTCTACTAAAAATACAAAAATTAGATGGGCGTGGTGGCAGGCACCTGTAATCCCAGCTACTGGGGAGGCTGAGGCAGGAGAACCACTTGAATCCGGGAGGCAGAGGTTGCAGTGAGCCGAGATCACGCCACTACACTCCAGCCTGGGTGACAAGAGCGAAATTCTATCTCAAAAAAACAAACAAACAAACAAACAAAAACACACCCAACTCCCTTCCACCATGTGGGGACACAATGAAAAGGTATCCGTTCATGAATCAGGAAGCAGCTGTCACCAGACGTAGAATCTACCTGCAACTTGATGTTGGACCTCCTAGTCTCCAGAATTGTGAAACATAAATTCCTGTTGTTTATAAGCCACCCAGTTTATAATATTTTTGTTTCAGCAGTCAAAACAGATTAAGACAGTCCAACCTAATGGCCTCGTTTTAATTTAATCACCTCTTTAAAGCCATATCTCCAAATATAATCACATTTTGAGGCACTGGGGGTTAGAGCTTCAACATATGAATTTGGTGGGTTGGGGAGGACACAGTTCAGGCCATAACAGATGGCAACAACAAGTGAGATCTCCAAATTGAGAAGAAATTCAATTCCTTGTAATGAATTAAGACTTAGACCCAGAGAGGCAGTAACTGCCAAGAAAATTCAAGAGTCGTATAATTAGAACAATGGTCCATATAAGAAGATAACCTGGTTTCTCATGACAATACATGCACCCCCTACAGGGGACTCTCTAAGTTCTAGAGGCTGAGAAGAATTTGATTCCATATTTAGGGCATCATAAATTCAAAGGGGTGAGAAAAAATATAATATTAGGACAAAACATGTGCACGGAAGTACACAAGCCATTTGCTCCGTAGAGAAACAATATAGTGAAATGTCAGTGGACTTGGAAATCAAAAACAATATCACATAAGAGGAAAGCAACAGATTCCACTTTCAAATTCAGCTTTCCAACTTGGAATTTGAATTTGAAAGTGGAATCTGTTGCTTTTCTCTTATGTAATCTTGTTTGAGAAACGCAGGTAATCAGTTTCAATCTTTTCAATAATGTGAAAGTCCTGATAATATCTACTTCATGGGAGTAAATGAGATAATATCTATTAAATTGCCATAAAATACTACAGTTTTACAAGTGTAAGCTATTGTTAGCACTACCAAACATAATAATTGTTGCTTTTTTGTTGACAGTTTTTTTTATAAATCAGGTATTACATTAATGTCTTTACATACAAGATATCATTTAACCATAATTTACAAATAAAATCATTCAAAAGTATCTGAAATAAATGGTCAAGTCACAAAAACAAATATGTCTATCAAAAATAATTATTTCTAAGAAATGGTTTGCCAATGTTATTTAGTAGAGGCTTCCCAAATTCAGCAGATGTGAATTTACCCATAAAACAGTAATTGATCCACAGGAAATCATGACTCAAAATGTGGTATATGAAAAGAAAGCAATCCTTCATTTACATAGAATTGTCATATTTCGGGTAACTTAGTGACATGGACATTAAGTTTCATGGAGATTGGGAAAAAGGTGGGTCGAAAATGGTGAGTTAGAAATGAAGAATAGAGGCCAGGCACGGTGGCTTACACCTGTAATCCCAGCACTTTGGGAGGCCAAGGTTGGCGGATCACCTGAGGTCAGGAATTCGAGACCACCCTGGCCAACATGGCAAAAATACGTCTCTACTAAAAATACAAAAATTAGCCGGATGTGGTGGTGTGCTCCTGTTATCTCAGCTATTTGGGAGGCTGAGGGAGGAGAATGGCTTGAACCCAGGAGGCAGAGGTTGCAGTGAACTGAGATCGTGCCACTGCACTCCAGCCTAGGTGACAGAGAGAGACTCCATCTCAAAACAAAACAAAAAACAAATATATTAACAGTCTATTCTATCAGACCCCTTAATTTGACTCAACCAAATCCTCAAGGACATTTTGCCCTGGATTATTGAAAATATGGGCAATTCAATAATAATTTAGATGTGGGCCTATAACATGATATGAAAAGAGCAATTTTAAAAGTTGGTTTTGAGGTCATACACAGATGGGTTTGTGGGCAAAGGGTGAGGACAACTTCATAGATCAGACGTCATCTGAGCTGGGTTATGGAGCTAAATAGGAAGCATTCTTGTGAATAAGTCAAGAAACAACATTACAGAAGAATGTTCACATTGCGGAGGTTTGAAACCACTGGGGAAGAGCTGGGTCTTTTTGCAGCTTAACTACCTCCTATCCCTCTGTGTCCCTCCACTTCTTCCTCTGTGCCCTCAGGGGATTGTCTTTACATAGGCATTGCACAGCCCTTGCCTTTCCTAAGATTTAGAATCAGTCAATGGGAGGCACTAGGCATCCAAAGCACACTGGAAAAGAGAAAATTAAGGCCAGGGATGCAGTCCTTCGACTTTTTTCCTGTCACATTACTTCAGGTTGGCTTTGTCACGTGACCAAAACAGCTCTCACTGAGCAGCCTTAAATCTCTTTATCCTGGTAATGGTTCCTTCCTCTTTTCCCTTAGGCTCAGGAGGGTAATTAATAGCTCCTCCTTGATGTTAGCCCCAGGGGACTGCAACTTCACTTTCTGGTTTCCTTTCACCCTGTCCATATTTGAACAGAATAGTCTTTTTGTAAAACTTTCCTTTGTTACTCTCAGTTAAGTATACCATTTATATTCTGATGAGACCCCCCATTGAAATATTTACGTAACATCACAACTAAAGAAAAATCAAAAATTCATTCTGTGTAATGTCTGGCCAGTCCCCCAAACCCAGGTTTAACTGATTTGATTTTTTTTCTATTCTTTCTTCCCTCCTTTCCCATTGAGATGAATGGACATTTGATATTACCAAGAATATGCATAATGACTTGGAAGTTACCATTTGAACAATTGACATTCTTGAGGTAAGAAAACCATTTCACATCAAAATTTACTATTACTGAAGAATAGACTTTATATTCATAAGTCTGTAAAAGTCCTCAGAGATCATCTAATATTACCCAGCAGTGCCAAAGACTGGCTCATAATGGATACCACCTAGACAGCTATCTAGAAATATATATCTTCATTTCCCAAGCTCACGAATATCGCCTGCATCAGAATCTCTCAGGGCAGCATCAGAATTTTATTTTATTTTATTTTATTTTATTTTTTAATGTCTAGGTTTCCTGACCTATGATTCTCATTTAAGGGGTGGGAAATCTAAAGACTACAGAGGTTCTGTAACTTTCCAAAGCTCAAATAACAAGACAGAGACACATGAGAATGAGATCCACTTTTCCTGACTTCCTGTTGTTGAGGGAAAGGAAAATTAAGAAATGGGGAAAATCTATGGACATGTTAGAGAGACAGTTAATGACCTCATTTGGTAAAGTATATCCTTGAACATAAATTAAGAAAAACAGGTTGTGTTTCCCAATCTCCAAAATGTTAAATTCGTCAAATTATCTCCCGTACCTTACAAAGATGTTAAGGCTCTTGTCATTTTGGGCCAGGCGCAGTGGTTCACGCCTGTAATCACAGCACTTTGGGAGGCCAAGGCTCTTGACCCAAGGTCAAGAGTTTGAGACCAGCCTGGCCAACACGGTGAAACCTCGTCTCTACTAAAAATTAAAAAAAAAAAAAAAAATTATGTGGGCGTGGTGGCGCGCTCCTATAGTCCCAGTTACTCGGGGAGGCTGAGGCAGGAGAATCACTTGAACCCGGGAGGCGGAGGTTGCAGTGAACCGAGATCATGCCACTGCACTCCAGCCTGGGCGACAGAGGGAGACTCCATCCCCCCCCGCCCAAAAAAAATCCAACTCTTGTCATTTTGGTATGGACCTTTTCGTTCAGTTGTTTCCTACAATGATGTGAAAATCAGCAGTTCCCCAATTTTATTTACATACTAGGATTCCAATTCCACAGGAAGGACTCTGTGTTCTGATAAATGATGGAAATAGTCATTTCATAAATCAGATGATAACCTCAAGCTATGGCTTTGAAGTATCACTGATGTTTTCCAACTCATTTCCTAAGGAAAGAAAGCCCGCCAAAGCACTCCAAGAAGATAAACAATATTTGGCCAGTGGAAATCCGGAGTCTAAAGACAATTAACTGATCAAATATTTTCTATCAGAAAATCATACAAAATCACCTAGTTTATAAAAGAGTTTCTCCCACTACAGTCCTTTTAACAATAAGGTATTAATTTATTTTCTCTTTGCCAGTAAAGTAAGAATACACCAGAAAAAGGGAAGCAACCTGTTAACTTCAGCAGGGATGAACTTCAACTCCTGGTAACTTAAAGCAGATATTTTTTGGCTTCCTCCGCTATCTAAAACCAGAGCAACAAGAAGATTCTCCAACAGCAAAATCTTATTTACAGTTAACTAGTTTATCTTATCCTCTGCTAGCTTTCTCTCTATCAATTTAGGTTATCTGAGCACGTAGAAAAGTCAGCCCTCGATTTTCCAAGGGCAAACAGGAAAGTATAGTCACTCTTCTGACCATTGTCCTAGGATCTGTAGTATTTTTAATTAGTATTGTGATTAACCTCATTGTGATCAGCTGGGGCTAACGTTTTTATTCATCTCCTGACCCCTCTAGCCTCGGAACTCTTCGAGTTTTTAGTTGCAGACATCTTCAGTATGATTTTCAGGTCCCTAGTAACTTCAAAACTTCTCTATACAGACTTTTGTTTCTGAATTTATAAAATAAATGTGATGATGCATTTTATAAGAGCGCTATGACCGGGTATGGTGGCTCACACTTGTAATCCCAGCACTTTGAGAGACCAAGGCAGGAAGATTGCTTGAAGACCAGGAGTTCAAGACCGTTCTGGACAACACGGGGAGACCCCTGTCTCTACAAAGAAAATAAATAAAGACCATTAGTTTCAGTTGCATATTTCTTCAGTTAAATGAAAGTAGGCAAATCAGACGTAGTATTTTGGGTCAGTATTTAGCAATGGGTTATTCATGTTTAGTTGTAACATGGTACTTAAAAATGTATTTTCACCCAATAACAGAACACCATAGAAATTAGAAATAATGTAATTTAGTATGTTAAAACCTTAATTTCTCTCATTTAATTTTCTCATTATTTGTGGGTTTAAAACCCCATACTCCTTTGGAATAATCTCAGTTTATTTTAAAAACTTTGGATGGTGTTATAAGCGATACTCTACCTTAGGCTTGTGATTAAAAAGAGGATATTTGAGTTCTAAAATCTTTAACAGTATATCAATAGAGGTTAACACACTGTGCAAACTATAAAAAAAATCTATGAACATTAGGGTGCAGTATCTCTGTGACTTAATTTGGGAGTTTTGACCAAAAATTGCCTTATTGGCCACTGGAGGTCACCATTGTTCTCTCTAAACTTTGGAAACAGAAAAAACAAGAGGCTGAAAAGCATGGGTGGGTATAGAGGTGGGGAAAATATTTTTCCCTAATGGCGTTATTAATAACATTGAGAAACTTAATGGGCTGTTTTATGTGGCAAATTTCTGTTTTATCCCATTATTGATCTGTGATAAATGCAATAGGAATGCTTTCAACATTTTAAGATTCCCTTTAAATTCTTATAATTTGTCTGATTTCAAATGACAGAAATGAAATTTAAATTGTTTTAGAACTCTGAGTTTTAAGTGTTTTCTCTTTTTGCATTATAACTGAATCCTAACTTTCATTCTTAGAATGTTTTACAAAAATAAAATTGATCACGAATCATCTCATTTCTCCAGCATCTTAGGTTGGATTTCCTAGGAACAGAACCTGTGACAGGAATTCAGGTGGAGCTGTTTTAGGTAAGGAGCGCCTTCAAGAGAAGAAAGAGAAGAGAATAGGACAGGGAGGGGAAGGAGCTAAGCAGGAATGTGGTCTCAGCTGAAGAGGAGGTTCAGCCTCAATCCATGGGGAGCAGAGCTCTGGAGCATAAATTGCACCTCATGGTGGGTCCTGCCTTGAGGCAAATGCTCCACCATTTTCTCCCTGTCAGCCTGTCATTAGCTGTGGGTTGTAGAAGGCTGGGGTGGGATGGACATAACCCCTCAGGCTTGAAGAAGGAAATTCTCCAGAGATGGGGTAGGTGTGCGCTGTGAACAGCTGTCATCTCAGCAACTGATGGGGGGGTGCCATAGCAGGTGCAGTGGATCTGGGTTTGGCAACACCACCAACATCCACAAAGAGAAGCAAAACCTTCAGTTATTAACCTCTGAGTTAATCAAAAGTAACCACTTGATCAATTTAAGAGAGTATCTGTGACAAAGCCATTTTTCTTCTCTTTAATTATTTATTAATCAAATTAAAAGGAGAACTCACTTTTTCCAAATAGGAGAAAGCTAGATTTGATGGCTTGTTCTATCTGTAGTGCAAAATAAATACATAAATAAAAATAAAAACTAGTAACTGGACTTTTATAGGCCTCTTTTTTGAATATATAAGTAAAATTACAGCAATTTTTAAAGGTATAAGAATTAGAAATTTGTTTTTAATATAAAAGATACTAATATGTCAAGATTTATTAATATTATAAGTTCTATAATTGGCACAGTACTACTTCCCATTTTATTTGTAGGGTAGAATTTCAAAACTACTGAGGCAGGAATAACTGGCAAAGAGGGAGCATTTCTACTCTGCAAGATGCAATCTTGGTCCTTTGCATTTGGAGTCATTTTTTACCCTCCCAACACTTGTCTGCTAGGCAGACAATGTGATTTCTCTTTCTTCTGGGAAGGAACTAGGCCCAGCAATTTCGAGTGACACCTAAAATTGTGCAGCTGCTAGGTAAGAGCCAGGATTTGAACACAAAGCTGAAATATTTCCACTAGCATCAGGTGTTGAATTGCTCTATTTCAATCTTCTGATCAGTAAACCGTCTACCTAATTTGGACAAACAACTTACAATGAGAGCATTTTTCCAGCCAATTCATCTTGGTAATAAGAGAGTTTGCTCTGTACTTTAGCTTATAGATAATTGTCCCATAGAAAGTGCCAAAAGAATATAATGGCAAAGGTTCTTTTATATTTCTGGTTTATAATTATATATCATTGTCCTCAATCCTACTACTGCTAAAGAAATTCAATTCCTCCAATGTTGTCTTTTTCAAAAACTATACAGGCTGGGTGCTGTGGCCCAGGCCTGGAATCCCAGCACTTCAGAAGGCCAAGGCAGGAGAATCGCTTGAGCCCAGGAGTTCAAGAGCAGCCTGGGCAACATGTTGAAACATCATCTCTATACAAATATACGCACAAAAATTAGCTGGACATGGTGGTGTGCACCTGTAGTCCTAACTACTCAGGAAGCTGTGGTGGAAGAATCACTTGAGCCCAGGAGGTCGAGCCTGCAATAAGCTGTGATTGCACCACTGCACTCCAGCGTGGATGACAGAGCAAGACACCCTGTCTCAAAAAAAAGACTATACAACAGAGCTCTGAAAAAGATCACACTTTCAGGTACTTGAAGAAGAGAAAAAAGTTGTTTCTATTCCTCTTGTATTCCTCCTTCCTGAATATTGTTTCCTTAGTCCTTTTTACATAGCTTTCCCCAGTTAGTTGATAATCTCTTCACCTTTTCTCTGTGTTCTCAACATCAAGGGTTAAAAACAGGTCCATGTTTCTCTTAGTGCACGTGCCCATCATGATTAAAAAGGAAGGCTTACTTCATAGATGCAAGAGCCTGAAAAGAATTACGTTTTATATTTAATCATTTCATATTGCTGCCATTTACTTTATGGCTCATTAGGAATACCAGGTCTATTATTTTCCATATATTTTTTTTTGCCAGTGTTTCGCCTATTGCTTTTCTGCTGTGTATGCGTTTTTCAATTACTATATATTATTTATTGCATTCCTCATGCTTTTTATATTACTCTTCCCAGGACTCTACTGAAACAGACTGAGGGAGGAGGTTGGGTGATGATGGGGGTAGCAGAGAGGGTTTGGCTGTTTCTTCATATGTCCTATGGGAGGTATCTGGCCTTAATTGTTGGTGAATATTTCACTGATGCCTCATTTAAATGTGGGATTCATAATACCTCTTTCATCCTCAGCCTTGGGTGCTGGCAATTAATTCCAGGGCAACAGGAAACATCACACTCAAAGTTTTGTCATAAACATATGATTTGATTTAACTTCCTTTTTTTCAGTTGGGGAAACTAAAGCTCAGAAAGTTTAAGTGACATGTCTAAAGTCACACAAATGGTGGAGGTAGAATTGATGTTGAAGCTTAGGCTTGTCTGGCTCCAGGCACCGCACATGTTCAATAACAATGACTCTACAGAGGCATAAGAATTCCTGGGATAGTGTCTTAGGAAACTTTCCTATGTGTTCTAATAGAACGTGTTAGGTGAAACATCAGCGTATAAAATATACAAAGACATCCAGGTCTACCCCTATATTTGGGGGGACAAAGCCACGAGATCAGAAGGGTGCTCCTAACCCTGCATGTCCTGCCCCTATGTTTTCTCCACATCTGGCTCTGTCCCACACCATGAGGAATCTCCTGCTTTCTCTTGGGCCTGAGGTTGCCTCAGCAGAATGAATCTGGGGAAGAAGACTCTGCAAACCCCAGCAGCAAGCAGAGGGCCACTTTGGCAGGGAATATCAGAGTCTTGAGTACCTGGCCAGAGATCTAGAAAAATAGGGATTGTGGTTTACAGATAGTCCTGTACCCTTGCCACACAGACTTCTCATAGTAAGAGAGGGCTGCAGCTGGCAGAGGAGCAGTTCGGGCCAGAACAGAGGCCCCAGTACCTGGGACTAAGGAAAGTACTGAATATGGCTCTGTAGGGTGTCCGCTTCTATAAACTGGCACATGTTTATTCTTATCAAGCCACCCAAAGTACAACTGTTAAACCTGGGCTGGGGCTAATTTACTATTATGCACCTATCTGTCTGTGGGAAACTTTCTTCTCTTTGCTGATGCCAAATATGTAGCCACTTCAGTGGGCTGTCATGCTAATGAGAGTAAGGAGTCAGTTAAAAAAAAGGAAAAAGCATCCAGAGCATTCTTTTTAGCTGCTGGCTATTAAATATATTTCTTTAATTAAATATTTACTGAGCCACTTTGTGCCAGACATTGGAGTTATGTAGGAAATAAAAATAAAGAAGATGATATTAATGCAATAATAGAAAAACACAACCTACTATGTACTAGACATTGAGCATAGTTGCAGGATATTGAGGTTACCTCTTTAACCAAACAGACGTGGTTCCTGCCCTTATGGAAACTTATAGATTTTAGGCACATAATAGACATTAAGTTAATGACTTGCACATATCAATAATTGCAGTTATAGTAAATAGTATTGAGAACTTTTGAGGTGTGTGAGAGTGTATTTTTATTTGCTGAAATGTGTTCCTCTGAAGTTCTGATGTTAAAGTACTAACCTCCAGCATCTCAGAATATGATTACATTTGGAGATAGGATATTTAAAGAGAAAACTAAATTAAAATGAGGCCGTTAGGGTGGTCCCTGGTCCAATATGATTGATGTTCTTTTTAAAAGATTTTAGGACACAGTCATGTACAGAGAAAAGACAATGTGAAGATATGAGGAGAAGACAGTCATAGAAGCCAGGGTAAGAGGGCTCCTTTCTTCGCCTCAAGAAACCAACCCTGCTGACACCTTGATCTAGTGTCAGAGGCGTTTGGACCACAGCAATTCCATCTTGAATAGGTGCTGGGCAAAATAAGGCTGAGACCTACTGGACTGCATCCCCAGATGGTTAGACATTCTAAGTCACAGGATGAGATAGGAGGTCGGCACAAGATACAGGTCATAAAGACCTTGCTGATAAAACAGTTTGCAGTAAAGAAGCTGGCTAAAACCTGCTGAAACACAGATGGTGACAAGACCGACCTCTGGTCGTCCTCAATGCTATGACAGCACTCAATGCTATGTCCCAGCACTAGGACAGTTTACAAATGCCATGTCAACATCAGGAAGTTACCCTATATGGTCTAAAAAGAGGAGGCATAAATAATCCATCCCTTGTTTAGCATATAATCAAGAAATAACCATAAAAATGGGCAACCAGCAGCCCTCGGGGCTGCTCTGCCTAAGGAATAGCCATTCTTTTATTCCTTTACTTTCTTAATAAAGTTGCTTTCACTTTACAGACTCTCCCTGAATTCTTTCTTGAGTGGGATCCAAGAACCCTCTTTAAGGGTCTGGATTGGGACCCTTTCAGGTAACATTAGGACTTCCATCATTTAGAACTGTGAGAAAATAACTTTAGTTGTTTAAACCATTCAGTCTATGGTATTTTGTTACAGTAAGTTCAGGAAACTAATATAGTTTGTAACAGGGAATCCATATCTAGTGAAGGGTGACTAGAATAAAACATTTTTGAGACCCAAAGGAAAAATAAATCTTTACCTGGACATTCAGGAGACGACGGGATGGGACAGGTGTAATTCCTGGCAGAAGGTGGCAGAACGCATGGGCAAAGCTCCTGAAACAGAAGAAGTCTGAATCATGGATGAACTGGGAAGAAAATCAAAGTTGAGCCACAGTGATAAAGGGGCTGAATGGCCTTTGAGCAGTCATTTTGGTTGGTGCAGGCTGAAGCGAGTGTGTTTCCTAGTATTTTTCAAAAAAAAAAAAAAAAAGAAAAGAAAAAGGAAAGAAAACGAAAACAAGAAAGAGTGTGAAAATTTGATTTACTTGATAGACACTCCTAGATAGTTGGAAACTTTTGATTGATGATACACATGATTTTACTTATAAATAATTGAGGCGCTCTAATATTTTAACAAGAAAATTTAACGGCAGATTCAGAATCTAGGAAGCCAGGTCTTGTTTTTATAGTGTATATTTATCGACACCTAGTGGTGGGATTCTGAGTTGTTGTAAAATACTCTTGAAAAATACTTTGTTCACAGTACAGATTTCAAGTGATTCTCAAAATGAATTTATTCATTTATTCTACAGCTAGTTACTGAACCAATTTATGTAGCCAGCACTGTTTTTTTTGTGTGTGTAATTCAACTAAACTGACCTCTATTCCCTGCTTTAACATAATGATAATACAAATTCAATCATGGCAGTAGCTTCCATTTATTAAGCACTTACGGAATACTCACCACTCAGCTAGGCAGTTTTTTAACGTTATCTCATTTGACTTTGACAACTAAGTTCAAAGCTCTTATCCTCTTCTCAGATGAGGAAACTGAGGCTCAGAGAGGTAAGATAACTTGCCAAACTCAGACAGCCATTAATTGAAGAACTGCTGTTAGGTCCTAAATGCCTGACTGTAAAGTTCATGTTCATTCCACTCTACCACACAGCATTGTAAACAATTTTTTCATAAATTCACTTAACATATATTAACTTGTTTAGTTGATATATTTATTTAAGATGTGTGTGTGTGTGTATGTGAAAGAGAGAGTGACAAAGGCTTATTATATGCCAGGGACAAATATAGATTCATGCATTCAGTCACAAAATATTTATTGAACACCTACTATTTACCATGCATATGTTGAGTGCTGGTAATATAATAGTTGGCATAAAAGACCCACTCCTTGCTGTCAGTGTGATTAGAGCCAAACAGGGTAGAGGGACATTAATCATATTAATATTAATGTATGCAAATTTCAAGCTAAGATATACTTTTGTAGAAATGACAGTTCAAGTTTGCATATTATAATGATTTGAGTGCTCTTTAAGATTCAAAAAGCGTTTCTTCTAAGATGTGCTGCTTCACCTGAGGTCTGAAGGATGAATACAAACTAAATGTGTGTGTTTAGAGGAGGGAGTGCCAGAGGCAAGCAAGTAGGTGAGAGGAGTGTTGCAGATGGCTGGGCAGCACACGCAAATGGCCTGTGGTAGCAGGGAAAAATGCACAGTGAAAGAGGAAGAGGGAAAAGCAGTAGTGTGGAGTTAAATGTGACTGGAGAAGTAGGTAGATAATGGAGAAAATTACTATGCAGCCTTGACCATTGTGCAATGTGAATAGTTTCACCAAATGTCATGGCTCCAGAACTCTTCATCTGCATCTAGATACTGTAAAGGAAACTCTTCCTACAGTGATGGGGGAAAGGAAAGTTAATATACACCCAGTTCAATTTCTGTAACACAATCTTAAAGCAAACTGGACACTGAAAAATTTACCCACACCTTTCTACTCTTACATCCCCCTTGAAGTAGAGATCAGGAACAAACCAGTCTTCCTGAATGGTAAAAATAAGTGGAAATCCAGAGGCAGTATTTCTGGTGTCAATATAAGAATATGATGGAATAAATCAAATGTTATAAACAAATTCTGGTTAAACATGTGAACACTTCCTCCTTGACACCTTGTTCCACAGCGCTCACAGAGAGTGAATGAAAGTAGTGCATGAATTCAGCACCTGCAACTGAAATATACAGGTTCTCACATTGGGCCTGACTAGGCAAATAACTCGACCCACGGAGAACAAAGAAAAGCAGGGGGTTGGTGACAGTCCACCCAGGAGCAGTGCTGAACCTAAGGAATTCCCACCCCCAGCCAAAGAGGGACCATTAGGAGTACAAAATGCAAAGGAGGAAGTGTTCACATGTTTAGCCAGAATTTGTTTATAACAGTTGATTTATTCCATCATTAACAATCCTCATCTCTCTGGTTCCGAAGATTAGAGATTTGTGCACAACTAACCCCAAGGGTTTGTTGCAACAAACAGATTCCAGATCAGGTAGACTCTGATAATAATATCTATTGGATGTGGAGACATGGGTCTAGCATTTAGAATCAATTGATAGCTTCTGCCAATTTGGGCCAAAAACCCTGACCCAGATTTATTGTAAAGCACTCTTCCTGAACAAGTTAGCAAAACCAGGAGGTGGTGTGCACAGAACAGCACAGTTTCTTTCCCACTTATCTTGTTCTAAATCCTAAACTTCTTAATATTCCATTGCACTAATAACTTCTGGATGGCTCCAATCTGCAGCCAAGACTTTACACTCTTGGAACCTAACCTGACTCTTCTGCCCTTTGCCTGGAAGTTCTTGCCTGTCATCATTTTTATCAGTTCAGGGTCAGTTCATTGTTACTCTTCCTTCTCTCATATCCTTAACTTAGTAGAGCAGATTTGACTAGTTGTCCTCTGAGTATCCATTCTCTACTTTTTTTTTAGTAATAGAACTTAAAGTAATTTGAGTCAACAATGTTCACAGCTAACAGACTGTCTTTCCTAGCATCCCTTTCAGCCAGGTACATATGACTAACTTTTGGCCAGTAGTATTAAGTTTTTGGTAACAATTTTCAGTGAAGCATCGTGGAAAAAAAATTCGTGTGCAGCTAGGAAAGTCTGATTTCCCTCTCTATTCCTTCTTCTTCCTATGTTGGAATATAGATGTGATGCCAGGGTCTGAGTTCCCCGTTTTGAACTGGAAGGTGACCATGAGGATAGAAGCCACACACAAAAGATGATAAAAGAGAAGATAGAGGAAGACTCTATGGGGATAATTTAGGAGCCCTGGGCTTTATCTCTGGATTTATTTTGCGTAAGGAAGAATTGCATTTCTTCCTTGATAGACAATTTTCTTTTCCAGTCTTTGTTTCAAATTACACAACTCATGACTTATATACTGAAAGGATGGGAAGTGATCTAATTCAGTGAAAGTCATACCTGGTGAGGGACTATCTCTGTGGGTACAAGTTGGAGGCACCTCAGGCTTTGGCTTACAGAACGGTATAGAGCCACTTTTCATTCTCAGAAATATGTACCATCCCTTTGGAATCCCTGATTTTTCTCACCTCCTCCCTGAGAATAATTTCACTATTTTGAATACGGTATTTTCAGGAAGGCCCATAGGCTGGGCCAGCTATGGCTGCCTTTCATTGCCATTTGGTTATCTGATTAAGCATTGGTGTATGCACATATATGAACTATTATGTCATAATTCAAAAAGTATCCATATTACTTTTCTGCAATGGTAAATTCTTGGGCCAGGAATGTTAACCTGTGAAGAGGACAGTATGTGTGACTTTCAGAACAATTCCACATGGTGACAGCTTCTGGCATGCTCATGTTCCTCCTGTGGACTAAAAATTGGCATCTGAAAGACATGGTAGAACTAACAAGGGATATGACGGGGCTTCAGGGAGGTGGTGGAGAAGCAGGAACGCACTCCAATTGCACTTAACATTTTCCTTCTTTAAACCACATGTCCCAGGGTTTTTACTATGATAACTGAGAAGTCAATGAAACCTCCAATAGGAGTCACAAAACCCAGAGAAAATGTTTAGTTCCCTATAATTAATAGGTTCAAGCACATTGGTGATCATAGGCACTTTTTCTGACGCAGTGATTTTTCCTTATTGGGACACTATATGCCTAGCGTGTTTTTTCACAGAGGTTTGGCAGGATTGGAAATCACCAAGGGATAATTTCAAGTCTTCAATGCCAAGACAACTGGCATCTGAAGGTGTTATTACTTGTGTCCTTTCAGAGTTCTGCCAAGAATAATTACACCACTAAACCAACTAACCCTACAAAGTAATATATATTTCTCAGTAATCTTTTCTGTTAATTAATGAAAACTGACAGTAGTCAAAGAAATAATTGAGCATCCTTTTGAGATTGAAAGAACTCACTAGATATGTATGTATGTTATCAGTTGTTTGCTTTCACTTTTGCCCTCAGCTGGCATACATATTTGATAGTACCCACTTCTCAAGATAAGCCTTGATAGTAGTCTCAAAGATACTGTGCAAGGCCGCTTGACCTCAGGGTGCAGTTTTCTGGTCTATGTTAGTGAAATCCTTTAGTGTAGAAAAGCCTTAATACATCTGTATTTTGTTATCTTTCTTATGAGCCACCATAATGGCAGATGCCTGAAGACTACTGCATGGAGAAACTGGGCAATTAATTAGTATCCAATTATTATTTTAAATTTTTTATTATACTTTAAGTTCTGGGGTACATATGCAGAAGGTGCAGGTTTGTTACATAGGTATGCACGTGCCGTGGTGGTTTGCTGCACCCATCAACTTGTCATCTACATTAGGTATTTCTCCTAATGCTATCCCTCCCCTAGCAATTATTAGGATCTTATAAGTCCTCGATTATAAGCGATGCAATCTTTTTGAGTGCTAGCTTGAAACTGGCAAACAAATATTCTTCTGCATTCTATTGGCCAGAGCAAATCACAAGGCAAACTCAGATTCAAAGGAATGAGGAAATAGCCTCTTGATGGGATGAGGTTCAAAGTTCCACTGCAAAACACATGAAACAGAGAGGCAGGAAAAACAGGAATAATGCCTGCAATCAATCAATCTGCCACAGTAAAATAGCACAAGGTGCCAAGGGAGCATATAGAACATGCATATATTCCAGCCTAGAAAGTCAGCTCTTTCCCAGAGGCTGCAATTTCTGGGCTTAATCTTGAATGATGGTTGTCACTGAAAAGGTAAGGATGAGAGTCAGCGGTAGGGAAGGCACTTAAAGGCATGGGTAACCTAAGCAGGCATAAAGTCAGGACACAGTACCTCTTTGAAAAGTGCGGTATTTGTGTGGGCAAGTAAAAAATGAGAGAGGCAAAAACCAAGTTCTTAAAACACAGTCAGCCTTGTATGCATTTTGGAAATTCTCTATGCTTGCTTTCTTTTCAAATTATTTTGTGACCTTGTTATCTGTCTAAAAACTTAAGTTTTTCTGTTCTCCTTGATGTGCAGAGGTAGAGGAAAACATACCCAGGAATAATGTAATTTTTGACTTTCGCTGTGCGTAGAAATATCTTCTTTGACAGAGTTGTCCTCAGTGTTGTGTTTTGAAGGGCTAATGAATATTTCTTCTTCTGAGATAGTCCAGAAGGGAGCCATTTAGAATGCCTGATGTGTGGATAGATGGCCGTCAATCAATATGTCTACAAAGCAATTCTCTGAATGCCAGAGGATAGTGAAGAAAACTAGAAGGAATTTGAAATGAGAAAGTATGACTTTTAGGCCATTAAGGTTTTCTTTCAAATACCTGGTATGATGAAAGGGAAATAGAAAAAAACTCCAACAGCTGTTAATACATGGAACTAAAAGATGAGTGTGTAATATAGAAATTGATAAAACCATTAGTCTAGATGAGCTTTCATAAAGCATTTGATTCTCATCATTTTCTATTGACTCTTTATGGTATAACGTATTCCACAATTTAAAATTATCTTAGTTTTCATAATTTCAAAAAATATCAAATTTTATTATATGTTATGAAATACTGGCCCCAAGCCAAATTATTTTGTCATTTGTTTGGAATGAGATCCATGAGTTCCTTAAGACATATGTCCAGAACTAAAATATTTTCATAACTATAAGATAATATTGTTCTTTTTAAAGTTTTGTTTTTCAGGGTTTTAGCATTTCATATACATAATTTCCTTTTCCCAACTGCCCTCACCTATTTCCCTGGCATACTACTGGTATTTACCTGAGACTTAACTCAAGTTTATTTTTGCCTATATAAAGCTTATTCTGTCTTTGCAACCCTGCTCCACCCCAACTCACAGAATTGAACACTCTCTTTTTATGTGCAAGCACTGAAGTTGGCACCAGTCTCTGGGATCTACTCTAATATCTGTTATCACAACACATTGCACATTGTATTAATGTTTTCTTCATCATTAGACTGTAATTTATTTAAGAGTTAAGTCTGTGTTTTCTTACTCTTTGTGTCCTTTCTTCCTGTGGTGATGACATAGCAACTGCCCAATACATACTCATGGAAGTTAACTTATGAATAAATAAGTGAGTGGCTTTCAACTGCAGATGCAACTTTGAATGAGACGGCATCTGTTTCCACACCAAAAAAATTTTAAAACATAATATTTAGATTTCTTTCAATAATTAATTATTTATAAAGTCCTTTTGCATACTCCATCATTCAACTGATACTTACAACAATAATATCAGCCCCATTTTAAAAGTAAGAGCGTTCATGTTCATAGTAAGTCATGCAACTACATGAAAACTCAAGTATTCAGCTAAAGACACACATCCTATATTGCACACTGTTGAGAGAAATAGCAACTAAATGGGATGGCAATTCTGTGATTAACCTCTGTAACAAAAAGATTGGGTCATTTCTTTTCTTCTATTCATTTTTCTTGTGTACAAGTAAGAGAGGTCTACAAGGTGACCCCCAAGTTCCCTTCAACTCTAGCATATGAAATCTGCTCACTCACATACTCATTAAACGCTCTGTCTCTGGCCACCACATCAACTGACCACGAGATGGCGATGCAGCTTAACTCAGCACCCAGGTCTGTAACCCCAGCATCTAATGAAAGCCGTGCCCAAGGCAATTTCCCATATTCAGCAAATTTTAAAACATAGACATTCTGTCATATTTGAGAACTCACCACCTCCTTTTTCAAATATGACTACTGGCATGGAGAAAATGTTTCAAGATGCCAGCCATCCCTAAGATCAAGCAAGAGGGACATCAACTTGAGGCCAGTGCTAGTGAACAGACTAAGAAAGCTCATTTACATGACGGAAGACAAAGTATAATATCCACACCAGGGCAACTTTACCAGGTAGAAAAATTGGAGACTGCGTCTTCATCAGACTCTAAATTTCGATACTTTCAACACCAGATTTGTTCTCTGTTGAATCCCTGTAAATATTTAGCATGAACAAATGCACTAAGCACCAACTAGGAGTACCTCAATATGATGGGGTCTAGGGAAGAGGTAGTCAGTCTTCTGTAAAAGTTCACAATCAGACTCATATGTGTAACATATGTTTAATGAACACATATTGTGTGACAAGCTCATGTGTTAGGTCTCAGATAAATAGCATTAATAGTGGCTACTATTATTTGTTATTTATTGATTGCTAATTGCCACGGCATATGCATAGCACTCTAAATTTCAACTCATTAAATATTTATGAAAACATTACATATTAAGGGCTAGTAGCCCTATTTTACAGATAATGAAAAGTAGGCTCAAAGAGGTTAAGGCAATTTGCTACGATTACTACCATTTACTAAGATTACTGCCATTACTAAGATTACTGAGTCCTGGTTTTACAATAATGGAAAAGCAAGAACACTGAGGATAGAGGAAAGGCATACGCCAGCAAACATAACACATAATATTCCTGACAATAACCAGAAGTGCAGTCAAGGACACTTTCAGAGCACAATGCTTCTTCCTTGCCTTGGTCCCTGAAATTCACTTCCACTTGTTCAGAAAAAGAAAAAAGTAGGATTTCTGATTTGTTTTACAATATCCATTGTCTACCAATTCTCTCATGGCAGTATGGTCTTCAGCTGGCCCACTTGGGGATCCCTAATCCTGAACATTTTATTACCTCTTTTGCAACCAGTGCTGCTACTGGGCTTGTACTCTTGGAAACATTTCACAGGCAAGACTCCTCCAACCCATACAGAGGCTAGAAAGAAGGCAAAGAGACACGTTCTCAGAATGATATAACAAGAATCCCTCATCAAGGCTTGGTTTGTGTCTCTGTTAAAACGTAGTTGAGACATGGAATCAACCTAAATGCCCATCAATGATAGACTGGATAAAGAAAATGTGGCACATATATACCATAGAATACTATGCAGCCATAAAGAAGAATGAGATCATGTCTTTTGCAGGGATGTTAATGGAGCCGGAGACCATTATCTTTAGCAAACTAACACAAGAACAGAAAACCAAATATTGCATGTTCTCATTTATAAGTGGTAGCTAAGTTATGAGAACACATGGGTGCACAGCTAGAAATAGCACACACTGGGACCTTTCAGAGAGTGGAGTGTGGGAGAAGAGAGAGAATCATGAAAAATAACAAATGGGTAATAGGCGTAATACCTGGGTAATGAAATAATCTGTACAACAAACCCTCATGACACAAGTTTATCTATGTAACAAACCTGTACATGTACCCCTAAACTTAAAATAAGTAAAAACAAACAGAAAAGAATAGTTATTTTTAAAAGTTTATATCACTTCTACCAAGGAGCATAATTAATTTTGGCCATCATTAGAATATATTTGCTGTATGATTAACTGAAACATAAAATAATTTTATAATATACCAAGGCTCTGAAATAAATGCTGATTTTTTTCTTGACTCGGAGTGTGGGTTCCAAGGTATTTTTGTCCCATGTCAGCTGTTCTAGGGTGCCACATTCTCATTTCAGTTCTCTTTTGTTTTAGCTGTTATTTATATAATTGCTTGAAGTATCATATTTATTGATTTTTTTCCCACAGTTTGGTTCTCACTACATAAATCTGGCTATATTACCAGTACGGTAACTCTAGCCCTGTGGAGACAATGTGGCATAGAAGTTGAAATCCTTAACTCTGGAGACAGACTGACTAGCTTCTAATCCCACTCCTGCCACTTATTTCATGAGCAGTCTTGGGAAATGTGCTTAACCTCTCTATGCCTTAATGTTGTCATCCATAAAATGATAATGATTCATTTTTGACATACAACAGAGTTAGAAAGCATCTACTATATTCCACACAATGCTCAAGTAAAAATCACTAAATAGAACAGACCCCAAATCCCTGCTTTTGTGGGAGATGACAAGGGTAATGCACATCAATGGAATTTGTGTCCTTATAGGCTCAAGGAGCTCTCTTGTTCCTTCCACCATCTGAGAACACAGTGAGAAGTCCCCAGGCTTCAACCTGAAAAAGGGCCCTCATCAGAACCTGATCATCAGAACTTGGCACCCCAATCTTTGTCTTCTGATCTACATTGTGACCTAAGTCAGGTAAATACATCTGGCATACATCTTTGACATTTTTATACAATCTCTATGCACTGTGGTTTTAGATGTGCAATAATTTGTACAATGGTTTATTCCCAAGAACAGATTTTTTGTGTGTGTATACTTCCTTGCTTTAATAAATATATGATATAAATTTAAATAAATTTCTATTTTGTATATTTTTGTTTTGTTTTTTGTTTTTTGTTTTGTTTTGTTTTTGAGATGGAGTCTTGCTCTGTTGCCCAGACTGGAGTGTAGTGGCATGATCTCGGCTCACTGCAACCTCTGACTCCCAGGTTGAAGTGATTCTCCTGCCTCAGCCTCCCAAATAGCTGGGATTACAGGCACCCACCACCATGTCCAGCTAATTTTTGTATTTTACTAGAGACAGGGCTTCACCATGTTGGCCAGGCTGGTCTTGAACTCCTGACCTCAAGCTATCCACCTACCCCAGCCTCCCAAAGTGCTGGGATTACAGGGGTGAGCCACCACACCCAGCGTATTTTGTATATTTGTAAAGTACAAAGTAAAATGAACATTTTATGGAGTTTGTATTTTGCATACCCAATGTGAGAATTAAGTTTTAAATAAATAAACCTATAATATTTTATCTGAACAAAAAAAAAACAGAACTGTGATAAATTTATATTGCTTATAAGCTACCAAATTTATGGCATTTTGTTATAATAGGTTAAAGAGACTAAGACAAATAAGGTGTTGGACATCTTTTATTTGGTATTTGGTATTTATTTGGTATTTATACATCTTCTTTGATGAGGTATCTGTTAAGGTCTTTAGCCATGTTTAAATTAGTTGTTAGTTTCTTATTGTTGATTTTTAAGAGTTCGTCATGTATTTTGGGTAACGGTCCTTTCTCAGAAGTGTCTTTTGCAAATATTTGCCCTATTCTGTGGCTTATTTTCTCATTCTTTTGACATTAACTTTTGCAGTACATGACGTTTGTTCCATCACCGTTTGCTGAAAGAACAATCCTTGCTCCATGATATTGCTTTTGCTCCTTTGTTGTATTGGGCTGTTTTTGCATTACTACAAAGGAATACCTGCGACTGGGTAATTTATAAAGAAAAGAGGTTTAACTGGCTCATGATTCTGCAGGTTTTATAGGAAGCATGCTGCTGGCATCTGCTTAGCTTCTAAGGAGGGCCTCAGGAAGCTTACAATCATGGCAGAAGGCGAAGGGGTAGCAGGCACGTAACATGCTAAAAGCAGGAGCAAGTGAGAGAGAGGGAGGTGCCACTCACTTTTAAACAGCCAGATTTCACAAGAACTCACTCATTATTTTGAGGACAGCACCAAGAGGTTGGTGTTAAATCATTCAGGAGAAATCTCCCGCCAAGATCCATTGACCTCTCACCAGGCCCCAACTCCAGCATTGGGGATTGCATTTCAACATGAGGTTTGGGAAGAGACAAATATCTAAGCTATATTATCTGTCAAAGACCAGTTATCTATATTTATATGAGTCTATTTCTGGGCTCCCACTTCTTATCCATTGATATATTTGTCTATTCTTTCACCGATACCATCCTGTCTTGATTACTATTGCTTTACTCTTTGAGCATTTAAATATTATATGCTTGTTATAGTATTTATAAATGTTTGTAATTTCCTATTTTGATTTCCTTCTTTACTCTAAGACTTACTGATAAATATGTTTTTAAAACTATACACATACAAATTTTAGAGGCTTTCACTTGTTAACTTCTTATATGTTATTTGCTTCTGCAATTTTTTGAGATTTTCTGTGTAGCTTATTTAATGGTCAGTTTTTGTGGACACTTCACAAGAAAAATGACGCATCTTAAAAAATTATTCTATTAGAAGCCTACTTTTTAAAATTATGATTGATAGTCCTTTATAAATTCCTTTTTTTGTTATTGCTTTCCAATTCTACTTCCTTACTGGTAATGTGTATTGGGTATCCATCTTTCTTGAATATTTCTCAGAGGTAAATGTTGATAAATAATCCAATTGCATACTCTCTTGCCCTGGATAGTAGTTGATTTAGGGATATAAATATAGCCCAGTGCTGGACAATGACATGTGAGAGGAAATCAGTTGAGGTCATTTTTAAAAGATTTCCTTTCTTTTATAAAGCAGCTCAGAAATAATCATTTTTGGTCCACTGAATAGGATCTTGTCTGCATGTGACCCCTGAAATGTAGCAACCATCTTGTGACAATGAGGAAAAAAATAGTGGCAGAGCAGTATGAAAGAACAGAGCCTGGTTCCTAATTCTATTCTTCAACCACTGCATTAATCCTCGAGCCTCCTTGTCACAGGACATTTGGCAAATCAAGTATCCATTCCCCTTTTTACTTACGATACTTATTTTCAGGTGAATTTCTGGCACTTGCAGTCAGAACATCCTCTCTGGTAAAAATTTTGTAACCAAAGTGAGATTCTATACATAACATATTCTAAGATATGAAATTGGCAGATGGGATCATCTGAAGGAGTGAGGTGAGGACTAGACTATTCAAGTTTCAAGGCTGGTGCCTTGCTTTGCTCTTGCAAAGCCTTTGGTCACTATGATGCTTATTGTGAGTTGGGTTATAGACCATGTATTATTTTAGGGGGAAAATAGCTATTTCTTGCAGCTTTCAGTTTTGTTCTAAGAGTGGAATTGCTAACAAATAAAAACATCGCACACCTACTTAACTTTAAATATTGACTACTTTTATAAATAATAACAACTTTTTGAAGTATGAATATGTCCAAATTATTACATGCAATATACTTTATATTACAAAAAAAAGTTTTCTGAATTTCAAATTTAACTAGGCATATTGTATTTTTTTCTGGCAACCCTAACTAGAAGAAAGATATCAACCTAAGATGAAGGAAGCATTCCTGGATGCAAAAAAGGAAGGAAACAAAGAAAGGTCCTTTTGCCCATGACTTATAGTCTAAAGTCAACTAAGAGCCTCATAACATGAAACATTCAAGGACTGAAAACAAAGCCAAACAAATTTTGTGTTACAAACTAAAAATATAGGACTAATAAATCCAATTAAACAGCCTGCACCCAACAAAGGGGAACATTTATTATATACAACTGGTAGGAGAGATTTGTTAAACGACTTGTGCGTATATCTCCAAGGCTAGTTTTAAAAACAATTACTTCAAAATAAAGAATATTAAACTGAGGGACAGAGGTTGGGCAGAGCACAGAGACTGGTGTCTGGGAAACAAAAATTCTCAAAGATTATAAATATGGAGCTTTGCTTGTTGGACTCGAAGTCCACTGTAGAAGAGCCTGCCAATTATCTCTCAGTATTTCTTTCTTTATTCCTGCTAGTAATAAAAGCTCTTAATTTTAAGTGCAGCCTTGTGACTGAAATTCTCCCCTTCAGTGGAATGTGCATGTAAGTTATTGTGCCAACTTCCACATCACCCTCTCTCTTCAGATGCAAGGACCGAAGACAACTGTTGATAGTAGCTGCCTCCAACCCCTGACAGCTCATCTCTGCTTGTGAGAGTGACTAATATACTATTGTCTTGTAAAATCTACTGCATTTTAAAATTAATTTTGATAGAGCAACTAGCTAACACAGAGATTAATGCATGGATATTTATTATTTTATAATAAATATGAGGCAATTGAATTGCAGTCAGGCAGTGAATAACAAACAAATAGATATTGCAGCCTGGAGATCCAGTGACTTTTGTTGTTCTGTGACAAACCATTTGGTAAAAGTGTTGCCTGTGAAAGCTTGAGGCAGACTTTTGCGTAGAAAGCACATAGCCAACTCTAGGAGAACAATTGAAGTAAAAGAGAAGTGACTTGTCCACATTCGCATGGTTTAACTAGAATTTAAGTCTTCTGGTTGACTGTTCATTAAATTATAATACAAAAGTAAGTTCCATTCAACCCCACCATGGAAAAATCTATAATGGATATCCTTCCAGTGACTGTTCAGTTCCACTTCTATTAAAGTAAAATGTATTCCTATATGGTGTAGAAATATTATATTATGGCCTATTAGATGAATATTTTCTACTTTCATTAACATAGTAAATATAAAGATACACTGGGTGCAGGAATGTGGACAAATATTTCTTCCTTGCCCGTGCCATAATCAGGCGCCTCTGAACTCTCTTCTCAACTAGGTCCTGACTTTTGGGCTTCTGTGTTTCTGCATTGTCCAATATTAGAAACAATCTTGATAAGTCAGTTTAACCAGAACCTTCCACCCTCAGTATCTGATCACACTGTATATCTGAGCAGTTTCCTCATTCCCAACCATTCCCCATGTAGTGTCTGATCACCTTGGCCTGCCATCAGCAGGCATTCTGCTACATTGGTTTAACCAGAATCGCCTCTTACCCCTGATGCCTCCTCTTGGTGTGTTTCCATTCACTGACCTTCCTACTGCAACCTGGCTCACAGGCTATAAATTCCCAGTTTTCCTTATTGTATATGGAGTTGAGCCCAACCTTTCTCCTCTATCGCAAACCCATCTCAGTGGTCCCTATGGTTAATGCAATGGTCTTGAGTAAAGTCTGCCCTACTATTCAACAAGTGTTATAAATATTTTTTCTTTAATAATTAATAGATAAAATGAGACTTAACAACTTACCTCTCATTCTTGACGTTCCTATTATTTATCAACTAATAATGATGTAAAATAGAGCTGGAAGAAGAGCACTGTATATGACTTTGTTCCCTGAACCCTCCACCAAGCCCTCTCCCTCATGCCCCTGCCATCAGCCAACACACATGGCTGTTTAATCACAGTGATGTTTCACACAGTAAACCTCCACTTGCTCTTACAATCTTTCTCAACCCATCTTCTATACAGTGTTTCTTCCTAATAGAGTTTTCCAGTTCCTAATATGACAGGAGATGGAATCTATTAGGCTTATGATGGGTCCAGGGATATTTACATTTAATAGGGATGCTTTTATGACACAAATGACTATAAAGGTTAAATTTCCCAGCATATGAGAAGGCATACATGACACCACAATTCTATAGGCTCCATAAAGCTGGCAAAGGGCTTCTAACTCTTCCTACTTACAAGGACAGTTCTATGTTTGATTTCCCATGCGTGTCATCTATTTGAATTCCAAGAGTCTGCGATTTCAAAGGAGTTAACTAAGACCAGAAAACCCTCTCATTTTCGCAACCAGCAGCAGTAACTTCAGTTTGAGCTGGTAAAGAATGAGATTTGAGAGCAAATATTCAAGAATAACTACCATTTAGGATTTTGTAATTGTTCTTAGCAAACTTTAGAAGTGGCAACCATGTGATGTGCTACCAGTTGTAACTAACTCCCATACTTATTCCCAGCAGAACTGGAAAACTCATCTTAGAAAAATGAAGAGCTATTATCATTCTTTGCATTTTACCTTGGCATTTTGGCATTCACCTTGGAATTTTTTTCCCACTCTCTTGTTATTCCAGTTTTTCACTGTGGCTATGGGCTGTTAATGCCATTATTTTGTTATTTCAAAGGAAAAAAATGTTATATTACTTTTCAGGGAATATTCAGCAACCCAAGTCTACAACTAATGTTTCTAAGCACATGCCAGTTTCTATTTCTCCTCTTCATTTTAAGTTGGAAGAATCCAAAGCAGTATTTCAAAATCACTTTTTGTTTGTGTTAAGAGTTTTGGAGAGCATCTTTGTCAAAATTATTTAAATAACTAATCAGAAAACTATTTTCTTTCTCTAAATAAGTCAAAATATTCGTCCTCTTGCAATCAAATTTATGCTAGGAAATATGTGAGAATCAGAAAAGGATAGAATTATGTAAAGTTTGAAGAAATCTTTTAAAGAGCTGTTGAATAATTTTGCATTCTGAATGGATTTAGGTGATGGATAGAATATTTTAAACACAGTTCTGGATGTCTTTAATTCTAAGACTTTAGTCTTAGAAGCAGGGAAGAAAAAGAAACATTACATTTGATTCAGTTTAGTTTGTGATTTTGATTAATTCAAGAATTATAAATTCATATCTGTATTTTATGCCATCTAATATAAAAGGAAATTTTGAGATATGCACATGGATTGCAACCTTCTGAAACTGATGACTCAGGCCTTTAGAGTAGCCAGGTATCTAGGCAAAGGACACCAGGAGCCTCCAGCCTCTAACCAGGTTTTCCAATATTGGATGCTACCAGGACTTTTATGGGAAAAACAGCAGTTACCCCTGATTATGTGATACTGGAGGCATAGGCTCTGCGGAGGCAATGCATTTGGGTTTTACTTATGCAACCAGTGCTTTTATTGGGAATGCTATCTGTGTATACGATATGCTTTCAAAATTTATCTCTAACTAATAAAGCAAAGGCTAGCTTTGGTATAATGTAGAGAGGACCAAAACAGGATTTATTATAACTAGGTCCATAACTATTTTGCTATATTCAGTTATTAGTCATATCACTACTCATTATTAATGAGCAAACTGAAAAAGTTGGATTATTCCTATGGTCTGAGAATAGTTTAGTGAAAACAGCAGACAGCATTGATTTCAGACAGATACAGGTTACAATTTCTGCTCTGCCACCTTTTCTATGTGCTACTTCTGTCTCTATTTTTTGATAAATAAGTTGGAAGTAGGAACATCAACCTTCTAGAATCGTGAGAATTAAATGAGTTAATAGAAGTAAAGCTCTGAGCACACAGAGAAGTAGTGACAACTTTAAGTACTGCAGGTTTAGGTTTAGTACTGTGCGTGTCTCTACAAGTGCCTTCTCTTTACCCCATTCTACCACAACCATCACACATCCAAATCTTATACTCCAATAGGACCTTTCTTGATCCTATCCAGGGAAAGGTGAAACTTATGGATTCATGAGCTGTGGAAAAGGAGAAATTAAAAACAAAATCAAACATTGTAAAAACTGTTAAAGAAAAAATTGTGGGAAGGTACAGGATAAGATCTGTGTTTGGGGGACTCATCTCTCATTCTCCTTCTCAGCTGTGTTTATGGCAGTAACTCCTTTCATTTCTTCATCCATTCAGTTTGCATTGATTAAGCTATGTGCCAGGATCCTGTCCTTGTTCCTTGACCTACCTCCTTCCCAAGTCAGCAGAGACTAAAAATTTGTTTTATGAGTTAAAGTATTGAATATTTTGCTGCTGGTTGTTATATAATTTTGATTTTCTCATTTCTAAACACCAAAGCAGCTTTTCTTGTTTACCTCTAGACTATTACATGACATATAGTTTGCATTTTGGATATTTTCTTTACACTCTCAATCCCCTATTTAGAATATTTCCCAAGACTGTTTTCTGGTTACTTGCAATTTTGAACTTGAAAAGAACATTTATTCAAGTTTCTGTGATTTTTCTCCACAGGTAAAATCTTATCCCTATTTATATTTGGTTTGAAATGTGCTGAAACATAATGGGAAGCCAAAAGTTCCCAAAATTGGGAGAAATTTTCATTTGAAAACAGTGATGATCCACGCGACCTTCCCATCAGTCATTAACCCTATGCTATTTATAAAATAATATGCAGAAGGCAGTAGGAGGGAGGATACATAGATTCTGGCCCCAAATTCCTTAGTGGTGAGATGTGAAAGGAGTTAACAAATCTGGAACTCAGTTTCTACACCTTGAAGATTGGGGAAGAAAAATACCTTCTTTCTCATGAGAGGATGATAAAAAATAAGATTAGATCTATGATAGAACCTTGGTAATTACAAAGTGCTTTACAATAAACATCAGCAATTACTATATCCTGCTTGAACTAGGCCAGACCATTAAAGCTGGTCTAGTTTGGACCATTGAGAGAATGATGATTTGGAATAGATTTTGTTTACTATAGAATCAGCAAACAAACAATGCATAGAATAAATACATGGTCAAGGATGCTGGCAAGTAAGCCTGGCTCTTAAGTCCCTCTATTTATCCTCACAGGACGGTGCCCTGAGCTTCAAAGTCAGATTCAGCAGCTCCCATAGCATGGGAATCTACCAGGACAGAGGACCCCAGAAACATAAGATTTCTGCCTTTTATGCCTTTTTCCATGGAGGGATGGGCATGGAGAGGTCATGCACATTAACACCCAATGGTCTAACAACTTTCCATGAAAGGAAATTTTTGCTGTGCCACTCATGCCTCCATTCACAAACCATTTCTTTCCATTTGTTATTGGGCCTTCTCGAAGTTTCAGTCATCTGGCCAGCTTTATCTGATCACTGTGACACCTGGGGCTCTTCAGAAAAAAAGAAAGATTCTCTCTCTGACCTCGGTCTCATAGAGGTTACTGCTGTAATCAATGGAGAAGACAAGGCATGCCAGCAACCACCGAGGAAACATTAGACATGATAGAGACAAGAAGACTTAAACCCAAGCCTGACTCTGGGATAAATTGGGTTATCAGACTTGTTGTTTTCCCTTAGATTCCTCTAACTCTTCAGTCATGCCCCATTCTGAGAGGCCTCTCCTTCCACTAGTTTTCTACTCTGCCCTATATTAAGTATACCACAGTGCCTTAGGTACCACGTATGTACTCACTTAGGTACCATGTACATGCTCACACACATAACATATTCACTTCCTGCATGGCAGGCACCTACCCATCCTCCTATTTCTCCATGGATGTTATCTATTTAGTCTTTCTCATTTCATAGGCATCTCAGTCTTCAAGATCAGTTTTCCATAGTACAGAACCCCCTCAGTCTTTATGAAATGCAAGGCAATGGAATTTAACAGAAAGACTGCTGACTTCACAATTACATAGAACTGAGGATGCATCCTGACTTTGTCACTTACCCACTGGGAGATGTTGGGAAAATAATTTAATCTATTTAAGCTATTGTTTTCTCGCTAGTAAATCAGGCACTGTGAAAATAGCTGAGTGAGCTGAGTGGTTGGTGTGAGCACTACATGCAATTTTTAGATGACATGCATATAGAAGGTTGTCAAGAAATTTGCATGTTCTTATTTGCCCCACACTGCGACGGCAACAGTTCCAGAAACAGAACAGTGGGGGATATTTCCCATCTTAGAAACTTTATTTGGCTAAGGGCTGCCTGCACTTTCAGCTGTTCCTTGCCTTGTCAACTTCAATTCTCTGTAAACCGTCATCCACACTCTAAAAAATTGAGATGGAGGATAAAATATTCACATGCCGTATTTTCTAGAGATTGTTCTTTGGAAGCAGTCTAATTGATATTTATTTCTTATAAACTATATCTCAAATATATGAACACTTTGCCTCTGATTAAAAAGTGTTACTTTTTGCTTAATTGTGATATAGTTTTATATGTAGCAGTTTCATGTTATGTTAGATTCTTTCATTTATATTATAAGACCTTGTTAGATATGTTTCTGAGTGTATATGCATAGGAATATATTATGGTAATGAAAAAAATTTAGAGTGAAATCACTTTTTTTAAAACATTTACATTTTATATTCTTATGTTGGTCTCCTTGTAGGTCTTTTGCCTGCATTGAGCATGACTTACAGGTGCAAATACTTTATTTGTAGAAATCTGACATTTTTCCTGTGCCTCAAATGTGTATTTGTGTTCTTTAAGACAGTACAAATGAGAAGCACCTTAGATGCATATTCAGGTTCTCTTCTGGACCACTGCAAGTTAAAATTATATACCATTTACCAGGAATATCTTTCAACTTGGGCCTCTAAAGAATAATGTTTCTACTTCTGGGAAATAGTATTCTTAAGGAACCCATGGGATCTGGCAGTCAAATGGCTCTCCAAAAACAAGTCAGGATGACCTAATTTCCCCAGGTTTATTACTGTGCCATACACTCTTCTAGGTTATTGCTAATTAAATGATTTACCACTAAATAAGGGATTCATTTAAAATATTTTAAACAGTTAATTGAAAAACATAGCTCAGGTTTCGAATATAATTTAGCCCTAAAACCGTCTGTAACTCTATTATGTGATAACACAAAGATTTGATAAGAGCTAAATGAGACACAGGAGAGTGGTGCACTGGAAAATACTCAGAAATGGGATGAAAATGGCACATGTGGAATGAAGAGATGATGTATATATGTAAAATAACCCTAGTAAAGATATAAGAAAAATAAAATGTTTAGAGAAACTATGGACAAGGGAAAACAATCACAACAACAAAAGCATGCTAGATAACTCTAGCAGTATTATAGCCCCTACTTTCAGATAAATTTATTGATATCAACATGAAAAAAATCATCAATGTTTGAGTCACTGTTAAAAAAAATAAACGATTTTTTTCTATTTATATTAGTGCCACAAAACCATGATGAAATTTCATTCCAATTCTGCTAAATATCAATATCTTTGAGAAAAGTTCAACCTTTTGTGACTTTCGGCAACTAAACCTCAGAAATCTCACAAGAATCTACCAAAGTTTCCAACTCCAGTGTTTATTGAAACTTTTGTAATATGGATGGATACTGCAGAAATAGGCACCGAGTTATAGTTAGTGATAGAAATATTCTACAATATGGAAAGACTGTCTTATGTTTTTTGATCCATGAATTCCCTGAAGACCTGAAAAATCTGCGATAATTGACAGAGAAAATACTTGAACAGGCAGGGTCCAAAATAACTATTTTCCAGGAGGAAATATATATCCTTGTAACTCTCAGGATGATAAGACAACCCAATTCTAGTTATACTTTCTTTCTTATATTCAAAAAGCCATATTATAACTGAATTGTGTTTCTTTAAAAGTCACATTGAAATGACTTTATTTTTAATTTTGTGGGTTAAGTTACATGCTTCAGTATCCTAAGACGCATCTTCTAAGTGGAGCTAATATAAATATTTGCCCTTTCCAATGAGAATGGGAAGTGCTGAGCTGACACTAAGGCCAAGTATTACTGGTATCACTAATATGAATGTTTAGGAGCTGCTTAATGCTATTAATATTACATGGATGTTTTGACAAATAGCAGGGGCCCAGAAGAATTTGTGTGGACTGTGAGCCTCCCATATTAATCTTGGCTGACCAAAGTGAATTTTTAAAGTGACAAGAGGCTATGTAGCAAATTTGTCCTGTTTTCAACAGCAGCCATAACTTCTTTGCTGCCTGGGTCAGGAAATGCTGGTGTTTTTAATCTGAGATTACCCCCAAAATGTACTATTACTAAACTGTTTGTTATTACATGTGTCTTAAATGAAAAGCTCTAAAGGCACAGATGTTCTTCATGAAGAAAACCCAGCAATATAATTAATTCTATCCACCCCTTTTTTGTTCTTGCTTTATCTTTGAATGAAGATTTGCCTTGTGATACGGTTATGCTTTTTATCCCCACTCAAATCTCATCTTGAATTACAATCCTTATAACCTCCACATGTCAAGGGAGAGACCAGGTGGAGGTAATAGGATCATGAGGTCAGTTTCCCCCATGCTGTTCTCATAATAGCGAGTGAGTTCTCACGAGATCTGATGGTTTTGTAAGTGTCTGTTGGTTCCTCCTGCAGTTATACTCTCTTCTGCTGCCATGTGAGAAGGCCCAGGCTTGCTTCCCCTTCACCTTCCGCCATGACTGTAAGTTTCTTGAGGTCTCCCCAGCCATGCGGAACTGTGAGTCAATTGAACGTCCTTTCTTTATAAATTACCCAGTCTCGGGTATTTCTTTGTAGCAGTGTGAGAATGGACTAATACACCTTCCATCCGCTAACCTCTTATTGCTTTTCTCCTTTACTCCTAAAATCTATGACCAAGAAGAAAAAAGTATCATTTCTCCTGTATAAGATAGGTCCGTATTATTACGGAATTGTTCCAAATGAAATTCCAAGCATACCTTTAAAAACTGTAGGTATAAAATTGCCTTAGGCTAAGGTCACACGCAACCAGTGAATTTTCTGAGGAGTTACAGAGAAAGAACAGGGGAAACAGTGTATCATTTTTGTAAAAACTTGGTGTTACTGAACAGTGTTTTGCATAATCTTTGTGGATGCTGATTGTTCTGCATAAACAAGCGTCTCCCTAATTTAGCCAATATAAATAATTTGCGTGATGTGTTTGTTTTGTTTCCTATTTTCCCTGAAAAACATCCAGGAAAATATTACAATAGATCTTATAAACAGAAAAAAAGTTATAAATGTATTATAGAAGACAATTTTATAAGAAGGATTTCTTGACGTTTCTTACCAAGAGGTTTTACAGTAAATTAGCAGAAGTGCGCAGAGTTCATGTTTTATTTGCTCTTGCATTGACAAGTATTGCTAACCATTCTAAACTGGCTCCCAAGAAAACTTTCCAAATACAGTTTTACTTTATCTTTCTTATGTGGAGATTTAGCTCTTTTAAAAATCCTTCTTATATTTTTAAGTGGACAATAGAAAACTGAAATATAAGCCCCTTTGAAGTTTAATGAACTAAATCTGAACAGAAAAGAGTTCAGTTCTGACACTTTTACCTGCCATTGCCTTTCGCAGATGGACACATCCACATAGACATAAAAAAAAGTCTACAGCAAATACAAAAGATTTTTTCCTGTGGTGTTAAGATTAGACACAAGTTGAAACTTTTAAAGCCTATGTGAAAAGCAGTTGATGATAAGTACTTGGGGGAATCAGAAGTTAAATAATTTATTTTGCAAGCAGGTTGTTGAATTTAATGAGAGACGAAGTACCTTTAATGGGAGGTAGGAGGCTGAAGCATCCCCAGTGTGGAAGTCTGATACTTAACCTGCTCTGCTCCTCCCATATTGTCCACCTCGCTGGTTTTTGAATATGGCCAAGCATAAAACTGCTTTGGATTTTTGGCATTTGCTGCTCTCCATATCTGGAACAGCCTTATTCTATATGGCTCACTCCATCACTCTGCCTACATGTCGGTTTAAATGTCACCTTATTATTATAACTTAATTTCCAATCCTCTTATTTAAATAGCACTCCCCCTGCCCCATCAACCTATAACCCTGTTATTTGCTTTTTTTTTCTTCATAACATCTGTAACCACCTATATATGTTTTGTTCACTGTTGTATTCCCAATGTTTAGAACAGTGTCTGGAGCTCTACAGGGGCTTGATTTATATGTGCTAAATAGAAAAATAATTTGAACAATTATATCTATTATCCAGTGAAATCTTCTCAGTGTATCTCAAATACTACAGTGATACTTACTGAGTATGTTATTAGAATAAATGGAATAGGGTGGTTTTGAAGGATGTTTGACCTAGGTTTAAAACTTTTTTTATTTTTTGAAGATGTTTTTCTTCAAAAGATAATATTTCTCTCCTTATTATATAGTTCATTCTCATTGTGTAATCAAAAAATCTGCTTTAGAGAATTCTGATAAATTTTTCTTTTTAAATATTCTACTTAAGTCCTTATGATGTGTCTCGATGTCTTCATTAAGATTTCCACTTCATTTTGGAGTATAATTGTTGTTTGGGAGCCTACTGTGCTTTATAATCAATTAACATCTTAAAGCAACTATGTGGCACGGGAGCCCTCTGCCTGACACAGGTTCTGACAGACTAACTTTGTATTGGTTTTTCTAACCTTCTTGACGTATTCGGTTGTAGGTAACATCAGTTGCCATTTGTTGGGAGCTCCTCATTAGGTATGGCCTCCCTGGAGACATCCACCTGGCAGAATGAAGATAGAGAGGGAGTAGTTTGAGGTGTAAATCCTAGAGGCTTTATTGACTTCTTTTTATGTATTTACACAAAGGGAATAGGGTTTATGTCCTAAAGTGCAACTTATGGTAAAAAGCTTTCACAAAATTTTAGAGGAACTAAATCTTTCCTCACAAAATCACCATTTATAAGCCTTATGTGTTAATTGGTTCAGGCTGTTACAACAACTTGCCGTAGGCTAGATGACTTAAACAACAAACATTTATCTATCACAGTTCTGGAGGCTGGGAAGAGTCAAGGAAGCTGTCAGGTCAGTTGTTCGGTGAGGGCCTGCTGAGTGTTAACATAAAGAAGATCCATAAACTCTATTACATTATGGAGAATATTAAAACATCTTAATCTAAGCACACCCTAATCACAAACAAAGATAATCAAGGATGTTTTGTTAGTTAAGAGTTTTTGGCTTCAAGGAGCAGAGACCCACCTTTATTTCTCAATTAATGGAGGTTTTGTGCTAAGGATACATATAAAATCAGGAGAAAGAAATTTTACTGAAATAAGAAAATAAGGAATACTTGAGTTTTATGATAGCACTAATGCAGAACTGGAGGGTAATTCAACATCAAAGTCATCACAAATTCATTTTACTCCATGTTCTTACTCAAGTCCTCTCTATTCCTCTTCCCATTGCTCTTGAACCTTACCTTCCTGGGTTAAACCACACATAGTCATCATATATTACTGGATTTGACTTGCTAAAATTTGGGTAGCATATCTATCTATTTTTGCATATTTATTCATGAAAAATATTGGTATGTAATGTTCTTTTATGTTAACATTTTTGTCTGGTTTTGATATCTGTATAATTCCACTAATACATCATGACCAGGTAGTAATTATCCTGGATGTAAGGTTGTTTTAACATTCAAAAATGTATCAGATAAAATCACCATATTATAAACTGAAAGGAACAAACCAAATCAACACTATTATTAATGAGATAAAGCATTTGAAAAAAATCCAACATTCATTCCTGACAATATGTCAACAAAGTAGAAATGGCAGGTAACTTTCTCAACCTGATAAAGTTCAGATATAAAAAAATATACAACTAATATCTTGTTTAATAGTGAAAGACTTAAAGCTTTCTCCCAAGATTAGGAAAAATACAAAGGTGTCTGGTCTTATCAATTTTGTTTAACATTAAAACAGAGGCCCTAGCCAGTGCAATAAGATAAAGAAATTAAAACTAAAGGCACTCATGTCACTAAGAAATAAGTAAAACTTTATTCAAACATTTTATAAAAAATGTAATGAAATATATAAAATGATATTAGAACCTATGAGTTTGACAAACTTATAGATTATATAAAAATCAGTTATATTTCTATATGTTAGCAACCAACAATCAAAAATTAAAAATAAAAAATTGTACCATATGTATTAACAGCAAAAATATGAAGTTATTAAGGAAAAATCTGATAAAACACCAAAAAAATCTGTGCACTGAAAACTGCCTAAAATTGCAGACAGAAATTACTGAAGGTCTAAGTATACTGAGACCCATACTATACCCATGGGTCTTTAGTACTAGTTTTTGTTTTGTTTTGATTTGGCAGAAAATGAAAAAAAAATTTCTAAAATTCACAGGGAAATGCAGTAATCTAGAGAAGCCAAAACATCTTTGAAATAGAAGAACCAAGTGGGAGGACTAACACTATCTAATATCAAGACTTCTTATAATGTGATTTTAATCAAGGCAATGTTGTATTTGTACAAATATTAGAAATAGATCAATGGAATAAAACAGAGATTCCAAAAATAGAGCTACACGTATATGGACAGTGATATTCTTTAAAAGGTGTAAAAGCAGGTCAAAGGAGAAAGAATCATATTCTCATTAGATGATGTTGGAATAATCAAATAATATGCAGAAGATAAAACAAAGCAAAACACATGAAAATGTCATCATAACATAAAATCAATGTCAATTCATTATTTGAACATAACACAAAATGGATATTAGACCTAAATATGAAATTTAATACTATACAATTTCTAGAAGAGAACACAGGATTCTCTGGGCTAGGATTTACTAGATACAACATCAAGAGCATGGCCTATAATAAAGTCAGAATTCACCAAAATTAAAAATTCTGCTTTTCATAAGACACTGTTAAGGGAATAAAAAGGCAAGGTACAGTATAGGAAAAAACATTTGCAAAGCATATATATGGCAATGGATGTGTCTTCAGAATATATAAAGAACTTGTAAAACTCAACAATAAAGAAAATAAACAACCTATGTAAAAATAGGCAAAAGATTTGAATAGATTCTTCACCAAAGAACATATACTGGTATTAAATAAACATGTTAAAAGACACTCAATATCATTGGTTATTTGGGAAATACAAATTAAAATCACAATGAGATAACATTATACACTAAGTGCTGGCTAGGTTATTGAAGATCTAGAATTGCCGTTCACTCCGTTATGAATGTAAAATGGTATAACCACTTTAGAAAATAGCTTGGCAGTTTCTTAAACAGTTAGAAATAAACTTACCTATTCCATTCCTAGATTTTTAGTTAACTAAAGCATTGTTCCTATGAAAACTTTTACATGAATGTTCATATCATTTCTATTTGTGATATAATAGCTAAAAACTGGAAACAGTCCAAATGTCCACGAGCAGATAAATAGATAAACAAACCATTGTATATTTGTAAACTAGAATACTAGTCAACAATAAAAAGAAATTTATGCTACACCATATATGTAACTGTTAGTGAAACAATTATGCTGAGTGAAAGAAGCCATTGAAAATAGGACACAATGTATGGTTCTTCTATCTCTACAAAATACTAAGAAATGAAAATTAACAAAGATTGGTAAAAAGCAGATCAACGATTGCCTTCTATGGAAGGAAGGTGGACAGGAGTAAGAGAGGGATTGCAAAGGCACAAGGAAACGTCTGGAGGTGATAGATTTATTCAACATTTATTTTCTTCAACTTTCATTTTAAGTTCAGGGGTATATGTGTAGGATGTACAGGTTTGTCACATAGGTAAATGTGTGCCATGGTGGTTTGCTGCACAATATCTTCATTGTGATGGTTTCATGGGTATAAATATGTTGATATACATATATGTTTATATATCATAAATCAAATTGTACACATTAAAATGTGCAAAATTTATGTTGAGCATGTTTCAATAATTCTATTTTAAAACAAAGCAAAACAGAAAACTCCACCATAAGCACCATTATCTATGTACCTGGACCTTCTGTTCCAGGCCACCTCATAGGTGTCACTGGTTGTAAGAATTGGTTGGCACCAGGTCAAGGGCTCACTGATGAATTTATCAGCTGTGGGTAGAGTATGGTGATGTATCCATCTGTTGTCAGCTTAAAAACTTCTATTAAGTAATTGTCTTAGGCTGAAGGGAGCTGTTGGTTTGCAGGCATTCTGAGGCTGGACCTATGTAGTACACCGTCTAATATAAGAGAAAATGGAGATGTTACCAAGAATAGGGATAAAATAAGCTAGGCAACTCTGAGACATTCCTTGCCATCTGTTGCCCTTTAGGCTGGTTGATGTGTCTGGTTCAGTTGTGACCCTTTCACACTTCTCTAGCACATCCAATACTCTGGTAGTTTCAAGTTTCACAATCCACATTCCAAAAAAATTAGATGTTGCTTAGACTTTGGATTTTGGTTTGAAATATGATGCTACATTTTATCAGCCACACTTTAACATCTGGCTAAGGCTACTAATTAATACTCAAGGAAATTTATAATTGTTCAGTAGGGGAAAAAGAATGTAAGTTAACCACAAATCCTGTCAGGATTGGAGAGTGAAGAGATGCCCATGTTTCATTGCTATGTAATACTCAGATATAAGCTCTCTCTGCCTTATACAATTTAGTTGTTCTCTCCTAAAAATGTTACACAGATTGAATAGTTATGTATTTATGAAATCTAGATGTTTAGTGGGCAGATTTTAAGACAATTGCAAAAGAGGAGAATAAGAGTTAAAACAATTATAAAGTAGATATCTTACATGGTTCCATAAATACATATTTGTTAAGCATTTTCTGTGTGCCAGGCATTATATTGGAACAGCATAAACAGTAGTGAACAAAAATTAGCTTGTTTCTTTTCTTCATAGAAGTTATAGCACAGGAAATGTGTACAATTAGACGTGTAGTTCATCCCAAACTCCCGCTCCTAGATCTTTTTTTCTCTTTCCCACATGATGTGATTTGGCTGTGTGCCCACCCAAATCTCATCTTGAATTCCCACGTGTTGTGGAAGGGACCAAGTGAGGGGTGACTGAATCATGGGGGCTAGTCTTTCCCATGCTGTTCTGGTGATGGTTAAGTTTCATGAGATCTAATGGTTTTAAAAAGGGGAATTTCCCTGCACAAGCTCTCTTCTCTTGTCTGCCACCATGTGAAACGTACCTTCCACCTTCTGCCATGATTGCGAGGCCTCCCCAGCCACGTGGAACTGTAAGTGCAGTAAACCTATTTCTTTTGTAAATTGCCCAGTCTCTGATATGTCTTTATCAGTGCCATGAACGTGGGCTAATACACCATACAAATTATTCTCATTCAGTAAGTATGTACTTATATTATTAATGTTATGGAGCATCTAGAAATGAGATGATTTTGGTATAAGATCTTTTTGAAAGTAAGCTTTTCCTCCTTCTCCTCCTCCTCCTTGTCCTTTACCCTTCTTCTCCACTTTCTTTATCATTTTCTACTTTTAATTTTGAAGTAATTTCAGGTGTACAAAAATGTTGCAAGATTAGAGCAAAGCATTCCTATATACTATACCCTAACCCAGATTCTCCAAATGTTAACCTTTACCTCTCTTGCTTGCTTTATAATTCTCACTCTTCCTCCCTTCTTCTCCCTCTCCTCTTTTCCTCCCTATTTCTCTCTTCCAACCCTGGCCTTTCCATAGGTATGATTACAAATGTAGATATAAGTATAGATGCAAATATAACTGTAGTTATATATTTTTTTCCTGAAACACTTGAGAGTAAGTTACAAACATGATACTCTTTACATCTAAATACATTAGTGTACAGTTTATGTCACTTAGCCACATTACAATAAACAAAATCAAGAAACTAACATTAATAACATTACAGTCTAACTTAGAAGCCATATTCCAATTCAGCCATTTATACCACTAATATTCTAAACCAATCCAGGATCCCATGTTGCCTGTAGTTCTCATATCTTTTTATTTTCCTTTACTCTAGAACAGTCAGTTTTTCTTTGCCATTCATGACAGTTACTTTTTTTTTAAAGAATACAGACCAGTTATTTTGAACAATGTTCCTCAGTTTGGGTCTGTCTGATGTTTCCTTATTAGATTTAAGCCATGTATTTTTGGCAGGAGTACAACAGGAGTGATGTGTTTTTCTCAGTGCAGCATGTTGTCTTTAGTGAAACAGTAATTTAACTGTCCATTTGGTAAAGGTGGTGTCAGCCAATTTTCTTTAATGTAAAGTTACCATTTTTGTCTTTGTAATGAATAACTATCTTGTTGTGAGCTACTTTGAGATTATATAATCATCCTGTTTCTCACTATACTTTTATGCAATAATTCTTTGATGAGTCTTGCCTGAAATAATTATTACTAGCATGGTTTCCAAATAGTGATTTTTCTATTTCTATCGTTCGTTCTACCTTTGTTAGTTGGAATTTTATTGTAAAGAAGAGTTTTACTTTCTACCCTGCTAAACTTCTTTTCTGAGGTCTCTGCATTCATCTATCTGTCCATCCATCTATTTTCTTTTTTATTTATCCTTTGCTTCATTTCATATGTACTAAATGTATAGTCTTATTTCATTTCTCTGACTTAATTAGATTTTCATAAAAGACTCCCTTAGTGATGTTCCTGCTCACTACTTTATTTATGTATCATTACATGTGCCTACTACTGCTTTCTATAGAGTTAATGAGTAATTTATATCAGAAAACATAAAAGTCCATTCTTTAAAATCTGTTAGAGGCTTGTCTATGAGGGAGACTCAAGCTTTCTAAGGTGACCTTCATCAGATGAATCTGCATATGTTCATGAACATATGTTTGGACTGTCTGTGCTCCTCCCCTAACCTCCTTGTCAAGATGATCCCCAGTTGGATTGTTGACTGAAACTGTAAGGCTTACTTACTATAGATTTGGTATTTTTATCAAGTTTGGTTGAGTGTCTGACTCAAGTCTCACTCTTTATATTTATTTCAACTATAAGATTTCTTATGTCTTCTTATGATCTCTCTAACATCTGTCCATGGTCTGATCAGATTTGAACTTCCCAGATTTGAGATTTTAGTGACACATACAAAGATTATGGAATAAAAATAACATAATCAGAGATGCCATTTATTCAGTGCTTAATGTGTATCCCAGGTACTTTACATATAATATTTAAAAATCTCATAAAACCCTATAAGATCCATGTGTATATCTCAATTTTTAAAAAGTCTTTTGCCTGGTGTTCAGAGAAGCTAAATAATCGGACTGAGCTCGAAGCTAACAAGTAGAAGGGCTGGCATTCAAATACAGGTTTGTCCTAATGGAAAAGGCCATTTTTTCCGTTTGCATTAAACATTGATAATATATCTGTTAACAGTGATAAATATACACAGGAATAATAATGATAGTATATGAAATTATTAAGAATAAAAACTGTAGAGATTCTGTGGCAGAAAAATGAAGTTCTCTTCTTCCCAAAGTGCAGCAGAGTACTCAAATTGCAAGTGTTTATTTATTTTATTTGGCTTTACTTGTTTTGTTCCACTTCTTGCTTTCCTCCTTTGTAGAATCAGTATACTTAAAAATCTACACACATGCTCAAGAAATTATGAAGAAGCCTTAAAATCCATAAAAGCCATAATAATGATAATGTTACTTTATCCCCATGAAGATTTATACCTAGCGCCAAGATTTATACCTAGCACCAAGCTTATACATAGCTATAAGTTGAATATATGAAATTAAATTTTTTGTTTCCAACAGCAGGTGGTGGTGCAGGGTTATTCTATCAAGTTACAGGATTTAATTACAGATACTACTGTGTTGTTGAAAGTGATATGGAACATGTATTTTAATTTTGGAAGCATTTATATTACCTTATTATGATTTACTTTATAAAATAACTTCTTTGAAAAAATTACATACTCATATATAATTTTAGAAGAAAGAAAATGATTAGATATATACAAAATACATACCCTTTAAATCATTTAAGCAGTTTAGAACTTCATATAATTATGTAAATAATTTTGATATGTATTTTTGATAATATGATTTAATATTGAGAATTAAATATTTATATCAAATGTACTCTAAATTTATAATTATTAGAAAAATAATAGTACTAAATGGAGGGACTAAACAAATCTTTGTTATTTAGTAAAAGAATGGACAAAAATGTTTATTTTTGCTTCTTTAATTTCTAGATGATATAATGATTATCTTTAATCACTTTCTACTAAACCTACAATGTACTATGCATTTTCTATTACTCATCTATCCATATTCCTACTCAACTATCTTCAATGTCACTAAATAATTTATTTTGAATCTTGGCTACATTTTAGCTCTTAATTGGTTTAAGTAAAACTTAAAGACAGTAGTATCTTCCAGAATCTTTGATCCAGGGATGGGTTTCATTGGATGATGGTTTTCATTGGATGATAGGTTTCATTGGATGATAAGGAAAGAGTCTATTTCACTCTTTTAAAAAGCCATCGCTCTTACCAGTGAAATACTATTTGGATATTGTAGTCCTCTAGGCCATGATGATAATTATGATGTTAAATTAGTTGAGTCAGTTTTTCAGAGGTCCCAGGCCACACAATGCAAATGTAATATTTATAACCTCAAATGATTCATAGACAATACTAGGCAGCAGATGGCATCTCTAAAGATTTTAATGACTGTTTTGCAGAGCCTGCTTTACGGCAGATGGAATGGAGGAGGGGAGAGACAGGTGTCTGGGAACTGTTGGAATGAGGTAGAGTCAGGTGGTTGGCAGGAATTAGGGGTCCTCTGGAAGGAACAGAGGTTAAAAAGAAATAGAGTGAGTTGGCAATATAATTAAAAGTGCTGTATATCAAAGTCTACAACACGGAGATGTGGGGACTGTTTATATTTTATTTTGGGCCCAATCTATATGACTTCAACATTTTTTATTGTAGTCTCTTAGGATTGGAACTGAAGTTTAATATCCACTATTCTAAATGACCAGCCATATCAATGGCAAGGTCAATAAGGAGTAAGATTAATACTTCCAAATATCTGCTTACAGAACCACTTTGAAAGAAAGTGCTTAACCAAACTGAGCCTTCTACCCTATCCCGAACCCCCTGCAGCTGCCATCATTTCAGAATAGAGAGCCACCCAACATAACAGAAAAAAAAACTTCAGCTTATCTTAAAATGAAGAACAACAATAGCAGATAGATTCTAAAGCTCTCTTAAATTTTAAAAAATTTGTTTTGTATTTGATATTCAGTGTATGATCTAAAGACAGGAATAAAACAAACAAACACACACACACACACACACACACACACACACATATTCATTCTGAAAGCTACAAACTAGACTACTGAAACAGAAGCTCCTTAGTGTGGAAACTTGGGGTTCACATTTAATAGAATCCCTCCATACAACTATTATGAACAGGATAGTTGAGAACCACTGGTTTGTACACTTTGAAGACTGTTCCTAAAAGTAATGGCCTCAAAATATAGTGCAATGAACAAAACAAAATAAAAAGAAGTAGCACAGGTAGGGGCAAATTCAGTTTATATGGCTTGAAGCTATAAATATTGAGGCTCTCTTTATGAAATAAAATAAAAAACTACAAATACAACATTAGATACAGTGTCTTTTGAGAAAATCTACTTCTGAGGCATGAACATTGAAGATAGCTTTGTTTATTACCAGCCTGGACTTGTTTCTGGGCTTTTCTGAGTTGAGAATAATGACTTCCTTCAGCTGCCAATTTCAAATGAGTTCAGTCCCTTATAAAACAGTGAAACACCCCACAGCTATAGGGGTATCATCCTCTTCACCTCTGACTACCTAGTGCATATGCAGTCCTGTGAAATGAATAGAGAAAACTGGACAAGATATTGAGATAGTAGGACAAGTATGCTTGCTGGCATCCTCTACTTTGCTCCAGCCTTTGCGGAGAAATCCAACACTCATTCACACACACGCAAGCTTTAATGAACATTTGTTGAATAAATAACTAAATGATGAATGAATGAATGAATGAGTGAATGGATGAATGAAAGCTGCTATCATAAAATACCTTGGTTGTATAGAATCTTAGAAGTGACTTGCTCTTTTGAGAACTTTAAATTTATTTACTGTATGTTAGGAAAAATATAATTAATTAAGCTGGGTGGAGTTTATGGCTAAGGACCTACTAGAGGAAGTGCCTTTTTGCAAAGCTTTGGAAGGAAGGAATGTGTGTTTATTGAAAAGTAACGATAAGGTTTCTGACTAGAAAACTGGGGCTTCAGGGGCTCTACAACTTCCCAAGATCACAGGTTCTTGGATATTGAATATTACACAAGATGTTAGAAATAAGATTCAAATCTCAAACTCTCTTATTTTATACCGGTTTTTTTTATTATATAATTTTAAGAATTAAAATATTTTTTCTATTTTGTAAAATTATGTGAAGACAAGTAACCTGTGTATTTTAATATTTTCCCCTTTGATAATATAATTTTTAATTTTATGCATTTATTTGTAAAATGTTTTACTAAGATCAAAAAGGGCTACATTTCCTGGTAACAGCCACAAGATTGTCTAAATCCTACCCTTCCTGCCCACAGTGTGAAAAATACGAGAACCCTAAATTATGCACATATACACATACATCATGCACACATGCAGTCATATATATGTATATATGTATATATGTGTATATATATACACTTGTACATATATCCAGTCATTTTCTAAAAAGCAGAACAAGGAATTTCAAAATAGATTTTAAATGTCACGTTTAGATGTTTGCTTATTCCACTATTTAAACATATGCAGGCCAGTACATAAAAATTAGCTACAAATTAGACCAATTTTTAAACTGAGCTGAAAACAACTGGGAACATTATGGGTACATAGGTTAAATAAGTAATTTATGCTTATTTTGTTTTTTTATCATGCCCTGTGTTAATTTTAATTAAACATATATCATGGCCAGGTGCAGTGGCTCACGCCTGTAATCTCAGCACTTTGGGAGGCCAAGACAGGTGCATCACCTGAGGTCAGGAGTTCGAGACCAGCCTGGCCAACATGGTGAAACCCTGTCTCTACCAAAAAAAAAACAAAACTTAGTTGGGCATGGTGGCACATGCTGTAATCCCAGCTCCTCGGGAAGCTGAGGCAGGAGAATTGCTGGAACCCAGGAGGCGGAGGTTGCAGTGAGCCGAAATTGCGCCACTGCACTCCAGCCTGGGCGACAGAGTGAGACTTCATCTCAAAAAAACAAACAACAAAATTTAATTAAACATAAATCAAAATAAACAAGGAATTAGCGGAAGTTACAGGTTAGATAAAGTGAGTTTAACAAATAATTATGAGTAGCTTTTTTCTTATTTTCTGCAGGGCACCATTATAAACTGGCAGTCCTGAAGGACCTTGTCTTAGAGTTGCTTATGGGAATAAAAATGCTTTATTGTGTGTGTTTGTATGTTTCTAAAGGAAAAAAGATCTATCCCCTTTTCTTGACTGGAAAAACCTGGGTTTAAGCCAACCTGATTTTACTCTATAAATATTTAAATCTCCTTTCTTTTCTCTAGTCATTTCTGATAATTCCTCTACTTTATACTGATAGTGTGGTAGACTCTGAAGACACATGTCGTAGGTGCATCTGGTGGTGACCGGGGTGCAATTTAAATTCACAAGAGCAACCCCAAATGGAGTGGGCGAGTGGCCAAATTACAAAGTTCTATGCATCCATAGGAATACACCAGATAATTAGGGATTCTAATTAGAAAAGTAATATATTATTATGGAATGAGCTCCAGGCTTCTGGAAGCTCATTTAAAATGTTAAGTTTCTTTGGAAGGTCTTTATGTTTTCTTTTCATTTGAAGACCCAAATTCCTTTTGCAAAAATCAGTTTTAACTTAAAACCTTTAACATGTCTGCCTTTAATTAATTTTCAGGGTTCAAGGACTGTACATTGTAGGTTTATCCTATCAATTTGATTCTCAAATCCTGGTAGATGTCCCCAAAAGAAGAAAAGAAAAAGCATAAAACTCCATACTCAAAAGTGCCCATTAGTCAGCTTTCACCATGCCAAGTTGTCAAGCGATATCACAGTTATGATCTTTAAAGCATTCAAAAAAAGCTGGAGAACTTTGTGTGAAGAGCTGGATTTTATGGCTTTTGTGTGTGCCAAAGGGATTGTCCAACAGAAAGTACCCTGGAAAGCCTAATTATTACTCCACATATAGTACGTGGCATTATAAGCTATTTTGAGGTTTTTGGAAAGGGAGAGCTATGAGTGACAACCACAGCAGGGCGTGCTGAGGAATTTAAACCCAACTCTATCATCTCCCTGTTGGCAGAACATAAAACACATAATGCTGTTTTAGTAATCAATCTTTCATGTATTTATTTTAAGGAAAAATAATTTCATTAAAACTTACAGAGTGGGAAAAGGAGTGATATAAAAGTCAACACAGTACATTTATATTCAATGAGAATTATTTTTTAAAACATTATGGCTGCTATTTACAAGGGTGGCGTTCGTTTTATACTTAAAATCACAGCAGCTTTTGTAACACTTTTTTTAGGAAATAATGAAAAATCTGATTTGGATTACGACTCAAGTTGAATATTTTTAAGAACTCTTTAATTCTTATACATGTCAGTTGTATAAACAAAATAATGTTGGGAGAATGAACTCAGAAACTTAGAAGCTATCAGTCATTTTTCAGATTTGCCTCTATGCTTTGTTATTCTATTATGTTTGAAAGGGTCTTCAGACAGAGATGAGAATTTAAAGACAATAAATGAAGAGCATTGTTTTATGATTGTGACTTCAATATGCAAGTCTAGTGAGAACTATCTCTAAGTCAGATTTGTGGATATGTCAGTACTGTTTAAAATGAAATTCAGCTGTCTCCCCTCTCCATCCTGGAAGCATTTTATACGTCAGCATTGTCTACTGTTTAGTTGCAGAATATTTTGCTCAGTGGTCATTATAACTTTGGAGGGCACGCCTTAATGCCTAACATGTGTAAAAGGTATTTACCTATAGTAACCAGTAATTTTACTTACATTTTCTCCCAAGCATTGTGGAATCTCAAAAGCCTTCGACTCTACGCTTCAAGTCCAAAAAAACTAAGCAGATTTGTGATACCACTTCTTTTTCATGGTTCTAGATAAAACAAGTAAGAATTTTCTTTCTAGTAAAATAAATGGATTTGCTTCTCTGGTTTTCTACTCTAAGTACTAAGAAAAAGGGAGGTACAATACTTAAAGTTAAGGATTATTGTAACTAGGATAGAATAAATAGAAACAATTAATTTTCCCCGTAGATCTATATCCATGACCAAGGATAAATGAAAACTGTGACATTAGGATTTGAGACAGTGTTTTGCTATTTTGTGGTTATTTCAGACTTACTGTTTTAAAGCAAAATCAACTTATTACCATTTTGAAAATGAGAAAAACCAAATCCAAGTTTTGATTCAGACTTTACTAATAGTTCTATGTCACATGATTAATAAACCTCTGGGGGATATAACTTTTAAATATTATAATAAAAATAAATGATATTTGGCTTTTTGTTTTTCCCTTTGAGGGTGAAATAGAGCTAATGGTCTTTGAATCTGACCTCTTTGCTGCTATTCCCATTTTTTCCAAAAGGTGGCGCATGTGTAATCTTTTTCTTTATCAGGGTGCAAAGAACCTGGGGAGCCAGAGGGACCTGAGTGAATTTTCAGAATTGTTTTTCTTCAACAAACTCAAGGTGGCCACATCAGAAATCTGCATTTCTGCAATGGCAGTTTCTTTATGCTCAAAGAACCCTTCAAATAAGAATTAATCTGATTTTGTGAAAGAAAAACATGCTTCCTATGCTTCCCATCTTAGTTTGGTTTAAACTTTGGAGTTCTTTTTGCCAAGTTTATTTTATAATGTTTTTCTTCCTTTCTGATCTTAGACTAAAGTTCTATTTTTTTAAAGATAACCTTGACTCATGTGGAGTTGTCCTTCTTAATTAGAATTCATAAGCAACACACAAGTATGTCTGGACTCTGTCTAAACAAAGCTCTTTGACAGCACAAATGCAGAAGGATAAATCTATCAGACAGGAGAAATCTTTTGAACTATGGGCAGATAAGAGGGAGTCAGAAGTACAGAGGGAAAGGAAAACATGTTGGAGAGATTCTGATGATGAGACAGGAATTCACAGATGAGACCTAAAATCAAACACACAGTTTTTCCCAGCAATTCACTTAAATGTGCTTCCAAACTCTGTAGCTGAAAGAAAAATTTAAATATGATCTAACGAAGTCCAACCACTTCACTTTACAGATGAGGAAACCAAGTCCCAAAAGATGAAGCCATGTATTTAGTGAAACACAACTGAATTCTGTTCTGTTTCTGGTGAAATAATACAAGAATCTGTCAAAGAGGTGTGTTAAGTCACAAGTTGCAGAAAGCAAGACTTAATAGTTTTGAAAATTGTAGTCTTTTAAATCATGATTCTTTTTTATTTAGGCTTGTATTATTTTGGTCACTATGCTGTTTTAGACACTCTCCTCTGCTCCACAGATGAATATGGTCATTCATTAGCCATTAAGTTGTAGATCTGTGCTGTCCAATGCAGTAGCCATTGGCCACTTGAGTATTTCATTGAATTTTAAACTAATTTAAATGAAATGAAATGAAAAATTTAGTTCATCCATTGCACTAGCCGTATTTCAAGTGCTTAGCAGTTGCATGTAGCTAGTGGCTGCTATTTAAACAGGGCACATATACAGGCATAATTGTACTTCACTTTATTGTGCTTTGCAGATATCGCATGTTTCACAAATTGAAAGTTTGTGGCAACTCTGCATGGAGCAAGTCTATTGGTGCCATTTTCCAACAACATGTGCTCACTTCGTGTCTCTGTGTCCCATTTTGGTGATTCTCACAATATTTCAGACTTGTTATTTCTGTTATGGTGAACTGTGATCAGTGATCTTTGATGTTACTGTTGTAATTATTTTGGAGTGCCATGAACCACACTCATATAAAACAGTGAACTTAATAGTAAATATTGTGTGTGTTACGATAGCTCCACCAACTGACCCTTCCTTCATCTTTCTTCCTCTCCTTAATTTATCTCCCTCTCCTTGGGCCCCCCATTTTCTGAGACACAACAATATTGAAATTAGGCCAACTAATAACTCTAAAATGGCCTCTAAAATGATCAAGTGAAAGGAAGAGTCACATGTCTCTCACTTTTAATCAAGAGCTAGAAATGATTAAGCTTAGTGAGGAGGGCATGTTGAAAGCCAAGACAGGCTGAAAGCTAGGCCTCTTGTGCCGAATAGTTAGCCCAATTGTGAATGCAAAAGAAAAGTTCTTAAAGAAGATTAAAAGTGCTACTCCAGGTCAGGTGTGGTGGCTCACCCCTGTAATTCTAGCACTTTGGGAGGCCGAGGTGGGTGGATTGCTGAGCTCAGAAGTTCAAGACCAGCCTGGGCAAAATGCTGAAACCCCACCTCTACTAAAATACAAAAAAATTAGCTGGGTGTGGCAGCGTGCACCTGCAATCCTAGTTACTTGGGAGACTGAAGCAGGAGAATTGCTTGAACCTGAGAGGCGGATGTTGCAGTGAGTCGAGATTGCGCCATTGCACTCCAGCCTTGGGGACAGAGTGAGACTCTGTCTCAAAAAGAAACAATCCATCAATCAATAAAAGTGCTACACACACATGTATACATATGTAACTAACCTGCACATTGTGCACATGTACCCTAAAACTTAAAGTATAATAATAATAAAATAAAAAAAAGAAAAAGAAGCTAGAAGAAAAAAAAAAGGTGCTACTCCAGTGAACACAGAAATACGAGAAAGTGAAACAGCCTTATTGCTAGTATGGGAAAGATTTTAGTGGTCTGGATAGAAGATTAAACCAGCCACATCATTCCCTTAGACAAAAGCCTAATCTAGAGCAAGGCCCAAACTCTCTTCAATTCTATGAAGGCTGAGAGAGGTAAGGAAGTTGCAGAAGAAAAGTTTGAGGCTAGCAGAGGTTGGTTCATGAGGCTTAAGGAAAGCAACCATCTCCATAACATAAAAGTACAAAGTGAAGCCACGGTGCCAAAGCAAGTTATCCAGAAGATCAAGCTAAAATAATCCATGAAGGTGACTACGTTAAACAACAGATTCTCAATGAAGATGAATGTCTTCTATTGGAAGAAATGCTGTATAGGACTTGCATACCAAGAGAGGAGAAGTCAATGCCTGGTTCAAATCTACGAGGGACAGGCTTACTCTCTTGTTAGGGGTTAGTGCATCTTGTGATTTTAATTTGAAGCCAATGCTAATTTGCCATTCCAAAAATCTTTGGGCCCTTAAGAATTATGTTAAATTGGCTCTGCCTGTGTTCTGTAAATGCAACAACACAGCCTGGATGGCAGTACACCTGTTTACAGCATGGTTTACTGAATATTTAATCCCACTTTTGAGATCTATTGCTCAGTAAAAAAGATTCATTTAAAAATATTACCGTTCATTGACAATGCACCTAGTTACTCAAGAGCTCTGTTGAAGATGTACAAGGAGATTGATGTTGTTTTTATTCCTGCTAACACAACATTCATTCTGCAGCTTATGGATCAAGGAGTAATTTTGATTTTCAAGTCTTGTCATTTAAGAAACACATTTTGTAAGGCCATCAATGCCATTAACTGATTCCTCTGATGGATCTGGGAAAAATAAATTGAAAACCTTCTGGAAAGGACTTATCATTCTAGATACCATCCATAACATTCATAATTCAAAATGTCAAGATTAACAGGAGTTTATTCATCCATCCGTCATAGATGACTTTGAGAAGTGCAAGATTTCACTGGAGGAAGTTAACTAGAGATTAGGATTAGAAGTAGAGCCTGAAGATGTGACTGAATTGCTGCAATCTCATAATAAAACTAACAAATGAGAAGTTACTTTTTGTAGATGTTCAAAGAAAGTGGTTTCTTGAGATGGAATCTACTCCTGGTGAGGTTGCTATGAATGTTGTTGAACAGAGGACTTAGAATATTGCATAAACTTAATTGATAAAGCAGCAGCAGGGTTTGAGAATATTGACTCCAGTTTTGAAATAGTTCCACTGTGGGTAAAATGCTGCCAAACTGCATCACATGCTAGATAAATCTTTTGGGACACGAAGAGTCAATCAATGGGGCAAACTTCATTGCTGTCTCATTTTAAGAAATTTCCACAGGCATGTCAACCTTCAGCAACCCCACCCTGATTGATTAGCAGCCATCGACACTGACACAAGATCCTCCACTGGCAAATAGATTATGATTCGCTGAAGGCTCAGATGATTATCATTTTTAAGCAATACAGTATTTTAAAATTAATATATGTAGATTTTTTAGACATAGTGCAACTTCACACTTAATAGACTGTAATATAGTTTGCAAATAACTTGTATATGCACTGGAAAACTGAAAAAATTGTGCATCTCACTTTCCTGTAATATGTGCTTTAAAATGAAAATTACAATATCTCCAAGATATGCTTGTAGAACTTCCCATCATTGCTGAAAGCTCTCTTGGACAGCAGTGTTATAGATTGATCATTAATTGTAGAGAGTATAAAGAGAGTATAACACAAGGTCAGTTACATAGTGTGATAGGCTAATCCAGTGTGTAATAGCTGAAAATATTTGTTTCATAATTTGTTTGGGTTCATAAGAAAATTTACAACCAGCCATGGAAAATTATCAGGTTAATGTCTTCTTATGCCTTCTCCCACTCTGTTTCTTCTCTACTTTGGACTTCTCTAATACTTTTCACTTTTTAGAGTTCACAACAAATCTTTTTGAGTACTCTATTTATTTCCTCTTGTGTGTGTTATACAATTATACAGTTATACAAATTTTGCAGTGTCTGTTAAATGTGTACTGTACAACAGGCACTGTACCAGGCAACTAAAAAGGAAGACACAGAAGATGCTATATAATAATAAACCAGGCAGGAGCAAACACATCTCCAGAGTTCAACCGAGATAGGAATGATCTCCTCAGACCATTTGAAGTAGCAAAAGCAAGTATTATTAGCTTAACTGTGTATATGATGAGATGGAAGTTTATTCTGAGGGGTGAAGTGACTTGCCCAAAATAATACAGAAGATAGCTGGGTACAGTGGCTCATGCCTGTAATCCCAGCACTTTGGGAGGTGGGAGGATCACCTTAGGTCAGGAGTTCGAGACCAGCCTGGCCAACATGGCGAAACCCTACTAAAAATATAAAGATTACCCAGGCATGGTGGTGGGCGCCTGTAAGCCCAGCTACTCAGGAGGCTGAGGCATGAGAATTGCTTGAACCTGGGAGGGGGAGATTGCAGTGAGCCGTGATTGCGCCACTGCACTCCAGCCTGGGGGATAGGGTGAGACTCTGTCTCCCGAAAACAAAACAAACAACAACAATAAAAATACAGAAGATAAAAAACATATCTTCAAACTGGAATACATGTTTTTAACTTCAAGTCCAATATGTCCAATGCACTTTCTAATCTCTCTATTACCAACCCCATGGTAGAGATTGGTTTATGCCAACTTTCTAATTTTTTCCAACATCTTCCAAGGAACTATCGAATAAGTCGTGCCTTGTATATATATCGACATTCTCTTTTTTGTAAGTTCAATTTTTAGAATTTTCTTGAATAAAGACAGAATTATATTTGTGTTTTTTACCCAGACTTCTCTTCGGAGCTCTAAACTAAGTGGTAAAACGCTCCTGGGTTGAACTGATCTGTGCTTCCTGATGTTCCATCAATACATTGAAAATACTTTGAAATCTTAGGGGTTGTCAGAACTTAAACACAAATGAATGCTCTTTCTATATAGAAAGCAATACCATATATCTATAGAGAAAGATAATTCATTTATGTTTAAGATCCATATACATATATGCATATATATGTGTATATATATTATGCATATATATGGATCTAATTCTTGTCGATTGGCAGATGGATGGGATTACACTGTGTGCAGGCAATCGGAGCAGCGTCAGTAACCCGCAACTTTTCAGTTTGGGCACTTCCCATGACTTTCTGCATAAAAGCATGATCCGTTTAGGCACACCCAAATCCAGATGTTATCCTAATTCTGGGTCTTATATATTTTCTCTTTGCAACATTCCTTGCTTGGAAATTTGGTGGCACCACTCCATCAGTCAAGTGGCCTTAACAGAACCCTATACTGTCTCTGAACCATATTATTTGTAAATGTACCACATAAACCATATGTCACTCAGTACGGCCTCCTAAGAAAGAGTATGATAGAGAATTCCTCCCACACATACAAGTTATCAGTCAAATGTTAAGTTTTATGTTTTGAAGGGGTACTCTGTGCTACTTGCAATACTTTTAGTCCCAACTTGTATTAAAGTGAGATGGTGCTGCATTTACTTACAAAATAAACCTAGTTAGAGATTACCTTTATCTTCATCAATAGAAACTTCCAATAGTGTGGCCATCTTTCTTTTTTTATTATTATTATACTTGAAGTTCTAGGGTACATGTGCACAACGTGCAGGTTTGTTACGTATGTATACATGTGCCATGTTGGCTTGCTGCACCCATTAACTCATCATTTACATTAGGTATTTCCCCTAATGCTATCCCTCCCCCATGCCCCCACCCCATGACAGGCCCCAGTGTGTGATGTTCCCCGCCCTGTGTCCAAGTATTCTCATTGTTCAATTCCCAACTATGAGTGAGAACATGTGGTGTTTGGTTTTCTGTCCTTGCAATAGTTTGCTCAGAATGATGGTTTCCAGCTTCAGCCATGTCCCTACAAAGGACATGAACTCATCCTTTTTTATGGCTGCATAGTATTCCATGGTGTATATGTGCCACATTTTCTTAATCTAGTCTATTATTGATGGACATTTGGGTTGGTTCCAAGTCTTTGCTATTGTGAATAGTGAGTGTGGCCATCTTTCTTATCCTAATCAGCAAATTCACTGTACAGGATTTAATTGACAGCAACATTTTTAGAAAATTCTTTTCAGGTCTTCATGAAGCCTGCCTAATCACACCATTCTTTTGACTTTGTCATACTCTCCTGCCAAAACAAACAAACAAACAATAAATAAATAAACCAACACAAATCTTCTCTCTTCTACTTTTAGTGATCAATACTCCTTTCTTTCCAATCTATCAATTTTGTTTTCTTTTTATTTTTAATTGACAAATAATAATTGTATATATTTATAGGGTGCAATATGATGTTTCGATGCATGTATACATTGTGAAATCATCAAATGGCTAATTAACATATCTATCACCCCAAATATTTATTATTTCTTTGCAATGGACACATTTTAAATTCTTTTAGTGATTTTGAAATACACAATACATTATTAATTATAGTGAAATGATCAAATGACTAGTTAACATATCTATTACCTCAAATATGTATTATTTCTTTGCAATGGACACAGTTTAAATTCTCTTTTGGTTATTTTGAAATATACAATACATTATTATTAATTATAGTCACCTTTGCTGTGCAATAGAATGCCTGAGTTTATTTCTTCTATCTAACTAACTTTGTACTTGTTGACCAACATCTCCCCTTTCCCTGACCACCTCCTCCCCCAGCCACAGATGGAAACAACCTAAATGTCCATCAAAAGATGAATGAGTTTTTTAAAATGCGATATATATGCACAATGGAATACTATTCAGCCTTACTAAAACAGGAAATTCTGTCATTTGTGACAGTATAAATGAACCTAGAGGACATTATGTTATGTGAAATAAGCCAGGCATGGAAAGACAAATAGCATATTACCTTATATGTAAAATCTTAAAAAGCCAAACTTATAGAAATTGAGTAGAATGATAGTTACCAATCCATCAATTTTAATTTGGAGAATTTTGTCCTTTATATCTACAATTCATTTGCTCCTCTCTTTTAAGGATTTCCTCTAGGATCTTAGAATTCAAAGGTTCTCATAAACAAAAGCTCTATTCATGCATTTCAAATATACCATTCTTGTATAACAAAAGTGCATTTATGCATTCAATTAACATATACTGCCCAGTATAGTGAAACAAATGGACTTCTTCATAGGAAAATATTTTCTAGCTGTGTGGCTTTGGGCAAAATACTGTATTACACTGGACTTTAATACTCTCATCTGAAAAATTAGGTGGAAAATAAAACGATACTGTTGGTATTCTATTTTTCTCAGTTTTCTTTAAGTATCTAGTGAGAAAAGCATAGTAGTTGGTAATTTTTTTTCTTATAGGTTATGTGACAAAGCTTTGATCAAAATATTACTTGCTATAATATCACTAGTGAAAACAGTTTTGGAAAACAAAATATTTTGGTTAAAGATAAAATGTGTCATTTTCTTGAGGATTTTTATGGTTGCTAAAAAGGCTAGAGCTGGAAATTTTACAAAATAAACAAATTCTGATACTAGCTATAAAAATAAGGGAAAATACCTGTTCAGCTGAAGAGTAAATTTCTACTATTAAAATGTATCCCAACCTATGTTATATAGCATTAGAAAATACTGCAATATTCTTAAATAATATTTGCCTGGAAATTGGATGCATAATTAGAATGCTATTTGTAGTTATTTCAGCTGGAATTATTTGTATTTGTTCTGTGGCTTGAGAATCTTTCCATAGACAGAAGGGATACAGAGCAGACTTTCTCTAGACCAAGCTTCCAACTCACAGGTCTCTCTCTCTCTCTCAAAGCCACATCACATATTTTAAGTAGCCAATTTCACATTTTTTAAAAAGTATCTATCTTGATCACACTGAGATGTGTGGCTCTTAGTATTCAAAGAAAATTGTGTATACAAGAAACAAATTCTAAATCTGAGTTATTACTTTAAAAATATTTTAGAAACCAAAGTTGTCAGATCATCACCTTAGAAAATTTTCTTCCAAAAAATTTTTACTTATGTGATCTGTATACTGGCTAACTCAGTCTCACTGTGGGATCATCTGAAGTCTCAGATCCATGAAACTTTACTGAATATATGGGCTCACATTAGTCTATGTATACTTATGGCACCTGTTGCTCAGTGTTATAGTACTATTTGTCTCATTATTCATCCATTTTAGGGCTCCACTCTCTGTAGAGAAATTGAGATCCCAAAGTGTATGACTTGCTTATTACATGTCTTTGACATGAGCAAAGCACCAACCAGACTATAAGAATTCTCCCTAAAATATAAATGTAATCAAATTATGTGGAAACAAATTTTGGACAAATTACTCTTGAACAACAACAACAAAATCTGATACACAGAAAATGAAAACATAAATTATTTGTATTTATTAATTTTGACCCATGATTTTGTGCTCAGCTGATATGTAATCATTATTTATTGATGCATCATGAAAAGTCTTTTCTTTTTTCTGATTCCATGTTGGGCAAAATGTAATTTATAATTACCATCCGTTTTGTGATGGTAAAATATCCATTTAGAACAAAAAAAAATGTAAAAATCCATCTCAATTAAAAACGACAAAATAGTGTTTACTAGCTTAAATTTTTCCATCTACATATAAATTTTGTTCATCACCATTAGGTTACTGATATTAGTTAAATTGCAAACATTTCTAACCTGCCCTGTCTCAAATTTAGTAGTACGAAGTCAATATCTTCTGAGGTTCCTTTTTAACAAAAATTGGAAATTAAAAGGAGACTGGGAAACTGTAATTTTGCTGTAGCTTGAACTTGTTCAGATTAGAAAAGGGACCAAGTTCTGAAAAAAACTCTTCTCTGGATAACGTCCAGTACTACTGTATGCCAAATACCCTTTTTTTCCCCTGTAAAGTGAGAAAAGGGGTTTTTTTTAATAAAGAAAAAAATTATTGAAAAGGATTTATGTTCTTTCTACCGTGACTGTAATCAGTTTTGCTAATCTCACATTTTTACTTATCTTGACATCAGGGTTATTTTTTTTTTAATTCTTTCATTTTTATTTTTTTAAAACTCTAACTTACCTAGAATGACTTATGATTAAACAACTTCCCAACACAGTTATAGATCTATTAAGGGACAAAAGCCAAGCAAAGTATATATGGATAAAATGATGTCGGCAAATTTTTAAATTTACAAACATTAAAAATAGAGACATTGTCTTTTATCTCTCTGAATATTTATATTTACAATATAAAATGAAGTCATGAAGCTATGCCCATCTGTTTATTTTTTAAAATCCGTGGTGTCAACAGTTTAAAAGTTTCCAGTAAAAAGCAGGAATGAAAGCATTCTTGTGGGATGTAGTCAAATCAAGGAATTCTGTCCAGATCTTGAAAACAAACAAGAGTTTTGGCTTATTTTGCAGAAGAGTTTGGATCATGCATGTAACTTTAATAATTTGTAAACACTTTTGCAACTGAATATATATACAACATATATCAGTATATATATTTTAATTAGAAGCAAAGTGCTAAGGAGACACCATGTAGGTTAATGACTGTAAAAATCTTGGTGACATAAAGCATAGTTTAGAAGCTGGTGGTGTTGACTGTAGATAGGCTACCAGCATGGAAGGAGGATATTGAAACTGGGAGGAATCACTTGTGTCTGGGTATTATTTACTGGGACTTGACTATGAACATGACACTAGAGAATATCAAAGCATCCATGGTCTTTCATTGTTCCCTTAGTCTATGCTCCACCATGCTACGCTCCATCTGGGCCTTAGAAAGCTAATTTCTGCAAACTGCCTCACTGTAATTTCTTTGCCAGCTGGCTTCTGCTTCTAACCAGACAGTGGTCCTAGTGCACTGAGATAGGAAGGTGGGAGGAGAGGAAGTTGTACATTACCTTGTCCTTGGTAATAACTTTTTTTCCTTTTTCCCACTAGAAAGCAACATTTTTGCAATTCTAATCCTCAGTGAATGCTGGTAACACCATTTCTTCCTCATGCCTCTTTGGTCCTGTGAGAGGAAATTACTTTCAGCTGTTGCTAGTCTCAGCATGCTCCACCATCCCTGATTTACTCCTTTTGCTATTCCTATACCTCAGAAAGTACAATACATTAATGTTTTGTTTTGTTTTTCAGTTGAACAATCTGAAGTGAGTTCTGTTTCTTGTCAGGACTCCAGACAATAAAAATAACTGTATTCTTTACAAGTAGAATATCCAAATGCAGAATAATAACATTGGATTTTTATTTCACACTAAAGACAAAAATAAACTCAAGATGGATTAAAGAAAGAAATTTAAGACCTAGAATTGTAAAACTACTAGAAGAAAAACGTAGGGGAAAAGCTCCACAACATTGTTCTAGGCAATGATTTCTTTGATATTACCCCAAAAGCACAGTCAACAAAAGCAAAAATAGACAAATGAAATTTCATCAAACTAAAAAAACTTTACAACAACAACAAAAAAAAAAAGAGTTAAAAGAAAAATTACAGATTAAAAGAAAATACTTGCAAACCATATAGCTGATAAGGGACAAATATCCAAAATATATGAAACTTAAACAATTCAATAACAGGAAAACAACCCAATTAATTAAAACATGGGCAAAGAACTTTGCTATGGTCTGGCTGTCCCCCAAAACTCATATGCTGAAACAACTACCAGTGTGATAGTATTAAGTGGTGTGGCCTGTAGAAGGTGATTAGTCATGAGGCCTTCTCTCTTCTGAATGGGACTAAGGCCCTTAAAAAGAGGCTTATTCAGCATTCAGCCCTTTTGCCTTTTCACCTTCCACTATGTGAGGACACAGCAATGATGCACCATCTTGGAAGCAGAGGGCAGCCCTCGCCAGCCATGGAACTTGTTGATGCCTTGATCTTGGACTTACATAGCTCCAGAACTGTGAAAAACAAATTACTGTTATTTACAAATGATCAAGTCTGTAGTATTTTATTATGTCAGCACAAATGAATTAAGGCAAACCTCAAGAGACATTGCTTAAATGAAGAAATATAAAAGGTGACTAGATATATGAAAAAATGCTCAACATCTCTAATCATCAGGAAAATGCAAATTAAACCACAACAGAATATCACCTAACACTTATTAGAATGGCTATTATTCAGAAAATAAAATATAAACATTAGGAGGTGGAGAAATGAATCATGGTAAATGGTTAGTGGGAATATAACTTAGTACAACCATAATGAAAAACAGGATTTTGAAAAAACTGAAAATTGAATTATCATATGATCTAGCAATCCCACTTCTGGCTATATATTCAAGAGAATCAATATCAGTATGTTGAAAAGATAATCTGTATTCCCATGTACATTGCTGCATTGTTCACAATAGCCAAGATAGGAAAGTAATCTCAGTGTCCATCAATAGATGAACTGATAAAGAAAATGTGTTATATATGCACAATGGAACACTATATAGCCTTAAAAAAGGAGGAAATTCTGTCATTTGTTTCAACACTGATGAACTAGAAAACATTATGCTAAGTGAAATAAGCCAGGCACAGGAAGACAAATACTGCATGATCTCACTTACATGTATAATCTAAAATATTCAAATTCACAGAAGTAGAGTAGAATGGTGGTTACCAGGAGCTGGGGACTGGGAGAGGCAGTGGGAAAATAGGGGAAGGAGAGATGTTGACCAAAGGGTACAAGGCTTCAGTTTGACAGGAGAAATACATTTCAGTGATCTATTGAACAGCATGATGTCTATACTTAATAGTGATATATTGTGTATTTCAAAATTGTTCAACGAGTAGATTTTAAGTGTTCTCACTACAAATAAAAAATAGGTGAAGTGATAGATATGTTAGCTTGATTTAATTGTAATATTCTACAGTATACACTGTATGCATATACATCAAAATATCTCATTGTGCCCTGTAAAAATATAGGATTATTATATGTCAATTAAACATGTTTAAAAAGTGGATATCTGTACAATGTGAAAAGAAAGGGTGGGCTTTGCTTATTATCTCACTGGCCATGGAAATATAATTGAGATAATTAAGACACTTAGCCAAGTAAAAATTATGAAAATTGAAAAAAATTATACCTATTGTATACTTTTAAAAAACAATTATGAAAGGAAATAGTAATTAACATTACTGATTGATTGCAACATGTTAGCTGCATCCCTGTGAATTAAGCACTATTGGTACCTCCATTTTAAAATATAGAAACTGGTTGGGTGTGGTGGTTTACGCCTGTAATCCCAGCACTTTGGGAGGCCAAAGAAGGAGGATCACTTGAAGTCAGGAGTTTGAAACCAGCCTGGTCAACATGGTGAAACCTGGTCTCTACTAAAAATACAAAAATTAGCCAGGCATGGTGTATGTGCCTGTAATCCCAGTTACTCAGGAGGCTAAGGCATGAGAATTGCTTGAACCCAGTTGAGGGTTCAGTGAGCCGAAGCTGCAGTGAGCCGAGATGGTGCCATTGCACTCCAACCTGGGTGACAGAGGGAGACTCCATCCCCAAAAAATAAAAATAAAATATAGAAACTAAGGTACTGAGAAGTTAAATGACTTGCCTAAGGTCACACAGTTATGGAATGGCAGAGGAAGAATTTGAACTCAGGCAGATCAGCTCCTATGCCTACACTCTTAACCACTAAACACTGTTAGAAAGAAAACAGAAAGTTAAGGGAAGTAACATTTACTGAATACCTGCTACATGTCTGGAAGTGTAATAGGTGTTTTTCTCATACCATCTCATTTATTGCCCTTTCACAGCACTGAGGCTGATGTCCATTCCCTATTTTAAGAGGCACTTTCTTGTCTGGCTTTCTGTGACACCACTTGCCCTTCTGGCTTTCTTATTCTTTGCCAGCCACTTTCTCTCTCATTTCCTCTGTTGGCTCTTAGCTTGTCAACCTCTAAACATCTGAGCATTCTGAATTTCCTACTTGCTTCTATGCCTCCTGGTTTAGCTCTAGTAATTGAGTGACTTTAAAAGGCTAACTATATTTGGATGACTCCAGTGTTTTTATTTCCAACTTGTCCCCCCTTCTAAATGTATGTTCAACTGTCTCCTTGACAGCTTTGGGTACTCAGTAAGCATCTCAAACTTTGTATTAATTAATTTCTTCCTCAACCTGCTTCTCTCTGTCACTTCCATTTTTATTAAATAGCATCATTATCTGTTCCAGTGGATCAAGCTAAAAATTCAGGAATTGTCCTGGAACATGCACACGTTTCTTCTCCCAATATTGTATCACCGGTAACTTCTGTCATCTCTACATCCAGAACATGTTCCGGTCTATCCGTGTCTCTTCCTGCTGACTGCCTTCATCATTTGCCTCAGCAATTGTAGTAGTTTCCTAACTTACCTTCCTCTTTCCAGTCTTGCCGTCCTTCAAATATTTCTACACATAGAAGCCAAAATAATTATTATAAACATAGCATGCCCCTTGACTGCTTCAAATCCTTTATTAGTTTCTAAATAAAATGCAATCTGACCCCTCCTTTATATAGAGTCCAAACCTCACCTAAACTGTTTTCTGTTGAAGGAATGAATCCTGTCATAGAAATGTTTGGTCTTTATAACCATATGCCACTTTTTGCCAAAGTAGAAATAGAGGCAAGTGTGTGTATGACTATTTCCTCCCCTCCCTCAGTAACTCCTGAAATCAGTTTTTTGTTTTGTGGCTTCTGCTAAAGGTAAGACATAGTACTATGGTGGGCATTTTTCATGTATTATCTTAATAATTATTTATAATGACAATTTGAGAAGGTTGCTATTGCCCATATTTGATATTTGAGAAACAAGACTCAAAGAGCTTAAGTAACTTTCTCAAAGTCACAGTGCTCCTCAGTGGGAAAGTGTTGGCCTGATACCCGGTCTGTAAATCAAAAACCAGTAGTCAACCACGTGGTTACACCACCTCCTCAAAAAGACAGTACATATCCTTTTCATTCCTCCAGATTATACACACACACCCAGATCTATTTATCTCGCCTTCTTTAAAACGTATTTAAAATTCAGGGGTTTATGTGCAGGTTTGTTATTTAGGTAAACTCATGTCATGGGGGCTTGTTGTACAGATTATTTCATCACCCAGGTATTAAGCCTAGTACACATTAGTTATTTTTCCTGATCCTTTTTCTCTTCCCACTCCCCTCTACATGTCCATGTGTTCTCATTATTATTTAGCTCTCACTTATAAATGAGAGCATGCAGTATTTGGTTTTCTGTTCCTGTATTAGTTTGCTAAGGATAATTGGTCTACAGCACTATCCATGTTCCTGTAAAGAACATGATCTTGTTTTTTGTTTTTTGTTTTTTGTTTTTTTGTGGCTGCATAGTATTGCATGGTGTATGTGTATCACATTTTCAATTTCCAGTCTATCACTGCTGATGGGCATTTAGGTTGATTTCATGTCTTTGCTATTGTGAGTAGTGCTACAATGAATATGTGCACTCATGTGTCTTTGTGATAGAATAATTTATATTCCTTTGAGTATATACCCAGTAATGGGATTGCTGGGTCAAATGGTATTTTTGTTTTTTAGGTCTTTGAGGAATTTCCATACTGTTTTCCACAATGTTTGAACTAATTTACACCCCTACCAATAGTGTATAAGTGTTCCTTCTTCTCTGCAATGTCACCAGCATGCATTATTTTTTGACTTTTTAATAATAGCAATTCTAACTAGTGTTAGATGGTATCTAATTGTGGTTTTGATTTCCCTTTCTCTAATGATCAGTGATGATGAGGGTTTTTTTCCATATATTTGTTTGCCACATGTATTTCTTCTTTTGGAAAAGAAGGAGTGTTCTTTGTCCACTTTTTAATTGGGCTCTTTGTTTTTTTTCTTGAAATTTGTGTAAGTTCCTTATAAATGCTGGATATTAGACCTTTGTCAGATACATAATTTGCAAAAATTTTCACCCATTCTGTAGGTTATCTGTTGACTTTGTTGATGGTTTATTTGCTGTGCAGAAGCTCTTTAATTTAATTAGATCCCATTTGTCAATTTTTGCTTGTGTTACGATTGCTTTTGACATCTTCATCATAAAATCTTTGCCTGTTCCTATTTCCAGAATGGTATTGCGTAAGTTTTCTTCCAGGGTTTTTATAGTTTGGGTTTTGATCCCAGGAATAAGGCTGCACACCTGTAATTATCTTATCTTCAACAAAGGTGATAAAAACAAACAATGGGGAAAGGACTCCCTATTCAATAAATGGTGCTTGGATAACTGGCTAGCCATATGCAGAAGACTGAAACTAGATCCCTTCCTTATGCCATATACAAAAATCTACTTAAGATTAATTAAAGACTTAAATATTTTTCTCTTCTAGGGAATATTAACTTCTTTGCCAGGGATGAATGTTATATAGACTCTGTTTGTAGATGAAATGCAAAGACAGCCGTTTTGTTAAACCCCTAGTACTATTCCATTTCTCCTTGGCTTGTCCCAAAACAATTGCCAAAAAATCTTAATGTACAATACAAGTCAGAAGGACATCTCATATAAATATTTAAGGGGAATTTATTGAATAAATAAACATTTTATTGACATCTTCTTAATTTGAGCTTGTGATAATTTTTAATCAATCAGGAAATTTGTAATTAAAGTTTTATAACAAAGATGTAATCATTTACACATGTGGTTATGATCAATACTTCCTATGTAAAGGAAAATAATTTCATATCAAATGGTTTTGATCCACCATTTTTGTGGATCCACCATTTTGTGTGAAAGAAAGAACACAAAAATATTATGTTAATTAACACAATAATAGACATGCAACATAATACCCAAATTCTACTATAGTGGGCATCAGAGTGATAAGCGTATACAAGGATTCCATCTTGTTTATGCTGAGAAGGAAACATATTGTGGTTTCTAGCTTGAACAACAACTCTTCAATATTGCCAGAAATGTCGTTTACTATACAACTTTCTGTTTTGACAAGAGTGCATTAATAAATATGTTGTTTCAAAATATTTTGCAGAATATTTCCTTTTCATGACCAAGGAAATATATTATTCTGTTTATTTCAAATAAATCATGAATCAAGTTTTTTTTTTCTTTCTTGCCTTGTAAAGTTCTTGCAATAGGCAGCACTACCAGTAAGAAGTTAAGAAATATGGTCCTTAAAGCAATTCAAATTAAAAACTCTGTTCAATGTTACTTAGACTTTTATTCTGATACTTCAAGTTGATCCCTTCACCTATGTTTACTCAGGTGCACTTTCAACAATAAGCATTTTTATTTGTTTATTTTTAAAAATAAAGATTGAGATGCTATGGTGAGAATATACAAATATTTAGGCAATCGTGATTTTATGGGAACATTTTTTTTGCATGACTTGTGAACTGATCCTGATGAAAATTTTCTGAAAGTGTTTCAAAAATGTCTTGAGCACTAACATCATTGTGATATCTACTCTAATGACTATTGTAAAAGTTACCAGCTATTTCCATGCCTACATTCTGCTAAAATTATTACTTTTAAAATTATACCCATGCTTGATCATCTTGCTTTATGTCCTAAACATGACAGCCATTATACTTCTGACCTACTTTTCTGCATTACTCAAACGTTTCTTTAATGAGATACAACATAATCAGTAATGATTCCAATAGTCATTTGCTTTTGGATAATTTCCTTTCCCTTCCTCTGATAAACTCTGAAATAAATTTGAGAACATTGAGTAATGGCAGAATTGGATATGGACCAAGCCCAATTAGTGTTTAAAAATTACACTGGTCCCTATCACATAGAATTAATCTTCTTTTCAGAGAGTACACACAACTGAAAATATTCTCAAAATGAAGTTATCTCCTTTATGACCCTGTAAACATGATTTGGTCTTTATGACTTGGAAACAAATATGAACGGGTCTTACCAACATATCTGGAAGAAATGAAATAGAAAATACTCTTAAGCATTAGTTTCATAACTCAAATTTAGTTATCAGATTGCTCAATAAATTATCTATGAGGACCTGGAGGAAAAGGAGTAAAGAGAAAAATGTTAGTATTCTGTTGGCAATGATGAAAAAAAAAAAAAAGGTCTTAAAGAAATGATGAAGCCAAACTGGGTGTGCCATAGAGAAGTGGACACTTTTAATCTTTCCCCAGATGAATGGAGTTCTTATTTCTACATCTGCATCCTCTTTGTCCTTAGCTCTGTTCTCTATATGATACTTTCCAACCGGTTGTTCATTGGTCTTCACTGTTTACCCTGCCACTTTAATTTACTATGTTCATTACTTATGTCGCTACTTCCAACTTTAAAAAATAATTTATTCTTGTAATTCAATCCTTCTCTTTAGTCTTTCATAGTTAGTTAGAATTTGTCAGTACTTGAATGGATGTCATCTTTTTTCTTCTTCATAGTGAATCATAAAAAAAATTATCAACATTGTGACAATTTATAAAGACGCCCTTTAAGTGCTATTTCTCTTTCTCTTTTGACACTTTTCTTCTCTTTCTACATTTCTCCTTTGACTCAGGATCTGTTCCTCCTCACCTTCTACATTGATTTCTCCAGTCACTTTAGTTCAAAACACAACAGGCATCCACTTATTTTCTATAGCCTTTATTTTAATTACTTCTCTAGATAACTCCCCCCATTTCTTCTTTCTTTCCCACTGAAATCTGATGAACTTTCCTATTCTGTCTGCTCTACTGAGCAAGGGTTCCCATTTCCAAAGAGATAACTTGCAACCTCCATAATGACTGTTTTCCTTCTACTTTTTGTCTTGCCACCACCAGAAAATGTCTTAATTTTACTTCTCCCTTGAGAAAGCTTTTCATCCTGTCTCCCTTCCTTTTAATAGTTTTTGGGTCTTCTTTGCATCGTACAGATGTTACCATTCAGTTTTTAAAGTTCCCCTTTCATTCTGAGCCCTTGAAACTGATCCAGCTGCATCTGTCTTTACTCATTTTGATTTATTATTGAGAAGTTTGCTCACCTTCTTTATTCTTTGTTCTTCTCCAAACAAATTTTGTGCATTACACTCTCTGCCTTGGTGTTTTCATTTAGAAAGTTGCCCCTGTGTTCTACATACCCTGGACTTTTTTTCAATTACAAATTATCTGAAGCTTTTCCCAATCTGTACTTGGCTATCTCTTACCAGATTTTTTTTTTTTTGTGGGGAACTCCCTTGTCATGTTACTACCTCAAATTAATATACCTCTGCTATGGTATACATATTGTGGTCCCCTAAAATGCATATGTTGCAATCCTAACCCTCAAGGTGATGTGATTAGAAATTGAGGCCTTTGGGAGGTGATTAGGTCATAGGTACAGAGGCCTCATGAATGGGATTAGTGTCTTACAAAAGAGGTGCCAGAGAGACCTCCCCTTACCCCTCCCTTCCATCATTTGAAGAAACAGCTAGAAGCCACCATCTGTGAACCAGAAAGTGGGCCCTAGTCACATGCTGAATCTGCTGGCACCTCAGTCTTGGAATTCATAGCCCCCAAATCTATGAGAAATACATTTCTATTATTTATAAACTGCTTAGTTTATGGCCTTTATAAAAAGTTGCCCTTGTGTTCTATATACAATAGCAAGCCGAATGGAATAGGACACCTCCTATCCAAATTTCAAACCAGTCCCTTGTTGTAATGTCTAGTATGTCACAGTGACTCTGGACTATGTCATAGGGCTGTTTATTTTCATCATCCCTCTAATACTGTGGAAACAAGTAGCCTTCTACATTGCTATTCAAAGTGTGATTCCTTTATTTGCGTTATTAACATTGCTCTAGTGCTTTTAAAAATGCACACAGTCAAGTTGAACTGCAGACTTTCTGAATTATAATCTGCATTTTAATACGATCTCTAGGTAATATTTTTACACAGTAAAGTGTAAGAGGCACTGGCAAACTACATATATGCAAACTGGAGGATACATGAAAATCACCTCAGTGAGTTCAAGTGTTTTGTGATCTGTGCCCAAATTGTGTTGCCTCAAAGTCTTTCAATTTCTCTTGGAATTCATGTATAGCTGTTTCTTTTGAAATACCTATACATGAAGTATTGTGGTTTCTATGTTTCTTCTCCTCATTCAAATTTAGCAAATACTCTCCTTCCTAGTATGCATTGTGATCATGTAGCTGAATCTCTTCCCATGCCTATGGACAAAGTAAGGCAATTATTTTATTTCCCATTTTGCTGACAGAAAAACTGAAAAGAGAAAATTATGATGTGATTTTCTTAGAGTCACCTAGATAATCACAAGTACAATAAAAACACATATGCAAGGTCCTTAACCCTTGGTTTAAAATGTGTTTCATTACTATGCTGTTGTTTGTTAAATGAATGTATAATCCTTTACCAATTTTTTCATTCATGTTAATTTTTAAATATTAGGACACTTGAATTCTGCATTATTGTCAAAAACTAATTGGAAATATAGTCACATCAGTAGCATTTTATCAAGTATAATTTGAGAGAAAGTAATAAAAAATTGAAGATTTATAAATCATATGCAAGAAAGAGTACCATATTTCTTTATAAATGCATAGAGCTTGGTGAAAAACATTCACAAGAGAAAATACATAAGTCCAGATATCTTTTGGAGAATATTACTAGAATAATTCCGTGATACATGACATCATCTTTCAACCTTTATCATCTCTTAATCCAGTTTGTCTTGACACTCTGTCCCACAACCCAAACATTAACTTGTTCACTTTCTCTTCAAATCAGTGAAAGTACAATAATTTTCCCCCCTTCCTCCATATGTCTTAAATATTTCTAAAATTGAAATTGGAGGGGTGGGTTTGGGGAAAAAATGGAAGCCCATTGAGGGACATTAAAAACTTTATGAAGGTTCACAAGAATTAAGAACTACTTATTTTCATAGGGGAGTGATAGTCTAATTTGAGAGTCCTAACAACTAGTCTCTTAGTAACTAGATAAATTTCTTTTTATTTTTTAAAAACTTTTATTTTAAGTTCAGAGTACATGTGTAGGTTTGTTATGTACGTAAAGTTGTGTCATGGAGGTTTGTTATACAGATTATTCCATCACCCAGGCATTAAGCCTAGTACCCATTAGTTATTTTTCCTGATCCTTTCTCTCCCCCTACCTCCCTGGGGTCTGGTAGACCCCAGTGTGTGTTGTTCCCTCCCTGTGTCCATGCATTCTCATTATTTAGCTCCCATATATAAGTGAGAACATGTGGTATTAGGTTTTCTATTCCTGTGTTAGTTTGCTAAGGATAATTGGCCTCCAGCTCCATCCATGTCCCTGCAAAGGACATGGCCTCATTCTTTTTCATGGCTGCATAGTGTTCCATGGTGTATATGTACTACATTTTGTTAATCCAGTCTATCAGTGATGGGTATTTAGGTTGATTCCATGTCTTGGTTCTCTTGAATAGTGCATCAATGAATATGTGCATGCATGTGTCTTTATAATAGAATTATTGATATTCTTTTGGGTACATAAATCCCAGTAATGGGATTGCTGGGTTAAATGGTATTTCTGTCTTTAGATCTTTAAGGAATTGCCACCCCGTGATCCACAATGGCTGAACTAATTTACACTCCCACTAACAGTGTATAAGTGTTCTTTTTTTCTCCACAATCTTGTCAGCATCTGTTATTTTTTGACTTTCTAAGTTTTATAACATAGTGATTTGCAAAATATTAGCTAGTAATTGTGGCATGTAAATGGAAGATGACATCTACAGCTGAAAGCAAACTGTGCTACTAATTCATAATTTAAAATATTGTTAAAATATTTCACTAGACTCTTCCATTTGTGTATTGCTCTTAAAAACTTTGTATCTTATGATGAACAATGTGGAAATTAATGTTACGGGCAAAATAAAAATCAAGGTGGCAGCATGTGGAATAAATATAGAATTTGGGGCATATGTAGAACTCAATTTGGCCTTTGTATCTGCTACTTATTGTGTGAACTTAAATAAGTAATAGAGTGACCTACTCTGCTGGATTTCCTTGGGATTTTTTTGGTTTTAAAAGTGAAAGTCCTACATCTATGAAACTCTTTTTATTTCAGGCAAACCAGGAGGGTTGTCCACCCTAATAAGTGGCTTAGACTTTCTAAGCATCAGGTCGTTCACCTGGAATTTATACATATGAGATAAGATTCAAATATATCTCTCCTTCTCTCTCTATATATAGATATATACTCTACTCTACTACCTATAAATGTTAATTATCTAGAAGATACACCATGAATGTAATAGATAAATCACAGCTATAGGAGGGGATGATATAACAAACTGGGCAGCAGAATTTGCACTTTGAACACAAATTCACTAATACAAGTGGCTTCTCTAAAAACTCCTGGAGTAAAATGAAAATTTAAGTGGAAAACAAAATGCAATTTGATTTAGTAACAGTAGAAGGAGTCAAGAATTTGAGATATTTTGCAGTCTGAAAAACAGATTTTCAGTTTTTAAGAGTAGACAGTATTGGCAATACTATTTAGCCCACAATTGAAAGGAGGGAAATTGAATGTCATTTTTCACTGAATTTCCACAGAATTTCATGGTATATCTTCTTTAAACAAAGTAAAAAGGCATCTCCATGATTTATTTTCTGATCTTACTTAATCAAGTTTTAACAAGAGGTTTTCAGGAATGTGAAGACTCCTTATTTCTGTGGAAGAACTCCATTTATTCAGTTGTTCTTGCAGTCCTAGAATAAGGGCACACTGAACTCCTCCATGCCAGAAAATGAACCTGACATTGTGGGTGTATGATTATCATCCCTATCCTGGAGGAATTCATAACTTGAGGGGGAAGTCAGGTATGTAGTGAGATGGGTAAAATGCAATCTGATACATGCTAAATAGAATTCTGAACAGTACTGTGGAGACAAAAATGAAGAACAGCTATTGCCTAAAGGACTTTTCAGAGCTTGTGACACTTGAGTGGCGTCTTAAAGGATGAGTTAGGATTCACCAAACAGAACAGAATTAGAAAGGCTTTGCCACAAAAGAAACAGCATATTCAAATGCAAAAGAGTATGAGGAAGGCATCTCTTTTTGGGGGAGAGCAATGCTGGCAGAATGTTGGTTAGAAGATCAGAATGATAGAGAGAAATGCATTTGGAGAGACTTTCCTAACATTATTATTTTATAACACTAAGATCTTTAGCCTTTTTCTTGTAGTTGTTAAGGAAACATCAAAATTATTTAAAGAGAAAAGTGAGAAGCTTGGATTCTTGTATTTGAAAAAATAACTTTGGCAGAATGTGTTGGAAGGGTTAGTGTTATGAGGAAAACTACAGATAAAAAGTCTGGAGAGAAGTCTACTGTATTATTCAGAAGAAACATAAAAATAGCCAAAGCAAGCTAGTGATCATTGAGAAAAGGAAGAAAGTAGGGTTCAGATTGAGCGTTTTTCTCTAGGACTCTTCAAATCATTGACTGCAGAGGAATGGTAGGAGGCAGATTCATTTGGGCAACAGGTTGGATTGAGCATTTTAGGTGGAATTTCACTAGCTTGACCAATCCTTGTTGCATCAGGAGAGTCATAGAAGGAATCTGTGCTTGAACCTTGGGATACTTTGGGACCATTGCAACTTCAAAAGCCTGTAATTTAAAATAATATTATTTTATGCCTTTCTTTGTAATTTTGATCATTGTTGGTTTACAGTTGGTTTTGTCTCAAATAAGAACAGAAACCCCTGCTCTTTTTTGCTTTCCATTTGTCTGATAGATCTTTCTCTATCCCTTTACTTTAAGCCTATGGATGTCCTTGCATGTAAGATGGTTCTCTTGAAGACAGCATACAGTGGGGCCTTGCTTCTTTATCCAACTTGCCACTCTGTGCCTTTTAAGTGGGATGTTTAACCTATTTACATTAAAGGTTAACATGAGTATGTGTGAATTTGATCCTTTTATTGTGTTGTTAGCTGGTTATTATGTAGACTTGATTGTATATTTTCTTTCTAGTTTCAATAGTCTATGTATTTAAGTGTGTTTTTGTGGTGGCAGGTACCAGTCTTTCATTTCTGTGTTTAGTATGGAAATGACCTCTTGTAAGGCAGGTCTAGTGGTATTGAATTCCCTTAGTGTTTCCTTGTCTGAAAAAGATTTTATTTCTCCTTAGCTTATGAAGCTTAGTTTAGCCAGATATAAAATTTTCAGTTGGAATTTTTTTCTTTAAGGATGCTGAACATAGGCCCCCAATCTCTTCTGACTTTTAGAGTTTCTATTGAAAGGTCCACTGTTAGCCTGCTGGAGTTCCCTTTGTAGGTGAACTTCTCCTTCTGCTTACTTGTCTTTAATATTTTTTCTTTCACATTGGTCTTGGAGACTCTGATGACTACCTGTCTTGGGGATGGTTCAACTCAAAAAGAAGACTGAACTATTCTAAATATATATGCACCCAACACTGAGCACCCAGATTCATAAAACACATTCTTACATACCTACAAAGAGACTTATATAACCACACAATAATTATGGGAGACTTTAATACCCAACTGACAGTATTGGACAGATCATTGAGGCAGAATACTAACAAAGATATATGGAACCTAAACACAACAGTTGACCAAATGGAGCTAACAGACATGTACAGAACATTTGACTCAACAAAAACAGAATATACATTCTTCTCAATTGCACATGGCACATATTCTAAAATTGACTGCACACTCAGCAAGAAAGCAATTCTTAACAAATTTAAAAAAGAAAACCCTGAAATCATATGAACCATCCTCTTGGAACACAGTGCAATAAAAAGAGAAGTTAATACCAAATATCTCTCTCAAAACCATACAATTAAATGAAAATTACACAATCTGCTCCTGAATGACTTTTGGGTAAACCATGACATTAAGGCAGAAATCAATAAATTAGTCGAAACTAATGAAAGCAAAGATACAACATACCAGAACAATAAAGCAGTGTTAAAAGTTTTTATTTTATTTTATTTTATTTTATTTTAAAGTTCTGGGGTACTTGTGGAGGATGTGCAGGTTTGTTACATAGATAAATGTGTGCCATGGTGGGTTGCTGCACCTATCAACCCATCACCCAGCAATTAAGCCCAGCATGCATTAGCTATTTTTCTTAATGCTCTCCTTCCCCAACCACACGTGACAGGCCCCAGTGTGTGTTGTTCCCCTCCCCGTGTCCATATGTTCTCATTGTTCAGTTCCCACTTATAAGTGAGAACATGTGTTTAGTTTTCTGTTCTTGCATTAGTTTTCTGAGAATAATGGCTTCTTGCTCCATCTATGTCCCTGCAAAGGACATGATCTCATTTCTTTTTATGGCTACATAGTATTCCATGGCATATATGTACCATATTTTGTTTATCCAATCTATCGTTGATGGGCTTTTGGGTCGATTTCATATCTTTGCTATTTTGAATAGTGTTGAATTTAACATATCCGTGCATGTATCTTTATAATAGAATGAATATATTCCTTTGGGTATATATCCAGAAATGGGATTGCTAGGTCAAATGGTATTTCTGGTTCTAGATCTTTGAGGATTGCCACACTGTCTTCCACAATGGTTGAGCCAATTTACATTCCCACCAATAATGTAAAAGTGTTCCTATTTCTCCACCACCTCTCCAGCATCTGTTGTTTCTTGTTTTTTTATTTGCCATTCTGACTGGCGTGAGAGTATCTCATTGTGGTTTTGATTTCTGTTTCTCTAATGATCAGTTATGTTGGTTTTTTTTCATATGTTTGCTGACCACATGAATGTCTTCTTCTGAGAAGTATCTGTTTATGCCCTTTGCCCACTTTTTAATGGAGTTTTTTTTCTTGTAATTTGTTTAAATTCTTCGTAGATTCTGAATATTAGATCTTTGTCAGATAGGTAGATTGCAAAAATTTTCTCCTACTCTGTAGGTTGTCTGTTCACTCTGACGATAGTTTCTTTTGCTGTGCAGAAGCTCTTTAATTTAATTAGATACCATTTGTCAATTTTTGCTTTAGTTGCAATTGCTTTTGGCATATTCGTCATGAAATTTTTGCCTGTGCCTATGTCCAGAGTGGTATTACCTAGATTTTCTTTTAGGGTTTTTATAGTTTTGGGTTTTACATTTAAGTCTTTAATCTATCTTGAGTTAATTTTTGTATAAGTGTAAGGAAGGGGGCCAGTTTCAATTTACCGCATATGGCTAGCCAATCCTCCCAGAACCATTTATTAAACAGAGATTCCTTTCCCCATTGCTTGTTTTCTTCAGGTTTGTTGAAGATCAGATGGTTGCAGATAAGCAGTATTATTTCTGAGTTTTCTATTCTGTTCCATTGGTTTATGTGTCTGTTTTTGTACCAGTACTATGCTGTTTGGTTACTGTAGTCTTCTAGTATATTTTGAAGTAAGGTAGTGTGATGCTTCCAGCTTTGTTCTTTTTGGTTAGGATTGTCTTGATTATATGAACTCCTTTGTAGTTCCATATGAATTGTAAAATAGTTTTTTTTTCTAATTCTGTGAAGAATGTCAATTGTAATTTAATGGGAATAGCACTGAATCTATAAATTACTTCGGGTGGTATGGTCATTTCATGATATCTATTCTTCCTATCCATGACTATGGAATATTATTTTCATTTCTTTGTGTTCTCTCTGATTTCCTTGACAGTGGTTTGTAGTTCTCCTTGAAGTGGTCCTTCACTTTCCTTGTTAGATGTATTCATAGCTAATTTATTCTCTTTGTAGCAATTGTGAATGGGAGTTGATTCATGATTTGACTCTCTGCTTCTCTATTGTTTGTGTATAGCAATGCTTCTGATTTTTGCACATTGATTTTGTATCCTGACACTTCGCTGAAGTTGCTTATTAGCTTAAGAATCTTTTAAGCTGAGATGATGGAGTTTTCTAGATATAGGATCATGTCATCTGCAAAAAATGATAATTTGAATTTGTCTTTTCCTACTTGAATATGCTTTATTTCTTTATCTTGCCTGATTGCCCTAGCTGGAACTTTGAAAACTATGTTGAACAGGAGTGGTGAGAGAGGGCATCCTTGTCTTGTGCCAGATTTCAAGGGGAATGCTTCCAGCTTTTGCTCATTCAGAATGATATTGACTGTGGGTTTGTCATAAATGTCTCTTATTATTTTGAGGTATGCTTCTTCAGTTCCTAGTTTTTGAGAGTTTTTAACATGAAATGAAGTTAAATTTTATTGAAGGTCTTTTCTGCATCTATTGAGATAATCATTTGTTTTTTTTCTTTAGTTCTGTTTATGTGATGTATTATGTTTATTTATTTGTGTATGTGAACCAGCCTGGCATCTCAGGGATGAAGCCAATTTGATTGTCCTGGATTAGCTGGATTCAGTTTGTCAGTATTTTATTGAGGATTTTTGGATTAATGTTAATCAGGAATATTGGCCTGAAGTTTTTTGTTGTTGTTTCTCTGCGAGGTTTTGGTATCAGAATGATGCTGGCCTCATAAAATGAGTAGGGAAGAGTCCCTTCTTTTTAATTATTTGGAATAGTTGTACTTCTGATAGAATAGAGCTGTAAATCTATCTGGTCCAGGGCTGTTTTTGGTTGTCAGTCTACTTATTACTGTCTCAATTTCAGAACTTGTTATTGGTCTATTCAGGGATTCAATTCCTTCCTGGTTCAGTCTTGGGAGGCTGTATGTGTCCAGAAATTTATTCATTTCTTCTGGATTTTCTAGTTTATTTGCATAGAGATGTTTATAGTACTCTAATGGTTGTTTGTATTTCTTTGTGTTCAGTGGTGATATCCCTTTTTTTATGTTTATTATGTTTATTTTATTCTTCTCTCTTTTCTTCTTTATTAGTCTAGCTAGAGGTCTGTTTTATTAATGTTTTCAAAAAACACCTCTTGGGTTTGTTGATTTTTTTGAAGGGTTTTTTATGTCTCTGTCTCCTTTAGTTCTGCTCTGAGCTTAGTTATTTCTTGTCTTCTGCTAGCTTTGGGGTTCATTTACTCTTGATTCTCTAGTTTTTTCAGTTGTGATATTAGGGTGTTGATTTGAGATCTTTCTAGCTTTTGATATGTGCAGTTAGTGCTATAAATTTCCCTTTTAATACTGCTTAGCTGCATCCCAGAGGTTCTGGTACATTGTCTCTTTGTTCTCATTAGTTTAAAAGAACTTCTTGATTCCTGTCTTAATTTAATTACTTACTCACGAGTCATTTGGGAGCAGATTTTCAATTTCCATGTAGTTGTGTGGTTTTGTGTGAGGTTCTTAATCTTGAGTTCTAATTTGATTGTGCTGTGGTCTGAGACACTGTTTGTTATGATTTCAGTTCTTTTCCATTTGCTGAAGACTGTTTTACTTCCAATTATATGATCAATTTTAGAGTAAGTGCCATGTGGTGCCAATAATAATGTATATTCTGTTGTTCTGAGGTGGAGAGTTCTGTAGATATCTATCAGATCCACTTGATCTACAGTTGATTTTAAGTCCTGAACATCTTTGTTAATTTTTCTGCCTTGACACAAATGGAAAAAAATTGCATGCTTATGGATAGGAAGAATCAATATCATGAAAATGGCCATACTGCCCAAAGTAATTTATAGATTCAATGCTATTCCCACCAAGCTACCATCGAATTTCTTTGAAGAATTAGAAAACAGTACTTTAAATTTCATATGGAACCAAAAAAGAGCCCATAGAGCCAAGACAATCCTAAGCAAAAAGAATAAAGCTGGAGGCATCATGCTACCTGACTTCAAACTATACTACAAGGCTACAGTAATCAAAACAGCATGGTACTGGTACCAAAACAGATATATAGATCAATGGAACAGAACAGAGACCTCAGAAATAATATCACACATCTACAACCATCTGATCTCTGACAAACCTGACAAAAACAATCAATGGGGAAGGGATTCCCTAACTAATAAATGGGGCTGGGAGAACTGGCTAGCCATATGCAGAAAACAGAAACTAGAACACTTCCTTACATTTTATAGAAAAATTAACTGAAGATGAATTAAAGACTTAAATGTAAAACACAAAATCATAAAAACCCTAGAAGAAAACCTAGACAATACCATTATGGCCATAGGCATAGGCAAAGATTTCATGATGAATATGCCAAAAGCAATTGCAACAAAAGCAAAAATTGACAAATGGGATCTAATTAAACTAAAGAGCTTCTGCACAGCAAAGAAACTATCATCAGAGTGAACAGGCAACCTACAGAATGGGGGAAAAATTTTGCAACCTACCCATCCGACAAAAGTCTAATATCCAGAATCTACAAGGAACTTAAACAGATTTACAAGAAAAAAAACAAACAACCCCATCAAAAAGTGGCTGAAGGACATGAACAGACACTTCTCAAAAGAAGACGTTTATGCGGCCAACAAACATGAAAAAAGTCTCATCATCACTGGTCATTAGAGAAATGCAAATCAGAACCACAATGAGATACCATCTCACACCAGTTAGAATGGCAATCATTAAAAAGTCAGGAAACAACAGATGCTGGTGAGCCTGTGGAGAAATAGGAATGCTTTTACACTGTTGGTGAGAGTGTAAATTAGTTCAACCATTGTGGAAGACAATGTGGCAATTCCTCAAGGATCTAGAACAAGAAATACCATTTGACTCAGCAATCCCATTACTGGGTATACACCCAAAAAATTATAAATCATTCTACTATAAAGACACATACACACGTATATTTATTGCAGCACTATTTACAATAGCAAAGACTTGTGTGTTGGTGGGCGCCTGTAGTCCCAGCTACTCGGGAGGCTGAGGCAGGAGAATGGCATGAACCCAGGGGGTGGAGCTTTCAGTGAGCGGAGAACGTGCCACTGCACTCCAGCCTGGGTGACAAAGCGAGACTCCATCTCAAAAAAAAAAGACTTGGAACCAACCCAAATTCCCATCAATGGTAGACTAAATAAAGAAAATGTGGGTTGGGTGTGGTGGCTCACACCTGTAATCCCAGCACTTTGGGAGGCTGAGACAGTTGGATCACGATGTTAGGAGATCGATACCATCCTGGCCAACATGGTGAAACCCCGTCTCTACTAAAAATACAAAAATTAGTTGGATGTGGTGGTGTGTGCCTGTAATCCCAGCTATTTGGGAGGCTGAAGCACGAGAATCACTTGAATCCAGGAGGCAGAGGTTGCAGTGAACCAAGATCATGCCCTGCACTCCACCCCGGTGACAGAGTGAGACTCCGTCTCGAAAAAAAAGAAAATGTATCACATATACACCTTGGACACCTTGGAATACTATGCAGCCATAAAAAATAATGAGTTCATGTCCATGTCCTTTGCAGGGACAGGGATGGAGCTGGAAGCCATCATTCTCAGCAAACTAACACGGGAACAGAAAACCAAACATCACATGTTCTCACTCATAAGCGGGAGTTGAACAATGAGAACACATGGACACAGAGAGGGGAACATTACACACAGGGATCTGTCGGAGGGTGGGTGGCAATGGGATGGAGAGCATTAGGACAAATACCTAATGCATGCAGGGCTTAAACCTAGATGACGGGTTGATAGGTACAGAAAACCACCATGGCACATGTATACCTACGTAACAAACCTGCCTGTTCTGCAAATGTATCCCAGAACTTAAAGTAAAAAACTCTTCATAACAGAAAAAAAATATTGCCTCGATGTTTCTAATATTGTCAGTGGGGTGTTAACATCTCCCGCTTTTATTGTGTGGGAGTCTAAGTCTTTTTTCAGGTCTCAAAGAATTTGTTTTATGAATCTGGGTGCTTTTGTATTGGGTGTATATATATTTAGGGTAGTTAGTTCTTATTTAATTAAATGCTTTACAATTATTTAATGCCCTTCTTTGTCTTTTTAAATCTTTGTTGGTTTAAGGCCTTTTTTGTCAGAAACTAAGATTGCAACCCCTGCTTTTTTCTGTTTTCCATTTGCTTGGTAAATTTTTCTCCATCTCCTTATTTTGAGTCCTTATGTGTTTTTGCACGTGAGATGGGTCGCTTAAATACAGCACGCCAATGGGTCTTGACTCTTTATCCAGCTTTCCATTCTGTGTCTTTTAATTGGAGGTATTTAGCCCATTTACATTTAAGGTTAATTGTGTTATGTGTAAATTTCATACTGTCATCATGATGCTAGCTGGTTATTTTGCATATTTGTCTATGTAGTTGCTTTATAGTGTCATTGGTCTGGGTACTTCAGTGTGTTTCTGTAGTGGCTGGTAACAGTTTTTCCTTTCCATATTTAGTGTTTTCTTCAGAAAATCTTGCAAGGCAGGCCTGGTGGTGATGAATTCCCTCAGCGTTTGCTTGTCTGAAAAGGATTTCACTTATGAAGCTAGTTTGGCCAGATACAAACTTCTGTGTTGGAAATTCTTTTATTTAAGAATGTTGATTATTGGTCCCCAATCTCTTCTTGCTTGTAGGGTTTCCACTGAGAAGTCTGCTGTTAGTCTGATGAGCATCTCTTTATAGGTGACCTGGCCTTTTTCTCTGGCTGCCCTTAACATTTTTTCCTTCATTTTGACCTTGGAGAATCTATGATTATGTGTCTTGGAGTTGATCTTCTCATGGAGTATCTTACTGTGGTTCCCTGGATTTTCTGAATTTGAATGTTGGCCTGTCTTGTTAGATTAGAGATTTCTCCTGGATGATATCCTGAAGTATGTTTTCCAACTTGGTTTCATTCTCCTCATCTATTTTAGGGACTTCAGTCAGTTGGAGGTTTGGTCTTTTAACATATTCCCATAGTTATTGAGGGTTTTGTTAGTACCTTTTCATTTTTTTTTCTCTCATCTTGTCTGCCTGCCTTATTTCACCAAGTTAATCTTCAAGCTCTTATAGTCTTTCTTTCGCTTGGTGTATTCACCTACTGACACTTGTATTTGCATTGTGAACAAAGCTGCACTTTCATCAAGTCATTGATGTTCCTCTCTAAACTGGTTATTCTGGTTAACAGTTCCTGTGATGTTTTACCATGGTTCTTACTTTCTTTGCATTGGGTTAGAACATGCTCCTTTAGCTCAGCAAAGTCCACTATTACTCACCTCCTGAAGCCTCCTTCTGTCAATTCATCCATCTCAGCCTCAGCCCAGATCTGTGGCCTTGCTGGAGAGGTGTTATAATCATTTGAAGGAGAAGAGGCACTCTGGCTTTTTGAGTTTTCAGTGTTTTTGCATTGATTCTTTCTCATCTTCTTGGGTTTATCTACCTTCAATCTTTGAGGCTGTTGACCTTTGGCTGGGATATTTGTGGGACTATTTCCATTGATTTTGTTGTTGTTGCTTTCTGTTTTTCTTTTAGCAGTCAGACTTCTCTTCCGTAGGGCCACTGCAGTTTGCTGGGGTGGTCCACTCCAGACTTTATTCACCTGGGTCCCTCCTGCACCTGGAGGTATCACCACTGGATGCTGCAGAACAGCAAAGATGGCTGTCTGCTCCTTCCTCTGGGAGCTCCATCATCCCAGAGGGGCACCAACCTGATGCCAGCAGGAATACTCCTGTATAACATGCCTGGAGACCCTTAATGGGAAGTCTCATCCAGTCAGAAGGAATGGGATCAGAGACCCACTTAAATAAGTAGTCTGGCTGCCCCTTGGCAAAGCAGGTATGCTGAATTGGGGGGAATCCTCCTCTTTTGGACTGCCCTGACTCTCTGGAGCTAGCAGGAAGAGAAGACTAAGACTGCTAATTCCCAGATACCTTGGCTGCCCCTTCCCTTAGGGGCTTATCCCAAGGAGATCAGAGTTCTGTCCTTAAACCCCTGGCTGGAGATGCTGAAATTCCTGCAGGGAGGCCCTGCCCGATGAGAGAGGATAGGCTGGGGTCCTACTTAAAGAGGCAGTCTGGACATGATCTGTCATAGTCACTGTGCTGCACTGTGTGGAATTCCTCCCAGACGAAACCACCCAGTATAGCTGGCACCAGCATTGGAAAATGGCTAAATGGAGCCACAGTGATGGTGGCTTTCCCTCCCAACAGAAACTCGGTTGTCTTAAGCAGTCTACAGCCTGCTGCACTGGCCAGTGGGGATTCCAAGCTAGTGGGTCTTAGCTTGAGGGCTTTTATTGGAGTGGGGCCAACTGAGTGAGGCAGCTTGGCTCCCTGTCTTCAGCCCCCTTCCTACAGGAGTGGACAGCTCTGTGGTCTCACTGGAGTTCCTGGAGCTAAAGTCTACAAAAATCCCTGCATTCTCAGTGCCTGCCAGATTTGCCACTGACCTGAGTGGCTGCTGTGAGTCTGCACATCTCTGTGCTTGGGACCCAAGGCCCTAGTATTGTGGGCTTACAGGGAGATCTCCTGATCCATGGGTTACAAAGATCTGTGGGAAAATCATGGTTTCCCCGGTGGGGTAGCACACAATCACTCACTGCCTCCCTTGGCTGGGGGAGGGAGATCTTTTTGTCTCCTGCAGCTCCCAGGTGGGGTGTCACTCCACCCTGCTTTTTCTCACTCTCCATGGGTCGCGCCAACCATCTAATCAGTCTCAATGAGAGAACCTGGGTACATCAGTTGAAAATGCAGAAGTCACTCACGATTTTCATTCTTCTCAGTGGGAGCTGCAGACCAGAGCTGTTTCTACTCAGCCATCTTGGCCTTTCCCCCAAGAGAAAAGTTTATAGTGGTAAACACCCACATCAAAAAGTTAGAAAAATTTCAGATTAGTGACCATCATACCTCAAGGAACTTCAAAACAAGAGCAAACCAACATCAAAGGTAGCAGAAGAAAAGAAACAACCAAATCAGATCTGAACTTAATGAAACGGAGATAAGAAAAACCGTACAAAAGATCAGTGAAACCAAAAGTTGGTTCTTTGAAAGAAAAAAAAAGATTGATAGACCATTAGCTATACTAATAAAGAAAAAAGGGGGAAGATCCAAATAAACACAATCAGAAATGACAAAAGACATAATCACTGACCCCAAAGAAATAGAAAAAACACTCAGAGACTGTTGCCAACACCTCTATGCCCACAAACTAGAAAACTTAAATGAAATGGATAAATTCTTGGAAATATTTCACCTTTTGAGATTGAACCAGGAAGAAACTGAATATAAGAACAGATGAATAATGAGTCCTGATATTGAATCAGTAATTAAAAACCTACTAATTAAAAAAGAAAACAACCCTGGACCAGATGGATTCACAGACAAATTCTACCAGATGTATAAAAAAGAGCTGGTACCAATCCTACTGAAACTACTCCAAAAAATTGAAGAGGAGGGCGTCCTCTCTAACTCATTCTATGAAGCCAGCATCATTGTGATACCAAAATCTGGCACAGAAACAATGAGAAAGAAAACTTCAGACCAATATTCCTGATTAACATAGATGCAAAAAGCCTCAGTAAAACACTAGCAAACCAAATCAAGCAGTTCATCAAAAAGTCAATCCACCTTGATTAAGTAGACTTTATTCCTTGGGTGTGAGGTTATTTCAGTGTACAAAAATCAATAAATGTAGCTCATCCCATAAACAGACCTAGAAACAAAAACCACATGATAATCTCAATAGATGCAGAAAATGCTTTTGATAACATTTAACATTGCTTCATGTTAAAAACCCTCAACAAACTAGCCATTGAAAGCATATACCTCAAAATAGTAAGAGCTATCTCTGACAAACCCACAGCCAGCATCATAGTTAATGGTCAAAAGGTGAAAGCATTTTTCTCGAGAACCAGAACATGACTAGGAAGTCCACTGTCACCATACGTATTCAGCATAGTACTGGAAGCACTAGCCAGAGTATCAGGCAAGAGAAGAAAATAAAAGGCATTCAAATAGGAGGAGAGGAAGTAAAACTATTTGTCTTCACAGATGATATGATACTATACCTTAAAAAAAATCCCATAGTCTCTACCCAAAGACTCCTAGATCTAATAAACAACTTTAGCTAAGTTTCAGGATACAAAATCAATGTACAAAAATCAGTAGCATTTCTAACACAAATAACATCCAAGTTGACAGCCAAATCAAGAATGCAATCCCATTCACAAAACCCACAAACAAAAAAATATTTATGGATACAGCTAACCAGGGAGGTGAAAGACCTCTACAATGAGAATTACAAAACACTACTCCAAGAAATTAGAGACAACACAAAGGCAAAAACATTCCATGCTTATGGGTAGCAAGAACCAGTATTGTTAAAATGGCTAAAGTGCCCAAAGCAATTTACAGATTCAATGCTATTCCTATCAAACTACCAATGACATTTTCACGGAATTAGAAAAAATATATAAAACTTATTTGGAACCAAAGAAGAGCCCAAATAGCCAAAGAAATGCTAAGTAAAAAGATCAAAGCTGGAGGCATCACAGTACCCAACTTCAAACTATACTACAGGACGACACTAACCGACACATAGACCAATGGAACATGTTAGAGAATCTGGAAATACAGCTGTTGATCTTTGACAAATAAAACCATCTGATCTTCAACAATGCTTACAAAAGCAAGCAACAGGGAAAGGAATCCCCATTCAATAACTGGTGCTGGGATAGCTGGTTAGCCATTTGTAGAAGATGGAAACTGGACCCCTACCTTTTGCCATATACAAAAATCAACTCAAGGTGGATAAAAGAGTTAAATGTAAAACCTAAAACTACAAAGACCCTAGAATGAAACCAGGAAATACCATTCCGGACATAGGAACTGGCAAAGATTTCATAATGAAGATGCCAAAAGCAATTGCAAACAAAACCAAAATTGACAAGTGGGACCTAATTAAACTAAAGAGCTATGCACAGCCAAACAAACTATCAAAGGAGCAAAACAGCATACAGAATGTGAGAAAATATTTGAAAACTATGCATCTGACAAAAGTCTAATATCTAGAATCTTAAGGAACTGAAACAGATTAACAAAAAATGAACAACTCCATTAAGAAATGGGTAAAGGACATGAACAGCCACTTCTCAAAAGATGACATAAATATGGCCAACAGCATATGAAAACATGTTCACTATCACTAATCATTAGGGAAATGCAAATCAAAACCACAATGAGATACCATGTCTCACCAGTCAGAATGGCTGTTATTAAAAAGTCAAAAAATAACAGATGCTGGTGAGGTGGTGTAGGAAAAGGAAAATGTATACACTGCCGGTGGGAATGCAAACTAGTTTAGCTGCTGTGGAATGCAGTCTGGAGATTTCTCAAAGGACTTAAAATAGAACTGCCATTCAACCCAGCAATTCTCTTACTGGGTATATACTCAAAGGAATATAAATCGTTCTACGATAAAGACACATTCACAAGTATCTTCACTGAAACACTATTCACAATAGCAAAGACATGGAATTGACCTAGATGCCCATTAATGGTGGACTGGATAAAGAAAATGTGGTATATATACACCATGGAATATGACGTGGGTATTAAAAAAACGAGATTATGACCTTTGCAGCAACATGGATGGAGCTGGAGGCCATAATCCAAAGTGAATTAATACAGGAACAGAAAACCAAATAGTGCATGTTCTTACTTATAAGTGGGAGCTAAACAGTGAGTACACAGGGACACAAAGAAGGGTACAATAGAAACTGGGGCCTATTTGAAGGTGGAGGGTGGAAGGAGGGTTAGGATTTAAAAACTACATATTGGGTATTATGCCGACTACCTGGGTGACAAAATTATATGTACATCAAACACCCATGACATAAAATTTATCCACCTAACAAACCTGTACATGTACCCCTTTAACCTAAAATAAAAGTTGGAAAGAAAAAATAGAAAGGAAATAATAATACTGCTTTCAGAAAGAGAAAAATGGGTGATCTCAGAGCCTGTATTCTACTTGAATTCCCAGAGGAAAGCAGCTGATCCAGTAAGCATAGGATTTAGGTTGTCAAGGTGAGCCCAGGGTACAGAAATCTTATGGTGACAGAGTACACTGAAGTGGAATGTGTATTTGAAAGTTCAAACAGGCTGCTTTTAACTTGGAGGTAGGGCCACTCTTTTACAGAGCATCTAATGTTTTCCAGGACCCCAAGCAATATTCAACATTTATCTTGGGTTAAATCTAGAATTTTTGTAATTCAATAAAAGGACTGTCTCTTAAAGAATCAAGCCAGCAAATAGTACTATGGAAACTGGAATGCACCAAGAGAAAAGTGTGCCTTTGGGTGCTGGCAAAGTATAAAGAACCTAGATTAAATATTTAAGTAAACAAAAGTAGAGCAATGAACTACAGCAAATTAGCGGATAAAAGTGTTGTAAGTGGAAAGGATTTACCAGAATTCCCTTTTAAACATGGGCTGCAGAGCCATCTTAACATGTCTTAAATAGTTGTAGGATGTAAATACCTATTATAATAAAAGAAAAGCTGGCATGGTTAGATCGGTTTCAAGGGAAGTTAATGAAGTCGACAGGAAACAACTGGTATCAGGAGCTCTAAATCAGTGAAGCTGAAAGAATGAGGTTACATGGAAAAGAAAGAAAAGTGCCATCTATTTGATCCATGAAGTAAACATTTTTCTTGTTAAATAGTCTTAGTTTTAAGAAATGTAAACACTTGCTCATTGTAACAAATGAAGAGGAAGAAAACAAGTTTTAAAAAATATCTCCAGCTGACTCCCAGCCTCCTCCACTCCAATATGCCTGAGAATAACAGATTTGTGTCTTTTACAAACTATTATATAGATAAATGGGACTGTGTGGCAATGTTTTTTTACAGAACCAATATACTACCATGGTTTCTTTTTGCAATTTTTTATTCTCATTTTGTAATGTATTATGGACAGCCTTTCAGATGAATAGACAAAAAATATTCCATTAATAATGGACTCTCAGATTGTTCCCAATTCTTGTCATTATAAGCAATGGTGCAAACAAACAAAAATCTTGTATGTGTATTTTTATATATAGTGCTGTCATTTCAGTACAGTCAAATAAAAGGCTTATGGAACTTTAATTATACTAGATAATGCCAGATTATTTTAAAATAAGTTTTAGCTATACATTCTCCCATGACCAATGTGGTTAAAAAAAGTTTCTCATGTAACTAGATCTGAATATTATAGGTATTTTATAAAATTTTCCAAATATGAATAATAAAATATGTTTCTGTTGTTTTAACTTGCTTTTTCCTGAGTTTTGTGACTTTGGAGTGTGGGTGACAGCTTTTAAATAAACGTTTCTATCCATTTTATTGTTTCTCTTTTGAATTGCTGATTCATCTTTTTGGCCACTTTTTATGAATGTTTTTTCCTTTTTAGTTGTTTTTCATCATTTGTAGGATGCCTTTATATATTCTGAAACTTAGGTCATCTCTCAACATATTTGGACTTTGTTTTATAGTTCATTTCATATAGGCAGTTTACCTGTGTTACCAATTTTGTCACTAGATGTTTGTAATTTTTTTTGCAGGTAGAATATTTTCTTTTTAATTTAGCAGTAGAGTACCCCTAAAGAAGTGTTAGAAAATGTAAATATACACCTCAATGAATTAGCACCAAATATACACCCAAGTAACCACTTTTTAGTTTAGAAAATTGACCATTGCCAGCACTGTAAAAAGCCGCCCGCCACCAAAAACCCATGCCACCTCCAACCTCTCCATCCTTCCCCAAAGTAGCCACTTTCGCAACTTCAAACTCTTTCTCTATATTTGCTTTTTATGTATTTTTTTCTTTTGTTAAACAACTTATAGAATGAATAATAAAATGTTTATTATTTGTGTTTAGCTGCCTGGGTCAACATTGTGTGTTTAAATTCATGTATTGCATGAATCTAGTAGCTTTGGGTTGGACTTCCTATGAATAGAAGTGGGGAAAGCAGGCATTCTTCCTTGTCTCTGATTTTAAAGGAAAACTTTTCAAACTTTCATCATGTTTGCTGTGGGTTTTTACATATAATTTTTAATATATTGAGGTAGTTTTGTCATATTCCTATTTTGTTGCACGTTTTTATTAGGAGAGCGTGTTAAATTTTGTCAGCTTTCTTTCTTTTTTGCATCAAATGAGATGATAGTTTGTCAGGTTCAAATCAGCCTAGCTGTGCTAATTCTGACCACAGGGCCAGAGGTTTTATAATGACTCCATGGCCAATTAAATGCTTTTGAATTCATGGTTTATTCTGAGGCTGTCAGAAGCCAACAAACATGCAAATTATACATAGGCATTATTGGTATACAACATACATACAAATATATAGGTGTACATACATTATTTAACACACATAGGCAGTAATAAGAGAGAGGGAGAACCAATCACAGGGAGTAGCTTGGAGATGTAGGGAGGCAAGTGCTCAGCAGAACTTCCAGCAGCCACTGCCCATAGAAAAGAGGCTTCACAGTTCTCCCCCCACCAAGAGCTTCTGCAGGCATCTAGGCCGTGGTCAATTTATGTGAAGCTTTTATGACCCTCTGCAGGAATGTCCATAGCCATGATCTCAGTTGCCTTGCTTTCTTGTCAAGCCTTGGGGGTGTCTGTCCACAGCAGATGTTATCTTAGAACCTCAGTCTACCATACATGTGCACATCACTTTGAGGGGTCAGTAATTTCACTTTAGGCTGAGTCACTTATCATAAGTGACTCCATTTTGAGAAATTTGGGATCACAAAACATTATCATATATCAGATGATCATGTGGTTTATTTTCCTTCATTCTGCTGATATGGTGTATTACGTTGACCGGGTGTTTCTAGGAAGTTGTTTATTTTATCTAGGTTATCCAATTTGTTGGCATATAACTGTTAATAGTACTCTCTTATAATCTCTTATATTTCTGAGATTCGTATTTTTTTCCTTAGTTAATCTAGTTAAAGCTTAGCCAATTTTTGTTAACTCTTTTGAAGAGCTGACTTTTGGCTTCATTCATTTTATCCAATGTTTTTCTATTCTCCATTTTATTTATTTCTGCTATAATCTTTATTATTTCCCTCCTTCTGCTAGCTTTGGGTTTAGTTTCTCCTTTTTTTATAGTACCTTAAGTTGTCAACTTAGTTTGTTCATTTGAGATCTTTCTTATTTTTTTTGTTTTCTGTTTTGTCACCCAGGCTGGAGTGTAGTGGAGTGATCTCAGCGCACTGCAACCTCCACCTCCCAGGCTCAAGCAATCCTTTTTATCTCAGCCTCCGAAATAGCTGGGACTACAGGCATGATTACACCACCAGGCCTGGCGAATTTTTTTGTATTTTTGGTAGAGACAGAGTTTTGCCATGTTGTCCATGTTGGTCTCAAACTCCTGAGCTGAAGTGATCCACCTGCCTCTTTATTTTTTAATGTAAATGTTTATAGCTATAAATGTGCTTTTTAGGACTGCTTTTGCTATATCTCATAAATTTTGGTAGTTTTTGTCATTTTATGAAATTAGATGCATCTCTTTTTAAATTAATTTTAAACAATTGACACTTTGCAATTATATTTACTACTGGGGTACAATTTTATGTTTCAATACATATATATGTTGTATAATGATCCATTCAGGGTAATGTACCCATCACCTCATGCATGTGTTACTTCTTTGTGGCAGCAGCATTCAAAAACCTCTCTTCTAGCTATTTTGTAAGATACAATATTCTACTGTTAACCATACTTTTTAATTTCTTTTCTGATTTCTTCTTTGATACACTGGTTATTTAATTTTAAGAGTGCATTTTTCAATTTTTGTGAATTTGTTAATCTTCCAGTTTCTTTGTGTTATTTATTTCTAACTATCTTGTATTTGTAGAACATACTTTGTATGATATCTATCTTTCTAAATCTATTGAGATGTAATTTGTGACCTAATATATGCTGTATCCTGGAAAATTACCCTGTGCAATTGAGAAGAATGTGTATTCTGTTGTTCTTAATTAGTATATTCTATATATATCTGTGAGATCTAGTTGGTTTATTGTGTTATACAAGTCCTCTATTTTCTTACTTGTTTTTTGTCTGGTCATTTTATCCATTATTGAGAGTGAGGCACTGAAGTTTCCAAATATTACTGTAGAACTATTTCCTTCTTTCAGTTCCGTCAATTTTTGCTTTATATATTTTACAGTCTGTTATTAGTGTGTTAATGTTTATAATTGTCTTCTTGCTGTCTTAAATCTCTTATTAATTTATAATGTCCTTTTTATCTCTTATAAGCTATTTTATTTAAAGTCTGTTTTGTCTGATGTTAGTCTAGCCACACTTGCTCTCTTCTGGTTACTATTTGCACAGAATTTTTTTTTCCATACTTTCATTTTAAACCTATTTATGTCTTCGGAAATTAAGCAAAATTAATTGCAGTTTACCAAGCAAGCCTTCCCTTGGATGTTGCAAGCCTTCAATAGACTCTATAATTCCAAAATAATTATATCAGACAGATTCTGCCAGTGTAATTGTTGTCTAGGTGGGGAGGCTGAATTATCATGCTTCCTACTTCACCATCTTCCCAGACTCCTCAAGTCTAATTGAGGTTTTAATGGGAACTTTTTGGTTTACTGATGAGGTTGAGTACCTTTTCATATCTATTTGGTTTGTATGTTAGGTGAGTTTCTTTCTTTCTTTCTTTTTTCCTTTTTGCCATTTAGATATCTTCTTTTTTTTATTATACTTTAAGTTTTAGGGTACATGTGCACATTGTGCAGGTTAGTTACATACGTATACATGTGCCATGCTGGTGTGCTGCACCCACTAACTTGTCATCTAGCATTAGGTATATCTCCCAATGCTATCCCTCCCCCCTCCCCACACTCCACAACAGTCCCCAGAGTGTGATGTTCCCCTTCCTGTGTCCATGTGATCTCATTGTTCAATTCCCACCTATGAGTGAGAATATGCGGTGTTTGGTTTTTTGTTCTTGCGATAGTTTACTGAGAATGATGATTTCCAATTTCATCCATGTCCCTACAAAGGACACGAACTTCTTTTTTGAGGGGACTGCTGAAGTTCATTTGCACTTTTGTCCATTCAATTGTGTTTTCTTACTGATTTCTAGAAATTCTTTGTATATTATAAAAAGAACTCTTTTATTGATTACATATTTTTCAAATCCATTCTCCCACCCCATGGCTTGCCTTTCTATTTTCTGTCTCTTGATGAAAATTAATTCTTAATTTTATGTAGTCAATTTTATCAATTCTTTTAAAAAATAATTACTACGCGTTTTGTGTTCTCTTGGAAGTATCTTTTCTTACTCTAAACTGATGAATTTTCTCCTATAGTACCTTTGAGAAACTTTATTAATTTACTTTCACTTTTAAATCTTCAAACCATCTAGGACTGGTAGTATGGTATTTGTTAGGGATCAAGTGGATACACATTTGACAATTACCCCTTAAAGAAAAGATAGTTGTTTTTCTACTTCTCAGTGTCATCTCGTTATAAACCAAATATCTATAGAAGAATATTTAGTTTTCTGGACTCTCTATTCCATTGGTTTTGTCAGCATGTCGGTCTATCCTTGCAAGAGTATCACATTGTCTTTATTATGAGGCTTTAATACAAACTTTTGATCTAACAGAGTAAATTTTCACACCTTGTTCCACTTTAAGAGTGTCACGACCATTCTTGCCCTTTTTCACGTCCACATATATGTTAGAACTGGCTTTTCAAATCACACATATACACACATTCACATACACACACAAACTCATTGGCATTTTTATTTGAATAACATTGCTTTTATAGATTGGTTTGAGAAAAATCGAAATCTTAAAAATACTGAGTTTTCCAATGTATAAGTATAATTTATCCCTCTATTTATTTTGGTCTTCTTTAGTTTATTTCAATAATGCTATATTTTTCTGTGAAGAAGTCATGATCATCTTTGTTGCATTTTCCTAGATATATTTGATATTTTTGTGTTATTATGACTGATTTTTTTTTTTTGAAACAGGGTTCACCCTGTTGCCCAGGTTGGAGTGCAGTGGCACAATCTAGGCTCACTGAAACCTTTGCCTCCCAGGTTCAAGCAATTCTCCCACCTCAGCCTCCCTAGGACCTGGAATTACGGGTGCACCCCACCATACCTGGCTAGTTTTTTGTATTTTTTGTAGACATGGGGTTTCACCATGTTGGCCAGACTGGTCTCAAATTCCTGACCTGAAGTGATCTACCCTCCTTGGCCTCACAAAGTGCTGGGGTTACAGGCCTGAGCCACCATGCCCAGGCAAATATTTATTTTTAGAAAAAAAAATTCTTATATATTGATCTTGTAACCAACAAACTCCACAAACTATTTGTATATATTATCTATAGATTTTTTAGATTTTGTATACACCAGACAGCATAATACATAAATAAAATCAGTTTTGATTATTTATTTCCAAGAGTTATATATTTGAAAATATTTCTTGTTGAAGTAAACCTGCATATGGTAAAGTCATGAATCATAAGTATACATCTTGATTAATTATCACAAAGAGAGCAATGCAAAAATTAATTCTAGGTGAGAAAAACATGACCTGAACATATGCTGGGCTCGTCTCATTTAATTAACTGACTTATAACCCTGTAGGAAGAATTTTTATAATATTAAATTTAATATAAATGGGATCATAAATGTATTAGTCTGGGTTCTCTAGTGAAATGGAACCAATAGGAGACAGATATATCTATATCTACATATTTATAGCATTCTCTCTCTATGTATATATATATATATATATATATATATATATATACACACACACACACATATATAGACACACAGAAATATCTAGCTGTATCTATATATGGATATATATGTTTATTTATGTATCTGTATATGTGTATATGTGCTACATTTGTTAAACGAATAATAATAAATGTGTAGGTTTATTTCTGTATTCTTCATTCTGTTTCATCTGTTGATTTGTCTATTTTTGCTCTAATATTGCAACTCTTAATTAGAGTAGCTTTATAATAAGACTTACTACATAGTTCATGTTCTCTAACTTGGTTCTTCTTTACAAGCTTGTTTTGGGTGTCTCGGCCCTTTATATTCCATATAAAAGTCATGAAAATTGCTTATCTACCTTAGAAAAGAAAACTGGTTAAGAATTTTATTGGGATTGAATGGGATCTATGAATCAATTTCAGGGACTGACATTATAACAACATTAAGTCTTCTGTATCCCTCTATGTTATTAGGACTTCTTTCATTTCTGTCAGTACTATTTTTTGGTTTCTTTCACAGATGTTGCACTTTTCTAAAGATTTATTTCTTTTTTATACTATTGAAAATCTTATTAATTTTTTTCCATTTGTTTGTTGCTAGACTAAAAAATACAATGGATTTTTTTTACATATTGATGTATCTGGTGACCTTGCCAAATTTTTTTAGTAATTCTGATAGTTTTTCTTTAGATTATTTTGGATTTTCTTTTTTTTTATTATTATTATACTTTAAGTTTTAGGGTACATGTGCACAATGTTGGTGGGACTGTAAACTAGTTCAACCATTGTGGAAGTCAGTGTGGTGATTCCTCAGGGATCTAGAACTAGAAATATTTGACCCAGCCATCCCATTACTGGGTATATACCCAAAGGACTATAAATCATGCTGCTATAAAGACACATGCACACGTATGTTTATTGCAGCACTATTCACAATAGCAAAGACTTGGAACCAACCCAAATGTCCAACAATGATAGACTGTATTAAGAAAATGTGGCACATATACACCATGGAATACTATGCAGCCATAAAAATGATGAGTTCATGTCCTTTGTAGGGACATGGATGAAATTGGAAATCATCATTCTCAGTAAACTATTTTGGATTTTCTACAACATAATCAAGTTCTCCACGAATAATGAACATTTTATTTCTTTATTTCTGGTGACTATCCCTTTTGTTTCACTTACTTGCCCTTTGCATTTGCCAAGATCTCCAAAACAATGTTAAATAATTATTGTCCTTTTGTTCCAATTTCAAAGGAAAAGCTTTCAACATTTCTCCATCAACTAACATAATCACTATCAGAGTAAGAAATTTCCTTCTATTTATAGTTTGCTGAGTTTTAAAATCATAAATCCATGCTGAAATTTTTCATATGTTTTTATTCCATCTATTGACCTGTTGATATTTTTTATTTTCAATGAATTGAATTATTACACATTTTTAAATGTTAACTAATCTTGCAGTGTTTTGAGTATATGTTTTTAATGTATTGCTGAATGCAGTTTGCTGTTTTTGTTGGAGTGGAATTTTGCTTTGACAGTTATGCATAAGATTGGTTTGTACTATCATTTTACTTTAATGACTCTGTTAGGTTTTGCTATTAAGTTTATGCTGGCCTCATGAAAGAAGTTGGGAACCGTTCTTTTCTGTTATTTGATAGAGATGTTCCTTCTCTTTTTCCTTTTTCTTTTGTGGCTGATAGTAGTGTAAGTAACAGGGATTACCTAGTTTATAAAGGCAATTGTTACAGATTGATTTATTTCCTCCCAAATTTTTGTGTTTATTTCATAACCCCCAATGTGAGTGTATTTGAAGAAAGGCTCTTTGGTGAGATAATTAAGATTAAATGAGGTTATGAGGATGGGGTCCTAATCCAATAGGACTGGTGTCCTCCTAAGAAGAGGAAGATACATCAGAGATGTTTCACTACACATGCATAGAGCAGAGGCCATTGAAGACACAGCGAGAAGGTGGCCATGTGCAAGCCAGGAAGGGAGGCTTCTCTAAAATCCAAACTTGATAGGATCTTGGTCTTATCTTTAACAGATAAATTTCTGTTGTTTAAGCTACCTAATTTGTGGTCCTGTGCTATGGAAGCCTGAGCAGACTAATATAGTTATTAAGAAATAAGATGTAGGCTGGGGGCAGTGGCTTATGCCTGTAATCCCAGCACTTTGGGAGGCCGAGGCGGGCAGATCACGAGGTCAGGAGATCGAGACCATCCTGGCTAACACAGTGAAACCCCATCTCTACTAAAAATACAAAAAAAAAAATTAGCCGGGCACGGTGGCGGGCGACGGTAGTCCCAGCTACTCTGGAGGTTGAGGCAGGAGAATGGTGTGAACCCGGGAGGTGGAGCTTGCAGTGAGCCGAGATGGTGCCACTGCACTCCTGCACTCCAGCCTGGGAGACAGAGTGAGACTCCATCTGAAAAAAAAAAAAAAAAAAGAAAGAAATAAGATGTAAAACCAACTGGACCAACAGGTGACTCTTTCAAAAAAAGTTGTTTTTTAATTCCTTCTTTGGCCTCTTCTATGGTCATTGATTTATTCAAGTTTTTTTCTACCTGAATTAAAAATAGTATATTACATTTTTAGGAAATCAGCTACTTTCTCCAAATCTTAAAATTTATTTTTAATGTAGTATAAACTTAAAATCTCATTTTTAAGTTTGTAAATTAATTTCTCCATTGATCATTAAATGGATGGAACTAGTGAAATATTAAGTTAGATAGCTTGATCATTTTGCTACCCTACGTCTTGTTTTAAATAGTCTGTTTATTTAAAAACTTTTTGTTTACTTTTCATTTATTTTGTTTTCTCTCTTAGTACTCAAATGCAGTCAGCCACATCTCTTTTCTTTTCTCAATTCAAAAGGATCAATAGTAGAAAATATATGATATCAAACCTTGTATCTAGCTCAAAGTGGCAATTCACCCACAATCACACATATCTACCTACCCCCAGCCTGATCCTCCTCTTCTCTTCCTTTTCTACGGATAGGCATGTTGAGTTTGAAGTGTTTGTGTAAAATTATAATAGAGATCTACCATATGCAGTGAGATTTGAGACTGAAATTCAGAAAAGTTGTCTGGAATGGAGCTACAAGTAAAAGAAGCATGATTCTGGATAAGATAGCATGGGAATATTGTATAGAGTGAGAAGAGGAGAGGGCCTAGGATTCAACCATGACTAGTTGCAACATTTAAAGTCTAAGCAGAAAAGTGCAAGCCAAATTGGCAAAAAAAGACAAGGAAAATGTGGCCACAGAGGTGGCAAGAGAATCTAGTGTCATGAAAGTCAACAGAATAGAGTGTTCTGGAAAGAGGCAATTTAATGATGCTGCATAGTCAAGAGTAGAAAATGTCCAGTAGTTTGAGTGTTATTAAGGTTTTTGAAACCATATTAAAAATGATTTCAGTGACATAAACGAATGGAAACCATAATGAAGAGGATGAATAAGAGGAGAGGAAATTTGAAAAGTACTTTAACGTCCTCCCGTTGCTCTTAGCATAAAACCCAAAATTCCTTATCTAATTTGCAACACACCCTCTGACCTGTTCCTTCTTTCTTCTCTGGCTCATCTCATGGCATTTCCCTACTTTGAACTCCAAGTAACACTGTGTTTATTTCAGTTCTCTGAATATGCCAGTCTTGTCCACCAGACTGTAAGTTTTATGAGGGATGGAATCAGGTCTGTCTTGCTGAATAAACTTCCTCAGTATCTAGCAGAGTGGCTTACATGAGGTAGATGTCCAATAATGATTTCTTGAATCTATTAATAACACTTCTTGTGCTTAAATGAAATATAGGAGTGAGGGGAAGAAGACATAAGGGGAAAAAAGGAAGAGCCAAAAAGCAGAGGAGAGAACAAGAAGAGAAACAAAAGGCGGGGTAGAAAAAGAAAACATAAAAACAAATACAGAGGTCAACAATTACCAGATTTCCTAGATAAAATCCAAAGTCTTTAATTATCTGTAGCTTACACATGCATGAACATGCTTTACCATGATTACACATGATTTGCCTCTTGACTAAGAGGTACACATGATTTACCCTTTGACTAAGTTTGTAGTTCTCGTCTGGCCATTGGTCCACATCCACTCCAACACATTCTTGCACTATAGCCTACACTCGAGCCCTGGAAAACTGTATGCATTAATTGCATAGGAAATAATCTGTATTATTTGTTATATTATCTCTGACTACTAGGCTTTTAAAATGCTATTCCTTTTGCCTGGATCTTTCCTCCCTTCCCAAAGTTCAAACAAGTGATTGAACTGTTTTCTACTAAACCATGTATCTCAGCTTAGATCTTACATTCTTCTGAAAGTGTTTTTTCATAGTACTCCAATGAAGATTAGCATTATGGCAGTATATAAATAACATTGTTTTTGGTACATAGTGTAAACTAATTAAAAATAAATATTATTATTGGTGTAGTGGTTATCTTTATATAATACTTAGAGTGATTGAGGGAAATATGTTTTGCTTTTGCCAAAAATTTATTATTGAGCTATGAAGGGGATTCTAGAGTATTAACCAAGTTCTTATTAGTTTTAAGCCACATCTGACTCACAGTCAAGGTATACAAGCAGTAATTAAGAAATTTGACATGAAAGTTTTTTTTTTTTTTTTGGCTAACTTTGCTGTTTTCTTTTTAAACATTTTGGCCAACAGTTGTCACAGCAAGGATTTGTTATTTATTGAAAGTTTGCAATGATTAACAGGCCCTGTAGTGATGCACATATCCTGAGTGCTCCGAAAGAGAGAAAAGGTACTTGTGTGCTCTTTTGAGAATATGTAGATGTAGTGGGGCAGTGGATTACATGGACAGTGATGGTTTGATTATAGTGAGTATCTTCATGTAGGAATCCATGCTTTTGTTTATTTGAGAAGACAGCTTCAAAGCAAAATCCTATTTTACGGACTTCAACAAGAAATATAGTCTTAGGAACAATGGGGTATATGCTTGGTTTTCTTCTGAAATAATCAGTCTTATTTTCTTTAAGAAGACAATACATGATATGGAAAAGAATAATCAGTCTTACTTTCTTTAAGAAGACAATACTTGTTTGTGGAAACAAACAAAAAAACTGACAGAATTTTAGCTATTTTATAAACGATAAATTGGCAAAAATGCTGAAATAATTTTATATATCTGACACAATTGAAGTACCACTTTACTTAAAATCTGAGATCAGGATTTACATGGTGAAGGGCAAAAACCATGTTCAATTGAATCTGAGTAAAAAATATCTTAGTCACTCACATGTCTAGGTTGGAATTATTTCTATAATTATCACACCTTTAGACCAATTTTTAAATATGGAATTATTTAAACCATGAAAATATATCATACCACACTTTTCAAAAAAGGGGAAATAATTTATTCATCAGATATCTACTATATGTCTACTATGTGGCATATATATGTTGTATATTTCAGTTACTAAGGATACAGCAGTGAACAAAACAGACAAATATCTCTGCCTTTCTGCAGTTCAAGTCTAATATGGGTGGAGAAATGAATAATATGCAAATAAATCATATGTCAGAGAGTCTTGAATGGTATAAAAACAATGTAACTAAGTAGGGCAGGAGAAGTGGGTGGAAGAGTTGCTGTTTGAAAAAGAATGTGAGGAAAGCTTGAATGAGTTAGATGAGAATTGAAGTGGTAAGACTGTGGCCATCAGATATGAGGAGGAAGAGCATTTCTAAGGGCAGAACAGAGCAAGTACAAAGACCCAGAGATGAGGTTGTGCTTAATGTGTTTGGGAAATTGCAAGGAAGCTAGTGTGAGTATGATGATAATAAGGGTCTGAGATAGTGTGAAGGGCAACGTGAATGGAGGAGTGCATGTCAGGGAAGAAAGAGGTCAGAAAATTGGAAAGGGTATGGATGTGGATATTGAAATCATATTTATAGGGTATATGTCATATTTTGATACATGCACAGAATGTATAATGATCAAGTCAGGGTATTTAGGATATCCATCACCTTAAGCGTTTATCATTTCTTTGTGTTGGGAACACTTTAAATCCTTTCTTCCAACTATGTTGAAATATACAATATGTTGCCGGGCGCTGTGGCTCACGCCTGTAATCCCAGCACTTTGGGAGGCCGAGGCGGGTGGATCATGAGGTCAGGAGATCGAGACCATTCTGGCTAACACGGTGAAACCCTGTCTCTACTAAAAATACAAAAAAATAGCCGGACGTGGTGGCAGGCGCCTGTAGTCCTAGCTACTCAGGAGGCTGAGGCAGGAGAATGGCGTGAACCTGGGAGGAGGAGCTTGCAGCGAGCTGAGATCACGCCACTGCACCCCAGCCTGGGCGACAGAGCGAGACTCCATCTCAAAAAAAAAAAAAAATGTGTATTTATACACACACACACACACACACACACACCCACACACCCACACACACACACAATATGTTGTTGCTAACTCTTGTCACCCTACTGTGCTATTGAATATCAGAAATCCTTACATCTGACTGTATGTTTATATTTTGATAAAATGACATTCAAAGGAAGGTATTTTCATGGAGGAGAAAGGGAATATAGCCTGAAATGAGCAGCTTCTAGAAGAGCAGAGAGGACAACTGGCTGGAGCGATGGGGGAGAGAAAAAAGCCTGGTCTAGGGTTTTGAGGGATGTGGGAGAAACAGTTACCACTTGAGAAGGCTGCAGAGGAAGCAGTGTTCTCAGAGGTGAGACTCAATTCAACTAAAGCAATAAAATAAATGCAGAGTCAAAGTTAAAGGTAGGGGATTTTGTGGATGACTGACAGTTAATCAGTTACAAAATACTCAGTGATTTGTCAGCTTCAAAAAGTGTTTTTGTGATTTGGCCTTTAAGATTTAATTTTAAAACCATACCTGCTAATCACTTATCTTATTTGTTCAGATTTAGAGGTGGAGACACAATCAATGCCAAGTTTTTGTAACTAGTCTAAATGTGAAATACACAGAGCTCTGGCCTTGCTCCAATTATGGGAATAATTATAAATATCATTTTAACTTCATTTTTCAGAACGGGGCCATAGCAGGCATAAAAGCAACAATTTATCAAACTGCCTGAGGGAATGATGTAAAAAATGCTCATCAAGAATATCCATCTGGACAGGACAAAAAATGACGCTGAGAGGACTTTGGAGAGTTTCTACCCAGTTTTCCTAAATTCCAGGAAGTTTTCTTAGTAGAAATGATGATGACTGAAAGCTACTTCATTTCTGGGATACTTGAGACTTCTGGTCTGCATATGTGACTGTAGGAAGAAATAAATAATTTATGTTTTGGAAAAACCCTAATTACCTAAAGATGACTCTCATGGAGTAAAAGGGAAATGGGCATTTGTCTTGTTTTCCCAAACTCTTTCAGTACTCAGTGAATAAAAATTAAGGTAACAACATGAATTCAGAAGGGCTTCTTATTTGAGCTCTCTTACCTGTGCAGACTTATATTATTGTGTGTGTGACAGGCATTTTCCTTATTTTATTTTATACAATGTGTGTGAATAAATTTTTATACAACTTCTTTTATTAAAGGCAGAGAATGCTTCAGCTTACCTTTGTATTATCTACATTTTGGAAACAGAATGAATATTCAAATGTTGAATTAGCTCGAATAAATGAATAGTTCTTATTTTCCAAGTTTTCCATTTTTAAATACATGTGATTACCAGTACCAAGAAAAGTTTCAGAAGGTAAAAAGGAAAAATAATAACTATTTTTCTGGTTTGTCTTTGTCTTTCATTGTCACATATTTTACTTCTTAGTCTTGCTTGATAGCAGTCATGCAAAAAAGAACAATCCAACTTCGAAAATCAGGCAGTTAATGTTTTTACGGATATGATAAATACACCGATGACTCTTCCACAAAGAAAATGTCAATCTTCAAATGTAATACACATAAAACCTAGCTTTCTTAGCGTTTAGTGCCAATATCACTTTCAAACAAGCAACAGCCTGTTACCCAAGGAATTAAAAGTAATTTGCATCTTTAATGAAGCCTCTCTTGAAATTACCACAGGGTAAAATAAAGAATATATTCTTAACACATAGAAAAACTTCTAATACATAACTTTTCCTTATATGTTTTAGTTTTACCTATCTCCCACAAATAAGTGACTATCCCAAATCTCTCTCCTCTTCCTTTCTAAACTACTCCAAACTCTCTTTTGACCTTTGGTTATGATGATCTTACAAATTTTTTTTCCCATTGCCATTATTCTATCCCCTGACCTGCTGTGACATCCATTTACATAAAATTGTCCAGAAATCTGTTGGTGAGACCAAACCTTCTTTAGCTGAAATGGGGAAACGATGGGCTGTGAAAACTCAAGCTTTAATATTTTAGCCCTGGCCAAATAAGTTATAGTAGGGGTTCAGCAGAAGTGAGTGAGAAAGAAAAATCTTTATTTGATCTTCAGGATTTCCAACTAAAAACACCAGTTAGAAAAATATTTACATTAAGCCTCCAAAGTAAAAAGATTTTGCTGGGTCTTTGCTTTAGTTTAGATTTGAAATAGAAATGAAAACTTCTCATGGCTCTCATTCCATATATGGATTAATTTCTTATCCAAATATTCTTTTGCTTTTGCTCAGTAGCTCTTGGGGATTTTCTCACTGTCATGCCCATGAAAGAAAGAAGGGCACTCAAGGAGAAGATTCTAACACTGAACTGCGTGGAAGGTTGAGAAAAAAGGGAACTACCATTTTCCAGAAGCCTTTTAAAGGGAAACAGAACACAAATCCTCTAATTAGCAAGAGCAGACTCAAGACAAGCAGGCAGCCTTCTGTTTACCTCAGGACTAGGAAGGAGACCAGCTGGCATTCTCTCAAAGATAGCAAATGCTATTTATTGCTGTGTGAAAGAACCTTGCCAGATTAAGTGTATTTGAAGAAAAAAAAAATAAAGTTTACATGAGTGTTTTTTAAACCCCTGAAGAAAATGAGTTTGGTATAAGAAGATTCTCTGGAAGCCAAGTTAACTCTGCAGTGTTCTTTTCTTCTTCATCTGCAAATTGAAAATAATACTATTTGGCCTACGCAGTCTCTCGGATTTGTTGGGAGGATCATAAAAAATAATATTTGTGAAAGCATGTGAAGAAATAAGCTATAACTTTCCATTTATACTGTACAAATGTAAAACAGTTTTATATATTTTGATTATTATCATGACTATCATAAGGCCAATGTACAAACCTGGCTTTTTTGAAATAAAATTAATAGAAAAGGATTGGACTATTGGGCCTCCCTGGAACATGTGAAGCAATTTAGAAAAAATTAAGTATTAAATAATCATTTAAAAATCACTTGGATGCAGTATCAGCTTTGAAGCTTCTAGGCTACAGTGTACCTTTATATGTATTATTATAGTGTTTTCTTTAGTATTGTGTGATAAAAGAGGCAAACTTCTATGAAAAATTCAGAAACTAATAAGATGTACATAATATGAAAAGAAAAAAAGAAAGGGAAATCGTCAAAACTGGTTCCACAGCAGAATATTTTAATAATGCAAATTATAGCAAAATGCAAGCTGAGAAATCACCAAAATAATAAAGCGATTTATAGACTTAAAAACTACCTTTTCTATTGAATTAGAGCACAAAGAAAAATCATTTTAATCTAGATAATTGTGGGATTTACAATTTTCTTTTAAAAAGAAAATTTGCTTTGTAAATGTTAGTATTGGTCAATATCACCAACAACTTTACTTTGTGAGATCTTGTCAGCTGGAAGAGACCATAGCAATGTTCGAGGTTTTTTGTTTGTTTGTTTGTTTTGCTTTGTGGTAGGGGTACTCCTGACACTTGAAGTGGGAAAATTCTTCATTGTGCTTTGGAGATGTGTAGCATTCCCATTCTGAGGGAAACAGGCATCAGAAGGCTCTCATAGTCACAGTGACAAACAAAGTTGTCAAAATATCCCTCCGGATTTCCAGCAATCGCTCAGATGGTGGTAAATTCTACTCCATCTTTCCTGGGAGCCACTTCATATTACACATCAGGAATCAGAGTCCCAAGGAAGTTAGTAGATTTTCCAAAATCCACAGAATGGCAGACCTGAGACGCAACTTTCCTTCCTGGTACTTTTCCACTACCTCATATGCCTCCTCTCCAAGTTCCCGTAAAGTGCAATTGGAATAACCGTGTGTGACACAACAAAGTTTGAACAGAGATTACCTCTCTAGAGCAGTAATGAGGGCACAAAAGTGAAAGGAATTTCACTTTTCCATATTTTTGTGAATTCTTTTAATAATTCACAATAAGTACACATTGGATTTGTGATGTTTAAAACAAAAAACAAAATTCTATTTGATGTCCTTTCTTGCTACTCGTAAGACAGTTTAGAGAAGAATATTTTTGAATACTCCGTGGAGTACTTCTTTCCATTTTTATGCATGGAAAGAAATGACACCAAATGCTGTCCGGGTGTTACTCTTCTTCATGTTTATAACACACTCTCTGTTTCTTTTAAATATTAAGTATTATGAATAGGATGTTCCTTCCATTTGATTTTTTCATTTTTACTCTTTTTTTCTTTTCTCCTCCTCCCATCTCACTATGCAATGTCAGTGAAGTATTCCCCCATGTCATATATTGGTGGCCCTACACTGAAACATGACAAAATCATGGCAAGGATAAAATGGATGGGACCATTGAAAACACAGGTGACAAAATACACTTTTTCTAAAGATAGTATTTGCAAATGTGATTTTTCAACAGGGCAGAAGGCAGACTAGATTAAGTCATTTCCAATGCTAACAAATAAAATACCTATTTTGAAAACTGAGGGTATCATTTACCAACCTGAGACCACTAGTTTTACCAAATTCAGACCTCCCTCATCAGTGGCGTACAGACTACATTATTTTAGAGGATTATTCCTATTTTCACATATTTTCTTCACCAGCCTTTCATCACATGTAAATTCAGATGGGAATTAAGTTGAAATAAAAAGAGACTCAATGTACTACCAAATCACTTCCTTTCAAACTGGGCCAACTTTTCTCTTCCTCTTCCCTTGCATTCACATTTGCTTGGATTTAGCATCCCCTTTGAATTTCTTGTTGTCATAGAAACATGTGTTCCTCATTGACCTTTTGTTTTTCAAGGGAAAAGATAAACATGCCACCCACCATGGGGGCTCAACTCTGACTGTTCCCAGAGAACTGCACCTTCCCAGCTGCAGAGTCCAGTGTGCTCAGGAGAGTGGCCATCTCCCAGCCCTGTTGGCAGCGACAGGCGGAGGATGGACGCCAGCTGTACTAGGGCTGGAGCTTCATGAACCCTTTCCTATTAGGCCATATCCTGTCTGTCTGTCAGGAGTGAAGGAATGTTTCAGGTCAAATAAAGAGCAGTCTTATGCAATATAACCACCAGGATTAATCTTTTGAAAATAACAGCAGGCAGGCCACCTGAGGTGAAGTGTAAGGAATAAAGTAGCTCCAATTGGACATAATGGAACTATGCTACATGTTATAGATTAGGATGCATGAAAAGAGGAAAAATTCTAATGTTGATAAGTCCTACAGACTATCAGTGGAGTTTAGGTTTGGAAAATACTTTTGAGTATTGAGGCAAAATTTGGACCCAAATCACGGCAGCACTGCTTCTAGCATGTCCTGAATATTTGTGTTATTTATTTATTTATTTAGAGATGGAGTTTCACTCTCCCAATCCAAACCACCATCACCTCTCACTGAGCCTCTAGCAGTACCCTCTAGTTACAGGTGTGAGCCTGAAGGATGATGCTGGGTGTCTCTGTGTTATGAGTTGGCTGCATGAGTATATGAGCGAGATATCTGTCTGTTTGCTTGACATCTTGAGGTAAATGTTCTGGAAACATCTTCAGGCTTAACACAGAACTCTTGATTTCTTCTACAAATATTTTTCTCCTCCATACCTTTTCCCATTTAAGTAAAGGTAGCTAAGTACACGTACTTGTTTAAAACAAAATTCTTATGGTCATTTAAGAGTTCTCCCCTTCCCCCGTTGAGCCCTTACTTAGCCCATTTGCCCCATATAAGCTTCCAGGAAGTCCCTCAAGCTCATCTTCAAAGCATTATACTTCTGGAATAAACCTCATTTTCCACTGCCACTCCCAATCCAAACCACCATCACCTCTCACTGAGCTTCTAGCAGTACCCTCTAGTTAAATCTCCTTGCTCCCATGTATTTGGCTATCATTTTCCATTCTCTACACAGCAATCAAAGCGTCCTTTTACAAAGCCAATCAGGCTAAGTCATTTCCCAACTACAATTCTTAAGTGTCTTCCAAATAATCTAAGAATTAAACTCATCCCCTTTACGAACACCCAAAAGGTCATGCATGGTCTAACCCCTGCCTAGTTCTCTATGCCCACATTCCGCAACGCCACTCCACTACCTTGGACTCCTTTCTCTGCTTTCAAATGTGCCCAACTGTTTCCTGCTCAGAGCTCTATATTTGCCAAGTGTCTGACTGAACTATTCTTTTCCTAGAACTTTCACATGACGTGAAACTTAACTTCATTCAGCACTGTACTCCCATAGCACCTCACTGGAAAGGCATTCCCTGGCAACCTTCTTTATAATGAAGGTAAGATTATATCAGCTAAAACATTAAAAACAAGAAAACCCTCTCCTACTTACTATTGTATCACTGAGTTTATTTTGTCTGTAACAGTTATTGAAGTCTAAGGTTATCTTAGCTCTTTCTCTGTTTACTGGCTTTCTCACCCTACTAGAAGGTAGGGATTTTGACTGGGACTGAAACATTGGTTGGCAACATGGTGAGAAGATTAAATAAATAAACATGTACTTTTTTTTCCTTTTAATTCTTTTAATTAATGAAAATGCCATGGAAAATAAGGGATGCTTAATGGTCCTTAAAGAGTAGATTTCTTTTTCTTCTTTTTTTTTTTTAATATTCTTTAAGTTCTGGGATACATGTGCAGAACATGCAGGTTTGTTACATAATACATGAAACATGTACTTTTTTAAAAAATAGAATTCTAATACAATGAGAAAACTAGTATCTCTTATCCCTGTCATCTTGACACCCTTTTTTCCTATACCATCATATTTTAGTCCCCTAATTTCTTCTAGAATTGAGCAGAAGAACAACTTAGACTTAATGCAGAAGGGGAAAATGCACAGCTAGTTTTTTTTGTGTTTGGTTCTTGGGTGATAATCTAAGACCCTTTCCAAGGAAGCCCTTTGATTTGTTGCCTTAAAGGAGATTTAGAAATGTCTTGCCCTCCCTGGTTTGGCATAGAAGAGCAAATAAACATGCTTGGACTCTACACGCTTCAGGGAAAATGTGTATAGATTAGGATGCCACACTCTGAAAACTTCTTTTTCCCAGAAAATGCAGACATACCATCCAAAGAGTACACACCCTTTGCTGAGTCCAAATAGCTCCTGGGTGGTCTGGCACTAGAATCATCAAAATCATTGCTCAGTGTATTGTTCATAATGTTCATAGTATCCTGAACCCAAAGAAATTCATATTATTACATTGTTATCATTAAAAAGTAGTTTCAGTTATAATTACCATAATTTTTATTATGAAAGAAAAATATATTTATGCCTATATTTTTAATTCTTCTTCCATAACCAGTGAAAACAAACTTTCCACATTTCTATCTTGGTTTTTAACAATACACTAAATAACATCATACTTTTTCTTATTACCTTCAGAGCAGTCCTTACCTCAATCTGAATAGTTTATGTCTAAAAATATCTTTATCCCCCAATTGTAACATATATTTTATATTTTCTTCTTAAACTTAGTCTCCATAAACTCCTTATATATATAGGATATTTGCTCACCCTCTCCCCTTTATATCACAATATAGAGGAAGTGACTCAAAGAGTCCTCGACCTAGCCCATTTAGAAAGCAAACATATGTCAGTGTGATTCCTCCATTATGTCTCTTTCTAAGGCAAGCTCTCATTCTTGCTATGCTATTTCATTTTTTTTCTTTATAACCCAGTGTTTTATGAACTTTGGTTCTCCAAATTCTTAGAAGTTTCAAGGTAAACGGTCTAAATTTATGTGTGGTGAAGAGGGAACCCAGAGGTGAAGGCTGTGAGAGTCCCTGCCTCCCCTTCCACCAGAGAAGATTCTCTTGTTCTGTTTTAAGTACTGGAATCCTTAATATTATTTATTTTGAAGAAATTATGTCCACTCCAGAAAAAGTGGAAAATGGTTATATGACCCATGGACTTTTGTATCTCTGGACAACATGAGACAAGGACCAGGCTGAGGCAGTCTTAGCACACCTGATACTACCCAAGGAGCTTGGGGTCTGCAAAGAATCAAAGTGTTTTCACTTCCCAGAGGCATTGTACATTTTTTTCAGTACTCAAGCTTGTGGGAGACACTCAGGACCCCCCATGTGTGTGCCTGTGAACTCTCTCTATTCTAAAAATAATTGGACCATTAATTGTTTTTAAAATGGACCATATTGTTGGTACTTCATTAGGGTTGAGTGATGCAGTAGTCTATATTTTTGTCCTTTCAGTTTTTACTTCCTCTTCTTCGCTTTTGATTATGTTGTCCCTTAAGTCCAGCATCCCCCAGTGGAAATCTTCACTTCCTTCATTCCATGCATTGCCCTACCAAAAATCCTATTCATCCTACCAGACTTAGTAAAAAATATACCTTTTTCATGAAGACTTATGTGATACCCCATCAGTGAAAAATGGTTGTTACTTCTTCTGTACTGCAAGGCTTGTGCTTTGATGTAGCCCTACAATCATCCTTCTCAGTTTACAGTTGTTTTATGCTGCTTGCCCCTGGAGAGCAGGCCTGTGGCTTACATTTCAGTATTTACCCCTGACGCTATCCCTTCACTCAAGCACATAACATAGTTTCTTGCATTCAGTGAATATCAGTAGATTAAAGTTTTGGATTTGTTAGAAAGGTAGATGGCTAGTCAAAGTTCTTAATTTTAAGCATCATGAACCAACCCAGGCTAATTTATGCAGGAAAGAACTGTATTCTAGAATACTTACACAACTTGTGTTTAGAGGCCACACCATCAGAAACAATCTCTAAAATGATGTCAGATAATTGATTCTATACAAATCCCTATGCAGCCACCACTGGGCACAGGCACAGCTGTTGTACCCCACAAACCATGGATGCTGGAAGTTGCACAGGCTAGCAGAATCACCACCATTGCCTCTTCTGGAATTTGATGTAGCTTCACTTACTGCCCTACTCCTGCAAGAATGGATTTCCGACCAGTATTGCTTCTTTGCATTCAATACCTTTGAGTCAAAGAGTCAGAACTTGGTGGGGTTGCATCTTCCTAACAGAACCAGTGTTCTAGTTGCAAGGGAGGCCAGGAAAAAAAGATTTTCACTTCTGTGGAAGTCAGTCTCTGCCCCAACCAAGACCCACCAGACAAAGAAATGACCAAAAATAGGAAGGGGTTTTAGCGCGTGGGCATACAAAATAAATATTATTGCAGGTGTCTTTTTAAATTCCATATTTGAAAATGTATATTTAATTATCCAAATCCTCAATTTCTGAACTTTAAGGGAGAAAAGTCCTTAATTTCTATTTGCTTATATAATATGTGATTTTGTTATTTTCAATCCTATCAAATTCTACCAAAATTCAGTTAGAATTTACTCCCAAAGACAACACTTTTATAATACAAGGTAAAAGTCCCTGCACTTAATTTGTTTTGTGTATACTCCTTTTACAATATTTGTAGGGTTTCATAAGTTAGTTCCAGTTTCTACCAAAATTGCTCACTATCAGTTGACTAAAACAATAACTGGAATCTATGTTAAAGGCATCATCTTCTCCTTATAACAAATCTCTTTCCTATACTTTGTCTCTAGCTCAAACCCTCAATTCATCTGCTACTTTTCCTGTAGCTGTTGATATATTCTGATATGTTTTTACCAGGACACTCCTTAGCCTTCATGCACTGTTTCATTATTGAAAATGAGCAACAGAGGCTTATATTCTTGATTTATTTATAGCAGAAATCCTAATCCTTTTGTATAGCCTGCAAAACAAATCCATGATCTCCCATCATCTGAAGCTTACATAAAAGCTTCCCTGGAAGCTTACGTAAAATATTCACTGGTCTACATATATGGTCTTTGGTTCAATTATGTGACACAATAATCAAGGTCCCTGTATAAACCTTTACTGGGGAGTTTCTTTCCTTCCTGTCTTCTTCTAAAGAAATCTTGAATGCATTGAATTGAATTGATTTCAACATATATTTATTAAGATGAAATATGGATCAAACTATTATAGGTGCTGGGAATAGAAACTAGATAAGACACAGTCCCTACCTTCAAGAAGGTCATGGAGTAGCAGGGGAGAAAGATAGTGTACAAAAATTGCAATATTATTTGAAAAGTACTAGAAGTAGGTTTAAGATCCAGTGATAATACAGTTGGGGGGAAAAGTGGACAAGCATCACACATATTTGGATGAGTTTAGCTGGATTTTGAAAGATGTACTGAAGTTTTCTAAGGTTGAAAATAAAAAGGTGGTCAGTTTTTTTCCAGAAGGAATTGCATGCACAGACATTCAAGTGCTTGAAGCAGCTTTAAGTGTTTGGAGAATTTTAAGCAGTTTATTTAATAAGTTAGATGTGGCTGGACAGGTATGTAGGAACCAAGGCATGCAGGTTCTTGTATGCCTGCCAGAGATGTTTAGCAAAAATGTAGTTTCAATCCTTCATTTATGGGAAGCTGTTGGGGAATTCTGAATGAGAAATGACATGATCAGACTTACATTTTACACTTGTTAGAGAGCTTTCTCTTGGCAGCCTGTGAAGGAAAGAATGGAGGAAGGTAAGGCTGAAACTAAAAGACCAGTTGAATAAGAAGCTATTGCAGTAGAACATGCAAGAAATGGTAGAAGCTTAGTAACTAACTGAAGATAGGTAATGAGGAATAGATGCTTATTTGATTCCTAAATTTCTTGCTTGGGAGATTAAGTGTCCCTAACTGAGAGAGAAAATGAGAGACAGAAGCTCAGTGATGAGTGGAGACAACATACCTTCCAATGAAATATTAAAAGTAATGGCAAAAACCACAATTACATTTGCACCAACCTAATATTAGACTGCAAATACCTAGTAGACAATAGGTTTTATGGGTCAGGCACTTTGCAGACAAGTCTAAAGTAGAGAAGCAAAGTTGAAAATTGTTAGCATATAGGTTTTAGAAATTCAAGAGATCTGGATTCAGAAACAGAAATTTAAATAGGCAAAATATTTTCAGCAAATTAATCAGACATGTAAGAAGAAAACAAAAAAAATAGAAACTAAGGGCATAGAACAAATAATTTAAAACAATGTAATAATAGGCCAAGTCCTTCAGAGTTAGCCATCAGGTCATTTATTATCCCTGCCAATGTTGCTTCAGTAATGTTATGTGAGTGGAAGAAGTAGGTGAAGACTTTTTTTTTCCCAAAATGCTGGTTAGAAAAATATAGTGTATTGGGAAAAGTTATTAAAATTGAAGATTAATCATATATCTAAGTTGATGAAAAGTATCCTGTACAAAATAAAAGTTTGAAAGGAAAATGGATAAATCAAGATTTAGACATGAGATGAAAAGAGCAGATGAGGGTTTTAGCCTCAAGATGTGGGGAAAGTTCTCTTTAGAGACTTAAGAGATGAGACACAAGATTCTTGTGGGAGGTACTATTATAATTGGAATTGTAGAATATTGAGTCTTTTGATCTCCGGTGGTCTCACATTTCTGCATTAGAAGAAACTATTTGCTTCAAATGGGCAACTCCTGAACTGAATGGGGCTTTAAGGAGGTGGCACAGATTTGGAATATCTAATGGAAGAATGTTAAAAAAGTTTATCAATGATAAATAGAGAAAGTGTTCTTTTCAAAATCATTATAAATTTGTCTATCTTTATGTCATTTTTTATCGCTATGTTTTATAGAAGTATATTTAAATAACTGAGTGGTCTCTTGTCATTTTCTTTCTTATTTTTTTTTCTTTCTTTGTTTTCCTCTGTCCTTTTCCACATTGACCCAAATGTTAGGACTGCCTGTTTGCCCTCTTCTTCAAAATTCTTCAACAGTTAACATTCAACACATCCCTAATAGGGGACAAATGGGAATACTCAGGCCTGAGAATGGCCAAATAACAGTTGTCACTTACTGTTTTGTTCTTAGAGCATTTTTTCCCCTTCTTCTATTACATCGCATGGCCTGTATCTACATTGATCATCCAATACTCTGCCTTTTCATTTCTTTTTTTTCTGAAATCTTGTTTTAAAATGCTTAGTAGTCCAATTTACACTTTCACATCTTTCCTCATGCCTGGCCACCATAGTGGATTTTTATTGGCTTAAAACAAAAGACTTGAGCTGGGCGCGGTGGCTCATGCCTGTGATCCCAGAACTTTGAGAAGCCAAGGTGGGCAGATCACCTGAGGTTGGGAGTTCAAGACCACCCTGACCAACATGGAGAAACCCCGTCTCTACTAAAAATACAAAATTAACCAGGTGTGGTGGCACATGCCTGTAATCCCAGCTGCTCGGGAGGCTGAAGCAGGAGAATTGCTTGAACCCAGGAGGCGGAGGTTGCGGTGAGCCAGAGACCCTGGGCAACAAGAGCGAAACTCTGTCTCAGAAAAAAAAAAAAAAAAAAAAAAAAAAAAGACTTGAATGAGTTAACCATGCAGATATATGAGAGCTATGTCCCCAAACTGGCCTCTGAGGCTTTATTTACTGGCTTTTGCAAGGATTACATGTGTAGCATAGCAACTCTGATCAGGACAACTACTTTGTTGAGCTTTTAGTAGACCATGGTCATTCTTCAGGGCCTGTTCACCTCAGATTTTTCTTGGTAGAAAAATGGCATACAGAAGTTCCAAGCTTCACCTCCAAATACCATACCACCGAGAGAAAGGCTTTCTTTCCCAAATTAATAATAGCTCCGAGCGTCAATATAATTTGAATAAATCAGTCTAATCTAGAAGCTGGGCTTCACCCTGTTTGGCTTAGACTTGGGTTATTGCATATCTCACTGAGGTGATGGAGATAAGATTATATGAATTCGTTTATATCAAGTAGGATCCATTTAGATCTGAAGAAGAGGTCAGTTCCACGTCAACCAAAATGGATCCTATACAAAGCAGATGGGCTAGGATGAATGCTAGGGCACCAATGAGATGCCTGCTACCATAGGCTCAATGGTACTCATCCTTAGCTTATCTTCAGGGAAGAATCCCCCATGCAGTGCTGGTTTCATGGACATGTGATTTATGTAGGCTTATGCAATCATCATGATACTGTACAAAGTATATAATACATGTTATATTATGTACATAATACATTAAAATTATAATTAATTACTACATCTTCCTTCACCAGTCTGAATCTCATGAAAAAGGGGGTAATTGCATGTCTTTCTATATCACAAGTACCGATGAAACTATACACTGGCATCCTCCTTGTCAGGATAGAACATTCTTTTGTTTTCTTTCTTTATCTCTCCATGGAGACGTAATTTGACCTCCAGCTAACATTAAAAAAGCTGCTTTTGTGGTTCAGCATATGGTCTTAAGTAATTGACTTTTTAAAATGATAGATGGAAATAATAATAGTAATAATTGCTCTATCTCACTGGCATGCTTTGAAGCCTGGACCCTTTCTGTTTTTGTTTATTGTTGCTTTGTTTAATTTTGTTTATGTTCTGTTTTGTTTATGTTCTGTTTGTTAAAGATCACAATAGTAATGTTTTGAAAAATCCTTATGAGTTTTAAATATATTCATTTAACAAATTCATGCTTTATAGTTCGTATATCACAAAATTGGTATATATTACCTCATCTGGATTAATCAAAATTTTAAACTTCAGACTTTAAAATGTGAGAATGAGGCAAATGTTGTCACTATTTTCTGCATAATAGGCTCTGACTACACCATGATTTCAGGCAACAAAATTGTAGGGCTCTTACCTATAATTGTGCAGGCAGGCCACTGCAAACCATAGGGAATACTAAGTGCATCGTAGTCCTTTTCCTGTGAATGGTGGTTCATGAAGTGGTGCAGAGCCATGTATAGTAGTCACAAGTAAATATCCATATTATTTTAATTCATTTATTTAAGTATCTTTGTCTTTATTTTTATAAAGTCATTAGCATTAGTCCTTTTTTATACAAAAAATAAGTATTCACATAAGTGAGAAATTGCTACACATTAAGGGAATATAAACCAATATTATGCATAGAATATGCTTTTATTCTTTTAAATTACCAAAAAGTATTTTAAAAAATTATTTCTTAAACTTGTACGCTCTAATGACAAACTGGACAAATTTCAGGACCTCCAGGCCTCATGTCTGTACTTTTTTCCATTGTTTTCATATAAGTTCAAGTATCTATCACAGAGTCTATTCCAAATTAGACTCTTAGTGTTTTTTTCTGCATGAATAAATGAATTTCTAAGGTAAGCAATGTAAGTAACATGAGTTATTATTCCATTTATACCGGGATAGTTATTATGCTTCTGTTTGTATGCTTTCCATTTCTTATTGTCTGAAAAGGGAACTATGGTCATTTACTTCGGTGTCTATATATCAGTCTAAGAAAAATATCCTGAGTGGATATGATACCTGGAAATCTGGAACCTCATTGCAGCCCCCCATTGTAGAGGTGACATACAGGGACCAGGTAATAAAGGATGGAGTCTTGATAAACTACAGCTTTCAGTAGGACAGCCGGGTTTATTTTCCTGGTTACTTAATGGATAATTGAGATTGCCATTCTTGACAATTAGAGTCACCTCACATTGGGTTTCAGGCCTTTCAAATAAGAGCTATGATAGCAAGGAAGGCCACGTGAAAGTCCACAACCCCTCCCTGCCTTCACACAAAGTTATTCAATTAAAAATATATAGATTGTGTCCCAGGGTGGGGATGAGAAGGAGATTATGCTATCCTTGAAGATCTAAAATGGTACAGTGGTGATGTTGCTCCTCATATATTCATTTAATATGCTATTCTTGTCTCTGCAAAAATCTGAACAAGTCCTAAAGAATGACTGTAGTCTACTAAAAGTCCAACAAAGCAGTTGCCTCAATCAGAGTTGCTATACTAGACATGTAATCCTTGCAAAAGCCAGTAAATAAAGCCCCAGGTATACGGTATATGGTCATTTATTTGGCAAATGCATTCTTTTCTATATGAATTAATAAAGAACAACAGAGAATGTTCATATTCATGTGAAACAAATAATGATATTCATTTGCAATTTTGCCCCAGGACTATGCTAATTCTCTCAACCTGTCATAATGTAGTCCAAAAAGATACAGACCATCTGGTATTCCACAGAACATCACACTGATTTATTATATTGATAACATTTTGCTGTTCAGTCAGCATGAGCAAGAGTTTATGAAGATTCTGGAGGCTTTGATAAGACCCAAGTACTCCAGAGGGAATGAGATAAACTCTATGAAGATTCCAAGAAATTCAGCAACATTTTCAAGGGACCAGTGGTCAGGGACAGGCTGATACAACTAAAGAGTAAAATATAATTTTTCTGTATTTTGATACCTCACCACGGAGAAGGAAGCAATGCTTGGAAGGGCTATTAGGTTCCAGAAGCAACAGATTTGACCCCAGGGTTTACTGCTCTGGCTTATGTGCCAGATGACATGAAAGGCCACCACCTCCCAGTAGAGCCAAGAGAAGTAAAGGTTCTGAATTGAATTTGGTTTGCGGTGCAAACAGCTCTGCCGTTTGGGTCATGTAATCCAGCACAGTTGAATTTGAAGAGTTGTCAGAAGAGATGCAGTGTGGCCTTATGGCAAGCCCCAGTGGAAGAAGCATAACAGAGGCCTCTGGGGTTCTGGATTATGGCCATGTCATCAGCAGATAATTACATTCATTTTGAAAAATAGCTCCTGGGAAAATACTGCATCCAGGAAGACATAGAACAATTGACTACATGGTACCAAGTGACTGTGTCTCTGCAACTCCTCATTATAAGCTGAGTTCTGCTTGACTTGCCAAGTAGATTGTCAGAAGGGCTCAGTAGCTGATCACTCTCTGAAGAAAATGGAATTGAGCTTGAGCAGAATCAGAAGTCCTGAGTAACCTTCATGGACAGGCAGCCCAGATCCCAGTGGTATCTGCCAGAGTTGCATCAGTGACCCTCTTTCAGTTTACATTTCACCTATGACCATATATGAGTCAGGGTACACCCAGATGAAAGAAGAGGAAAAAGCATAAGCTTGTTTTATGTAGAGGTTATCATGGTTTATGGTACAAGCCAAAAATAAATGGGGCTATATGATGAGTACACTGAAAGGACAAGAACTGGGAGGCCAGAGATGTCTGGAGTGGGGTCATGTGAATGGACACTGGAGATCGGCCTGAAGTGTGAAGGTTTTTGTCATCATGTTACTATCTATCAAAAATGATCCACGCTAGAGGAAGCAGTGAGCAATGAATAGAAAAAATGGTTCAGCCAACCTTTGTCTTCAGCTAACCCGGAACTGGTCAAATGGGCACAGAGAAGAATAGCACTGTGGCAAAGGTAGAAACTGCACTAGCTCAATGGACTCTCATTTATTAAGACTACAGATAACCCTAATCACCCAAACTGCCAGCCAGACTTAATGCTGAGACTTTGGTATGGCACTATTCTTTCAGGAGACCAACTTGCTACTGGTGGCTAGTCATCTACTTTGGTCTCCCTTTATTCTAGAAAAGCCAGTGGTGATTTTTATAGGAATAAAATAATTTTCTAGATATGAGTTTGCATTATCTCCCAGGGGAGCCTCAACCAGCATGACTATCCAGAAGCTCATGTAGCCAGATCTACAAACAGGGAATTTCACACTGAATGACATTTGACCAACAGGCCCACTTCATAGCAAAATAGATACAGGAGTAACTGTGGCATTCACATAGTGTGCATTGAATCACATACCACTCCTATACTGTGTAGAAGCAGCTAGCCTGACAGAGCATTGAAATTGATGAGTAAAGACACAACTGAAGCACCAACTTGAAGGAAATACTCTGTGAAGACAGGGTGCCATTCTCTAAAATACAGCATACACACTAGAGTCTCATGCGTGATATTATGTTTCCATTAGGAAAAATATATGTCCAGGAACCAAGGGATAAAAGAAAGGAGTGACCCCCACTTAATATTCTTCCCAGTGACCAACTGGGGAACTTTGTGTACCCTGTCTTCACAACTTCACAACTCTTGACTCTGTAGTTATAATTCTTGGTTCCCAATGGTGGAATATTTTTTATTTGTGCAAATGTATGGGGCACATGAGAAAATTTTTACATCTATATAATATGTAGTGATTAAGTCGGGGTATTTAGGGCATCCATCACCCAAGTACAATACATGTTTTTAAGTGTAGCCATCCTATTCTGCTATCAAACATTGAATGTATTCTTCCTAACTGTATGTTTGTACTCTTTAACCCACTTCTCTTCATTCTCCCTCCCACTAAACTCTGCCAGTCCCTGTTATCTATTTTTCCCATCAACTTCCATGTGGTCAAATTTTTTAGCTTCCACATATGAATAAGAACATGTGATGTTTGTCTTTTTGTGCATGTGTTATTTCACTTAAGATAATGACCTTCTGGCCCACCCATGTTGCTGCAAGTGACATGATTTCATTTTTTATGGCTGAATAGTATTCCATTGTGTATATGTACCACATTTTCTTTATCCATTCATCTGTTGACAGGCATTTAGTTTATTCCACGTCTTTGCTACTGTGAATAGTACTGCGATAAACAAGCAAGTGCAGCTATCCCTTTGATATGTTGATTTCTTTTAAGGTGGCATATTTTACCAAGGCATACAACACTGCCCCCAATGAATTATAAACCATTGCTTCCCCCTGTGCACTTTGAACTCCTTGTGTCCAGGGTCCAGTAGGTGAAGAGAGGGGCTACCATCTTGGCCAGGGTAATTGATTAGCAGGAGGAGTTAAGTCTGCTTTCACATAGTGAGGGTGGAGAGGAATATGTATGGAACTCAGATGATTCACTTGCATACCCCTTTATGTTCCCATGTCTAATTGTAACTATGAATGTCCACTTGCAGCAATACTAGTTTGAGATTACCAGAGGCTCAGCCTCCTTAAGAATTAGGGTTTAGGTCAAAATGCCAGGAATTCCCTAAGACATACTCAGGCAACAGCTGAGGTAGAGGGACATTTAGAATGGAGGGTGGAGGGGGGAAATGATGATATATATAAGTTACAACCCTGAGACCACTGCAGCAACAGATGTTGTAGTTTGAGAGAAACAGGAACAGCATGGAGGATCTACTCCCAAATACATGCGGAGAAGATTTGTGTCAAGTGAAGGTTGTACTGGGGCAGCTCTGTAGGTGACGAACCTGCTAAAAGTATAGTTAGTTCGTTCGTTGTTTCAGCTGCTGAACCTTTGTGATCAGTAACAAGGATCATACCAAAGTCATACTTTACCTGGCTTATGTCAGTAATAGAGAATGTCAGATGCTGGGCCATTTCTAACCCATGCGGGATTCTGCTAATGGAAAATCTTTGCTTTGGGATTTCCTATCAGCATGGCTGAGACTTTCTCGGATTCATACTATAATCTGAAGCTCTTTCTACTCTCTCCTTTTCCAAGTATCAGGCCTATTCTACCTGCCTACTCCTGCTCCATCTACCCTTTATCATTCACAAGTGTTTCCCTCAAAAAATCTCTAGCACTTCTGTCTTGACATCTTCTATCTGGAGGATCTGAATTGACCCAAAAGACAAATCCAAAATCTTCCTCATCCATAGAGCAAGCGGAAATTATATGAGTTTTGCAGAAAAGTTGAAAACAATTAAATTTAGGGAATATAAGAGATACTTATTTCCATCTCATGACTCCCTCTGACTCCTTGATCTTTCTCAAAATATGGGATAGAATATCAAGATACCATCCTGCAGGCATGAATTCAAGCCCCTTAAGTAAACAGGCTTTCAGTTACACAATGGATCCTTTAGTTTCTAGTTTTTCCCCAGAAAAAAATGCCAGATGAGTCTGATTCTGAAATCTTTTGCTGGCCTTTTCTGGGCAAAAAAAAAAAAAAAAAAGAATAAAAGTCAGATTTAGGAAATTAAATTCTTGAACAAAATCCTCCTTTAATTTCCTCTCGGACAAAATCCTTTGTGTAGTTTTAGCCAAAGTATAAACATGAAAATTTATATATTCATTAAAAATTGTCTCTGACAATTTTTAAAAAATCTTTGACCTCTTAATGAGAATATATTTAAATCTTTAAACTCAGTGTTCCTTAATGTTTTTTTCTTTTCAGGTAACTTATCAAGATGGATATCAGGTGCCAGAAGATGTGAATATGATTTTTATCTGTTTTGAGTTATTAATAAAGAGGTTTAAGACTTTGCTTAGAGAATTACTGTTTCTTTTCAAATTATTGATCATTCCAACTCATTTTGATGCTGGAATATTCACAGTGTATTTCTAATGCAACATTAAAGAGTTAATCCTGATAATGAAAATAGGGTTGAATAAGTATTTTGTTCTGTCCTTTCCACTTGTGTTCTTTTGCAGTCAGGAATTTCAGTTCCTTATTCTGAGTTTATTACGAAGGATATTTTCTAGCTTAAAAAAGGTAAAGAATTGATTACTTCCTAATCACAAGTAGACAAGTTGTTACTTCACTGTTACTCCATTAACACTAGCTATGACTTTTCTTACCTCTGAACTGGATTTTATAGCAACATCCTAGCTGTCTGCTGGCCTTCTTCCCAAAGTTCACTCAAGACACAACAGCTGAACTGATCAATACTGTTACAGCTCACAGTCTGCCTCTACCCACAGCTGACACATTAGACAAACTGAATCACTTGACACACCTGCAGGAAAGCCCATGTTCATTAGGCATGGGAAGCCCTTCTTAACTTTACTCTTTGGAAATGTTTTCCCTCCTTCCAGGTATTGCTCCAAAAAAGCATATAGTAAGAAAAGGAAACCTCAACTGCAACCAAGGGACTTGGATCTTAATTCCAGTTCCACTATAACAAGCTATGCACATTTGGGCAGGTTTTCACTCTCTCTCACTCAATTTTCTCATCTGTATAATGAGAAGGCATAAACCAGATCAGAGGTTTTCATAATGTGGTCCTTCAGCTAGCAGCATCAGCATCACTTGGGTACTTGTTAGAAACGCAAATTCTCAAGGTTTATCCCACCTTTACTAAATCAGAAATTCTGGAGATGGGACAAAGAAATCTGTGTTTGAACAAGCCCTCTCTACGATGTCTTTTTTCTTAGTTGCTTACATGGAATTTCATACTTTTACTACATACATCACCTATTTCATGTTAGAATTATTTTTGACATGTCCTCTCCAATTTGTACTAGATATTCCCTTGAAGATTAGAATTCCATCTTGATTATCTTTATATCCTGGACAGTGTGTAAACCCAGATCCTACACATATTAGATGGTTACAAAATCTTTGGCAAATTAGATTCTTCATTAATGTTAATGTTCATTTAATCCCCAAAATATTAGAAAAAAATCATTAAAATTAACTTAAGTAATCACAGCATATAAGTGAGAAAATATGGAGAAGATACAGACTCAAACCTTGGGTAGGGAGTAGAAAAACATAACCACTGGGTTGAGCTTATGTTCACATAGCAGGCTAACCCACGGAGGAAAGAGTGCTTCAAAATTGGTTAATTGCAAATGATTGTTATCCTTGCAGGTGTTCAACTGATAAAGATTCAACTTGGAAAGGGATCTACTTACTTCCTGATAATATGCAACAAAACAGATACAAGGGGTAAGAATAGTACAAGCTGACCTCAGATATAAAGTACATGTATGCTGTGATAACTGTGAAAAAGAATCTGGGGAAGGCAAGATTGTCTAAGCTTCTCATGACAGGATTTTAAGAGAAAGGATCACATTAAAGGACATAAAGAACAGAAGGCATAGACTGTCAGAAAAACTGCTTTATTTCAGGGAATTGAAAGACAGAAAGAAATCCCTAAGGCAACTAATTCAAAATGGCCCAAAGATGGCCGTGATATAGGTAGAGAAGGCTGCTCTATTTATGAAGTTGGAAGCAATGCAGCATTATGTGGGTCATTGTAGGGTAAACACATCTGAAAGCAATAACAAGCATACCCTTAGAATGACCCTGTATAGTAGACGCATCTGAATGTGTGTTCTGAGCTAGGGAATCCGGGAATGTCCAGCCCGGAGATTTGTTCCTTGTCTATGAGGAATAACTGAACCCCTGGCTTTTCCCACGGAATGTGAGCTGTACAGGGGATTGAGGCCCTGAGTTTTGGGTTAAATAAAGGTTGCCAGGTGGAGATCATTAAGGGGAATGTGCTAAGCAAAAAGGCTATATAAACTGTCTGCTGTTTGAAAGCGGTTGCAATTTTCCTGCCTAACCTGCTGCCACTGAACTGTAGGAAGGCAGATGTCTCGACTAGCCTGCTGCCACTGGACCGTTTCTGTATGTAAGGCAGTTCTCCTATCTGACCTGTCATCACTGGACTCTGTGTCCTGTGTGTAAATCCTTAATAAATCCCCATGTATGGTTTGCTGCTCTGGGTCTCTTTTTCAGCCTCTTGAACCTGGTACCTTCCCTATTAAGGTTTATAGGAGTTTGACACTGCTGTCATTGATGAGACACTGAAATTGTGAGAAAATAGGACAGGTGATGTTCTTAGCTGAAATTCCTCCTTCTCCCTTAATGATCATTTGGAGGGCTATCTCTTTTTCCTTAGTGATTAATGACTGTAGGAAAGAATATACATGGTTTTTAAGTTAAATGATATGAGTATAAAGTATCATCTTCTGCTCAATATTGTGTATCCTCATGCTCTTTCAAACATCTTAGCAGCTAGTTTTTTGAAGACTGTAAGATGTCATTCCTCTTCTCTACACCTGCTTTATGTGGTTTCAGCTCTGCCTCTGCTGACGTCCTGAAGGGTTCTGTGCTCCTTCTTGCTGATGTGTCATTTCAGATGAAAGCTGTTAGAAATCGACATTCAGGTCAGGGTACTTCACCTCAACAGGACACACAGTCTTTCTTCTTGTGCCCCATCATGTTGCAGAGGCAATGATATTCTATACATCTGATGTCCAGTAAGGAATTTTAGTAAAAGAGCTTTTGACAATTTCAGTCACTCATCCGTCTCATCTTGCTCCAGGGCATAAGATTCTTTAGAACACCAAAAAAACCTATTACAAGAGTTGGTGTTAGTGAAGCCTCCTTAGTCAAGGTTAATACCTGATATATGGCTTAATTTTTTTGTCTTTTATTTCAAATTTCTCTTCTGGGGAAAGTGGGGCTATGAATTTTTAAAAATTAATATGTGGTAGACTAGGGGTAGTGAAAACATTGACTTTTTAATGATCTTGGCTCTAGTTCTGTATACATTCGCTTCCACCAATTTTATTTTTTGATTAAAGGGAACGTATACTGAAAGTAAGATACGTGTTTTTGATTAAAATTCATAAAAAATGAGTAAATCTATACTAATTTTTTAACCAATTAAGAAAAAACTGTTTTTCAATTTACAAACATAAAATTCACCAATTTTCAGTATACAATGAATGAGTTTGGGCAGATACATGCATTCATGTAATGACCTCCACAGTCATGATGTAGAATATTTGCATCTCCTCAAAAAAGTTCCCTTGTGCCCTTTATTAGTCAATCTCCCTTCCCCACCTCTGGCCCCTAGGAGCTATTATCTGCCTTCTTCCTATAACATAGTTTTGTCTTTTGCAGGATTTCATATAAATAGATAATACAGAATGTAGTCTTTTCTGGTGGACATTTTTTATTTAGCATAATACATGTGTGCTTTATCTGTTATTGCACATATCTATAGTTCATTTATTGTTATTGGTAGGTATTATTCCATTGTATGAATATGCAACATTTTGTTTATCCATTTACTAGTTAGTAGACACGTGGGTTGCTTCCAATTTTTGTCTATTATAAATAAAATGCTATAAACATTTAAGTACAAGTCATTGTAATGTCTTTTCATAACTCTTAGGTAAGCACTTAAGTGTGGACTGCTAAAAAATTGATAAATTGGACTTCATAAAAACTAGCTATCTTTTGTGCTTCAAAAGATACTCTTAAGAAAATGAAAAGGCATACTGCAAACTGGGAGATATGGCAAAATATACATCTGATAAAGAACTCTTTAGAATACATGAGGAACTCTTGAAATTCAGTAATAAGACAGCCTGATATTTTTTAGAAAGGGCAAAATAATTCAACACATACATGATCAAATAAAGCATCTGAGAGGAAAATAAATTATGAATAAATTATAAAATATGCTCAACATTATAGGTCATCATAAAAATATGAATTAAGATGCAATATAAAATATGACACATCTATTAGAAGGGCTAATTTTAAAAAGCTAATAGGACTAATTTTAAAAAGCTAATGATAGCAAGTATTGGCAAGGACTTGGAATAATTAAAACTCTTATGCACTGCTGGTGGTGATGCAAGCTGCTAGAGTCCCTTGGAAAACAAGTTTTGTGGTTTCTTATAAAAGTAAGCATATTCTTGCTATCTTCATTTTTAAATTTAGGGAAATTTCCATACTCCCCAAATTCATTGCAATCAGATATATGTTTATTATTCATTCCTATTAATTATTTATAGAATGTTGTAAATTCTACCATTAATACAATTAAAAACAATTATTAATACAATTAATAAACCATTATAAACTTGACACTAGGGGCCCAATTCCTAATTTATAAAGCCTAATTTATAAATCCTCTAAATGAAAGGATAGTAAGCAAAATTAGTAATTATCCTCATATGTATAGTTTTCAGAAATTCAGAAAGAGAATTTCTTTTGGTAACAAATTTTCTCTTGGTAACAAATCCATTTTATGTCTGATAGCTTTAAATTTTTGCCTTAAACAAAACTGAGGAAATGCCTAGTTGAGCTGCTGATTCATTAAAAATATTTGATGGAAGACTATTACATAATTTTTGGCATATTAAGCTAAAAGAAGTTTTAAAAATTGGTACTTTTGTTCTAGAATATTCTTTTCATTCACACATATATGTTTATGTAAAATAATTTATAAGCTTTAACCTCATGAAAACAGTTTTAAAAAGAGGAATAAAGTTAATATTGTAATCTGCTTTATTCAAATAACAGTATTCATTAAAAATAGATAAAAACAATTCTCATATATTTCATTCATTTAGTCACATATTTCTCTTGTTTTATCAGTTGGCAGTAATAAACATTACAATGGTAACTCTAGACAAAATATTTTAGTAGCTGGAGCCATATGATTCCAGAAAATTGGAAAAGTAAGTTAAATTTATTTATATTATTAATATAAATTTTATAGTAACAATTATATTACATATTATATATCAAAGTCTATGTATGTATTATATGTTTACATTACACTTTAAATTTGTATTATCTATATACATATTTTTATCACAGAAATGATGTTAGGACAATCAATAAAATATTTTCAAGGGCTAAAGTGCATTATAATTGAAATGGAAAGATGAGTTCAAGGATTAAAATAAATGATAGGCAATTTCTGCCTTCCAAAGAAGAGCTTGTTTACATACATTTTAATAAATGATGGTGATATGGAATTGCTTTAAGGCTTACACTTCAGGGGAAATATTTAAAAGAGATATATAATAATTTTATTTTTTCTTAAAGTTATATTATGCTAAAAATGAAATCTTATGGATCTGTACACAGTCATCCCTCAATAGCTGTGCAGGATTAGTTCCAGGACACCCTAGGGACACAAAAATCCAAGGATGATCAAGTCTCTGATATAAAATAATATAGTATTTGCGTATAACCTACACACATCCTCCTGTATGCTTTAAGTCACCTCTACATTACTTATTAGTTCCTAATACAATGTAAATGATATACAGTTTTATTCTATATTGTTTATGAAATAATTACAAGAGAAAAGTCTGCATGTATTCCATATAGATACAACTATTGATTTTATTTTCTGAATATTTTAGATCAGTTGGTTGAATCCATGGATGCAGAACTGACTGATATGAAATGAAGACTCCATGTTGCCAATTTTACATATGAAAATTAAAAGACGTGTGGTAGTACATTATTTTTAAAAATTTAGAGGCCATTTTAAAAAAAAGATTGGAGGTTGCTTTAACCACCCAATCTGGATAAGATGTGCCATCTTGTAGTTCTTGTGATTCCTTCTATCAGAGAATTTGCTACAACATTTTTGTAACAGTCTATTTACTTATCTGCATCCTTCACTAAATAGGAAGCTCTTGTTGCCAGAAACGATGTTTTGTGTAAGCAGTCTTGAGACTGAGATTGTTAATGAATGTTTTTCTGGCTGAATGAATGCACAAATAAACTGAGTTGGTTTTGGATAGATATTTTTCAGTGTTTTTTTGCTTTCGTGCACCAACATGTAGGCTTATATTCCTTCTTTTTAATTTTAAGATCTTCATGAAGGGAATCAACATTGCTTTATAGAAAGAAAAACATGCTAAGGTTTTTGGATGTAGTCCCATCTCTGACAATAAAATAATCATATAGCTTAGGCAAGTTATAATTTTTTAGGACCAAAACCTTGTTATTTGCAATATCAGGGGTGAATTCTTAGGTTCTTACTTCCCCAAATCTGTTTTACTTTCTTTATTTCCTATACAACTAAAAGTGCCTTATTTTATAAGTTGCTTATTTGCTACATAATCCACAAGTGAGAATGCACAGAGCTGGCTGCTGCCTCATTGTCTTAGTGGTAAACTTCTAGACACACAGAAAAAAGATAAGTGAGAGTTATGATTATTATTGTAACAGTCAGTACTGGGATGCAACATATCAAGCTGGTAATAGTAATTTTTCCTTAATATCATATATAACTGCCAAAAACAGATTCTTAAAAATTATGTCTGCCTATTTAACTTTTGGTGTTTAAATTTTACTTAATATCTTGGAAATGGTAATGAAGCTTCCAACCTAAAAATATCTACCTCCTACTACTATCTATCTCCTACTAAGAATTAATCTATATCCTATTTATCTATCAATCATAAGTTGAAGAAAAATTTATTGAGAAATGTGTAATAATATCTGTGGCAAGCACTGGAAATCCGTACATTAATAAATAGATCCACGCTCTAACTTTGATAAATTTCAAGTTGAGATTTTGAGTAAAAGATTCTAATAAGTATATGAACAAATTTCTACAGGAACTATACCTCGTGGTATAATTGCCTTTGACTTGAATAGACATTTCTGCATAAAAGACAGACAAATGGTCAACAGGTTTATGAAAAAAATGCACAATGTCACTAATCCTCAGGAAAATGCAAATTCAAACCACGTGAAATATCACCACATACCTGTTAGAATGCATATTACGTAAACTGAAAAAGACAACAGTGTTGACAAAGATGTGGAGAAACTGAAATCCTTGTAATAGCGAATGCAAAGTGGTGACACCATTATGGAAAACAGTATGGAAGTTTCTCAAAAAACAATAGCAATAATGTATGTGCCAGCAATTCTACTTCTGGGTATTTATCCAAAAGAAATGAAATCAGGATCTCGAAGAGATATTAGCATGCCTATATTCATAGCAATATTATTTATAATAGCCAAAATGTGGATCTAAATGTCCATGGACTGATAAATGAATAAAGGAAATCTGATATATGCATACAATGGAATGCTATTCGGCCTTTAAAAAAAAGGAAATTCTGTAATGTGCAACAACATATATGATCCTTGAGGATGTTATGCTAGGTGAAATAGGCCAGCCACAAAAAGACAAATACTGCATGATTCTACTTACATGAGTTATCTAAAATAGTCGTGGAATTACTGAGGGGAAGGGAAAATGGGGAGTTACTAATCAGTGGGTAAAGTTTCAGTTACTCATGAAGAATAAGTTGTAAAGATCAGCTATACAACATCAACAGTAAAAGCTTATGCATTTCAAAATTGTTAAGTGAGTAGATCTCATGTAAGTGTTCTTACCACAATAAAAGAATTAATAAAGTAAAAAAAAAAGCCTGTGCAACTCAAGATCCCTGTAATGTATCTCTTGTCTTTCTTTATATTAAATTTCCTTGCCCTGTGTATCAACTGTGTTGTAATAAAAACTGTTATATCAGACTTTCCCTTACGTGATGAGAAAACCTTTCTACATGGAACTGAAGTTGACTTAACCCATTTAAAAGAGATCTTAGAACATGTTATCTATCTGAATGGATTAAAAAGGGGATGAGAGCACAACAAGATTCAGCATGAAACAGAATCAAAATTACAAACTGCGCTGTGCTCAAAACAGCTCACATTTTGTAATCAGAGCTCTCCCAGATGTTCTCAAAGAGTCCCAGGACAATCATGTGAAAAATAAGGATATGAGGCAATGAGAGAACTATATATCCTGGGGATTTGTTTCTTTATAACAAAACTCCTTTAAAGTAATTTATCAAAGTCACCCCAGAACTGAAGACACTTACCATGGTCGTAAAACCTCAAACTTAGTGCTCTCTTTTTGGAAATTGAAATTGCTGCAGGCTTTTTTTGATTGGCCATTTCTTTAAAAAGCCAGTTTGTCATTTACCATAAATATAGGTAAGAGAGGATGAAAAGAAAATGTTGCCAGAGACAACAGTGGAGTGGAAGTTGGATGCTACTAATAAAGTTTATGCTTAAGGTCATTTTCAAAAACATAGCACAATGTATACAAGTAAATAACACACTGAATATAGGAGCAAATTCCATGTCTGTTTTTGAACAAACAGCACATTCTGTAGATTTTAGGTCCATTAACATCAGGAACTAATCTTTTACATAAGCCATTTCTATTATCTTGTCCAAAGCTGAGGTCATACACTAGGGAGAGAGGGGTGAACTTTTTATTTCACACACACCCATTGCTGGCTGAGCTTAGCATGTGAGAAATCTGTTACCCTATTAATTATATGAGCTGAAAACAATTCTTGTTCATATTAGTCAGAAGAATATAACTCTCTTTATAATAAGTAAAGATAGAGATTACTTTAAAATATTTTGGAGGATTTTGTAAAAACACAGTTGGGACAGAGGCTGCTGCCAACCATAGAACTGCTTTTAATTAAAACCTTGTTCAACATGCTTACAGTGGAGTTTTCTTATTTTTCTATTATATAAAGATTAACTGATTCAGCAATTATTGAACTCGGGACACATTATAAAACTTTCTTCTGAGACTATTAAGCCAAGAAAAAATCAGCTGTGATTCATTAGATAATAACACTATCAGGAAGAATGTGCTCTAAGTTATCCCTTAGTAATGTTTTTTTGTGGCTGTAAAACACACAGGCCTGAACTAAAAAAAAAAAAAAAAAAAAGCCTTTTCATTTTAAATTTAATAGAAATATATATAATTAAATAGTAATGGTAGATATATATATATATATAAGGCCAATGGACCTATTAAACAGAATGTAAAAGTTAGATAAACTGGGTTCCATTCATAATTTAGATTGCTTCACTATATGCCATAGTAAAACTACTATTACTCAATACTTAGCCCATAAAGTCAAGCCAACTTTGTCTATTAAGGGATGTGGTGCAATTTTCACATAATATTTGCATGTTATAGAGGACTAGAGGGACTACACAGAACTTAATTCTTCAGCATTTTCTTGGACTCCAGGAAACCTCCAAATGCTCTCCCCTCATCAAAATTTACTATTAACTCCAAATTTTTGCAAATGACTTTGTCACTAACTATGTGGAATATATCAACGTTCTTTTACTTTTTCACTCTATTTTCTGAGAAGGATATTTTCAACAGTGAAAGAAAAACTTTCATGATCACATTCCACTAAGTTTTCTGATTGTGAAGTAATTAAAATAGTATCTAGGTGATCTTCATAAAATGACAGAACCACAATGATAATTGGGAAGTTCAAAAACCTTCTATCAACCTTGATAGAACTGCTAGGTAAAAACCAAATCAACAAAAATATAGAAGACCTGAACAACATTATCAACTATAAAAATATGGCATCTATAGAACACTTCACTGAACAACAGCTAAATATACATTTTTTCAAGCATGCATGGAACATTCCTTGAGATACATCAAGTCCTAGCTATAAAATAAACCTCAACAACTTTAAAAAATTTGAAATTATAAAGAGTATGTTCTCTAATCATAACATAATTAAACTAAAAACTAATAGTAATAAGAAGAAAATCTCTGCACCTTGAAAATTAAACAATACACTTCTAAATAATCCATGATTCAGAGGGGATATCAGACGAAATAAAAATGCGTAAAACTGAATGAAAATAAAAAATGCAGCATATCAAAATATGTGAGATGTAGAGATGTAGATAAAGCTGTTATGAAAGGGAAATTTATAGCACAAAATGCTTATGTTAGCTAAAAGAAAAAAAAAGTGTGAAGGTCTTAAATCAATTACCTCTGTGCAAAATTTAGGAAACTAGAAAACCAAGAGTAAATAAATGCAAGGCAGGTAAAGTGTGAAATAATAAGTAAAAGAGTAGAAATCTATGTAATTGGAAATCAGAAGACAATAGAAAAGAATCAACAAAACAAAAATTGATTCTTTGGAAAAAATAATAAAATTGATGAGCTTATGGCAGGACTGGCCAAAATTTAAAAAGAGAGGACACAAGGCAAAAATATCAGCCATATAAAGACTAAAATGCAGTACTATGAGCAGCTTCTACTCATAAATTCAAAGTAGACTGATGGATCAATTCACTGAAAGCCACAAACTGTAAAATCCCAACCAAAGAGAAATGTATCATTTGATTAGTTTTTAACTATGAAAGAAATTCAATTCATAATTAGAAGTCTTCTGAAGAAAACAATTACATGTCCAGATGGTTCCAGTGAAAAATTCTAACAAACATTTAAAGAATACCAATTTTATACAATCTTTTCCAGAACAAAGAAAAGGAGAGAAAGCTTCTTAATTTATATTATGAGGTCAGAATTTCTCTGACACCAAAATAACAAAGAAAAATTACAGATCAATATCCCTCATGAGTATATATGCAAAAATCCTTAGCAAATTGAATCCAAAAATGTATAAAAACAATTATACACAGTGAATAAATGAGATTTATTTCAAGTAATGAAAATCTGGTTCAAAATTCAAAAATCAATGTAATTGACTACATCAAAATGCCGAAAAGAAACATATATATATATAATTAATTAATTAATTGAAGTAGAAGCATTTGAAAAACTCCAACACCCATTAATTACAAAAACTCTCAGAAAGTTATAATTACAGAATATTTGCTTGAACATGATAGCAAAATGTAAAAAAAAAAAAAAGTTTATAGCTAACAGTATATGTAATAGTGAAATACTGAAAGCTTTGCCCCTAAGATTAGGAACATATTAAAGATGTCTACTCTTACCTCCTATATTTAACATAGTACTACAAGTTCTGGTCACTCCAGTGAGGGAAGAAAAAGAAATGAAAGTTATACAGATTGGAATGTAAGAAATAAAATTGTCCCTATCTGCAGATGACACGATTGTCTTAGAAGAAAATTCCAAGATATCTCTATAAAAATTAAAAAGTAGAACTGTTAAGTTAGTTCAGTAGTTTGAAAGATACAAAACCAACACAAAGAAACTCATTCTTATATGTTAAAAAATAGCATGTGAAAACAAATTAAAAACACAATACCGTTTTTAATCACTCCAAATAAAATGAAACTCATGTATAAACTTAAGAAAATGCATACAGGATCTCTACACTGAATATCCCAATATATTGTTTGAAATAAATAAAATACCTAAATAAATGATGAGAGTTACTCTGTTAATGAACTGTGATTCAAGATATGAACAATCTTCTAATTGATCTATATGTTTAATGCAATTTCCAACAAGATTTACATAGGCATAATCAAGCTTATTCTAAAGTTTATATGGTAACACACAGACTCAAGAATAGCTAAAACAATCTTGACAAAGAATACAATAGAAGGAATTATTCTACCTGATATTAAGTCTTACTATTTAGCTATAATAAATGAGAGGGTATATTATGGCATAGGGATACAAGCAAATATCGATAGTAAAGAGTAGAAAATCCAATAATAGACCCAAAGGAATACCGACATGATTGCAATAAAGTTCAAAAACAACTTGCTAGATGAAGGATAGCCTTCTCAACAAACAGTGCTGGAGCAACTGTATATCATAGGCAAAATATGAACTTTGATTTAAATTACATGTTATTCTAAAAGTGAACTCAAGATGGATCACAGACTTAAATGTAAAACAAAATGATTGATAAATTGAACCTCATCAAAATGAAAAACTTTTCCTTTGACAGTGACCTTTATGAGTATGAAAAGACAAACCACAGACTTGGAGAAAACATTTGCAAACCTATCTGACAAAGGACTAGTATCTAGAATATATAATGAACTTTCAAAACTCAACATTAAAAAGAAAACAATTCAATTAGAAAATGGGCAATAGCCAAATATATTTCAACCAATGAGGATATGCAGATAGCAAATAAGCAAAAGAAAAGATATTCAAAATTATTATGTATTAAGGACATTCAAATTAAAATCACAATGAGACATTACTACAGGACTATCAGAATGAATAAAATGAAAAATAGTTACAACACCAAATGCTGGTCAGGAGACATACAAATTAGCTCACTCATACATTGTTGCTGGGAATGTGAGATGGTACAGCCATTCTGGGGAGCAGTTTAGCATTTGCTTATAAAACTAAATATATATAGTTACTTCGTGACCCAGCAATTGAATCCTTGGGTGTATATTCTAGAGAAATGAAGAGTAATGCTCACAATAATATGTATATGAATGTTCACAGTAGTTTTGTTAATAATAGCAAAAAAACTGGAAGCAATCCAAATGTTCTTCAACTGTTGAATAAACAAGCTTGATACAACCGTACCATGAAACATTACTCAGCAATAAAGACACAAACTATATTATTGATACAAAGCAACTCAGATAAATCTCAAGGAAATTGTGCTCTGTAAAAAAAGCCAATGCTGAAATATATGATTTCATTGATATAACATTCTTGAATTGACAAAATGGTAGAGACAAAGAACAGATTAGTAGATGCCCAGGTGTTATGAATGGGGGGACAGGTAGAGGAAGGTAGATATTGTTATAAAAGTACAATCAGAGGTATCCTTACAAGTGATAATTTATAAATTATAAATGTTTATAATTAAAAATCAAAAGAAACAAGTAAAATGGCAGTTGTTTTTTATTTGCAAAATGTTTTTAAAATTATACTTTAAGTTCTGAGATACATGTGTAGAACATGCAGATTTGTTATATAGGTATACGTGTGCCATGGTGGTTTGCTACACCCATCAACCCATCATCTACATTAGGTATTTATCCTAATGTTGTCTCTCCCCTACCCTCCAAACCCCAACAGGGCCCGGTGTGTAATGTTCCCCTCCCTTTGTCCATGTGTTCTCATTGTTCAGCTCCTACTTATGAGTGAGAATATGCGGTGTTTGGTTTTCTGTTCCTGTGTTAGTTTGCTGAGAATGATAGTTTCCAGCTTCATCCATGCCCCTGCAAAGGACATGAACTCATCCTTTTTATGGCTGCACAGTATTCCATGGTGTATATGTGCCACATTTTCTTTATCCAGTCTAACACTGATGGGCATTTGGGTTGGTTCCAAGGTAGAGTAATTCCTTCCATTGTATTTTTTGTCAAGATTGTTTTAACTATTCTTGAATCTGTGTGTTTCCATATAAACTTTAGAATAAGCTTGATTATGTCTATACAAATCTTGCTGGAAATTGCATTAAACATATAGATCAATTAGAAGATTGTTCATATCTTGAATCACAGTTCATTAACATAGTAGCTCTCATCATTTATTTAGGTCTTTGATTTCTTTTTTTGCAACCCCTGCACTTTTTTGCTTTCCATTTGCTTGGTAAATATTCCTCCATCCCTTTATTTTGAACCTATGTGTGCCTTTGCATGTGATATGGGTCTCCTGAATACAGCACACCAATGAGTCTTGACTCTTCATCCAATTTGCCAGTCTGTGTCTTTTAATTTGGGCATTTAGCCCATTTACATTTAAGGTTAATATCATTATTTGTGAATTTGGTCCTGTCGTGATGCTAGCTGGTTATTTTGCCTGTTGGTTGTTGCAGTTTCTTCATAGTGTCAATGTTCTTTACAATTTGGTATGTTTTTGCAGTGGCTGGTGCTGGTTTTTCCTTTCCATATTTAGTGCTTCCTTCAGGAGCTCTTGTAAGGCAGGTCTGGTGGTGACAAAACCTCTCAGCATTTGCTTTTCTGTAAAAATTTGTATTTCTCCTTTGCTTATGAAGCTTAGTTTGGCTGGTTATAAAATTCTGGATTAAATTTTTTTTTTAATAATATTGAACATTGGCCCCCTCTCTCTTCTGGCTTGTAGAGTTTCTGCTGAGAGATCCGCTGTTAGTCTGATGGCCTTCCCTTTTTGGATAACCCGACCTTTCTCTCTGGCTGCCCTTAACATTTTTTCCTTCACTTCAACCTTAGTGCATCTGATGATTATGTGTCTTGGGGTTGCTCTTCTCTGGTAGTATCTTAGTGGTGTTCTCTGTATTTCCCAAATGTGAACGTTGGCCTGTCTTGCTAGGTTGGGGAAGATCTCCTGGATAATATCCTGAAGAGAGTGTTTTCCAGTTTGATTCCATTCACCCCATCACTTTCAGGTACACCAATCAAACATAGGTTTGGTCTTTCCACATTGTCCCATATTTCTTGAAGGCTTTGTTTGTCCCTTTTTATTATTTTTCCTCTAATCTTTTCTTCTTGCTTTATTTCATTAAGTTGATCTTCAATCTGTGATATCCTTTTTTCCCCGTGATTGATTCGGCTATTGACACTTGTGTATGCCTCCTGAAGTTCTTGTGCTGTGCTTTTCAGCTCCATCAAGTCATTATGTTTTTCTTTAAACTGAATATTCTAGTTAGTAATTCCTCTAACCTTTTTTCAAGGCTCTTAGCTTCCTTGCATTGGGTTAGAACATGCTCCTTTAGCTCAGAGGAGTTTGTTATTACCCACCTTCTGAAGCCTACTTCTGTCAATTCATCAAACTCTTTCTCTGTCCAGTTTGGTTCTCTTACTGGAGATGAGCTGTGATCCTTTGGAGAAGAAGCGTTCTGGTTTTTGGAATTTTCAGCCTTTTTGCACTGGTTTTTCATCATCTTGGTGGATTTATCTACCTTTGGTCTTTGATGTTGGTGATCTTCGGATGGGGTTTTTGTGTGGACATCCTTTTTGTTGATGTTGACGATATTCCTTTTTGTTTGTTAGTTTTCCTCCTAACAGTCAGGCCGCCCCTCTGGTGCAGGTCTGCTGGAGTTTACTGAAGGTCCACTTCAGACCCTGTTTGTCCAAGTATCACCAGCAGAGGCTGCAGAAGAGCAAAGATTGCTGCCTCTTCCTTCCCCTGAAAGCTTCATCCCAGAGGGGCACCCACCAGATGCCAGCCGGAACTCTCCTGTATGAGGTGTCTGTCGACCTCTGCTTGGAGGTGTCTCCCAGTCAGGAGGCACAGGGGTCAGGGACCCACTTGAGGAGGCAGTCTGTCCCTTAGCAGAGCTCGAGCACTGTGCTAGGAGATCTGCTGCTCTCTTCAGAGGCTGAAGACAGGAACATTTAAGTCTGCTGAAGCTGCGCCCACAGTTGCCCCTTCCCCCAGGTGCTCTGTCCCAGGGAGATGGGAGTTTTATCTCTAAGTCCCTGACTGGGGCTGCTGCCTTTCTTTCAGAGATACCCTGCCCAGAGAGGAGGAATCTAGAGAGGCAGTCTGGCTACAGCCGCTTTGCAGAGGTGGGCTCCACCCAATTTGAACTTCGCAGCCGGTTTGTTTACATTGTGAGGGGAAAACCGTCTACTCCAGCCTCAGTAATGGCTCACACCCCTCCCGTCACCAAGCTTGGCATCCCAGGTTGACTTCAGACTGCTCTCCTGGGAGCAAGAATTTCAAGCCAGTGGATTTTAGTTTGCTGGGCTCCATGGGGGTGTGATACGCTGAGCTAGAACACTTGGCTCCCTGGCTTCAGCCCCCTTTCCAGAGGAGTGAAGGGTTCTGTCTCGCTGTAGTTCCAGGCACCACTGGGGTATGAAAAAAAAACTCCTGCAGCTAGCTCGGTGTCTGCCCAAATGGCCGCCTAGTTTTGTACTTGAAACCCAGGGCCCGGGTGGTGTAGGCACCTGAGGGAATCTCCTGCTGCAGGTTGAGAACAAAAGCATAGTATCTGGGCTGGAATGCACCATTCCTCAGGGCATGGTCCCTCACGGCTTCCCTTGGCTAGCGGAGGGAGTTCCACAACCCCTTGCACTTCCTGGGTGAGGTGATGCCCCACCCTGCTTCGGCATACCCTCCATGGGCTGCACCCACTGTCTAACCAGTCCCAGTGAGATAAGCTGAGTACCTCAATTGGAAATGCAGAAATCACCCACCTTCTGCGTTGATCTCGCTGGTAGCTGCAGACCTGAGCTGTTCCTATTTGGCCATCTTGCCACCCCATCTAAAGGGCAGTTCTTAAGATTATGGCTGAGGTAAGTCATTGAAGAAATACGAAATCAAACAGTATAGCCTGTAAAACATCAACAGGACTTTGAATTAAATAAAACAGTAAATACCACTACAATCATAAATAGCGAGATGAATATTTAATAATATGCAAAGCACCTTACCCCCGGAAAAGAGAAATTGTTAGGTATGATACTCATATTTTCAGAAAATATTAATCAGAGATGCTTACTCTGGGAATGTTTCATGTGGTTATGCAAAAACTTTGAATACATGGCTGCAGACTTTGTCATAAAACTCAGTCTGTTCTTGGCACCATAATTTCAGAGGAATATGAAACATTTCAGAGGGTTTGAAAGAATCTCAGATTATTATTAAAGAGTTGGAGAAAAACATCTCTTTAAGTGAAAGCTAGAAGAATCAGCATGGTTTGAGGCAGAAAAGAGAATGACAGGAAGAAGCTTCAAGTTTTGTTGAAAGTTGTTAACCAAAGGTAGGAATTGGCTATTGTCTGTTTACACAGAGAAAGAAACAAGGTGACACAGATTTACTTCTCTACCTGAAAACATTTTAGCACAACAATAAAGTGACTTCAATGAGTACATGTTAAGAACTTAAATTTATTTAACTCTTAACATTATTAAATAGGCATTGTCGTGCCTTTAAAAAAGGATACATTAAGGCTCAAGAGTTTTTTTTTTGTTTGTTTTTTTTTTTTTTTTGCTTTTTGCCTAAGGCTGTACAATAAATGGTGGAATTTTCGTTCTAATCAAGAATGGCTAATTTCAGTCTTTCGGTTTCTAACCAATGCACCAGATCAGAGGTTGGCAAACTACGACTCAAGAAAATATATAGTCTTAGGCTTTTGTTGTATGACCCATGAGCTAAGAATGATTGTAATATATTTAACCACTTAGAGGTATAAAAAATTAAAAAATAATGTTTGATGACATGTGAAACTTGCATGACATTCAAATAGTTGACTAGTCCCACCAGAGACTATATGAGGTAACAAAGCCTAAAATATTTTTTTACAGAAAAAGTTTACTAATCCCTGCATTATGATATTCCACGCTGTATTGAACTGCATAAAGAAATATTCAACCTTGTAATGTTCTAGGAAGTAAAGGAATCTTCTCTGATGCACTATAAAACAAGATATATGCTCCTGTATCAGGAAGGGATGAATTTAGAGATATCTTGAAGATAGGAAAGCAAACGGGAGAGCTTCAGAAAAAATTCCAAAGCAATTATTCTTTGTACTTGTAAGCACTGGAAAATATATAAGGAAATTGGAATGGAAACCTGATGTTTCTCAAGGCACAGCACAATGGAAACAGCAGCCCATATCACATTTAAGCTGAGTAGAACATATGGTCTGGATCAGTGGTGCCCAAATCATGTAGCTTATGTTTTACGTGCTATAATGTTAAGCTCTAAACTCATTTTGTTTAGAAAAAAAATCAAAGAATAATATAAATCTCAAGATATTTCTGAAAATATTCCAAACAAATAACTATGCTGACTGTAATGCTATCAGCCCATGACTTCTAAAAATAAAATTTAAAAATCCAAGGTTTCTGTGAAATAATTGAGTGGAAAAAATAACAGTTCCTATGTCTAAGCCTCTCTTTTCCAGAGCATAATAATACCCTTAGTTGAAAATCCGTAACGTCAAGAGATAATCCCTGAAAACTATGCAGCATCCCTTCAAGCACTGCAGCAGAGGATTTGTGGAGAGATGGATGGGAGAATAATTCCTCTTTGCTTTCTTTGCCCTTTCCTTAATTTCAGAGATACTGTTGGTTTGCCTTCAGTGTATTACTTTCTTCCTAGAAGGATCCTTCTTTTTAGTTTATATGTGAGTAAATTATTTTGCATTAGCTATTGTGCAGATTATCATTTTTATTAACCAAACTGGTCTTTGGGGAGCACTGTATTAGAAAAAAAACATTAAATCTTTGAAAAACTCCTGGGACTCTAGTAAACATAGTGCAAACAAATACTGCCTCTTGTCTTCATTTCAGTTTTTTTCCATTCATAAAATAAAATAAACAATCTCTAACTCTTTTGCATTGCCACTCTCAAATGATCAAAAAACTTTGGAGTTTAAGAAAGATAAAACACGATAAAAGACATTGACCTTTTAAAAAAGAATTCATTGTATTCAGTCAATTAAGCATCATTCTATTTCAATGTAGTTTTGGCATAAATAGCTTGGGAGACAGAAAAGAGACATTTTTAGGAGTATCAGCCATTTCATTCTGACAACAAAACTGATTTCATGTCTTCTGTTAAGCATCCTATAAATCTAGATATTGGCATAATATTATTTAAAGTGTGATAAGTAAAGAAAAGAAAATGAATTTTGATTGGGCAGGGACTGGGAGAAGTCATTGTACCATTCATTCGTGGCTTCAATAGTTGATGTTAAAAAAGAACCATAAAGTACTGTTTTTCTGTGAGTAAGAGTGGATGTCTTGAGAGGTTCAGAAAAAGTTCACATTGGCCTTGCACAAATATGTTTTCCACAGCTCATTGCCAGGTTGGAGAGAAACAGAAGGGCAAGAAATTAGTAAAAAATTCTGATCTCACTTTGTGTTTCTGGACTTCCCTAGAGTGGGATGTACCAAAAAAATCACACTGGAGAGACTAATGCTTTTTTTCCCATTGTTTTTGCCAGGAGCAAAAAGTATTTTGCATAGCTCTACGCCTAAACTAACAGGCTCTAAAATTTTAGATTTCTTCAAACCCTCAACTACTGACATATTTTCGTTTATCCAGTTTAAAGCCTCAAATATAAAATACATAATAAGTGAAAATTATAGGATAATTATAAAACATTTCATTTATATAGGGGTTAGCTTAATTTCTCTTCCTCCAAGGGAAATGATGACCTAAAGGTGTACATATTTTTTTAGATTTAAAAATGTAACTCTTAACTTGGTCATTAAATAATACTTGATTTGCCCTAAGATGTGTAAATGGTGCTATTAATATATATTTTTAATTGGCTTACTATAGTATAAAGTTATGTGAAAACCAGACAACCCATATAAAACTAAGCTGGGAGTTGTGGAGACATTTTAAAATTACCTAAATTTCAGTATTTGGTCATTCATTCATTCATTCATTTATTCTTTCATTATTTTGTCCACTGAACTATAACAGATCCTATGTTTCTCAGATATTATTTTGAAATTGAATATCTATTGGCAATTTTTATCCACAGTATTTACAATGTATGTAATTTTTCACTCCATTACACTAGACATTTTTTATGTTTTCAAGACACAAAGGAAATGATGTAATTGCTATGGTTTAAGATATAAGTATATCCAGAATCTATAAGGAACTTAAACAAATTTACAAGAAAATAAAACAACCCCATCAAAAAGCAGGCAAAGGATATGAACAGAAACTTCTCAAAAGAAGACATTTATGCAGCCAACAAACATATGAAAAAAGGCTCATCCTTAGTGATCATGAGAGAAATTCAAATCAAGCCCACAGTGAGATACCATCTCATGCCAGTGAGAATGGTGATCATTAAAATGTCAGGAAACAGTAGATGCTGGGGAGGCTGTGGAGAAACAGGAATGCTTTTACGCTGCTGGTGGGAATGTAAATTAGTTCAACCATTGTGGAAGTCAGTGTGGCAACTCCTCAAGGATCTAGAACCAGAAATACCATTTGACCCAGCAATCCCATTACTGGGTATATATCAAAAGGAATATAAATCATTCTACTATAAAGACACATGCACATGTATTTTTATTACAGCACTATTTACGATAACAAAGTCGTGGAACCAACCCAAATGCCCATCAATGATAGACTGGATAAAGAAAATGTGGTACATATACACCATGGAATACTATGCAGTCATAAAAAGAATGAGATCATGTCCTCTGCACAGACATGAATGAAGCTGGAAGCCGTCATCCTCAGCAACCTAACACAGGAACAGAAAACCAAACACCGCATCTTCTCAATCATAGTGGGAGTTGAACAATGAGAACACATGGACACAGGGAGGGGAACAACACATACCAGGGCCTGTTGGAGGGTGGGGAGAAAGGGGAGGGAGAGCATTAGGACAAACACCTAATGCATGTGGGGCTTAAAACCTAGATGACGGGTTGAGAAGTGCAGCAAACCACCATGGCACATACAATCTATGTCACAAACCTGCACATTCTGCACGTGCATCCCAGAACTTAAAGTAAAATTAAAAAAAAAAAAAACAACAAACCCTTAACAACTCCAATAAAAGAGAGACTAAGGATATTAACAAACAATTCCATTGGAAAAAGTAGAAATGGCTGATAGCATATTTCAAAAATTTTCAACTTTCTAATAAGCAAAGAAGTGCAATCAAAACAACATTCTATTTTGCTTATTTTAATTGTAAAATAAAAATAGAAATGTAAAAAGCAAAAAAAAAAAAAAAATGTAAGTGAAAAAATAATCCTGCCTGGGCTTCAAATTCTAGCTTTAACACTAATTAGCTGATAGCTTTTGGCAAGGTACCTGTCTTCTTATCCTGTTTTCTCATCATGAATATGGAATAGTTATATATAACTTCCTTAGCCATTATAGGTATTAAGTGAAATAATATGTAAAGTGCTAAGCATAGTATCAGGCCCAAGGTATTTAATGCATAAAAAGTGGTTTCCCTTTTTTCTCCCTATATCTTTTTCTTTTCTACATCACCTTTATTCTTGATCTTCAAAACTAATAGTAACAATCATGATTATTCCATATGCCCATTATGTCTATATTGGAGGGTGATATGGTTTGGATTTGTGTCCTCGACCAAATCTCATGTCGAATTGAAGGAAGGGCCTGTTGAGTGGTGATTGAATCAAAGGGGTGGATTTCCGCCTTTCTGTTGTCAAGATAGTGAGTTCTCACGAGATCTGATGGTTTAAAAGTGTGTGGCACTTCCCCCTGCCTCTCTCTCTTCCGCCTCATGTGAAGGTGTGTGCTTCCTCTTTGTCCTTCTACCATAATTGTAAGTTTCCTGAGGCCTCCCAGCCATCCTTCCCGTTAAGCCTGCAGAACTTGTGAGTCAATTAGACCTCTTTTCTTCATAAATTACCCAGTTTCAGGTAGTTCTTTATAGCAGCATAAGAATGGATTAATGCAGAGGAACTCTATCTTTTTGTTTTTATAACAGCTGGTACATTGTTAGGATTTAATAAATGTTTGCATAAAGAATGTTTAATGTTTGTTATTTGTGGGTACAGCTCAAAAGTTCAATGTCCAAACAAGCATACATTGTTCTGAATACATTAGGTTCTTCTTCGCTATTTCAGTTTGTCATCGTTTTTTGTTGGACTCATGGTTCTTAAGTGTTCTTATGCATGCTCAAAATTGTACCTTATTATTGATAATTCACCTCCTAGACTGTGAACTCCACAAAGTCAGAAACAATGTCTATTTTGTTCAGAAATATATCCCAAATGTTCCTCACTTTTAATAATTAGTAAATAGTTGTTTAATCAATGATAAAATGAATAATATTAATGATTAAATGAAGAGATAAAGTACGCTATGGCTATTTAATTTTCACAGTTCATAACTATACAGTCTGCTATTGTTATTTTACTAGAAGTTTTGCTTTAACTTTTGGGTACATTTTACCTTACTTTTTGGAGGTTACTTGAAATTTCCTCTACTCACTACTCTCAGGTAGTACAATCTGGTAGCTTTGTGCTAGAGTACTCTGAATTGACAAAATCTTAACACTGACTAATCAGTGTTCAGGCTTGATATATATCATCTACTAGAACTCCAAGGCCATATCAATGGAAATGTAAAAGGTACTAAACAAATGGTCCATTGAAGGCCCAAGTCTCAGTCCTAAGAGATCAGACAGCTTTCTGCAATTAAGCATAAATTTTAGAAAATCAATGATTAGCTAACACTTATTTATCATCTATCATAAGGCAGCCACTAGCTATGTGTGTTTCCTATGTTCTTTTATTTAAGCTTTTCAAAAAAATATGCAAGGTAGGATTCCAATCACCAATAAGTATCTAAATAGCAACAGAGAAAATACATATTAAATTTTGAGACTACAGTGTCAAGCTCTCAAACCTAGGAGGACATTTTGAGCTGGGTCAAATATTTTTTCTTGTTGGCAATGAGATAATAATTGGTGGTAACAGTGGGTAGTAGGTTTTAACTATATTGTTAATTATAACCTTGGCCTGTGGGTTGGATTCTCCTTGGGCAGCCTACCATAACATCTCATTTTCCAGCTTTGTCAAATAGGTGTGTAAAAGAGTCTATGACCGATGAATGTGTATTTCTGATTAGGAATTTTACATACTCATTGTAGAAAAGGTAGAAAATAAAAGAGAAAACAAACAGAAAAATACAATAATATGGTCACTGATAACTACCAGCTATAGGACATTCACTTTAATATTTAAAACTTTTTGTATAATTACAAACATGCCCCCACGCCCACTTATATATAAAAGTAACATTATACTGTATACATGGCTTTGTATCTTAGGTTGCTCAATTTAACATCATAGAGTAACAACATATTCCTGTGTTATTAAAACTTGTATAAAATATTCTTTTTTGTATTAATATACTTTAAGTTTTAGGGTACATGTGCACAATGTGTAGGTTAGTTACATATGTATACATGTGCCATGTTGGTGTGCTGCACCCATTAACTTGTCATTTAACATTAGGTATATCTCCTAATGCTATCCCTCCCCCCTCCCCCCACCCCACAACAGGCCCTGGTGTGTGATGTTCCCCTTCCTGTGTCCATGTGTTCTCATTGTTCAGTTCCCATCTATGAGTGAGAACATGCGGTGTTTGGTTTTTTGTCCTTGTGATAGTTTGCTGAGAATGATGGTTTCCAGCTTCATCCATGTCCCTACAAAGGACATGAACTCATCATTTTTTATGGCTGCATAGTATTCCATGGTGTATATGTGCCACATTTTCTTAATACAGTCTATCATTGTTGGACATTTGGGTTGGTTCCAAGTCTTTGCTATTGTGAATAGTGCTGCAATAAACATACGTGTGCATGTGTCTTTATAGCAGCATGATTTATAATCCTTTGGGTATATACCCAGTAATGGGATGGCTGGGTCAAATGGTGTTTCTAGTTCTAGATCCCTGAGGAATCGCCACACTGACTTCCACAATGGTTGAACTAGTTTACAGTCCCACCAACAGTGTAAAAGTGTTCCTATTTCTCCTCATCCTCTCCAGCACCTGTTGTTTCCTGACTATTTAATGATCGTCATTCTAACTGGTGTGAGATAGTATCTCATTGTGGTTTTGATTTGCATTTCTCTGATGGCCAGTGATGACGAGAATTTTTTCATGTGTCTTTTGGCTGCATAAATGTATTTTTTTAAGAAATGTCTGTTCATATCCTTCACCCACTTTTTGATGGGATTGTTTGTTTTCTTCTTGTAAATTTGTTTGAGTTCATTGTAGATTCTGGATATTAGCCCTTTGTCAGATGAGTAGATTGCAAACATTTTCTCTCATTCTGTGGGTTGCCTGTTCACTCTGACCATAGTTTCTTTTGCTGTGCAGAAGCTCTTTAGTTTAATAAGATCCCATTTGTCAGTTTTGGCTTTAGTTGCCATTGCTTTTGGTGTTTTTGACATGAAGTCCTTGCCCATGCCTATGTCCTGAATGGTATTGCCTAGGTTTTCTTCTAGGGTTTTTATGGTTTTAGGTCTAACATTTAAGTCTTTAATCCATCTTGAATTAATTTTTGTATAAGGTGTAAGGAAGGGATCCAGTTTCAGCTTTCTACATATGACTAGCCAGTTTTCCCAGCACCATTTATTAAATAGGGAATCATTTCCCCATTTTCTTGTTTTTGTCAGGTTTGTCAAAGATCAGATGATTGTAAATATGCAGCATTATTTCTGTGGGCTCTTTTCTGTTCCATTGGTCTATATCTCTGTTTTGGTACCAGTACCATGCTGTTTTGGTTACTGTAGACTTGTAGTATAGTTTGAAGTCAGGTAGCGTGATGCCTCCAGCTTTGTTCTTTTGGCTTAGGATTGACTTGGTGATGCAGGCTCTTTTTTGGTTCCATATGAACTTTAAAGTAGTTTTTTTCCAACTCTGTGAAGAAAGTCATTGGTAGCTTGATGGGGATGGCACTGAATCTATAAATTACCTTGGGCAGTATGGCCATTTTCACAATATTGATTCTTCCTACCCATGAGCATGGAATGTTCTTCCATTTGTTTGTATCCTCTTTTATTTCACTGAGCAGTGGTTTGTAGTTCTCCTTGAAGAGGTCCTTCACATCCCTTGTAAGTTGGATTCCTAGGTATTTTATTCTCTTTGAAGCAATTGTGAATGGGAGTTCACTCATGATTTGGCTCTCTGTTTGTCTGTTACAGGTGTATAAGAATGCTTGTGATTTTTGCACATTGATTTTGTATCCTGAGACTTTGCTGAAGTTGCCTGTCAGCTTAAGGAGATTTTGGGCTGAGATGATGGGGTTTTCTCTATATACAATCATGTCATCTGCAAACAGGGATAATTTAACTTCCTCTTTTCCTAATTGAGTACCTTTTATTTCTTTCTCCTGCCTGATTGCCCTGGCCAGAACTTCCAACACTATGTTGAATAGGAGTGGTGAGAGAGGGCATCCCTGTCTTGTGCCAGTTTTCAAAGGGAATGCTTCCAGTTTCTGCCCATTCAGTATGATATTGGCTGTGGGTTTGTCATAGATAGCTCTTGTTATTTTGAGATATGTTCCATCAATACCTAATTTATTGAGAGTTTTTATCATGAAGGTTGTTGAATGTTGTCAAAGGCCTTTTCTGCATCTATTGAGATAATCATATAGTTTTTGTCATTGGTTCTGTTTATATGCTGGATTACGTTTATTGATTTGCATATGTTGAACCAGCCTTGCATCCCAGGGATGAAGCCCACTTGATCATGGTGGATAAGCTTTTTGACATGCTGCTGGATTCGGTTTGCCAGTATTTTATTGATGATTTTTGCATCGATATTCATCAGGGATATTGGTCTAAAATTCTCTTTTTTTGTTGTGTCTCTGCCAGGCTTTGGTGTCAGGATGATGCTGGCCTCATAAAATGAGTTAGGGAGGATTCCCTGTTTTTCTATTGATTGGAATAGTTTCAGAAGGAATGGTATCAGCTCCTCCCTGTACCTCTGGTAGAATTTGGCTGTGAACCCATCTAGTCCTGGACTTTTTTTGGTTGGTAAGCTATTAATTATTGCCACAATTTAAGAGCCTGTTATTGATCTATTCAGAGATTCAACTTCTTCCTGGTTTAGTCTTGGGAGGGTGTATGTGTCGAGGAATTTATCCATTTCTTCTAGATTTTCTAGTTTATTTGCATAGAGGTGTTTATAGTATTCTCTAATGGTAGTTTGTATTTCTGTGGGATTGGTGGTGATAGCCCCTTTATCATTTTTTATTGCGTCTATTTGATTCTTCTCTCTTTTCTTCTTTATTAGTCTTGCTAGCAGTCTATCAATTTTGTTGATCTTTTCAAAAAACCAGCTCCTGGATTCATTGATTTTTTGAAGGGTTTTTTGTGTCTCTATTTCCTTCAATTCTGCTCTGATCTTAGTTATTTCTTGCCATCTGCTAGCTTTTGACTATGTTTGGTCTTGCTTCTCTAGTTTTTAATTGTGATGTTAGGGTGTCAATTTTAGATCTTTCCTGCTTTCCCTTGTGGGCATTTAGTGCTACAAATTTCCCTCTACACACTGTTTTGAATGTGTCCCAGAGATTCTGGTATGTTGTGTCTTTGTTCTCGTTGGTTTCAAAGAACATCTTTATTTCTGCCTTCATTTCGTTATGTACCCAGTAGTCATTCAGGAGCAGGTTGTTCAGTTTCCATGTAGTTGAGCCGTTTTGAGTGAGTTTCTTAATCCTGAGTTCTAGTTTAATTGCACTGTGGTCTGAGAGACAGTTTGTTATAATTTCTGTTCTTTTACATTTGCTGAGGAGTGCTTTACTTCCAACTATGTGGTCAATTTTGGAATAGGTGTGGTGTGGTGATGAAAAGAATGTATATTCTGTTGACTTGGGGTGGAGAGTTCTGTAGATGTCTATGAGGTCCGCTTGGTGCAGAGCTGAGTTCAATTCCTGGATATCCTTGTTAACTTTCCGTTTCGTTGGTCTGTCTAATGTTGACAGTGGGGTGTTAACTTTTATAAAATATTCTTATCAGCCATCTTTTTTTTTTTTTACTTTTAAGTTCAGGGGTTCAAGTGCATGTTTTTCACATACATAAACTTGTGTCAAGGGGGTTTGCTGTTGTATTGTCTGGATTTATCATAATTTACTTAACTCAACCCTGTCATTGAAAATGTGTGTTGTTTCCAATTTCTATCTATTAAATGTTGTAAGTGGAATCATGGATACCTTTGAATTGAAGAGCTTCTCCCCATTTGTGTCAAGTGCAAGACTACCTATATGAATTACATATTTCCTAGATGACTTTTTGCGGGATATTTGATGATACCCACCTTCTACTAAGTTACGTTTGTATCAGCAAACTAATTTTGTAGGTCCTTTGATGAAACATAATAATACCATATCAAAGAACTATTGGAATAACATTTCTATTATAAATTGTACTTTACTCTACTGGTATTGGTAAATAAAATGAACAAGATATTATGTGTTATGAATTATGCAAGGTAATAAATGATTAGTAGCAAATAAATGGCAATCTGTAGAGTTCAGGAGAGCAGGAGATCATTGTGTGTCAGATTTTAATATTTTTTCAATTTTCATTATTTCAGTTCCCATATTGTCAGATACATTATTTAATTATCTCTGCTGTTTATCTGATGTATAATAGCAAATACACATACAAGTTTTTTCATAAAAATGGAGCTAAAGTGAGTTACTTGATTTATGTATTTTATTACATTATTCTATAATTGAATGCAATAATCGTCGGTAGAAATAAAAACATCAATAATTTATTTTCAAAAATTTGACAAAGCTCCAGACTTTCTCCAGAGTATTACATATTTCCCTCTACAGACAATAATGAGGCTTTCCTATAGTGATGTTTCACTGATAACATTGTTTATTTAATGATGAGTTGAGTCTGATATATTATTGCAGATATTGCTTCTTGTAGCTCACAAGTTCAACAAAACTATTAAATTATCTTCCAAATCATGAATTTTTCATTTAAAATCAATTATTAAAGCATTATTATGTGGAACAGTTGAAGTTTTGCCAATGATAATCAACATTTTATTTCCTCATTTCAAAAGTTTGCTGCAAAATGTTTTTTCATTCCATAGTTCAAATGACACTATAAATCTAGACTGTGATGACACATTTGGATTGGTATTCTTTTTAACTTTATAATTAATAGTGGAAAACATTCTGAGAGTAGTAGTTTTTTTTTCATTTGTTTTTTCAACACTCTTTGATAAAATATTCTGTTGCTTTTTATTATTTTAAATGCTTTATTTTGTAAAACAGTTTTATAATGCTTTTTTTTAAAAATAATTTCCCCACCAATGATTAAATGTTTCTTTATTTTCCCCAAGAGCTTTCATGAAGCATGATTATCATTCTGGTTAAATTGGTGTATACCTCTGGTTAATAGCTCTTCTATACAGTATTATTTTATGTTTCATAATTTTCACTCCTAATAATGGGAGCACAAGGTATCATTGCATCTAACCCTTTTGGCACTGACATTAAAAAGCCACCCATTACTTTTGTTTGTTTAAGTAATTGAAAGTTCTATGTTATCGGAGAAATACAAATAATTTGTACAATGTCTTGTACTAATTTGTGCATAGTATCAAATGACATTTCAAGCTTTTTTTCATTTTTGTACTTGATTTATGTAAAATCAGAAAATGTACCAGGCTGAAGTTTCTCATTAATTTTTCTGTGTTCTCCTACAGATCAGAAAATTAATTCTTATTAAACTTAAAAAGTAGGTTAACAAATTTATAACAACATTTTCGCCTCTCTATTCTGGCTGTTTTTTTTCTTGTTTCTTATAAATATCTAAACGTATTAATAACAGACTAGTACACATTTCCTGCTTAAGGGAGAGTTAGAAAATACTAATGACATACTATGAAGAAGTAGGAACAACTTCATATATCCAGCAAAAAAATAATAATAAAGTAACTGTTCCAAAGCCAGAATATTTTATGTGTAGGATGACCAAATCATTTATAATTCAAAGCAGGACACTCTTGAGTGTGAAAGTGGATACTATTAATAATTATTCCAGGACAATTTGCATGAACCAGGACTGCCTCTGGCAAAGCAGGATATGTGTTGTATCTACCATAAGGAATGCACACTGTAGTGGCATTGTCTACCTTAACATGGGACAAACTGGAAGATCATGGTGTTTGTTCCTCTTAAAAAAATTCAGGATAATTAGCCTGAACTAATGAGTTAATTACAAATAATTATAAATAAGTATTATGATTTTACCAATGGGTTCAGCATAGAGACACATACTATTATTGTATCTGATGTGATACTTTCTCCATAAATTGGATGTTAAGAAATATCATATGTCATGTTTCCCTTTAAATCAGAATAAGTCTGACATTGATTCTCTGTCTCTGGCAAAAAATTAAGTTTTAGTTATTAGCTTATTTCTCTCTTCCCACTCAGATTATTCAAGGTCCAAGGGCCCTTTGTCTATGCTGAGTTACCATTTAGACATCAATTGTCCAAGATCCAGGGGTTCCTTGCTGCCCAAAAGTTTTTTCAATGGCTTCCTGAGCAAAGAGACGTTTGATAGGGCTGAGAATACTAGCGCCAATGTAGAGTCTTCCTTGATCTGTTTCCTGTTTATTTCCCTGGGTATTTCATGGCTCTTGGTCTGCACCGCTCACAGAGCCAATGAGCATCTAGCTTCTACTTTGGATTGAGGCAAAATTATCTCCCCTCTGTCCTGATGCTTCTTCTTCTTCTTTTTTTTTTTTTTTTTTGATGCTCACCATATTATTTTGACATATCTTAGGTTCCAAAAAGAAAGTCAGAAAGAGAAATTTGGAGCAGAATGCACTACACGGCTTTCTCCTGAGTATGAAGTGTTTGCCTAGCTTCTTCAAATGGAGCGGATATTGAACAAGAAGAAAACACAGATTACTATCTCAGCAGGATGGATGACTCTATCATGATCCTCATGAAATCAGGTCTACGTAGGGTGTCTCGCCAAATGCCACACCTCTTCCTGGATTTACACACACACACAGATTAAGCCTACAATTACTCAAACTAAAACATCTTAAATTTGTGATTTTGTGACCCTCTTTATTTATGGAGGAAAATGAAAGGAGAGGGTGAGAGGGAGTCTTCTGAGGTGCAAAACAAAAAAGGAAAGACACCAGCAACCTTTCTGACCCACTGCCCTTGATGTGGAAGGCACTGTCACAGGAAAGGCAGAATCTTCTTTTTTCTCTCACATGTCTATAACCAAAGTGGCATTTCTATATCATTTTCAAGTTAAACCTCTACTTAGAAAAGCTTAGTGTATGTTGTTTGGAATGAACCAAACCCCAATAATGTATACTTATGCCAGGGTCAATAACAACTTTAACTTCCAAAAAAGAAAAACAAAAAGAAAAACAAATAAAATGGATCAAATCTGTAGTTGGAGATAGATGTTGGCATGTTGAGTTTCACTAACCCAGTGTTAGTGGGAAAAGTCTATTTTTGGCATAACATTTTAGTGTCTCCCTTATCGTGTTGACACATTTTTATCAACCCCTTGGACATCTGCAAGGTACAACAAAATAAAATGGCATTTCTTCAAATGGATGTTATAATTAAAACTTTATGTAGTTCTTTAGTGCTACAATATTTACATTGAAACACTAAATTGAATGTTTTCATCTCATTCAATGTATATTCATCAGATACTCCTTCAAAAATATGCTATTCTTTTCAGAAAAAAATGGTATTTGTAGTATCAGAGACTTTTTGTATATGTTTATTAATTTGGCTGTATATTTCTCCTTCATAAATGTAATCCTATCTAGTCATGTTTACAGAAGAAATTAGACAAAAGCTTAGCTAGCTCAGTAACTGAAAAAGAGACACAAGTCTTGTACCAAGTTATGATATCATCTTTATCTCATATTTAGTTCACATCTATGAGAAATTTATAGATCAGTGCTACATTACTTTAAGATAATTAAAATTGATATAATTACTTTCCTTAAACAGGTAATACTGTGATGGATTAAACAAGACCACTGACTACAAATATATCAGATATGTTTGTATGTGTTTGTATCTTAGATTATATATTTAATTGCATAATACATTTGGCCTAACTGGGTCAAATTGAATGAATTCAGGTGGAATGTTTTGGTAGATAGTTTTACATGATTATACAAAATTAGGAAACAGCTACTTAACAGGATAAAATTTTACTAGGAGTTAAGGGAAAAGAAAAAACAGTGATTTGGGACCCAATGCAGTATATACTAAAAGTAATTAAAAGAGGTTGTCAGTGGTGAAGGGAAATCAGTATTACAAATCAAACAAGGCAAAAGCAAGAGGAAAACAATCAAAGACTAGAATTATGAGTCTAACTGAAAAGACTAGTTAGGTTGAGTGAAATCAAGGTGATAAAATGACAATAACACAAAAGACACGTTAAAACATTTGGGGTTACTCAATTCCTCAAATTAAATGGTTATGATGTATTATATTAAGAGACTTATTAGACATTAAAACTTAAAAGTGACATAGAAGCTTTCAGAGGAGAAAAGGGAACACAGTTTGAGGTGCCAGCATTTTCACAGTAAATCTTAGGAAGAGGGAATTTCAGAATGCAGATTTCACAACTTTCAATTATCTCTTAACATTGTCTATAATGGAAGCACAGGAAAAGTAAAGCAGAACTTTCTTAAATGTTGAACAGAACTTCTTACTGTGAATCTATGAACCATTGTTTGTAGAACTTGACTACGTTTCAATTATAATAACAGGTACATTTCCCAAAAGAGAATTACTACTTAACTCTGACTAAGGGGTTCCAGGGCCAATTTATAATCACTTTAGGCCAACCAATTTCCCCTTTGTCCATCTGGGCAAAGCTATGGTCACAGCTTTGCAGACAGCAGGTGCCCATGTGGTATGGCTGGGAGCCTTTCCTGGCTCCTGTGTCACTGCTCCTCTTCAGAGGAATTTGGATGAAGACACAAAAGTATAATCTTTCAAGTTTCATGCTTTTCCCCTCAAAGGCAAGAAACCAGGAAAGAATTACTGAATCATGTATTCAGCAAGTTGTTGACTCCCTTGCTTAGTCTTATGTTTATGGTAGCTTCCATTACATTTTAACTCTATTTTTAAGCTAACCTTTTAACTTTATCTAACTGTCTCATTCTTCATCTTCATTACTTCAAGGATCAAGTTGACCATTGAAGTCGGCCATTCTGATCAAATCTCAGACCAATTTAAAATTCTCCAAAGATTCCCCACTAGATGTATCCTGAACTTCAGATTCCCTATGATATCACATGAGGCCTCCCTGACCTGGCCCCCATGTTCTTCTGTAGTCTAGTCTCTAACCACAATCTCTTTAACCTATGATTAAATTTTTCCAGTATATAGAAATAGTATAACTGCTGAATATCTTAATGGATAAATGGACACTAGACTGGCTCCATTACCATTGTTCAAGCACCTTTATGAACTACATGTCTGCTAATAAACTTTTCATTCCTTTCTCTCCATCTAGCAAAATTCTGTTCAGCCCAGAGTTTATCATAGTATCTGATGAATACTAGCTACTTAACATGTGTTGAATGAATAAGTTAAAACTTCTCCCAAGTCAAATTCTACTTTCTTCATATGGTATGTCCTCATCTCCATCTAGAAGTAATTTCTCCCTATGTTGAGTCCCCCAAGTATTTATTTTTAAGAAGATTTGTATGGCCACATTGTGTATATTCTCTATATTTATTAGGAAATATTTAAACATTTTATTTTTTAAATAAAGACTATATCTTGTTTCCTCAGACTATAAGTTTTAAAATTCTTCATAATTTTAATTATATTTTTCTTTGCCTCTTTCACAGATTATCAGTGTTCAATAATTGTGATTTGAATGGCATTATGCAGAAGAAAAATACATTCTATCTGTCTCAAGTTAATGGTGACAATGAGGATATAAGAGGTTGAACCAAACATGCCTTCATTAAGCTACAGAACAATTATTAAGGACAAGATGAATAAATATCAGATAATATGTTGAAATCTGTACATATAAAGTGCTGTGGGCATGCAAAACATTGAATTTATTAGAGAAGTGAGGAAGATTTAGGATTTTCTATGAGGTATGGGTTTAAACATTCTCTTGAATCAGGATTACTGGAAAATCATGAAGAGGGAATTCCATGAGGGTTTATAGCACGAATGTAAGAATTACCAAAAGAGTTATAAGGAAGAACAAGCAAAGTCATTTGGCCTGATGAGAGAAGTCATGTTGAAAGTTAAGAAAATATGGGGTCAGCAAGATAGAAATGAGCGTTCAATAGAACATTTTTTTAAAAAGTTCTAGGAGCTAAGAGAGAGAGAGTTCTGCTTATTTTCTAATAGTGAATTCTATTCCAGTGACTAAAGTGTGACTGAGGTTTCAGAAGGAACTGGAACCTTCTTCAAGGCTTTTATAATCTTAACTGATACATCAGGAGTTAAGCGATTGCAAAACTAGGGTCTGAAACTGAGGTTTCAGAAGGCTCTGGAATCTTCTTCAAGGCTGTTATAATCTTAATTGCTACATCAGGAGTTAAGTGATTGCAAAACTAAGGTCTTGGGTGTGGCATGGCTAATGTGACTTGGGGAGGTGGAATGAAAAACCATGCAAGCAAATAAACTTAATACTTTTAAATATTGCCCTTAATCTTTTGCAAGCAGTTCCACAGTCAGGAGTCTGAAGCTGTCTTATAGTTATTGGAAGAAAACAGAGAAGAGTTTTTCACTCCTCTTAGATAGATTATTATAAACTTGCTTTAGTAAATGAATATGCCCTAGTGATATTCCTATTTTCGCTGAATCTTTTGAGATATATCAAAAATATATATAAGCAATGTCCCTCCAAAAGAGAAAAAATGTATTCCATTGGATATTGATAAGAACCCAGCAAGGAAAAGATATTGCACCAAAAAAAAAAAAGATTGATTTGCCTAATTTCAGTATTACTTTTAACAGCAATGAGAGATTAATGACTTATATTTAAAGCACGATATAATTTTCTTGCAATGAATATGGTACATTAAGATGTTAGCCTCTCATTCTGCTTGTGAAAGAAAAGTCAGATCTTTGCCAAATAGCTTTGGTTTGGGGGACACCTATCCCAGTCCACATCTACTTGAGTAGCTATTTATATGAGATGGAAAATGAAAACTTAACCTCATTTAGTGACTATGTGCACAGTCTGTGAGTATTCAGTAAAAGTTAAAAACCATCAGAACTGAAAAAAAATTAGGCTGACAACATTGAACAAATGTGTGTATTTAGTAATTTAAAGAGCCCACCAAAAACAACCACTTGCTGTCTGTAAAAGTCAATCAAGTCTTTGTAGTATGTAAGAAGGGGAAAGATCCTGTCAACTATTCTGTGGCAATGTCCTGGAACAGACTGACTTCTTGAATTAAGCTCAAAAACAGCGGTCAGGAATTTTGTTCTGTATCCCAGATGTGACCAGATGTGAAGAAGTCCCTAGCTGAAAAAAATGTATAAACAAAACACAAAATAAAAAAAAAAAAAGAAAAAGAAAGAAAGACCTGAACTATTTAGAAAATATACTTGATTATTCTAAGTAAATGTGTTTTACCCCCAAAACAGGAGCTAAAGAAAGCCCATGGCGTATTCATTCCACAGGACTTTGCTTGCTGAGCCAGGGAAAATGAACTGTCAAACTTAAAGTAACGGCCATGTAGAAAGGACAGCCACAAATGTACAGAAAGTTTCCCTTTCACAGACAATTTTTAAATATAGAATCTCAGTTATCCATGCAATTGATATTATCTCTCCAGCACATTCTCTGTCATTCATTTGATTTTTCAATGTGCCTTATTTTTAATATAAAATAGCACATTATAGATAAAGATGCCATATTCTTTGAATCTTTCTAGCACCTTTCCAGTTCTATCTATTGCCTCCTCCTTCCCTGAGCGTACATTCATTATCATGAATTTAATACCTCTTTCCTGTCCCATTAAAATATTTTTGCATACATACATATATGTTCATGAATGTTGCACTGTTCATAGCATCATAATACATGTTTTCTGCCACTTTATTTTTACTCAAATTATATTTTTAAAATCTAGGGTTTGTCTTTTAACAGCTGGGCTTCATTCGACCAAATAAATATAGTATATATTATTAATCCATTTCCCTCTGAGAGAATTTGGGTTATTTTCATTTTTTTCCATGTTGCAAATAGCATGTCAGACATCTCAGCACGTATCCTATGCAAACGTGCAAGTGAAGCATTGGTTATGTTTCAAGCACTTTGCTGCATAATCTGGCTTAATCCTCACACAAAGTCTAGGATCAATGTTGCTTTATTGATATCTTGAAAATTAATATATCAAAAAGGTTAAGAAACATTATCAAGTTCACTCAACTGATACAAAGGGAGTTGAGATTGCATTTTCACCTACTGCTAATTGAAATCTTGTTTATTTATTTGCTCACATGCTTATTTTTCTGCCACACCCACCAGAATATAAATTCCATGAAGACAAATGTCTTTGATTTCTGCCTTATCTCCATTGTATTATCTGCACCTGGCATAGAAGAGGGACTGGATAAGCACTTGTTAGATGAATAAAATGAATAAAAGAATGGATGAATAAACACAATTATTTCCCAAATGTTAAGAGAACCCAGAAGAGTAAAAGAACTGTAACCTGTTTTGGAGTCCCTGCAAAAATTAGTTTCAATTCTAGGCAGTTCCATGTTCTAAAGAACCCAGAAGTGCTGTCCCGGGTTTGGCTTCTCATGAAATATCTGTGTTTGCGACTGAGAATTTGGGGATGTGTATACTTGGCAGGCAACCTTTGGATCATTTCAGATGACATACAGAGGGTTTGTGGTTCTGAAGAATAATTCTGGAAAGTCAAAGTCAGTAATGTTCAGTGGCTTTGTATATTTTTGCTCATTTTGTAAACTCTGGGGAAAAAATAAGTCTGCAAAGTTACAGCCACAGGTTTCATGACACATCGTGTTCTTAAAAGTGAGTAATTAGAATAATATGAATTGCTGGTGACTTATACCACAAGAATAGTCCTTTTTCTGGGAAAAAGACATGTCGGTAATACACTTTCTTTAAAATCGTTGGCAAAACTTTTTCCATTCCTTTGTTCTCTACCATAGACATCAGATGGTACATGAGGAAAACTCTGTTACTGTTATCAGTGTTCAGGACTATTATCAGCATGGGATTTGTGTGAGTCAGATGTTTACTTCTACAGTATTGTTATACTGAAACAAATTGAGTAACCCTAATTCATGGAGAATAATTAGTTCTGTTTATTAAAGTTTTTAGTTGGTTAAAATATACAAAAGCTTCTTTTTTTAAAATCTTTTTTCTAGTAACTTCCTAAAATGCATTAATATTCTTTGTGGCCTTAGCGTAATTTAGGGTCCCTAAAAGCCCGAGCTTTCTTTAGAGATGTAGAACCTTAGAACCATTCAACTTGCCATCAGTTCTTGTAAGTTTTTGTATGAGATTGTACCAAATCTGTAGACATCACAAGTCATATCTTCTAATTTACTTTTCAACGAATATGTCTTTTCTATTGATCTGTTTGGATTCATTCTATTCTTGCCCAGATAGGGTCCCAATTAGGTAACTCTGTTGGATTGTTCTTTTAGCAGCTTAAGCATAAAATAAACCAATATGGGATATTAAAAAATCACATATGTCCATATATTAAACTTTATATAAATAATACTATTAACAGTATTGAAATTCCACCAACATGAAAAACAAAAATAACTTTCTTTAAAAGTTGAAATGGTGACTTTATAGCATACAGTTTCTTAGAATAGCTTCTACTTTCTTAATCCTGGAATGATTATGGGGGTTTTTAATTGGTAAATATTTGTAACCTGTACTTATTTTTTTCAAAAATATGTTATGTTCTGTTACCTCTATGTTATAAATTATAATGGCATACTAAATTAGAAATGAGCTCTTTGTGCTTATGTCTTAATTTTTTGTATGGAATTTTTTATTTGGAAAATTTCAAAAACAAAAGTTGAGAATAGCATAATGAACCCATGAAACTGTGACCCAGGAGCAGCACACAGCCAATCTTGTTTCATCTCTATCTGTCCACTTATTTAATTTTATGCATTTCTAGTATAAATGTTAAATGGTAGAAACACCACTGAACAGAAGGCAGAAGGTCTGAGTCTGAGTCTTCGCTCTACCCTGTAGAAGGCATTTAATTTAGTCATAACTCAGTTACATCCCCTACAACATGGGACACGTGTGACCAAATACCTTTAATCTCTCTTTGTCATCTTGTTTTACACACTAAGTTGTAGTAGTATATTTTCGGTCAGTGTAGTCCAGTGAATGCACTCTGCATCTTCAGTGACCTTTCTCTTGGTGCAGGTATAATCTATCTGCACCACAAAGGCAAAATTATAACCAACTTAAAAATAAAATAGAACTTGCAATGGAATAGTTCTACTAGCCGCAGTTATGCAACCATTATAATGATGTCAACATTTAAAAAATGCTGATGCACAATAAGAGGTACAGGCTAGATTTAAATTGATTATATATTTTATATAAATATAAAATCAATGAAAAAACTTCCAATATTATACATGTGCTGTAAAAAGAAAACATTCTGAAATAGGCTGATGGCATTTCAAAAGCAGTCTAAAATTATTTTTAAAAATTGTTTTATCTTGGTGGTAAAACAAAATATTATGAAATTCATTTTAATATGATGAAGTTTCAATAAATCTAACAATTAAAATTGATTACACATGTAGAATCCATGCAAAAAAATAAGTCAGTGAAATAGAATCACCTTCATGTCATGGGTTGTCATTGTTTGCTTGTTATTAACCCTGTAATGCCACACACCTACTCTGCCTTGTCCATTGCTGTATTCCCAGCACCTAGCAGAGTATATAGTACACACACACAAATTTATGAATTAATGAATTTCAGATCAGTGTATGCTATGAAAAAAACATAAATACAACAAATTTGAATCATGTCTATCTAGTTATTTGGTTTAGACATATTGATATGATTTTTCACATATGTTCTAATACATTTTTGATGCTGATTATATTACACCTATCTCTATCTTTCCATTTAGATATGGATAAAGTCTTACATGCATTTAGCAATAAATTTCATAAGGTTAAGTTGATTGAAAATAATCGGAATTTGTAAAGAAGAACAAATATGTCTGTGGACAAAATCTGTAAGCAAAAAATATACAAAAAGATCCCAATGCACTGAGATAGGATGTGTTATGAGGTGAAACTGATCAAGGATAACTATGACACCTTTGCTCATGTATAGTCAACTGAATTCACTGTCACAAAATAAGGGGTCATATCTTAGCCCCTTTTTTGGTTATCAGAACATTCAATATCAGATGATTTCATGACCAAAAGGATATCATATCCATCTTCATTAAGGACAGTACCACAGGTAAACCTAGGGCGGCACAGTCCAACTCTGTACTGGTTGGTAAATTCTTGGACTATTTCTTTCAGTTCTGAGTACCTTCATTTAGAAGGATTTAGATGGATTAAAATATATTTACAAAAGAATAACACAACATCGCTTATGAGAAATGTTTAAAGAAAGAGAAATATTTAACCTAGAGATGTGGAATTTTGTTAAAAGGATATAAAAGTTATAAATAAAAAAAGTTATAAATAAAAAAAGTTATAAAAAACTTATGTGTCTGTGGATGTCATCAAAGGGAATTTCTGTCTTTTTAAATTTACAATATATTTTACTTTAATCCTTCTCTCTCCGAGCTACTATCATGACCTGTCTGAGTTTCAAGAGCAGGTAATAACTTGTCTTCTCACATCAGCTTTTGCACTCCACTCCCTAATTCTATTGTCAACTTAGCAGGTAGAGAAACTCTTCTAAAGGGTCATGTGATCATGTGAACAGAAATGACAACAGAGCTTACATTTATTACTGTCTTATTTGATCCTCACAGCATCCAAATGAAATAAACATCATTGGCCTTTCTTGAGATGAAGAAATAGATTGTTTGAAACTGCCCACTGGCCTGACTTGCTCAAAGACACATGACTAGAAAGTTATCAATCTGTAACTAGAAATCAGGTCTATCTTATTTCAGACTTCAGTTTTATGGGCCACCAAATTGTCAATGAGTCCTGAGACTAGCAGCAATGTGAGCTTGGGAATTGGCAGGAAATAGTCTGAAGTAGAGATCCTAAATTAGTCATCTATTGCTGTGTCACAAATTACCCAAGACTTAGTGGAAGGAAGTCATGCCATGCCAGTGTTGGTCTAAAGGTTAAGAAAGATGGGAAATTCTGCTGTGGTGCTCTGGGGAAAGCTCCACACCACATAAGGCTTTGAAGTATCCTGAAACCATTGTGTGCTGTGATAAAGATAATCTAGCCCCATAAAGCAACCATATGAGTGAAGCCATCTGGGAAGTGTATGTTCCATTGCTTCCCCTACCACAAAATGAGCCACCCTCGCTAGCATCATGGCCAGCAGAGACAAATTGCATAACTAAGTAGCATAACACTACAAACATGTATTATCTTTCATAGTTTCTGTAAAATACGTCTTCTTCACTAATGTATTTCATGTGCCTAGTGCATGACATAAAACAAGTTCTCAATTGTTACTAAAATAAATATTACATGAGTTAAAGAATAAATGTGTATACACATGATTATGTGAATATATAAAGTATCATGGAGAGATGAATAATACTTTTGTATGATCTCTTCTTAATATGATTACTTCTCTACATATTTTCTATTCCAAATATGTATTGAAATGTTAGGTAAAGGAATGAGTAAATTATATGAGGAATAAGAAAAATTTTGGTAATTAAAGAGGAAAAGAATTAAATAGATTAGTGACATAAGACAATTAAAAGTTTGCCATGTTGAGGAGCAAAGCTTGGATGAATTCAGGTGAGAGATTTCTGAGAACTATGGGATGTCACAGGGAAGACAGGAGGCTGTCCAAGAGCCAGACCCAGAAAAATGGTGGCCTAGTCTAAGGAAAAACAAGAATCCTATAAAACAAAACAAAACACTTAATGTCTTCAGGGAATGAATCTCTGTAGAACAATACTATGCAGAACAAAATAACAAAACTTGATTTTGTGAATAATCATCAATCATGAAAAAGTTGACAAGTTTTTGAATAAGAAGCTATCATTAGTATCATTTAATAAATTTAGAAAGAAAGGAATACTATGCAGCCATAAAAAACGATGAGTTCATGTCCTTTGTAGGGACATGGATAAAGCTGGAAACCATCATTCTCAGCAAACTATTGCAAGGACAAAAAACCAAACACCGCGTGTTCTCACTCATAGGTGGGAATTGAACAATGAGAACACATGGACACAGGAAGGGGAACATCACACACCAGGGCCTGTTTTGGGGTGGGGGAAGGGGGAAGGGATAGCATTAGGAGATATACCTAATGCTAAATGACGAGTTAATGGGTGCAGCACACCAACATGGCACATGTATACATATGTAACAAACCTGCACGTTGTGCACATGTACCCTAAAACTTAAAGTATAATAATAATAAAATAAAATTTAAAGAAAGAAAGAAAGGCTTCCATCAGAAAAAAACCAGGAAGCAGAAATTGTATCTCTTATTTGGGCAACAGTTTTTATAAATTAGTATTCCATAAAAGTAAGGATTATTTATTGGCTAGTGCTATTTAAAAAAATAAATGTAGGATCATAAGTTTTTAGAGATACCTGTAATACAGAAAAAGACATGTGCCATTCTAGAGTCAAACATACAATCCCCAAGCCCTACCAGGATCTTTCTAGAAAAACTCAAGTTTCAAACATAACAGATCATACAATAAAGTAATTAAACATATATTTGAGCTTCTACCCAAAATTGTTTCTAAGTCTGGAACTTGGACAAATGTTCAGAAATCCAAAATTTGTTATGAATTAACCTATTATATCATTGTTTAATTCCATTTGACAGTTGAATTTCACTAAAATGCAGGGAAACAATCCGAGTATTAAATATGTTCAAAATACATTTTATTTGGCAGCAATGTTTTCTAACATAGAAGAGACCTAGAAAGCTAATAGCATGTGGAAAGATAAAGGAGATTAAATTTGCCTTTTTGGGTACTGTTATAGGATAAGCCTGAACTCCTGATTTGAATAAATGGTTAAAAGAGTGAAATAACTTACCCAATTTCAAATATCAAAGTTACTATTATATGGGCCAAGTCCTGTTCTATGCATTCAGAACAAATAAGTGAACAAATAATAACTACTACCTGATTGGGGCTTCCTTTTTGATAGGGAAGTTACAAAATGAAATGAAAATAAAATGAAAATAAATGTGAATTCTATAGTATGTGAGAAGGTAATAAATGCTATGGAAATAAAGGTAGAATACAGTGAAGGGTATTAAGTATCAAGGTGGAAGGGAGGGATAGGATGCAGTGTTAAACTGGGTGGTCATGTTAGACCTTCTGTAAAGGTAACTGAAGAAACAACTGCACAATGTAAGGGAAAAGTATTTCAGTCAAAGAGAAGGCAGGAGCGAATAAGTGTGCGAGTAATACAAAATGAAGAAGAAGAAGAGGAAGAGGAAGAAGAAGAAGACAAAGAAGAAGTAGTAGTTACAGTGGTGGTGACGATGTTGGAGAATGTTCTTGATGGCCTCATGTGCCTCTTAAGAATTTTGAGATGTTTATTTATTTATTTATTTTTTAATGAAAATGAGGAGCCATTGCCAGTATTTGTGCAGAAGAGTGCTATGTTGAACATTAGGTTTTAACATTCAGATTGCTGTACTAAGAACAGTCTAGCATGGGTTAACTCTGCTCTCTGCCATCACACAGGTCTAAAGTCCTTGCCTCAGTGCTTCTAATTTCTTCATTAGTCATCTTATGATGCAGCTGCTCACATGATTTGAACAAGTTCTTTGGAACACATTGTCTTTATTTGATCCCTGTTTTTTAGTGCCATGTAAATTACTCATAAACACAGTGCTTTGGCCATCCCAATAATAAGACAGAACAAATGTAATTTCTTTTTACCCCAACTTCCGCATTCGTGGTCTCTCCATTAGTAAATCCCAAACATTGGAAATATCAATTCATTTACCAAATGTTTATTGCATGTCTGTTATGTGCCAGGCACCGTTGTATGACTTAGAGATTCAGCAGTGAACAAAATAAAGCAGGACACTGCTTTCATAAAGCTCATATTAAAATTCAAATAGTATATACAACATAAACTGTACATATTGAAGGCTAACCCTCATGCACACAATTTAAATTTCATTTCAAAAAGATAAAAATGGGACAAATCATGCTTTAGTATATCACCCTCTTTCATAGACTCTATAACATCCAGGTCAAAGATATTTTCAGATCCTATTTTGTGCCTTTGAAAAGAGAGGATATTGTTCTTATATTTAGCACACTCGTCCCTCCTTTTTCTCGGTAATAGTAATTCTACTTTTATTCTAGTATTTTCTTTTCTCTATGGAGCTCCTATAAATGTGGGGAAGATAATTTCTGTTTTAGGTATGTTCTAACTGAACTAATGTAATAGGCACAACCCATGTTCCTGGCTTCAGGGATGAGAACATGACCCAAATCAGGCCAACGTGATGGGAGGAGATGTTTTCTGAGGGTTTTTGAGAAAGAACTTTCTTATTCTCCCAAGAGAGCTCCTCAGAAAAAAAAGAAAATTCTCCTTCTGCTTACTATGAATGCAAAGTCTTTTAACCACTGGCAGATGACAGCGGCCATCTTGTAACCCCAAGAGAAAGAAGCCTTAGATTGAAAGAGCACTGAGAAAGGTGCCAAGGAGACTTGGAAAGGAATTGAGTCTTTTGTGATGTCATCACAACATTGGGTTACATATTACCTAAAATCTGACGTGCCTCTGGTCTTCAGTTACTTGCTCCATTAAGTTCTGCTATTTAAGCCTGAGAATGAGTCAAGCATTCTGTTATTTTTACTGAAGATTCCTAAGGGATACACTGACTATATGCCTGGTGCTAGCCATAACAAAGGAGTAACACAGAGTCTGTAACATCAAGGAATTTACATGTTAGTGGCAGAGACAAAATACAATTAAAAATAAAATAATAAAAGGGAAATGAGTTTTAGGATATTGGAAAGAGAAGGATCCACCTTGCAAGAACTCAGCCTGTTAATGAAGGGTTTCTAAGGAAAATGTCTTAGAAGGAAATAATACTTGAGGTGTCTTTTTTAAATAACTGAGGCAAAGAAAGAGAAAAGCAGTCAGTCAAAAGAAACAGGTCTGCTATTAATAATTATAATACTCAATATGTATTGTGTTTACGTCTTTGCTGTGCTGAAGTATTTGCAGATACTGTGTCATTTAATCTCTACAACAATTTTATGAACTACTTCTTATAAATGGGGAAATTGAGGCTGATAAAAGTGAAATAACTTACCCAATTTCAAATATCAAAGTTACGAATCAGGGAACTCAAAACAAGCTCTTTGACTGCAGGACCCAGATTCAAATCCACTGTATACTTCTGGCCTCTAGAACTTAGAGACTAAAGCAAATATACTGTAAGTGGAGATTATTAAGTAGTTCTTTTTATCTGGAGCATTTAGTATGAGGATGGGTGGAAATAAATGAAGATACAGAGGAGATCATGGGCTATATTGTAAAAGGGTTTTATGCTAAAAAAAATTCAATTTCTTACTAAATGGAATCCTAAGTGCTATAATTCTTGAATCTCTCTAAGACATATCTGATCATGAGAAAATATTCATACCAAGTATAGGCCAAGTACAGAGATTAAATAATAACAACATGATTTATGATTATCTCAAAAGTATAGAAATTCAGAGACTCACCAATCATATACATAATTTATAGTAATATAAATATACATGAAATGGATTAAGCATTATCAAATTTAGCTAAGTATTCTTAAAGGATCTTATGCAAAAACATACACATGTAAATGGAATGTCTTAGATATTTATTTTAATGGATGGTGAAGACTGCAAAACAATACAAGGAGACGTATATCAAATGCCTTTTACTTGTATAAACAAGAATTTCTGTAACATGAAGTAAGTATAATTTAATTGATGTTTATTAAACTATCATACTCAGAAGCTATTTTGAATGACTTTATTTAGATTGTATTTCTTAAAATGAAGATGTGTTTACAGAAATTTGCATTCATTGCTGGTGGAAATACAGAAGGATATGTCAACTTCCCAAGACAGTTTGACAGTCTCTTACAAAATGAAGCACAAGCTTCACATGCAATCCAGCAATCATTCTTCTATGTACTTACCCAAATGAGTTAAATTTTTGTCTACACAAAAACCTGCCTATAATTTGTAAATCAGTTTTATTCATAATTGCTAAATATTGGAAGCAACCAAATGTCCTTCAGTAGGATAATGGTTACACAAAATATCATATATCCATACAACTGAATATCATTCAACAATAAAAAGAAATGAGCTATCAGCCACAAAAAGAAATGGAAGAGCCTTAAATGTATATTGCTAAGAGAAAGAAACCAGTCTGTAAAGGCTATATTCCAAATGATTCCAACCATATGGCACTCTGTGATAGACAAAAAACTACAGAGATGGTAAAAAGATCAGTGGTGTCCAAAGATTCAGGGAGAGGGAAACAGGAATGAGTAAGTGGAGATAGTTTTACCTATGCACGGGGCATTTTTAAGATGTTCAAACTATTATGTATGATACTGTAATGGTGGATGCATGGTGTTATGCATTCATCAAGCCCCTTGTTAATAACAGGAGAAACTATGTGGGAAGAGAATATATAGTAATATGTACAGAATATATTTTCTGTACTCTATACACAATTTTTCTGTGATCTATGACTTCGCTAAAAAAAAGATGTCCAAATATTGTCTCCCATTCTGTAGGTTGTCTGTTAACTCTGACAAAGAACTAATATTCAGAAACTACAAGGTATGCAAACAAATCAACAATAAAAAAACATTAAAAACTGGGCACAGGACATGAACAGGCATTTCTCAAAAGAACAAATACAAGCAGCCAGCAAACACACGAAAAATGCTCAACACCAATAATCATCAGATACATGCAAATTAAAACCACACTGAGATATGATCTTATGCCAGTCAGAATGACTATTATTAAAAAGGCAAATAACAAAAGATGTTGGCGTGGATGTGGAGAAAAGAGAACGCTTATAAACTGTTGGTAGGCATGTAAATTAGTTCAACCACTATGAAAAACAGTAAGGAGATATCTCAAATAACTAAAAATAGAACTACTATTTAACCCAACAATTCACTACTTGATATTTACCCAAAGGAAAAGAAATCATTATACTAAAAAGGTACTTGCACTCGTATGTTTATAAAAAGCACTATTCACAGTAGTAAAGTCATGGAACCACCCTAAGTGTCCACCAGTGGCTGCTTAAAGAAAATGTGGTAATATTTATGCTGTGGAATACTATGCAGCCATAAAAAAGAATGAAATCATGTCCTTTGTAGGATGTAACTGCAGACCATTATCCTAAGTAAACTAACTCAGAAGAAGAAGATAAAATACTGCATGGTCTTACCTATAAGTGAGATCTAAACAATGAGTATGCATGGACATAAAGGTTGAGATAATAGAACCTGGGGACTCCAAAATGGAGAAGGGTTGGAGGAGGGTTGATTGTTGAAAAATTGTCTATTGGGTACAGTGTTCAATATTTGGGTGGTGGATACACTAGAAGCCCAATTCCCACCATTATGCATGTAATATCCATGTAACAAACAAGTACATGTACCTCCTGAATCTAAAGTAAATTTTTAAAAATATGAAGTCCAGGCCGGGTGTGGTGGAGCACGCCTGTAATCCCAGCACTTTGGGAGGCCAAGGCGAGCAGATCACAAGGTCAAGAGATGGAGACCATCCCAGCCAACATGGTGAAATCTGATCTCTACTAAAAATACAAAAAATAACTGAGCGTGGTGGCGCACACCTATAGTCCCAATTAATCGGGAGACTGAGGCAGGAGAATCCCTTGAACCAGGGAGGTGGAGGTTGCACTGAGCTGAGATGGTGGCACCGCACTCCAGCCTGGTGACAGAGCGAGACTCCCTCTTAAAAAAAAAAATAAAATGAAGTCCACAAAAATTTGAACAAATTATTTAGAGACTTTTTTTTTGTTAATGTAAGCCAAGAGTAATTGAATTCTAAAATTAGAATAATAAGTCCCAACACATTTCGGAATTTAAAGTGTTCTTAAAGATTCTCTATATATCTTGTTTCATTTTAAAAGCTTAACTCCATACAGCTGAGTGATGGTCTCCATGGCCACAAAGCAAGCAAGTGGAAGAATGTAGATTTAACTAAGTTCACATGACTCAGTTTGTCACTTTTCACTACACCAATTGACTGATCTGGTGGTATGAAAGAGTCAATGATGTAGAATCACCAAGCATAAGGTTTGTTGAACAATGGTGAAAATATAAATGGGCATTTCCTAAATGTTTTTGGTCTTTTTAATATCATCCATATTTTGAAAATAGGCACACAAACACATGCATGCACGCATGTGTGTATATATATATATGTGTATATATATATATATATATATATGCACTCATATATGCAATACCTTCTATCAGGAGCTTTTGGTATGTTTCATATGAAAAATAAAGACGAATTCTTAGAGCAAGGTATAATCTGCTTATTTTGTATGTTCATTGAACAATACTTCTTTCAGTTGCTGGACTGCTTTCTTGGAGGGGGTTAGGGAGTGGCATTTACTGAAGAATTCATAACTTGTATAAATCTCTTCTTTTCAAAATCTAGCATCTGTGTAAAGTTTTGTAATTTGGCAGATCCTGTATCTGGACATGACAAATTTCAGCTGGAAAAATATGCTGTGAAAAATCTTTCAGATGTCATATCCCAACTGGGGCCTCTGCTAAACCCCAAAGTGCAGCTGGACCTTATTATTACATAGCTATTTTATTTGCATTCCTGAAGCCCAAGAAGTAAGTAGATTTCCACCTGGTATATTATATCAGTTTTCTTCTATGATGAGGGTAAAATATTAAAGTTATACTAACAGCATAACGTCATTTACTGTAATCAGTCAAATTATTTGAAATAATAACATTCTTTACTGACTTAGCAAGGAGCTGTAAAAAGCATATCTCAAAAAGGAATTAGTATGCATACCATAGTTAAGTAAATTTCACAGTTAGAAACGAAAGGAAAATGTATTTTATTCAATATGCTTTAAAAAAATATATCTTCTAGTAGTATGCATCTTCTTCAAAGCCTCAAAGCTATTCAACAGATAACTCATGACCAAAACTCCAGGTCTTCCTTGAGATAAAAGATGGCAGGGTTCATGTTGCCAGAAAAAGAAGGAAAGAAAAAGAGAGAAAGAGAAAGAGAGAAAAAATAGAACGAGCATACCAAATAAATTTTACATAAAAAGTATTATATGTTATGCAATTTTATCTCTAGATCAAGGTAAGTATTAGTATTATGATGTTACCAGTGAAAGCATGACCACTCAAAGAAGTGAAATGCACTCTCTGAACTAGCGAATAGTTGACTTAAAAATCTACTTCAATCTTCTGCGTCAAATTATACTTAGCTGCCTCTAAAGCAATGAAGAAGAGATGTTATGAAAATGTGTTTTCTGTTTAATCACATACCATGACACTATCTTGTTCCATCTGAAATTTTTAGGTGGATGAAACAATTTAAATGTACCAACCATTTCACATAGAAGGAGATTGTAAATAAAATTTACTGATACAGAGAGAAACTATTGACAAATATTTTATATTTCATAAATGTTTCCTATTATATTCAGAGTTTTCTATTAAAGACCCCCAAAAAGAGATTAAATACTACTTGTGTTCCCAAAAATATATCTTTGGGAGAGACTGTAGAGAGGAGAATGTGATGATGTTTTGGATGCTGGTCTCAGAGTTGCTGGTATCAGAAATGACACAAGAGAATCACACAAGTAGGCCTATGCCTTGTCTTTACATCAAAGCACATTTGGCAATGGTTTTCCACTGTCAGGCCAGGCTGAGAAGATTTTCAGTACAAGGAAGCTGCGTAGACTTGTGACCCTAAGGCCCCTCACTTCAAAGAATAATTCCATGTGGTTAAGAGAGAGTCCTGGTGTCCCAAGTAATGAGGCTGAGTGGAGGTCACAGCTGCATCCTGGACAGGATAGAGCAAGGGCTTGCTTGGCAAGCAGGCCCAGATTGTCCCAATCCATGCATGGGAAGATGTGAGACCAAGAGAAAACTGCTAAATCCAAAACCACGCTGGCTATTCTCTCCTTGCTCCTACTAATCATTTCATTCTAATATCTGTGTTGTCCTCTGCCCTGAGGGCTGACCTCTCTGGATTTTGTCAGGGTGCTTTCTTAGTCTCTGGCTTCCATTGGGTCTAAAAAATGGGATGCACTGTGAAGAAGTAACAGGGCCAGAGGGGGAATTTATTGGCCTCAACCTCCTCTTCCCAGCAACTGTGATTCAAATTATATCAAGCTTTGTTACCAGCACTTACTCCATTGTTACCAGCACTTACTCAGTGACACCACCTGCCTCTAAGATTACAGCTTTCCCTGGATTCTGATAACCCTTGTCCCTTCCCTTTTCCCCTGCAGAGATGGTCTTTGTTTGCCACTGTTGCAGGTTCCTGGATGATCAACAACTTCCTCTTGTTTTGTTTTTCCACAGATGAAGTCTTGTTCTGTTGCCCAGTCTGGAGTGTAGCAGCACAATCATAGCTCACTGCAGCCTCCAATTCCAAGGCTTAAGCAATCCTCCCTTCTCAGCCTCCCAAATAGCTTGGACTA